>NC_000008.11:98839222-99464222 GCF_000001405.40 Homo sapiens | reverse complement strand
AAAATGCCTTCCTCTTCTCCCAGTTTTTTCTCTTACATTCAAAAAACCAGTATGACTCAGGCAGGTCTGTATTTCAAATATGAACCAGTATAACCAGGAACATTCTACCACCTATTGTGAGTATAACACTCGAGAGAAAGATGTACTACAAACATAAATAGGCCAAAATTGCTGAGAGTGTTTATTACTCCAAACTAGTTAGCATTTAACTTATTTAAAGACAGTTAAGGCCTGGAGCGGTGGCTCATGCTTGTAATACCAACACTTTGGGAGGCCGAAGTGGGCAGATCACCTGAGGTCGAGAGTTCAAGACCAGCCTGACCAACATGGAGAAACCCTGTCTCTACTAAAAATACAAAAAAATTAGCCAGACATGGTGGTGCACGCCTGTAATCCCAGCTACTTGGGAGGCTGAGGCAGGAGAATTGCTTAAACTCGGGAGGCGGAGGCTCCAGTGAACCGAGATCATGCCACTGCACTCCAGCCTGGGCAACAAGAGCGAAACTCCATCTTAAAATAAAATAAAATAGACAGTTAAAGATAAAGTGTTTATTAATTCTAAGTGATGTTAATTTAAGTAATAGGTACTTTAAAGAAAATCAAGACATTATAAATGATATCTAGTCCATCTTCATAGAAGAGGAAGACAGTTGAAAGGCATAGAAAGAAAGGAAATGAAAATGAGCAACCTTCAGTTTTATTTGCTCTGTAACTAAAATTCTACATTTGGAATACTGTTTTGTGTTAGGAAATGTGAAATGAACTGCATGTACAAAATGTAATAATAATGATAATAGTATTAAGAGATAATTGATTTCAAATTTGTGAAAAACATTTTACATATAGAAATCTATGTTACTAATAAAACTATTATTTACTTCTGAAAGTCACTACTGGATTAATCGTGACTTGTTTGTCAACATTTCATTATTCATAAAGAAATATAATACTCTAAGATTCTCTAAAACATTATTTCAATTGTAAACAATGCAAAACTAGAATAATCACTGCTTTTAAAAGAAGAAGGGACTGAAAAGAATAGCATTGCCCTTCCAACAACAAAGGTATTAGTAGTTACCCTATAGTTTTGCTAAAAATGTGAATATTATAACAGTGTGTGACTTAGGGTAAATTGGTATTGAAGACTCCTACTACTCTCTATAAGACAAGATCCTATCGGTAACATCAGTGCCATGGAATGGATAGCTGTCTTGGTCAGCATAGGCTGTTATAACACAATACCATAGACTAGTGGCTTAAACAATAGACATCCATCTCTAAGAGCTCTGGGAGTTCTAGTATCAAGGTGCTGGCAGATCTGGTTCCTGGTAAGAACACTCTTTGAGGCTGGAAAACAATTAGATAACCTTCTTGCCATGTTCTCACACGACCAAGAGAGAGGAAGCTCTGGTATTTCTTCCTCTTCATCTTAAGGTACTAATCCCACTGGCTCCAACCTCATGATGTCACAGAAACCTAATTACCTCCTAAATGCCCCACCTCATAAACATCACATTGGATGTTAAGGGCTCAACATATGAATTTGAGGGAACACAAATATTCAATCCTTAACATTAATATAGGTATAGCTAAAATGGGTATCTGGGCATATAAGAAAGGAACAAAGAAGTCAGGTATGTGAAAATCTTAGAGATCTGTAAACTATCAGTGAAAGATGATAGCTAAAGTTTAGGAAAGCTGTACATAGGAAGAATACCTGTATTTAAGAGAAAGGTAGAGGAAAGGGAAAAACAGCCCATGAAGAACGTTCAGAAAGAATGGCCAAGATCCACAGAAAACCAAAAGAGAGTGGTTATCCAGAAGTTAGAAAGGTATTTAAGAAGGAATCAACCAATGATGTCAAGAATAAAAAAAAAGTTCTAATCGATTTGACAACCAAAAAGTTTGTTATCTTGATTGGACAAGATGAAAAGATATCTTGATATTCTTACATGCCACCATGGAGAAAATAAAGAGTTTATAAGCAAGTTCTCTAAAAACACAGTGCATAGCATACAGTACACAAAAGGAAGAGATGGAGGGAGGGAGGGAGGGAGAAAGGGAGGGAGGAAGGGAGAGTTAGGAAAGGAAGGAAGGAAGTTGGAAGGAAGGAAGGAAGAAAGGAAGGAAGGAAGGGAGGGAGGGGAATGAATGAGTAAAAACGGCTGGGTCTTAAGCATTGGCAGCAGTATAAAGATTGCTTCTAGTAAGGCAGATTCTTTTGTTGAACCAATATTCTGAGCTAAAATTATGTGACCTCATTCTAGGATCTAGGGACAGAGCACTGAGCAATACGTACTCATTGTTTTCATAGAGCTTGCATTCTAGTGGTAGAAAGAAAGATAACCAACTATTAACTGATATTTAGTTTATGTCAATGTTGATAAAAGCTCTGGAGAACAATTAGCAGAGTAATGGGACACTAGCTGATGGTGGTGTCATTTTAAAATAGGATACTCCAGTAAGGCCTTTCTGAAAAAGTGTAATTCTTCAGAGAGTGAGCTGTGGGACTATTTGGAAGAGAAACATTCTAGGAGAATTGCAAAGGCTCTTTATTAGGAATGTGATGGGTCTGGATGAGAAATTGTCAATGCTTTCACTGACTTCCATTAAAGTAATATGAATGTTGCCTGTTAAGTAGGGAAAACAATTAGATAACCTTAAAGAAATCGGTAAAAAAAAATTTATCTAGCTACTATAAGGAATGCAAAGACATTAAATAAGTTAGAAAAGCTTGCAAGATCATTAATGAAAGTCACAAGTAATTTTCCTAAATATTGTCAGGAATGTAAGAAGAAAAGCTCAGATGTCAAAGAGCTGGAATGATTCAAAGCTGAACTTCATTTCATGAAAATGAAAATCTGAGAGAGTATGTAATCATACATTTGTGCTATTTATTGCACAAACTGTCTACCACACTCACAGTTGTCTTAAGTATAAAGCAGTCACCAGTAATTCTTTCTGCATAGGTCATAATGCATTGCATTTCCTTACTCGTAATGGGGCCAATCTAAGGAGATAGTGAAATGCAATCATTTCCAGGCTAAATATTTAAAAAAAAAAACTAGTAATACATGAAGTAGCTTGAGAAAAGAAGAGGATTTGGGTTAGACTTGCAGTTATGGCCAAATAAGGAGGTTTTTTAAAATCCTCTTTCCAAAAATAAACTGCAAAGCTAGATACAGTTGATACAACATTTAACAAAAAACACAACCATTTCAGCACTCTGGGATTGAAAGAATGAGAAAAGCATTTATGCTTGAAGAACTGTTGAACTTAGGATACGAAGAGTGAGAATCTGTGATGTTCTTGCATGAAGTCATTTCTATCTCTACCACAGAGGAGGTTCCACTAGCACAACTATGAGGACTGGTGGCATTGCTGCCATGATCAAAGAGAGGTCACTTGATTTGGAGTGGTGAACAATGTCCACACTCAGCAACACTATCAGTGGAAACTGATAACACTACCAAGGAAGAAAAAAAAAACAAAACAGTCAACCAATAATTTTATACCCAGCAAAACTATCCTTCAAAACTAAAAGTGAAACAAAGATGTTCTCTCGTAAACAGGCACTCAGATTATTCAATGGTGGCAGACCTTCCTTACCAGAAATACCTTGTCCTGCAATCTTTCAGGTGTTAACTCCAATGTACAGAAAGAAATGAAGAGCACTGGGTATGACAAATATGTGGGTTATATGAAAGACTCTACAGATATAGTATTCATCATTTCTTCTCTTAAGTACTTGAAAATGCTACTGAATATATACAACAATAATTATAACACTGTAACTGTAACATTGGGTTATATTATATGTAGATATATGTGTCAATAAGGGGGATAAAGATTAGATATAAATTAGAACAAATTTTCCATAATTTACCAGAATTAATTTAGGAGCTTAACTGAGGTAGAATGTAAATTCAAATCATAATACAGCTCCGAGAGCCACCATTGAAAATATACATAGTACAAAAATGAATAGAGAAAATTAAATGGTACACTAAAATACAGATATAAAGCACATAAAGTAGTAAAAGGGGAACAGAGTAACAAAAAAGACAGGAACAACAGACAACAAATAGCAAATTACCAAGTGAGTTCAAATATATTATTATTACACTAAATGGAAATGTTAAAAGCCCCATTTAAAAATCAGAGATTGTCAGACTGCATTAAATAGCAAGATTAACAAAATACTGTTTAAACTAGAAACACTTTCATTCAAAACCAAAAGTAAGTTTAACGTAAAAAGCTGGAAAAAGGTATACTATTAAACCACAACCATAAGAAAGCTGAAGTAGCTATAATTAATAACAGATAAAAACTGATTTAAGACAAGAAATATTACAGAGACAGATATTGCATAATAATAAACAGGGTCAACTTTTTAGTAAAACCTAACAACTATAGGTACATATACATCTAACAACAGAATCTCAAAATACATCATGAGCTACATAACAATGTTTCACTTAATGACAGACTGCATACACAATGGTGGTCCCATATGATTCTAATACCATACTTCTATTGTGCCTTTTCTATGTTTAGATATGTTTGAGATAAAATAAAAAATACTTACCATTATTAACAATTAATACTTACCAAAACTTACAATTGCCTACAGTATTCAGTACAGTTCCATTCTGTACAGGTTTGTAGCCTAAGAGCAATATGTTATACCACAGATGGGCTATAGCCTAAATGTAGAGTAGGCTATGTTATCTAGCTTTGTATATGTATATTCTATGATGTTTGCACAACAAGGAAATTGCATAATGATGCATTTCTCAGAACATATTGTTAAGTGACTCATGACTGTACATGAACCAAAAACTGACAGAATTTAAATGCTAAAATAGACAACTAAAAAATAACACTTGAAGATTTCAATACCCTGCTCTCCATAATTGATAGAATAATTAGACAGAAACTCAATAAGGTGATAGAAGAAATGAACAGGATTATCAACCAACTCAACGTAACTGGCATATATATTAATAGAATGCTGCAGCCAAGAATTGCAGAATACACGTTCAAGTGCCTACGCAACAATCTCCCAAACAGACCATATGCTAGACGTTAAAAAAAGTCTTAATAAATTTAAAAGAATGACCATCATACAAAGTATATTATCTGACCACAATGGACTTAAATGTTAGACCTAAAACCATAAAAACCCTAGAAGAAAACCTAGGCAATACCATTCAGGACATGGGCATGGGCAAGGACTTCATGACTAAAACACCAAAAGCAATGGCAACAAAAGCCAAAATTGACAAATGGGATCTAATTAAACTAAAGAGCTTCTGCACTGCAAAAGAAACTACCATCAGAGTGAACAGGCAACCTACAACATGGGAGAAAATTTTTGCAATCTACTCATCTGACAAAGGGCTAATATCCAGAATCTACAATGAACTCAAACAAATTTACAATAAAAAAACAAACAACCCCATCAAAAAGTGGGCGAAGGATATGAACAGACACTTCTCAAAAGAAGACATTTATGCAGCCAAAAGACACATGAAAACATGCTCATCATCACTGGCCATCAGAGAAGTGCAAATCAAAACCACAATGAGATACCATCTCACACCAGTTAGAATGGCAATCATTAAAAAGTCAGGAAACAACAGGTGCTGGAGAGGATGTGGAGAAATAGGAACACTTTTACACTGTTGGTGGGACTGTAAACTAGTTCAACCATTGTGGAAGTCAGTGTGGCGATTCCTCAGGGATCAAGAACTAGAAATACCATTTGACCCAGCCATCCCATTACTGGGTATATACCCAAAGGATTATAAATCATGCTGCTATAAAGACACAGGCCACACGTATGTTTATAGCGGCACTATTCGCAATAGCAAAGACTTGGAACCAAACGAAATGTCCAACAACGATAGACTGGATTAAGAAAATGTGGCACATATACACCATGGAATACTATGCAGCCATAAAAAATGATGAGTTCATGTCCTTTGCAGGGACATGGATGAAGCTGGAAACCATCATTCTCAGCAAACTATCACAAGGACAAAAAACCAAACACCGCATGTTCTCACTCATAGGTGGGAATTGAACAATGAGAACACATGGACACAGGAAGGGGAACATCACACACCGGGGCCTGTTGTGGGGTTGGGGGGAGGGGGGGGGGATAGCATTGGGAGATATAACTAATGTTAAATGACCAGTTAATGGGTGCAGCACACCAACATGGCACATGTATACATATGTAACAAACCTGCACGTTGTGCACATGTACCCTAAAACTTAAAGTATATATATAAAAAAAAGAAATCAGCAACAAAAAGAAATCTATGAAATTGTAAAATATTTGGAAGTTAAACAACATATTTCTAAATAACCCAGGGCCCAAAGAAGAAATCATAAGGAAAATAACAGAACACTTTAAAGAAAATAAAAAATGTAAACATATCACAATTTCTGGGATGCAGCTTCAGTAGTGGTTAAAAAGACATTTATAGCATTAAATGCCCACATCATACAGGAATAAATTTCTCAAATCAATAATCTAAGTTTTAGCGTTAAGATGAGAAATAATAAGATAAAACTAAACACAAAGCTATTAAAAAAAGAAAATAGTAAAGATTGGAGCTGAAATCAATGAAATGAAAAAAAAGATAGAAAAAAATCAACGAAATTAAAAATTATTTCTAACAGATTATCAAACTGACAATCCTTTAGCTTAACCCAGAAAAAAGGGATAAGTCACAATTACCAGAATGAGGAATGAGAGAATATCACTATTAACTCACCAAAAATAAAAGAGATTAAAAGGGAATGTTAAGAACAGCTTTATGCCAACAAATTAGATAACTCAAGATGAATACATAACTGTCTAGAAAGATACAAATTACTGGCTGGGCGCAGTGGCTCATGCCTGTAATCCCAGCACTTAGGGAGGCCAAAGCGGGCGGACCATCTGTAGTCAGGAGTTCAAGACCAGCCTGGTCAATAAGGTGAAACCCCAACTCTACTAAAAATAAAAATGTTAGCCGGGCATGTTGGTGGGCGCCTGTGATCGTGGCTACTCAGGAGGCTGAGGCGGGAGAATGGCTTGAACCCGGGAGGCAGAGATTGCAGTGAGCTGAAATCACACCACTGCACTCCAGCCTGGGCGACAGAGTGAGATTCTGTCTCAAAAGAAAAAAAAAAAAAAGAAAGATACAACTTACCATAACTGACTAAAGAAGGAAGAAAATCTGTATAGACCTATAACAAAGAAATTAAATTATTAATTTAAAAACTTTCCATCAAAAAAGTTCTACCAATTCCACATGGCTTCACTGGTAAACTGTATCAAACATTTAAGGAAAGAATGTCAATCCCTAATACACACTTACAAAAACAGGACAGAATGAAAGACTTCCCAACTCATTCTTTGAGGCTAGCATTAACTTGATATGAAAAGCAGACAAAGTCACTACAAGAAATCTACAGACTAAAACCCCTCAATAAGCATGGATACAGAAATCCTTTAAAAATTTAGCAAATCATATCCAGCACCATATAAAGAGGATAACACCCTATGACCAAATGGGATACATTTGAGAAATACTAGGTTCACATGATTATTAATTATACATAAGAATTATATAGAATTGTTTAATACACAATAGTAACAGCATAAAGTATAGAAACCACATGATGTCAATATATTCAAAAAACTATTTCATAAAATCAACAAGCAATTCATGATTTTTTAAAAGGTTTCAATAAAATGGCTGGTGCGGTGGCTCACACCTGTAATCCCAGCACTTGAGGAGGCCAAGGTGGGCAGATCACTTGAGGTCAGGAGTTCAAAACAAACCTGGCCAAGATGGTGAAACGCTGTCTCTAATAAAAATACAAAAATTAGCTGGGCATAGTGGTGCACGCCTGTAATCCCAGCTACTCAGGAGGCTGAGGCACGAGAATCACTTGAACCCAGGAGGCAGAGGTTGCAGTGAGCCGAGATTGTGCCACTACACTCCAGTCTGGGAGACAGAGTGAGACTCTGCCTCAAAAAAATAAATAAATTCAAGGTCTCAGTAAACTAGGAATAAAATGGATCATTCTCAAAATGATGATGGGCATCTCTGAAAAACCCACAGCTACGCTAACCCTAACAAATCGATCACAAGAATGTAAAACGGTATAACCACTTAGAAAGTGATTTGGGAGTTTCTTGAACTGTTCAACATAAATTTACCATTCAACCCAAAAATTCCACTCTAAAGACTCTATCAATGATCAGTTACAACATCTGTCCATACAAATACATGTACCTAAATGTACATAACAGCATTATTCACTGTAGGCAAAAAGTAGAAGTACATATCAACTGGTGAATTGATAAAATGTAGCATAATCATACAATGGAATGCTCCTCAGCAATAAAAAGGAACACTACTGATATATGCTACATCATGGAAGAACACCAAAATGTTACACCAAGTGAAAGAAGCCAGATGCAAAAGACTATATATTGTATGATTCCAGTGTATTAAAATGTCCAGAAAAGGCAAATTTATAGGGACAGAAAGCAGATCAGGGTTGCCTAGGGCTGTAGGTAGGAGCAGGGATCAACTACAAATGGACACAAGAAAACTTTTGGGATAATGGAAATGTTCTAAAACTTTATTATGATGATGGTTATACATCTTAATAAATTTAATGTTACATTATATAAATTATACTTCAGTAAGAGCTGGCTGTTTAAGTGTGTGAAACCTCCCCAACCCTCCCTCTCTTCCTCTTGCTCCAGCCATGTGAAGTGCTGGCTCTCCCTTTGTCTTCTGCCATAATTGTAAGTTTCCTGAGGCCTCCCCAGAAGCCAAGCAGATGCCACCACGCTTCCTGTACAGCCTGCAGAACTGTGAGCAAATTAAACCTCTTTTCTTTATAAATTACCCAGTCTCAGGTATTTCTTTATAGCAATGCAAGAACAAACTAATACAAGACCTAATGCAAAACACAAAACTATAAAACTCCTAAAAGATAACAGGAGGAAATCTAGATAACCCTGACTTTTTGATGACTTTTTACACCTAACACCAAATGCTTGATCCATTAAAGAAAGAACTGATAAGCTGGACTTTACTAAAATTAAAAATTTCTGCAAACAAAAACACTCAAGAGAACAAAAAGAAAAGCAAAACTGGGAGAAAATATCTGACAAAACATCTGATAGGGGACTGTTATCCAAAATATACAAAGAAAACTCAACAATTTAAAAAGCCTATTTTTAAAAATGGGCCAAAGACCTTAACAGACCCCTCAATCAAAGACATACAGATGGCAAATAAGCGTATAAAAAGATGCTTCACAGAACATGTCATCAGGAAACTAAATTTAAACAGCATTTAGATACCACTACATACCTATCAG
Source organism: Homo sapiens (assembly GCF_000001405.40). Classification (NCBI taxonomy): domain Eukaryota; kingdom Metazoa; phylum Chordata; class Mammalia; order Primates; family Hominidae; genus Homo; species Homo sapiens. The sequence goes on along the minus strand of NC_000008.11, from coordinate 99,454,820 downwards.
AATGGCCAAAATTCAGAACACCAAATGCTAGTGAGTATGTGGAACAACAGGGATTCCCACTCATTGTTGGTGGGAATGCAAAATTGTATGGCCACTTTGAAGACAGTCTGGTGGTATATTACCGAACTAAACATTTTTACCATACGATCTGGCAGTCATGCATGTACCTTAGTATTTATCGAAAGAAGCCAAAAACATAGGTTCACACAAAAACCTGCAGATGGAGGTATATAGCGGCTTTATTTAAAATTGCCAACACTTGGAAGCAACCAAGATGCCTATTTACACATGAATGGATAAACTCTAGTACATCCAGACAATTAAATATTAGCACAACAGAAATGAGCTATCAGCCAGGTGCAGCTGCTCACACCTGTAATCCCAGTGTTTTAGGAGGCCAAGGTGGGAGGATCACCTAAGACCAGGAGTTAGAGACCACCCTTTGCAACACAGCAAGACCCTGTCTCTACAAAAATTTAAAAACAAAAAAATTTAGCCAGGTGAGGTGGCAAATAGTCCTCCTCAGGAGGATTACTTGAGAACAGGAGTTTGAGGCTGCAGTGAGCTATGATTGTGCCACTACACTCTAGCCTGGGTGACAGAATGAGACCCTGTCTCAAAAAAATAAAAGCTATCAAGCCATGGAAAGACATGGAAGAAGCAAAAATGCATATTACTATGTCAAAGAATCCCATATGAAAAAGTTATATACTGTTTGATGCCAATTATATGACATTCTTAAAAAGGCAAAGCTATGGAGACAGGGAAAATATCAGTGTTTGCAAGGGCTGAGAAATGAGTATGTTGAGCACAGAAGGTTTTGGGGGCAGTAAAAATATTATGCATGATACTACGATGACAGATACATGTCATTATATATTTCTCCAAGTCCACAGAATGCAAAACACCCAGAGTGAGTCCTCTAGTAAACTGCAGATTTTGGGTGACAATTACGTATCCCTGTAGGTTCATCAGTTATAACAAATGTACTGAATTGGAGAGGCTGCGCAGGTTTAGGAGCAGGGGATATATGAACTATTTCTGTCTCCTCCTCTCAATTTTGCTATGAAACTCAAACTGCTTTAAAAAAATAGTCTAAAAATGTGATCAGGAAAAATATGACAGCATATTAGGGCTGCCATATTGGTTTGGTTTTTAAAATAAGTGTGGTGGGGAGAGGGAGGAGATTGGGAAATGCAAAATTGATAAGCAAGGAATAAATAGGGTAAGTTTCCTTTTCAGCCTTTAAAAGCTATAGAACCCTTAACTAAATAAATGATAAAGAAGGCTGAATGTGAGCTACTTAGAGAAGAATAATGTCTACAGCAATTATATTAAGTACATTTAGGTAGTGCAACAGCTTAATTTTACTAGTAATACATACACGATTGTTCCCAACAAATTTATTTAAAAACAACATCATCAAAAACAAATTGGAAGTTAGTTTCTGAGCTTCCTTTTCTCCCCAAGGAATCCTATTTGCATACACGGTTTGAGGATTAAAGTCAAACACACTAAGTGAAACTGGAAAGAAAATAATTGTAACAGTACATCACCATCTTTCAGAACAAGTGGAAATTATGATTATAAAACTATGACTTAAAAAACCTAAAATAGAACAATACATATAAACCACTAAGGTGAACAAGAATTACATAGAAAAGCAGCCCCTGTGTTTTTCATAGATGCTAAATAATTTTCACATCAGTTTCTATTAAAACTCACTAAATCCAACAACAGCAAAGTTTTAATTTATAAATGATCTCAATATTCCATTTCTGTCAAAATATTTTATAAAAGTCACAGGCAACTCATTCAAAGAAGAAAAAACAAACCTCTCTTAGGCACAGTGTAGAAATCCATCTGCTCAGAGGTGTTGGCTGGATGTAGCAAATTACATCTGCAAGGCTCACTGCAAGTGCTCCCTAATGAAACTCAAGATGTTGATTTTGACCCAAACACCCTACACAGATTGGAGCTGGCTATATTAGAGATCATCTCTCCCTTTCCACAGCAATTGAAATCAGATGACACATTTCAGCAAACAGTTCCTCATTTTGAACTTTAGAAGTCCAAGTTCAGCATAGACAGAGCCTCAAATCTACAGAGAACTTTTTGTTCATCCTATTAATCATCTATGTAATGCTTTTTCCCCCCTTTTTTTCATTTCGTAAAGACCAGGAATTATTTTTCAATTGTTTATGGATCTTAAGATAAGTTAGAAGGTAACTTTTTAATTTCTTAAGTTCTTCCTCCCTTAGAGTAACCAACCACGATTTACCATGAATAACTTGAAAATTTCATGTGGCCTGAGAATGTACAGTGAGCTCCCCTTTTGTGGCATGTGTTGTGCTAAATAATGGTAATACAGCAACGAGCAAGAGAGGTATGGCTCCTGCTCTTTTCACCCTAGTAGGGGAATCAGATACTGAAGAAAAATAGTTAAAATTAGGATAAAGTTTGTAAAAGTGATGACTGGAGTACAAAGACAGCACAGAGTTGGAGGGACCTGATAAATGAAATGCCCTGAAGCCTGAAGGAGGAGAAGGAGAAAGATGCCTAGAGGACAGATTGGGAAGGATGAAGTCATGTTTGTAGCATATGCTAAGGCACTGTGATAGGACAGCGCTGTGCTTATTCCAAGAACACAGAAAGGTTACTAGGGCTGGAGGTGGGCAAAGCAAGCAGCAGGGAGTGTAGCAGAAAATACAACTGGAGAGGTGGGCAGGGCCAATTCGTATGGGGTCTTGGTCATGTTAAGGACTTTTAAATGTACCCTAAGACTGAAAGGAAGCCATCAAAAGGATTGCACGCAAAAATAACTAAATTACTCTGCATGACAAAAGGAGAGGAATTTCAAATTACTTTGGTCAAGAGATTAAAGAGGAAGAGAAAAGGGCCAAATAAGCACTGTGTTGTACAAACATGTCTAAGAGACTAACAGCCACTTTAAACACCGTTTGATACAGGGTACACCAGTACCACCTCTTCCCTATGGTAGGACATCTTCAGCAAACTCTACTTCATTCTTTAATACTTCTTTGTGAGTGGATTCTATAAGTGAATTAAAGGAAGTGAAGAGTTATAAGCCTATTACGGAGATAGAGTTCCATACAGGGTTCCAGGAACATGGCAGCAGAAGAGACCAAGGAAAGAAAATGTATCTGGGAAACAGCAAAGATTGAAAACCAGGCCATGGAATTTGGAAATCCTACATGGATGTTGAGAACCATAATGGTTTTTACCGAGCACTTACCAGACACTGTTCAAAGTAATGTATATCTCATTTAATCTTTAGTTACCCTAGGAAAAGATATCAATAGCCAGCAATACATAAGATTCAACCAAGGACTATTTATTGCACTACTCTTCCCAATAGCTTGTAAGATATCAACAAGCAAGCACCATATCTGTCTTGTTCAAATCTGTATTCTCTATGTGACTGCCACATGGTAGGTGCTCAATATGTATTTGTTGAATGAATGGGACAAATAAGGGAAATTTAGGAAAATAAAGAAATACAAAAAAAGGCTGGAGGATTGAGTGGGATAGAGAGGACAGATGGTTGAAGGAAGTATCAGCCTAGGTTTTAGGAATTAAAAGAAAAAAACAGACACCCTTAGAATGCTGTGCCAACTAACTCCCTTACCTGTAAAGTTGTAGATTATGTTTCAAGGTGTACTGGAATCAAATTTATGTCATTTTTACATTCCTCAGTATACTAAAAAAATTTGAAGGTATAAATAAAGAGGTCTCATTTATTATTCTGGTTGCATTCACAATGATAATCCTGAGTAATTTTTTAAATTATTAAATTTTGTACCATATTTTCTGCTTATAAAGTCAGATATTAACAGATGCAATATACCAAAATATTTCCATAAAAAATAAAAGGTTTGAGTATATAATCTTAGTTACATACGAATGTGTTCTTTTTGGTCTATTCCATCATGAATCTAAATAATTGGTTTCAAAGAATTGCAAATTTAATAGAAATTTGGAATCCCAGAATGATAAACAAGCAATTCTAAAGATAGAGAAAAATAATTTCTCAGGGGTTATGAGGACAAGTAAAAAAAAGATAAAGAAAAAAATTTTTTTTTCTTTTTAAGACAGAGTCTTGCTCTGTCACCAGGCTGGAGTGTGGTGGCACAATCTTGGCTCACTGCAACCTCTGCCTCCCAGGTTCAAGCGATTCTCCTGCATCAGCCTCCTGAGTAGCTGGGACTACAGGCGCACGCCACCATGCCCGGCTAATTTTTTGTATTTTAGTAGAGACAGGGTTTCACCACGTTGGCTAGGATGGTCTTGATCTCCTAACCTTGTGATCTGCCCACCTTGGCCTCCCAAATGCTGGGATTACAGGAATGAGCCACCACACGTGGCAGAAAAGAAATTTTTAATTGAACATATGGTCTTCATAACCACCAGAGTCAGATGGTGGGAGTAATATTAAAATTTTAACTAAAAGTCAAAGTTGTTTTCTATAATAGAATATAGACAATGAATCATTAAGTTTCATTTTTGCTTTAGTTATCCTGACTTGGTTTCTGTTTCCTGCACCCAAACAATATCAAGGTATATATACATTCAGGAACCATCCTTTTTCTCCTGTCATTTCTCAAATAATATTTTTAAACAAATTATTTATTAAATTAGTTCTTCATTTCCTTTTCAGTTCTCAAGCCACCATCACTGACTGTCATTAAAATCATTCTTGCTGGGCACGTTGGCTTATGCCTGTAATCCCAGCACTTTGGGAGGCCAAGAGGGGTGGATCACGAGGTCAAGAAATCAAGATCATCCTGGCCAACATGATGAAACCCCGTCTCTACTAAAAATACAAAAATTAGCTGGGCATGGTGGCACGAACCTACAGTCTCAGCTATTCAAGAGGCTGAGGCAGGAGAATTGCTTGAACCCAAGAGGCAGAAGTTGCAGTTAGTGAGCGTGCCACTTCACTCCAGCCTGGTGACAGTGTGAGACTCCATCTCAAAGAAAAAAAAAAATCATTCTTCTGAAAATACTGTGATAAAAGAAACCAGTTACCTAAAATTGTGAAACCTTATAGTTTTTAGTCCTTATCTTATTGGCTACATTTATAAATGATCTAATCATTTATACATGATCCAATCTTACGTCTTAAGCCATAAGACTAGTGCCTCACAGTTTTTCCTCACAGTTTTCCTTACTTACCTGACCTTCTATTGGTAGCTTCCATCACAAATTATTCCTTCCTTTCTCATCCCATAACATTACGTTCCCTGCCTTGTTATATGCAGATCCCACTTCATTTGTCACTCTATAAATGACTTCGGATAATCCTATCTTTTTTCATGTTTTCCCTGTGGTCATTTTGTGTCTCTATGATCCCTCTTTAGAGCTCTAGATCCATATATGCAGCAGCTCATCAGATTTATTTACTTAAATGTCCCATGGATACTTCACCATATGGACCAAACTAAATTCATCCATCCCACCATGCACACCAAAAACTGGCCCTCTTTCTTTGTTCCTAACCATAATATTAACTATGTAAATAATGTATATTGACATCTAAGCTAAGAACCACGGAGTTATTCTACAGATTTTTTTCTCTCCTTCCCTATCCATAACTAATCCAGTCATTAAGTTTGGACAGTTTTTGTCAACCTTTTAAATATTTCTCTCTATTCTGTCCCAGTATCTATTACCACTGCCCTGGTTCTGACAATCATTTCTTCTAAGCTATAATGGCTATCTGGAATATTTAACTAATCTTGACTCCAGGTTTCCTACTTTATCCAATTACCCCCAATCCATCCTCTATACTTACTAAGAAACATTTACTGAACAAAAATGAGCTAAACATAAAACAATAGTATCAGAGAAGTAGAATGGAAAGGGGTATAATAGGAGGTGGAATGGATTCAGACATCCTGTATCTGCTTGAACATAAATGATTGAAAGTTATCTACATTTTGAAACCAACAAAATGACAATGAAATGGAAAAAGCATTATAAATCAAAAAGGACTAATAAGAACAAGAGAGGAAATGACTGAAGATGAAATATATCACAAATTTTTTAAAGCTGGAATGTGTGTAAATAGCAAATGACTGAGGACCAGAGAAGGAAGCTATAAAAGAGCAGTCTAATTCATGCCATCAGTCCCAATACTCAAGAAAGATTGAAAAAGAGAATACAGGCATGACACTGAAACCAGAAGGGCTGTGTGAAAACTGGAAATGAGTAAGTAAACCTCCAAATCAGTTTTCTATCTGGGTACATGTGTAAAGACAAAGAGTAAATTACTTTTAACACGTATGCATCAAAGGCTTATAATATTTTTATAAACACCATTTTAAATGCAGAAAAAGGGATAGATTTCTGGTTATTCATAAGAAGTTAATTTCTATAGTTTTTTAAGACCAAAAGAGAATTTAAATATCTTGAAATAATCTCTTTTCCTCAGAGTAGGTTTGGTCAATGAGAATAACCATGTGGTTAAAAAGTTGTTTCTACTTCATGTTTCAATGTTGATTATGCAGTCACTCTATATTCTCTTAGGGAGTATGAAAAATAGACTGGAAATTTCAATTTGATTCAAGCCCTCTCCATCTGGTATGTGATTTTTTTTAAGTTCAAAATAAATTAAGTTGCCATCTCAGTTCTTGCAATAAATAAATAAATAAATAAATAAATAAATAAATAAATAAAAATAAAACCACCTGAGAATATAATAGCACCTTATGCTTTAAAGATGGAGACTTCCGCAGTTCCTAAGTCATTCTTGATGTACTTGAAAAACAAGATGAAAATAAAATAATTTTTTAATATGAAAAAGACAAGCAGTAGATGTTGGCAGGAGTTTTGTAGAAATAAGAGAGATTTTAAATGAGTATTGAAGGTATAAAGAATGATGGGCACTATATATCGGTCCTTTTATAAAATCATTTGAAAAGACAGAGTATAATAGTGTCACATCATCTTTAAAAAACATAACTGAGGAATTCTATTTACAGCAACACGATAAATATGTTGAATGATCCCTCTCCTAAAAAAATAAAAATGACTATACTGTATTTTAACAATATGTGACACATACTATAAAATTTATATAATGTTTTACACATATACACATGCATGCACACACACACCAAATGATATCTTCTTAAACTTATTAATGAATTTCCAAAAAGAGTAAAGATAATTAAAGCCAGGGGCTGAGGGAAACCAGAAACACAGAGGTATGCAAAGTAAATGCCCGAGGCACTTCAAAGTTGGTTAAAATTGAGCATCCGTGTTTACCACTGAACTGAAGTCAAGTTAAGTCTGACTGAAGATAAAGCCTGAAGCTAACTCACAGTGCAGAAAATAATAAAAGATAAAGCTGGCATGCAAATGGCTAGAATATTCATGTACAGGTAAACTAGAAATAAAGTTTTCTGCTCTTCCCTTCTTTATATGATCCTCTCACAAACGCTGCCAGAAAATGAAACCTTCAATAGATGGGTGGGGGGAAAACCCACAACCACAAGGCTGTAGCTTAAATTTTTATTATCTAAGTGGCATAAAAACCTTTTATCAAGAATTTAGTTTCAAATGGTTCTGAACTCATAGTGCCACCAACATGTTGGAAGTAAATTCAAGCCTGTATAGGAGGAATCTTTCAGGCCAGGCTTCAAAACATTTCTACAGAGAAATTTCTAAGGAAAATAAGTAGCACAGAAAAGAAAAGTATAAACAAGGAATATTAGGTATAGTAGGCAAGAGTCAGCAGGAATTAGGCAATCACGTAAGTTAAAAGTTTCATGCAGAAAGAGATAAAAGGAAGCCTTGAAAATATTAATAAAGAGTTTTAAATAGAATCAAGATAAAAAGAATATCCTATGTAAAATTTTAAATTCAATAAAAGTGCTATTCAATAAGTGCTATGAAGTTCAAAAACAGGAAAACTAATTTGCGGTTTTAGATGTTAAACACAATTTGCCTCCAAGAGAAGATCTTCTGAGTACTGGGAATATTCTTGATCTCTATTCAGGTACTAGTAACATGTATGGATTTATCTGACAAAAATGTATCCAGTTGTATACTTAGCGTTGTACCATTTTCTGTATGTTAGACTTTCATACAGTTGACATTGAAAAATTCAAAGAACAACTTTAACAAAATATTAGACACAATTGAAAAGAAAATTAATGAACTAGATTAAAGAAATTAACTGGAATGCAGGTCAGCAAATCAAAGAGAAAAAATATCAAAGAGTGAAGAAACAACATGGAAAATACAGTAAAAAATCAAAAAAGTCCAACATATGTATGGAAAGAAAAAAAGTAAAGGCAATATCTGAATAGATTATGCCAGAAAACTTGCAGGACTCATAAGATTCGAATATTAAAACTTTAAAACACAAAGACTGAGAAGATCCTTAAAGAACCCAGAGGAAAAGGACAAACGACTTCCAAGGAAACATGAAATGACATTGTACCTCCTAAAAGGCCAATGAAAAGCAAGAGTCAGCACAACAGTATCTTTAATGAGCTGGGAGAAAATAACTATAAACAAGGATTTATATACCCAGAAAATATATTTCAAAAAAAAAGGCAAAGAAACAAAATTGAGAGTTTGCTAACATCAGGCCATCACAAAAACAGCTTCTAAAGGATGTACTTTAGGCAGAAGTAAATGAACTGAGAAAGAAGGAAGGGCTAAGCTGTGAAAAGGAATGACTACTAAAGCACTAGCATATAGGTAGGCAAATGTGGCTCATGGCCAAATGCAGCCAACCACCAGATTCTGTAAATAAAGTTTTATTGGAACACAGTCATACCAATGTATTGACATATTGTCTATGGCTGTCTCTGCACTATAAAGCATGGTTGGGTAGTGAAAACAGAAACCATATAGCTAATGAAACAAAATATTTACTATCTGGCACTTTGTTGAGAAAGTTTTCCAACCTCTGCCTTATTCTATATATGCCAAATCTAAGCAATTATATTACAAAATAATGATATCAAGTTTTAAAAATAAAAGAAAATTTATGACAATAACCTCAATCTGGAGAGAAGGATTAAAGTGTTTTAAGAACTGTATTGTTCAGATGGAGAGTAAATAGACTGATTTACTACATCATTAAATAAATTAAATATGCATCTTAATATTTCTAAAACTAAAACATACTTTGTGGAAATGGTGTTAATTTCTAATATTAAAAAAAAGAATAGTGAGAAAATAATTTCCAACATAGCACAGGAAAACTTTTTAGATTATGTTTATATTTACATATATTTATACAATTTATAATTATTAAAAAAAGTATATATTACATATTATATATCATGTATTATATATACTTAGTTAATTAATTTACAGAGTCAGGGTCTTGCTCTGTTGCCTAGGCTGGAGTGCAGTGGTGCGATCATAGCTTGCTGCATCCTGGAACTCCTGGACTCCAGCAATCCTCCCACCTCAACCTCCCATGGAGCTAGGACTATAGGCTCAAGCCACCACAACCGGGTAATTTTTAAATTTTTTGTAGAGATGAAGTCTTGCCAAATGTTTATACTACAAAATTTATAATATCAATTTATATTATATAAATTTATAATATAAATATTCATATTATAAAAATTTCATATTACAAATGTTTATATGACAAAGAAAGCCATCAAGGAAGTGAAAAGACAATGTATAGAACAGGAGAAAATACTTGCAAATCATGTGTAAGGGTATCGTATCTAGAATATAATAAAGAACTCTTACAACTCAACTGTAAGAAGTCACAAGGTCAGGAGTTCGAGACCAGCCTGGCCAATATGGTGAAACCCTGACTCTACTAAAAATACAACTAAAAAGTAGGCAAAAGATTTGAATAGAAGAAAATATTAGGTTGGGCAGGGTGACTAATACCTATAATCCCAGTGCTTTTGGAAGCTGAGGCAGCCCAGGAGTTCGATACCAACCTGTGAAACATGGTGAAACCCCACCTCTACAAAAATTAAAAAATTAGACAGGCATGGTAGTGTGTGCCTGTAGTCCCAGCTACTCAGGAGGTGGGAGGATCAATTGAGCTCCGGCGGTCAAGGCGGCAGTGAGCCGTGATTGCACCACTGCACTTCAGCCTCAGCAAGAATGAAACCTGATCCAAAAAAATAAATAAATAAAAAGAAATAAAATATTAAAGAAGATATACAAATGGCCAACCAGCACGAAAATAAGTTCAACATTATTAGTCATTAGGGAAATGCAAACCAAAACCACAATGAGATTCCACTTCACACCACTTTTACTATTTTTATAGTAAAAATAAACACCAGTTTCATAATGTAAGCTTCAGTTTTATAAATATTAAGATGTGTATTTAGTATATTAAATGATGTATTAAATCAATCTATTTACTCTCTGCCTGACCAACACAGTTCTTAAAAACACTTTAATTTGGCCAGGCGCAGTGGCTCACGCCTGTAATCCCAACACTTTGGGAGACCAAGGCGGGTGGATCACGAGGTCAGGAGTTTGAAACCAGCCTGGCCAATATGGTGAAACCCTGACTCTACTAAAAATACAAAAATTACCTGGGTGTGGTGGCAAGTGCCTGTAGTCCCAGCTGCTCGGGAGGCTGAGGCAGGAGAATTGTTTGAACCTGGGAGGCGGAGGCTGCAGTGAGCCGGGATTGTGCCACTGTACTCCAGCCCAGGCGACAGAGCAAGACTCCATCTCAAAAAAAAGAAAAAAAAGAAAAAAAAGAAACAAACCACTTAAAATTAATTGCTCTCTCCAGTTTAAGAGGTTATTGTCTAGGATGGCTAGAACAAAATAAAAAAAAAAAGAAAAGAAAAAGAAACAAAGCGGATAATAACAAATAGTGACACAGATGTGAAAAAATTAGAACCTTTGTACATAATGTGGTATTATAAAATGGTGCAGACAGTTTGGATGACAGTCTGGCAATTCCTGAGAAGCTCAAACATAGTTACTATACGACACAACAATTTTACTCCTCAGCATATAGCTAAAAGAAATTAAAACAAATCCACACAAAAATCCTGTAAAGGAATGTTTATACCAGGATTTCTCATAAAAGCCAAAAAGTGAAAACAACTTCAACTGTCCATCAACTGATGAATGAATCAAAAAAATTTGATATATCCATAAGATGGAATACTATTCAGCCATAAAAACAACAAAGACTGCTACAACATGAATCAATCTTAAAAATATTAAATGAAAGAAACCAGTCACAAAAAGACCATATACTCTAAAAACATTCCCTTTAACCTTAAAATTCTATAATTGTATGATAATAGTATTCATGTTATTAAGGACCAAAAATGTCTCTCAGTGAAATCATGTTTTCTTTTAATGAATATAAGAAAAGTAGATTTCAATAGAAATTTCAGTATAGAGAAAAGGAGAGAGAAATCAACATCAAAGTAGAGATCAAAAATTACACAGGCTATGTCTGCTTTTCAGTGACAGTATGTAGAAATTTCAGTGATATCAGGATTCATACACTTACACCATAATAATATGAACAAGGTGTTGACCTGTTTAGCACTGTCAAAAATTTGAGCCTTGTTATTATAATATATATTCAGATTACTTTATGACTCAAAATCTTTCCAGGTTCACATTTTGTTTGAAATGAATATGCCAAAGTTCAAAAGGTTATGAATTCATAACTGAAAACACAGCAATATGAGAAATTAAGTATATATATATTGGAGAAAGGATCATGACTCTAATCATCATATAATTACTTTGTATAAACAAATGAGGAATCTAAAAATACATTATGCTTGCTAAATAATATATTCACGCAATTATTTATATATTTAAAATACATTCATTCATAAATCAAGTAACTTAAATTAAGATCAATCTACTTATCATTCTTAGTTCAGCCTAATGATAATATCCAAAAGCAATTTTCTTCCCAAGTTAATTTTTCCTACGTTTACATTTTAATGATTATATTATATTGCATATGATCTTTTACAGATAACATATGTGAATATATGACTAAGATTAAAAGGTATGGAAGGCAATAAATGGCATCACTTAGTTCACTTACTTTGGTCAGGAAAAATCTTTCAATGAGAAGACTGATTTGCTTATACACTGACACATTTAAAAACACCAACAAATCTAAAAATGTCCATATAAAACATTAACCATAGGAAAAAAATGTTAACATATACCTTCTTCAAGGATGGGTCGTGGGATAACAAATGGAATCTCCTGCAGAGGTTCCATATACTTGTGCCCAGCACTAATAATCTTTATTTGAGGCAAACAGAGGACAAGTGTTCCCGGCATGCTGGTTTGTCCATGGTACCAACTTCTTACTGTTCCAGGAATGTCACCAGATACAATTGTACTTGGGGAAGGCAGGCTATCATTTGGAATAAACACACAACAAGATTGTACTTCAAGCTAGAAAAGAAAAGCAGAATTAAAATATTCGGATTAGACTAAATATGCCTTCAAACACCTAACATCTTCGCCAGAATAAACAACCAAAAAAAGTAAATGTTCCATATTTATGTCTTTATGACTTATTTTCACTAATGAATATTTTAAAAACTTGAAAAGGTATTGTTTACTCTTGTTATAAACTTGATACAAAATGCCTAGTGACAAGAGATGATCTGCCCTTCCACAGTCTTTTCCAAGACACAAGATTGAGTTAGAAAGTGTGCTGGCAAAAGAAGATCAGAAAACACTCTTTCTTTTGCAGTTTATTAGAAAATTTTGTTAACACCAGATAAGGCCTAGAACTACCTAGCATTTTATTGCTGTTACTTTTTTTAAAAAGGGCTATTTTTACGTGAATTTAGTCCTTCCATTTTTACTTTACAGACTAGAATATAAGAAAACATTGTTTAAAACATTCAATTTATAACACTAGACAACCATTAAAGAACATGTTTATATCACATACTTTCACTTTTATATACAATGATTCAAGTATACATACATGTATCAGATTTATTATACATAAATACATCATAATAGGAAAAATCAGAAGACTTAAAAATCAGAGCATTATTTCTTGCTTTTTTCATTCTTCAAATTACCTAAATTGTAATTTCATGTATTATCTTAATGTTCTCCTATCCCCAGTAGAGTTACATTAAGTTGCCAGGACCTCAGAGGTTAAGATAAGGAGACAAAGTAAGCCCAACCCCAAAACTGAATTCATCGTGACTTCTTAATTCAGAAGCAATGTAAAGTCTATTTGTCTTAGCGGTGCTTATAAAGTAATACTGTGTATCTCATTATCAAATTGCTCCAACAGCCTACGATACTTAAGTTATTGAGAAAATACAAACTATGATTGGTTGATTTCCTACAAAATATTTCACATAAAAATATGTTATCTGGAGGTGTGATACAAAATAATTTTTTTAATTCATACATTCTTGGATATTCAAAGAAACTATGTTAGCAAAAAGACTACATTTTTAAAAGATAATAGCAACATCTCTTCTCTTGGGCCTAATATACTATTCTGGTGAGAACATGATTATATTTAACAGGTTTGGAATTCCTTGATAGGATAAATAATTTGTCAACCTATAAATAAACAAACCTGTTTGTCTTTGCTTCACATTTTGGGGCATGGCCAAACTGATGAATTCAGTGATGAAAAATACAGGTAAAATTTTGCAAAAATAAACGCATTGGTTTGTGAAGCATGAGCTCATTTTAGTTCTAAAATCTTATACTGCAGATTAGATAAAGTACATGTGTGTTAAGTAGTTTATTGATTTAAGATCATGATGTAGTTTATTCTGAAATAGAAGTCTATATTGTCTCAGGTAACTTAGAATTATGCTTTAAAATATTTAACATAATTCATTAGTAATTTTCAGTTGCACAATTTAAAATGGCACATTAAGAGCATAGCCTTTATTAATTCAGGTTAAAAGGTCAAAATATGAAGTGTCAGTATTTAACACTTCATGTAGGTATTGATACTACCTTGAAAAATGCTTTCAATATTGTGAGGTAATTAGTTTAGTATGCTACCATACACAACCACATGCATACATATCCTTAGGAAAAAATTCAAATCATGCCAAAATTTCCAAAATCAAAAACATTAATTTCACTAATTTAAAAATCAATTATTTCATCAAGTGTAAACAATGTGAGCAACATAAACAGAATCAACAGTATAGTAGCATCAGATACATAACAACTCTAAAATAAACTTTCTAAAATATATGTTGTGAGAGTTCCTTTAATGATAAGAATCATATAATTAAAATTACTCAAAATTATTATGTTTTATCTATTATATATACTAAAGCTATCACATAAATCTTTTTACACTTTTAAAATAACTGTTAAACTGTATGTATAAAATTGTGGTTTTAATGTAAAATGTTGAGTGATTTATATTACTGAATATAAATCTGCAGCAGTAAATTCTGAATTAATGTAAGGATCTGACAATCCAAGGGAAAGAAAATGAAGTAATCTGCCAGTAAGAAGTCCTCAAGCTGGGGGTCAGATCATGTTCATGGAAACCATCTGGTTGGGACCCTCTGAGCCACACCAAACACAAATGATCTTTTAAAAAAATATCCTATTCATGAATGCATCACAGCTGCACTGAGTGTTACTTCATTTTTCCATGGCAACATCCTTTCTGTTTCAAGGATCTTGTTTCAGTTTTGGTAGCAACGTGTTCTTTTGCCAATACTGAACACATTCATGTGTTAAAGTGAAGGGATTATTACAAATTCTTGAAGTGGAACCACCTCTATTTTGATTCCTACTAGGTCAAGGGCTACATATCTAAGTATCATATACTGAAGATAAACCAATAAAGTAAAAATTATTTGTTATTCTTATTTTAATAAATGAAATGACTGCAATGCATTTTTCCCTGAAGTTTCTAGTTTATGTGCTATTTGAAAGATATATGCCTCTGTAAGTCCTTGGCCCTATATGTGAGGTTTGAGAAACTTAGATTTTTCTCTTTTAGTGCTCTATAATTGTGATCCCAATTCAGCTAAAAAGAAGAGACTAAGATAGGTTTTATTTACCCATTAATCTGAAAATCTTAATTAGCCACTGCCCATCATATAAAGCACTTTATAGATAAAAGCTTTGAAATGTTGTGCCACATTTTCTTCCCTTTTCAATAACATAACTATTTCCTATTCCCAAATAATATATTTATTTTTATTTACAACTTGAAAATGTAGTGATAATTATATTTTGCATAATTTCTACAGTACCAAATGTTCTCTATATAAGTGTATGTTACTCTTCAGGAAAGAGTTTCAAATAAAAAACAAAAATAAAGGAACATTGTATGTTGCATTTCATTACTTTTTCTCTCCTTTATTCATGTACTCTCTAATATCTATCATGAACTGACCTGGAAGTCAGGAATACAGAGACAAAAGACATAGTGCCAGCCCTAAAAAAGCTTAAAACAAGATCACTTTCAAGTATTAATATCCTTACAGAATTCTCACGAGAACATAAACTTTATGAAGTCAAACATTTGCCTATTTTGTACACTATATAGTTTCTGTACATTGTGCAGTGGTGCATGTACTATGTACTCAATAAATAATTGTTCAACAAGTAGAAACAATTAAACAATTATTTTCATCAGATATGGTAATGAAAATAATTGCTTCATGCACGTTGTTCATCATTTCATTCCAGAGGCAACCTCTAAGGTGATTAATAAAACTGATTTGTTAATGAGATGAATTCAACACAGCTGTGGGATATTTGACAAGCTATTTCATCTCTCCATGACTTCAGTTTCCTCATCTGTTAATGGGGGAAATTATAGCATTGATATATATATTTAACACAGTAAGTGTTACCTAAACGTTTGCTAAAGAAAGATAGTCAACAAACAACACCAAGTCTCTCCTATAGGCGAGATCCCATATATTATTAGCCTCATAGATTTATAAAACCTGTTCACAGTGCATTTATTTTCAAATGCTGTTGCTTACGGTTTCACTATCTCTGTATATAGGGGCCATTAAAATTAGTATTCCATTTGCACTACAACAAATATATAAACTATCACCCAAATCACAGTTTTCCTATTTGATAAATTTTCAGTGCATCATGAAAATATTTTGGATATCATCATATGTAGTAGAAATTTAAATATCCCTGATTTGGGGCCATAGATTAAAAGCCTACAGTTGGTTGTCTTGGTTGTCATCCTTTCCAGAGTAAGTGTTATAAATCTTCACACTTTTTCCATAAAAATCTTGTCAAGAGAAGACATTAAAAATTCCTAGATTTGAATTCCAGACTTCCTCCTAACTGCCATGCAATGGCTGTCACTTGTTCAATGCCTATAAGTAAGAATGTGGGCCTGTGTGCAAAATTTGTAAGGATTAAATATAAAATCTTACTTTTATAATTAGCATGATTGATAGTTGATCTCTCTGGCCTAAAATGTCTACTCCCATTTAATCCTGAAAATAAAGGCCAAGGAGTTTACTGGACATCAGGACATCAAGCAGTATGACTTTTTTCATCACTAGTCATGCTCTAGATTTAACTTCCTAGAAGACAGAATTCAACTGGCCCAGCTTAACTGGCTCATGCTGCTTGAGACACCCTGACTGACACTCTCATCAAAATAACACAGAATGTGGGAAGTAGTTCCCTAAAGGAATAACAGCATTATTACCAAAAGAAAGAGACCAGAATGCTTGGTATTGAAATTAAAAATGCCATTAAACTCAGAAGACTTCAGTCCACTCAGAAAAACTCAGAGAGTACAAAAAAAAAAAAAAAAAAAGAGGAAAAGAAAATGCTAGTACATGTCATAGGACAGCAAGATGAACTTCGATGTAAATGACCAAAAAAAAAGCTAAGTCTGGCAATAAGCAGAGAAATGTTCTCCTAGAAAGGAGTAAATTCTAGCCAGCACATTTCTATTTTATCAGCTACATACTATTGCCAATTATGTGCTTCTGGAATAAAAACATAGCTTTAATAGAATCTTTGTTAATGAGCAGGTATAGAAAACTTGGAAAGAACCGGTGAACTTATGCTAATCTATTGTTAAAAGGCCCCCAAAGTTTATATATTTTTATTCTTTTAATTTTTATTTTTGAGACAGAGTTTTGCTCTGTCACCCAGGCTGGAGTGCAGTGGCGCAATCTCGGCTCCCTGCAACCTCCACCACCCAGGTTCAAGCGATTCTCCTGCTTCGGCCTCCAGACTAGGTGGGACTACAGGTGGGCACCACCAAGCCCAGCTAATTTTTGTATTTTTAGTAGACACGGGATTTCACCATGTTAGCCATGCTGGTCTTGAACTCCTAACCTCAAGTCGTCTGCCTGCCGAGGACTTCCAAAGTGCTGGGATTACAGATGTGAGCCACCGTGCCTGGCCCCAAAGTTCATATATATATATATTTTTTTTTAAAAAAAAAGACTGTCCAAGACTACATGGAATATTATAAAATAATCCATTATAATTAAGTATGGAAACTCCTTCTTCCACACTGAAAAACAAATAGGTTACAGCAAATATTGTTAATGATTTTATGTAATATACATGTTTCTATTCTAAGTAAAAAATAATATGGGTTTAGCAAATACCAACTTTGGCTCCAACATCAACTTTGCAGAAATTCTGGTTCCAAACATAATTACCTGCACAAACTTCCACTAAAAGAATAATCATTCGAAACCTTTAAGTTATGATGTCCTGTTTTATCTGATGATAACTTGCAGGGTTTTCTGTTTTATATTTTGGCTCATAAAACATCTTAAAAAATGGACAACGTTTTTAAAAATAAAAGCTCACGCCTGTAATCCCAGCACTTTAGGAGGCCGAGGCGGGTGGATCACGAGGTCAGGAGATGGAGACCACCCTGGCTAACACGGTGAAACTCCGTCTCTACTAAAAATACAAAAAAATTAGCTGGGCATGGTGGCGGGCACCTGTAGTCCCAGCTACTCGGGAGGCTGAGGCAGGAGAATGGCATAAACCTGGGAGGCGGAGCTTGCAGTGAGCCGAGATCACACCACTGCACTCCAGCCTGGGCGACAACTAAGACTCTGTCTCAAAAAAATAAAATAAGATAAAATAAATAAAACTCAGATTTTCACAGTCTAAATTGTAATCATTTAATGAGAATCTAATTTTATCTTTTAAAGTGTTGATGATACATTAACATCTGGAAATGTTTAAATATATAGTATGTTTAACACAGGGCCAGGACTAGGGTGAGGCAAGCCAAGTACCTAGGTCATATATAAGATAACCTATATAAAGATGTATTATTTGGTACTGCAATGATTATGTTAACTGATACTCAATAAGCTTACTCAAATTGAGGAACCACAAAATAAACCATATAGTTTATTCCAAATAGTAAGGAAGGTAAATTTTATGTTATATGTATTTTACCATAATTAGAGATTAAAAAAGGAAAAATGAGGAAAATCACTATCATAACTTACAATTAATTCAAAGTGATATATAAGATTAAGTTTGTTAGTGATGAAGCTAAAAGGTACTGCAACATTATAAAATAAGCAAAAGAATCATACAATAATGTTAGAGTTGGAAGTAACCTTAAATATTATTTAATGTATCCATTTTATACTACAAATAAGCAAGTAAAGCACATAGTTAACATCTAGAATTTGACATTGCTGACCAGTAGCTCCTCAAAATTCTAAGCATTTTTTGCTTTCATGAACTCTCTGGTTTCTCCTCCTCCATTTCTGATCACTAACATAATTTTCTTCAAGGACATTCTCTCTTCTACTAACAACTTTTAAAACGGTATTCCCTTGGCCCATTGCTCTTTCAACTGTACATACTTTCTTGAATGACCCATTCTCCTGGTTTGAAAACCATCTGCAGATAACTCCTAAAATTATATCTCTTCTCTTAACCTGTTTTTTAAACTCCAGATGTAAATATCTAATACATACCTGGATGTCTCACATACATTTCAAATACATGTGTAAATTCAAAATCCCTATTTGCCCCTAACCTGGAAAAGCTACTTCATTTAATAGCATCACTACCACCCAAACACCAAAACAAGAATCTAGAAGATCTCTTAGACTCTGTTCCTTGATTCCCCAAATCAATTAATTACTAAGTCCTGCTGATTTTATCTTAAGTCTCTGAGGAATCACTGTCTACTTGGCTTATTGCCTAGTGGTTTGAAATCTTTGTGTTATATATTTCAATAATTTTTTGGTTATTTCAGGCAGTGAAATAAATCTTATTCCTGTTATTTAATCCTGGCCAGAGAAGGACATTCTCCAGTATATCCTACATTGTGGAATATTGATGTACCTACTTGTTTATCGATAGTGCAAAGATTTCTGATATTACTTGGAATCTTAAATTGGAATATTTTCCCAGAGTTGTCAAATAATCATGTAATCCAATACTATCTTTCATGTTCCCTATTACAGAACTACTCAAAATGATATCAATAAAAGGATAATTATACCACATTATTCAATCATTAGATAAGAGGGAATGAGGTTATTTTTAATATAACTACTTCTATTATCATGAAATAGCATTTAGATCTATAGTAAACTTTAAACAACTAAATATTATTGGTAGCTATCATATTCTAAACCACACAATGGTGTCAACTAGATCTTCTACAAAGCAATAAATACTTACCTAGGATAATATCTAAATTCATCACAAACCAGGAAGTACATGCCCTAGGCATCCTTTCAATAAGTAACATTCCTCTTGACATTCCCATTTCTCTTCTTTCATCGTTAAGTTTTCTAAGGGGCTCCCTACAGTATACTCCATACCATGGCACTTAGCCTTTTCCCAGCTAGACCATGACAACTATTATGTCTCTTTTTTTTTCTCAGCATATAGCCCAACATATAACAAAAATTAAGTGCTGGATGTTACCACTGTACAAAGGGTACCTCTAAGGGAGAAGGACAGGTAAGTCAATGCAAGGAGTTATTAGGATATTCATTACAAGGAATCATGACAGCTGAGACTGGTGAAATATAGCTGATATCCCTAAAAGAGTCATAACTCTGCAAGCTAAGAGTTAATTACACAAGAACGACAAGCCATACTTTCTTCCCCCCATTCTTCTCTTAATTTTCTTATAAGAGGCATGCTCAGAAAAGAAACATGTAAAGGAATGCTAAAATCAAGATTATTGGCTCCTATATTAACTAGTATTTTTATGCACTGGAGATATTTTTGGATGAATTTCTAAAAAGTTTTTATGGCAGGTATGTATTTCTTATAGTGATTAATCAGACTACACTATAGCTATGCATAATGTGTCTGTATCTGTCTATATTAATTTTCTATGCTATATAAGAAATCACCACAAATGTAACAGCCTAAAACAACAGACATTTGTTGCAGTTTCTGTGGGTCAATAATCTTGGTATGGCTTAGTTAAATACTTGAATTATGGTCTCAAAAAGCCGCAATAAAAGTGTTGACCATCTGTGTTTTCATCCACAGGCTCACCTGGGAAAGAATACACTTCCAAACTCACTCTAGTTGCTCACAGAGACAATTTCCTCACATCTGTAGGACTAAGGGCTGGCTGGAGTGTAGGACAGACCAGGGACTTCATAAATATTTTCTGAATAAATTACTGAAATTTCATTTAACTGCTGAATTTTGATCTTAATCAAAACTCCTTTACTTTGTTAAGTGTCATATATTTTTTAATGTTAAATTTAACTAGGGCTGAGTGCAGTGGCTCACACCTGTAATCTCAGCATTTTGGGAGGACAAGACAGGCAGATCGCCTGAGGTCAGAAATTCTAGACCAGCCTGGCCAACATGGTGAAACCCCATCTCTACTAAAAATACAAAATAATTAGCTGGGCGTGGTGGTGGGCGCCTGTAATTCCAGCTACTGGGGAGGCTGAGGCAGAAGAATTGCTTGAACCTGGGAGGCGAAGGTGCAATGAGTTGAGATCGCATCACTGCACTCCAGCCTGGGCGACAGAGTAAGATTCTGTCCAAAAACAAAAAAGAAACAAACAAAAAGTTAACTGGAAAATGAAGAGGAAAGAAGCTAACAGCCAAAAGACTAAAACACACTAAAGCTTTCTCCTTGAATACTATTTTTTTCAATATTCAGTTGTTTTACAACTATTTATACTTTCTGATATACTTCATTACTTTCTGAAAAACCAAGATTCTGTTATAATTTCCTTTCAGCCTAAATAACTTCTATCAGAATATCTTGCAGTAAATTTCTATTAGAGAAAAGTTCTGTCTTTATGTATTTATTGGCCAACATTTTTATGAATACTTTGCTGACTAGAGAATTCTATGTTAATTCTATGTTATGTGCTGATTTTCCTCAGCACATAAAAGTGTTATTCTATTGTCTTCTGGCCTCCATTGTTTCTAATAAGATGTAAGGAGTCATTCTTAATGTTTTTAATCTGTATATAACAGGCCTTTACTGTCTACCCACTTCTAAAATTTTCTCAAAAGGACAGTAACCAAAATGGGTGTGCTGGTAAGCCCTGGACACCTGGAGCTTAATTCTACTGAGGACACACTGACAGACAAGGAATGCCACAGAATCATTTCCCATGGTGGGTGAAGATAATCCCAGGGGTGTTATCTCCATCACTTCTTGTCTGCCTGCTGAAGGGCAGTGCAGCCTTCAGCTGCTTTAGAAAAAAGCTACAGCTACAGGAGAGAAAGATGGAATAGAGAAAGAAAACACAAGTGTTATTGAGTACCCAAATGTTTCCTGATTCTTCTAGGGTTAGCTTAATTGACACGTATGTTCATGAAGCAGGATCATCACCATTATAGTCAAATTATTTTAAGTACAATCATTTAATGAATATCTCTCCTTGCCAAACTATGATCTTCATGAGGACAGGACTGCATTAGTTTTCTTCAGTATGTTCTCTGAATACAGTATGGTAACTTTTGCAAAATGAATCAATAAATGAATAAATTTTGTCAGTTGCTTTTATATACTTTATCACTCTATATTTTCGACCCTCTTCATGAAGAAGATATTATAATCTCCAACTTGTGGATACAGAAACAAGAAAAAACTCTCCAATATTACATTGCTAAGAAATACATATCTAGGTCTGCCTTACTTATAATTTCAGCTTCTTCCAGTATAGTCTTCAGGTAAACAAGAATATTGATAAATAAAGATCTTCCCACTTTAAATAAAGTAAAATAAAATAAAACGTTCTCCGTAAGTTTTCAGTAGTTTGACTACTAGGTACTTAGCTATGTTTTCCTTTTTATATATTCTTCTTGGAGTTTTCTGAGATTGTTGAGTTTCAAAAAGTGAGTTGCTTGTCACTTTTTTGGATTTTAGCACCCTGCTGTTATGGTAATGTCAATTTAAGACCTCAGATCTCTATGGGCTTAATATAGCTGTAATTTTGCAGATCACAAAACCTTGTTCTCATAGTAAGGTGGGAACAAGGTTCTATTGCAACTTTTATATCTTAAGTCAAGGTGAAAAGCTTTGACTTAAGCCTTTGATATTACACTCTGGTACATACAAAATTCTATAAGGATGTCTCTGGTATCACAGAGAAAAAATCCTATGCAAAAACTAAAATTTATAACTGTTAGCTTATCAAATAAGCATCTAATTGTATATTTTAGTCAGGTTAAACATGATCTTGAAAGAAAGTAATTCAATAAGATAAAATTGTGCATTTTAAAGTAAAAATCAATGAGAGGAAAATAACAATAAGGAAATAGCTATTATAATTTTCATATTTAACTTATAATTATGTAGAAAAAATAATTAGATAACCCTTTCATGTTAATTTAATTCCAACTCAGACTTTATCTCAGTTCTGAGATAAGAATGGAACTATATGAACACTAAGAATTTAAAATTGTGAAAATAATGCTTAAACAAAAAGTAGAATGAACTAAAATTTTTTAAGTCAAGAAACATGTCAAAATGTGTAAATTTTTATAACTATAAGGAAGTTCATATGAGTTTCATAAAATTATGTTTAGGATAAGTGAAGTACACCAATTATTTTCAACTAAATTAAGAAAATGAGATGGTATACATAATTGTTACATGTGAGAAAAGTCTTACCAATATTAACAATGCTGGGAATTAAAAAGGATTATAGAAATTATATCCATAATATTTCTAACTTTTATTTTACCTGTAGTGTGAGATGCTTCACTGCATTCCAAACAATTCCAATAAATTCCTTCATTCTTTCTTCAGGACTTCTACAGCTTTCAGATATATTCAACATGGCTTTAACAGGAACTGACAATGGGCGGGATTCTGAGTACGAGAATAGCTAATTATTTAATAGAAACATAACTTACAATTTCACAGAACATACCAAACGTATTTTCAAGATTGTTTCTTTCCTTGCTTAAAATTATAATTTTTATATGAGATTATGAATTGTCATTTTACATCATTTTCTCTTATAGAACTGATTTTTGCAAGTATTCAAAAATAAGCAGGCCTAATTTGTTAGAAGTCAGGAGAGCATTCACCCTTGTCAGGGATTAGTGACTAGAAGGTAGACTTGTGAAGTGATAGTAACGTTCTATTTATTAATTACATGCAAGTATTCACTTTGTAAGAATTCATTAAGCAGTAACTTAACAACTTGTCCAATTTTCAGTATAAAGGCAATACATCAATAAAATCTTTTCTTGGAAGAAAAAGAGAAATTCAACTAAAAAGCACTTGATTCATCCAAAATTGATAGAAAATTATCCTTCCCATATGTAAATGTTCCTGATAACAAAAACTTACCAATAAAATCTCTCAATTTTAAAAAGTGATTTTGGCCAGGCACGTTGGCTCACGCCTGTAATCCTAACACTTTGGGAGGCCGAGTCAGGCAGATCACTTGAGGTCAGGAGTTCAAGACAAGCCTGGCTAACATGGTGAAACCCCGTCTCTACTAAAACTACAAAAGTAGCCAGACATGGTGGCAGGCACCTGTAATCCCAGCTACTCGGGAGCCTGAGGCAGGGGAATCACTTGAACCCGGGAGGCAGAGGTTGCTGCAATGAGCTGAGATTGCGCCACTGCACTACAGCCTGGGCAACAGAGTGAGACACTGTCTCAACAACAACAAAAAAAAAGTTGGGGGGGGGGTGGATTTTGATGATAACCAAAAGAGGTATG
This sequence comes from Homo sapiens, assembly GCF_000001405.40. Classification (NCBI taxonomy): domain Eukaryota; kingdom Metazoa; phylum Chordata; class Mammalia; order Primates; family Hominidae; genus Homo; species Homo sapiens. Next base: position 99,430,672 of record NC_000008.11, on the reverse strand, counting down.
TGATTACATAAAAGGAAGATTTCTTAATAAAATGAAATGTAATATTCCACTCCCTATATTATTTAAAATTTTGTTCTTCCAAGTAAAGAAATTAGAGGATTTCAACCATGTTTTCATAATGAAAGATTTCAGGAATTATTTTAAACAATTGAGTAATTTATAGTAATGTATTATAACTAAACAGTTTCATTTAAAACTGGATACATTTATATAATACAGCTTATGTTAATTCAAATACATAATTTATATGTAGTATTTTAGGTACTTATAAAGTAGCATAAAATAAATAAATCAGACCTAAATAAATTAAGTTTGAAGAACCTAGGATGCTCTCCAAAATAAGTAGTACCATATCACTACTATGAGAATGTGGTGATATATGACTAGTTGCCATATCCACTCATACTTCCCCTCTCCCCCTAACTTGGTTAATATATGAGCATTGATACCATATTTAAAATACCTTAAGGGCATGAAGAACGGACTTTTTCTTTCTCATAGTTATATTGTCATATATTATGACATTGTCAATATCAGAAATTGTAAATAAAGTTTATTAAAGCAAACCAGTTTGGAAGAGATCCATGCAGATCTCAGTGGGCAGAGCATTATAGTAGTCAGATGAAACAAAAACAACGAATGTCTGAAGTTAAAGGTATGCATGGGATTTTCAAGCAAAGTATGGAGGCAAAGATGGCTTCAGCAGAGTGAGCAAGGGTGAGAAAAGTAGGACATGAGGTTAGAGCTATATATAGGGACCAGGTCATACAGGGCTCATGTAGGTCATAGTAAGGAGATGGTTTTTACTTGAGGGAACTGGGACAGAATAACAGATTCTGAATATAGTCATGACATTGTTGAATATGTGTTTTGAAAGAACTTCTCTGGCTACTGTGCAAAACATTTACTACATGTATCCAGTGTTGAAAAAGGAAGACAGGTTGTAAGAGACAGCAGAAGCAACGAGGTGGCAAGAAGTGGTAAAATGCTGTATCCATTTCAAAGACATAACCAATAAGACTTACTGATGGATTAGATGTATAGTACAAGAGAAAGCAAAGATGATTCCAAGGTATTAGGACTGAGAGACTGGAAGAATGGAGCTGTAGGAAAAGCACATTTGAGAAGAAAGGAAACTTAGTTTGGGATGTCTTAAACTGAGATTTCCATTAGACATCCAAGTAAAGATATAAGGTGGCAAATAGATAAACGACTATAAAAAAATAGACAAGATAAGAATAGATTATTTACAGAAAAAAAGTTATTTGGCTAGTAACTTATTTTTAAAATGCTCAACATTGCTAACAAAGAAATAAAAATTAAGATATCAGATATCCTTTTCATCAGATATCCAACAATCAGACATACTTTTTCTTTTTTTTTTTTTTGGTTATTATACTTTAAGTTTTAGGGTACATGTGCACAACGTGCAGGTTTGTTACATATGTATATATGTGCCATGTTGGTGGGCTGCACCCATTAACTCTTCATTTAACATTAGGTATATCTCCAAATGCTATCCCTCCCCACTCCCCACACCCCACAACAGGCCCCGGTGTGTGATGTTCCCCTTCCTGTGTCCATGTGTTCTCATTGTTCAATTCCCACCTATGAGTGAGAATATGCTGTGTTTGGTTTTTTGTCCTTGCGTTAGTTTGCTGAGAATGATGGTTTCCAGCTTCATCCATGTCCCTACAAAGGACATGAACTCATCATTTTTTATGGCTGCATAGTATTCCATGGTGTATATGTGCCACATTTTCTTAATCCAGTCTATCATTGTTGGACATTTGGGTTGGTTCCAAGTCTTTGCTATTGTGAATAGTGCCGCAATAAACATACGTGTGCATGTGTCTTTATAGCAGCATGATTTATAATACTTTGGGCATATACCAAGTAATGGATGGCTGGGTCAAATGGTATTTCTAGTTCTTGATCCCTGAGGAATCACCACACTGACTTCCACAATGGTTGAACCAGTTTACACTCCCACCAACAGTGTAAAAGTGTTATTTCTCCACATCCTCTCCAGCACCTGTTGTTTCCTGACTTTTTAATGATCACCATTCTAACTGGTGTGAGATGGTATCTCACTGTGGTTTTGATTTGCATTTCTCTGATGGCCAGTGATGATGAGCATTTTTTCATGTGTCTTTTGGCTGCAAAAATGTCTTCTCTTGAGAAGTGTCTGCTCATATCCTTCGCCCACTTTTTGATGGGGTTGTTTTTTTCTTGTAAATTTGTTTGAGTTCATTGTAGATTCTGGATATTAGCCCTTTGTCAGATGGGTAGATTGCAAAAATTTTCTTCCATTCTATAGGTTGCCTGTTCACTCTGATGGTAGTTTCTTTTGCTGTGCAGAAGCTCTTTAGTTTAATTAGATCCCATTTGTCACTTTTGGCTTCTGTTGCCATTGCTTTTGGTGTTTTAGACATAAAGACCTTGCCCATGCCTATGTCCTGAATGGTACTGCCTAGGATTTCTTCTAGGGTTTTTATACTTTTAGGTCTAACATGTAAGTCTTTAATCCATCTTGAATTAATTTTTGTATAAGGTGTAAGGAAGGGATCCAGTTTCAGCTTTCTACATATGGCTAGCCAGTATTCCCAGCACCATTTATTAAATGGGGAATTGTTTCCCCATTTCTTGTTTTTGTCAGGTTTGTCAAAGATCAGATGGTTGTAGATACACTGCATTATTTCTGAGGGCTCTGTTCTGTTCCATTGCTCTATATCTCTGTTTTGGTACCAGTACCATGCTGTTTTGGTTACTGTAGCCTTGTAGTACCGTTTGAAGTCAGGTAGCCTGATACCTCCAGCTTTGTTCTTTTGGCTTAGGATTGACTTGGCAATGCGGGCTCTTTTTTGGTTCCATATGAACTTTAAAGTAGTTTTTTCCAATTCTGTGAAGAAAGTCATTGGTAGCTTGATGGGGATGGCATTGAATCTATAAATTACCTTGGGCAGTATGGCCATTTTCACGATTTTGATTCTTCCTACCCATGAGCATGGAATGTTCTTCCATTTGTTTGTATCCTCTTTTATTTCATTGAGCAGTGGTTTGTAGTTCTCCTTGAAGAGGTCCTTCACGTCCCTTGTAAGTTGGATTCCCAGGTATTTTATTCTCTTTGAAGCAATTGTGAATGGGAGTGCATTCAGGATTTGACTCTCTGTTTGTCTGTTATTGGTGTATAAGAATCCCCATCAAGCTACCAATGACTTTCTTCACAGAATTGGAAAAAACTACTTTAAAGTTCATATGGAACCAAAAAAGAGCCCGCATTGCCAAGTCAATCCTAAGCCAAAAGAACAAAGCTGGAGGCATCACACTACCTGACTTCAAACTATACTACAAGGCTACAGTAACCAAAACAGCATGGTACTGGTACCAAAACAGAGATATAGATCAATGGAACAGAACAGAGCCCTCAGAAATAATGCCGCATACCTACAACTATCTGATCTTTGACAAACCTGAGAAAAACAAGCAATGGGGAAAGGATTCCCTATTTAATAAATGGTGCTGGGAAAACTGGCTAGCCATATGTAGGAAGCTGAAACTGGATCCCTTCCTTACACCTTATACAAAAATCAATTCAAGATGGATTAAAGATTTAAACGTTAGACCTAAAACCATAAAAACCCTAGAAGAAAACCTAGGCATGACCATTCAGGACATAGGCATGGGCAAGGACTTCATGTCCAAAACACCAAAAGCAATGGCAACAAAAGCCAAAATTGACAAATGGGATCTAATTAAACTAAAGAGCTTCTGCACAGCAAAAGAAACTACCATCAGAGTGAACAGGCAACCTACAACATGGGAGAAAATTTTCGCAACCTACTCATCTGACAAAGGGCTAATATCCAGAATCTACAATGAACTCAAACAAATTTACAAGAAAAAAACAAACAACTCCATCAAAAAGTGGGCAAAGGACATGAACAGACACTTCTCAAAAGAAGACATTTATGCAGCCAAAAAACACATGAAAAAATGCTCATCATCACTGGCCATCAGAGAAATGCAAATCAAAACCACAATGAGATACCATCTCACACCAGTTAGAATGGCAATCATTAAAAAGTCAGGAAACAACAGGTGCTGGAGAGGATGTGGAGAAATAGGAACACTTTTACACTGTTGGTGGGACTGTAAACTAGTTCAACCATTGTGGAAGTCAGTGTGGCGATTCCTCAGGGATCTAGAACTAGAAATACCATTTGACCCAGCCATCCCATTACTGGGTATATACCCAAATGACTATAAATCATGCTGCTATAAAGACACATGCACACGTATGTTTATTGCGGCATTATTCACAATAGCAAAGACTTGGAACCAACCCAAATGTCCAACAATGATAGACTGGATTAAGAAAATGTGGCACATATACACCATGGAATACTATGCAGCCATAAAAAATGATGAGTTCATGTCCTTTGTAGGGACATGGATGAAATTGGAAATCATCATTCTCAGTAAACTATCGCAAGAACAAAAAACCAAACACAGGATATTCTCACTCATAGGTGGGAATTGAACAATGAGATCACATGGACACAGGAAGGGGAATATCACACTCTGGGGACTGTGGTGGGGTGGGGGGAGGGGGGGAGGGATAGCATTGGTAGATATACCTAATGCTAGATGACGAGTTAGTGGGTGCAGCGCACCAGCATGGCACATGTATACATATGTAACTAACCTGCACAATGTGCACAAGTACCCTAAAACTTAAAGTATAATAAAAAATTAAAAACAAAAAACAAAAAACAGAATGCTTGTGATTTTTGCACATTTATTTTGTATCCTGAGACTTTGCTGAAGTTGCCTATCAGCTTAAGGAGATTTTGGGCTGAGATGATGGGGTTTTCTAGATATCCAATCATGTCATCTGCAAACAGGGACAATTTGACTTCCTCTTTTCCTAATTGAATACCCTTTATTTCCTTCTCCTGCCTGATTGCCCAACACTATGTTGAACAGGAGTGGTGAGAGAGGGCATCCCTGTCTTGTGCCAGTTTTCAAAGGGAATGCTTCCAGTTTTTGCCCATTCAGTATGATATTGGCTGTGGGTTTGTCATAAATAGCTCTTATTATTTTGAGATACATCCCATGAATACCTAATTTATTGAGAGTTTTTAGTATGAAGGGCTGTTGAATTTTGTCAAAGGCCTTTTCTGCATCTATTGAGATAATCATGTGGTTTTTGTCTTTGGTTCTGTTTATATGCTGGATTATGTTTATTGACTTGCATATGTTGAACCAGCCTTGCATCCCAGGGATGAAGCCCACTTGATCATGGTGGATAAGCTTTGTGATGTGCTGCTGGATTTGGTTTGTCAGTATTTTATTGAGGATTTTTGCATCGATGTTCATCAGGGATATTGGTCTAAAATTCTCTTTTTTTGTTGGGTCTCTGCCAGGCTTTGGTATCAGGATGATGCTGGACTCACAAAATGAGTTAGGGAGGATTCCCTCTTTTTCTATTGATTGGAATAGTTTCAGAAGGAATGGTACCAGCTCATCCTTGTACCTCTCGTAGAATTTGGCTGTGAATCCACCTGGTCCTGGACTTTTTTTGGTTGGTAAGCTATTAATTATTGCCTCAATTTTAGAGCCTGTTATTGGTCTATTCAGAGATGCAACTTCTTCCTGGTTTAGACTTGGAAGGGTGTATGTGTTGAGGAATATATCCATTTCTTCTAGATTTTCTAGTTTATTTGCATAGAGGTGTTTATGGTATTCTCTGATGGTAGTGTGTATTTCTGTGGGATCGGTGGTGATACCCCTTTGTCATTTTTTATTGCGTCTATTTGATTCTTCTCTCTTTTCTTCTTCATTAGTCTTGCTTTGGTCTATCAATTTTGTTGATCTTTTCAAAAAACCAGCTCCTGGATTCATTGATTTTTTTGAAGCGTTTTGAAGGGAAATGTCTCTATTTCCTTCAATTCTGCTCTGATCTTAGTTATTTCTTGCCTTCTACTAGCTTTTGAATGTGTTTGCTCTTGCTTCTCTAGTTCTTTTAATTGTGATGTTAGGGTGTCAATTTTAGATCTTTCCTGCTTTCTCTTGTGAGCATTTAGTGCTATCAATTTCCCTGTACACACTGCTTTGAATGTGTCCCAGAGATTCTGGTATGTTGTGTCTTTGTTCTCGTTAATTTCAAAGAACATCTTTATTTCTGCCTTCATTTCATTATCTACCCAGTAATCATTCAGGAGCAGGTTGTTCAGTTTCCATGTAGTTGAGTGGTTTTGAGTGAGTTTCTTAATCCTGGGTTCTAGTTTGACTGGCTGGCAAATTGGATAAACAGTCAAGACCCATCAGTGTGCTGTATTCAGGAAACCCATCTCACGTGCAGAGACATACATAGGCTCAAAATAAAGGGATGGAGGAAGATCTACCAAGCAAATGGAAAACAAAAAAAAAAGCAGGGGTTGTAATCCTAGTCTCTGATAAAACAGACTTTAAACCAACAAAGATCAAAAGAGACAAAGAAGGCCATTACATAATGGTAAAGGGATCAATTCAACAATAAGAGCTAACTATCCTAAATATATATGCACCCAATACAGGAGCACACAGATTCATAAAGCAAGTCCTTAGAGACCTACAAAGAGACTTAGACTCCCACACAATAATAATGGGCGACTTAACACCCCACTGTCAACATTAGACAGATCAACGAGACAGAAAGTTAACAAAGCTATCCAGGAATTGAACTCAGCTGTGCACCAAGCGGACCTAATAAACATCTAAGGAACTCTCCACCCCAAATCAACGTATATGCATTCTTTTCAACACCACACCACACCTATTCCAAAACTGACCACATAGTTGGAAGTAAAGCACTCCTCAACAAATGTAAAAGGACAGAAATTATAACAAACTGTCTCTCAGACCACAGTGCAATCAAACCAGACATACTTTTCATCTGTTATACTGGAAACATGTTAAAGAGTTAAGTTGTATACCTATGAAATTTGTCATTGTTGAAGCCTCTTGTGAGAATGTTTTATATATGGGGAAAATAGGTATGCTCTATAGAATGGAACTGCAACAGAGGGCAATTTATATCTGCTACAAATTTAAACATGCCGGCCATGGTGGGTGGCTCACATCTATAATCCCAGCACTTTGGGAGGCTGAAGTGGGTGGATCACTGTAGGTCAGGAGTTCGAAACCAGCCTGGCTAACATGGTAAAACCACCTCTCTACTAAAAATACAAAAAAAAAAAAAAAATTAGCTAGATGTTGTGACACACACCTGTAATCCCAGCTACTCAGGTAGCTGAGGCAGGAGAATTGCTTAAGCTCAGGAGGTCAAGGCTGCAGTGAGTCAAGTTTGCCCCACTGCATTCCAGCCTGGGCAACAGAGTGAGACTGTTTCAAAAAAAAAAAAATTCACACATACTTTTTCTATAAAATAATCCGATTTCTAAGAATATGCTATGGAAATAGTAAAAGTTGTGAGGGTGCATGCAAACAATTTATAAAAGATATTCAGCATCAGTGGTAATTTCTGTAACAGCAAAAAAGAAAGAAAGGAAAGGAGAGAAGACGAGAGGAAAGAAAATGCTAAACAATTTATCTGTCCATCAAAAAAGAAACAGCTAATTTGGAAATATTTGCAATAAAGAGTATAATTAAACCATTTAAGGATGAGGTACAATTACAGGTATGACTAAAGGCATATTTTTGGTATCTTACGAAGTGAAAAAACTCAAACATATGTGTGGTATCATCCAAATATGTTTTTAAACAGTGTACTAAATTTGAATACGTATTTATCTTCCCACACATAGAAAAAGTTATAGAAGTGTAAAAACGTAAGCCTGTGAGAGAGTACCTCTGAGGAGGGAAAAATGGAAATGATGATGGGTAAGGAAGTGGTAAGTATTTAACTCTTTACTATATATGTTTCAGAATTGTTTTATAAAAATGAATTACTTATTGTATTTTTTAAAACATGTATATTAATTAACTTTGTACTTATTTGGACTTCTTGCTTTTCTTCTGTACATTAGTAATTATTAGAAGAAAATGGTTACCTAATATTACTGTATAGCTCTAGGAATCTAAATAATTAGCTTAAAATACAGACCAAATTTTAAAATTACTTGAAACCATGAATAGCAAAGGTTTGCACAAAAGCCTCACGGTCAAAATTTAAAAACCTACCGATGAAAAATATTAGTACTATATGAGTACTATTATTACCATTTGAAAATGAATCTATCTAATAAATGCTAATATTTCCAAGCAGTATGGGCACTATTAAACCACCGTCAAGCAATATTTCCAGTCGCCACTAACCAAAACAGCTACATGTTTTTTGTAAATACTATGTTCTCTGATATAATGATCTAATGAAAAAATTTAGAGACTTTGAAATCTACATGTGGCTTAAAAGTGTTGTTCAAATAGCTATGAAAAACATAATCAGTAAAAGTACACTATTTTGGATATACCAGTTTTCAATTCATTATATTTCTAAATGATGATAGTCAAGTTTGTAAAAAAGAAAAGACAATATTTTCTGCAGCTAGGGAAAGGCAAGACAGGTCTACTACATAAAACTCTGTCAAGCTTCACGCCCATCTATCTTATTTAATCAAAACCTCTATAGCACCTACTACAAGCCAGGCACTGCTGCAAGTGCTTTACAAATTTATTAACCTGTTTGTCCAGGCACGGTGGCTTACACCTGTAATCCCAGCACCTTGGGAGGCTGAGGCAGGCAAATTGCTTGAACCCAGGGGTTCAAGATCATCCTGGACAACATGGTAAAACCTTGTCTCTACCAAAAAATATTACAAAACTTAGCTGGGCATGGTGGTGCATGCCTGTAGTCCCAGTTGCTCGGGAGGCTGAGACAGGAGGATCTCTTCAGCCTGGGAGGTGGAGGTTGCAGTAAGCTGAGTTAATGGCACGGCACTCCAGCCTGGGTGATGGAGTCTCAAAAAATAATAATAATAATACCCTGTTTAGCCCTTGTAACAACCTGACAGGAAATATACTATTTTCAGACTCTTATTATCACCATTTTTAGATAGGGAAACTGATGACAAAGAGGTTAAGTAACTTATCCCAAGTCACCCAGCTAGTAAGTGGCAAAACAAGGATGTAAATCTAAGCAGACTGGTTCCAGGGTCCATCCTTGTAACCACTATGTTATGCTGCCTTTTCTATTATTCAATCCCCATACAATGACTCCTAGTTTTATCAAATGTACAACAAATGTATAAAATTTCTACTATGGATCATGGATAATAAATAGTTCAGAAAACATCAGATTTACTCATTCCCACTAGAGCTACATAAAGCCTAAATTTAACATCGCAATCTCATTTCAAATGTATCTATTACACTTTTAGTTTTCTACAATAAATAAATAATTTTCAGACCCAAATTTCAGTGGTTAAAATAACATATCAACAATTATATCTTGGGGATGAACCATTCAACTTGGTACAATATGATTCCTTCATTTCTGTCCCATGGAAAAAGTACTACACTTGGAGTCAGCTTGTGTTTTAGTTGTGCCACAAGACACATGATTAAGGAAAATGAATTTAATCTAAGTGTCAGGTTTCCGACTTCCACCTTAAAGTTAAAAATATGTGTAGTATCAAGAATACTACTCAATTTAAATGTTGTAATGTATACGAAAACAGTTTATGAAAATACTATAAATATAAGGAATAAAGATATAAAACTTAACTAATCATTGATTATGTAAAGAACCTGAAGACAACTATATCTGAAACACAACTGTACTCCTTTTCTATCAAAATCAACTCATTGTTTTAGTTCTACCTTAAATGTCATTTCCTCTGAGAAATGGTAACTGATTTCCCAAAAAGATTTGGTCCTTCTTCTAGAGCCTGGCAGAATTCTGACTTAATTCTGTATAACGTAACATTCTTCATGGTATAACTTTAAATATTTGAATGTGTGTCTCTCCAAAGGAGGAGCTGAGCATAGTGATATGGTGTAGCAAGAAAGAGTAGTGGCTAATGGCTAGACACTGAAGACACATTCTCTTTATGTCCTCTCTTACTCTTATTCTTCCAATGAGAAATAATCTTTATATACATATTTATTAACATGCCACCAATTAGATAGAATTGGATGAAAAATCATAAACGTAGAAATTCCAAGCCACAGCATTAAATTACTGTTTTGCATCTATATTTTAATCAATGATTTATACGAAAACATCTCTTTACCTTCTTCAAGTCGAACTGGAACCTGATAAAATTACTCAAAATCAGTACATCAAAATCTCTGTTCTTATTCTGGGAGACTGAATAATGATGTCAATGATTAAATGGTAACTCTAAATATCTAGTAACATGTATAAGCCAATGGCACCAAATACTGACACTTGATATCAAATGGCTTATATTCTGAAGTTTAAGATTCTCACAGTAACCACGTTACTTCATCATATCAAAAAGTCAAGATACATTTGTTCAGCTGTAATAATTCAGTTTTCATAGTAAGCACTTCTTAGAATTAAGCCCTTTCTGTTCTAGGTTTTCATCATCTGCTAAGTAAAAGCCTTAAAGAAAGAAGTGCTTTCACTAAAGTAGGTTAGGTTTAGTACTTAAATCAATAAAGAAGGATGACTTCTAATAGGATACTTACTTTAAAATTTTCCCTTTAAACATAAAACTTGCAACCATCAACTTATGTTTATGGACTTTATTCAGTACAGTGCTGACACCAACAGAGTGTTTGTTTTGCTGAAAGGAGAATTCATGTTTCTTTTATCTATTTATTTCATGTAGCAGTAGTATAATGCCTTGCATAGTAAATACTCGATCAAACAATCAATTGATATCTTTTAAAATAGAGAACAAATCATATGTGTACCTTCTTAAAACCTTTTCTATCAGCATATTATTTGATATTCTGTATCACCTTTGTGTAAGGTACCTATTTATAATTTGTGGTTTCATTTTTATTTGAAATTTTAATAGTCATCAAGAAGAAAATCATTGTCAATTTTTATTTTTCCTTTCTGTTCATGGGAAATCAAACTGATAGCCAAGCCAGTATTATACTAGGGGGCAACTGCCTTAACCACAGTTCAATTACCTAAAAGATAAAAATATAAAAATTAAAAACCTCTAGAAAATAAGCCTTGCAAACTCAGATCATAGATCATAATGGAGAGGCAGCATTTTTTAAAGAGTCAAAGGCAGACAGAGAAGATGACTATGAAAAATAACCCATAAGGGAAATTGTGTTAGTCTGTTTTCACACTGCTATAAAGAACTAACTGAGACTGGGTAATTTATAAAGACAAGAGGTTTAATTGACTCACAGTTCCACAGGATTAACAGGAAGCATGACTAGGAGGCCTCAGGAAAACAATCATGGTGGAAGGTGAAGGGGAAGCAAGGACCTTCTTCACATGGTGGCAGGAAAGAGATAGGGAGTGAGGAAGTGCCACAAACTTTTAAACCATCAGATTTCTTGAGAACTCTACCAGGAGACAGCACTAGGGGGATGTTGTTAAACCTTTAGAAACTACCCCCATGATCTAATCACTGCCCACCAGTCCCCACCTTCAACACGTGGGGATTACAATTCCACATGAGATTTGGGTGAAGACACATAGCCAGACCATATCAGAAGTCAAGGTTCCCTGAGATAATGAGAAAAAAGTGGCAAGGCCTTTGCGAGAGAAATGGTTCAGTAGGACCTGAAGGAAGATGACAGAGTTATTTATTTACAAGTTTGCAGAAAGCTTAAGACTAACTGGTGAACACCAAGCCATCTAGAAGAGCGCAAGCTCTAGATTTCTAGGCAATAATTTGAAGGAAGAAGGATAAATTCCTCAGAAGAGAAACCAGGCCTTGACAAAAGAGTGATACACACTATCACATTTCGTCATCCTTTATTCCGAAAATTTCATGAAAAACTAAGATAAAGTGTTATTAGCCATGCATGGTGGCACACACCTGCAATCCCAGCTACTCTGGAGGCTGAGGCAGGAGAACCACTTGAACCTGGGAGGTGGAGATTGCAGTGAGCTGAGATGGGACCAATGCACTCCAGCCTGGGTTACAGAGCAAAAATCCATGTCAAAAAAATGAAAGAAAAGAAAAGAAAAGAAAAGAAAGAGAAAGAAAGAAAGGAAAGAAAGAAAGAAAGAAAGAAAGAAAGAAAGAAAGAAAGAAAGAAAGAAAGAAAGAAAACTATGATAAAGTGTTAACTGTTCATATATCTATTGCTATATGGTATAGTTTTTAAAATACAATATATCTATTGCTATATGGTATAGTTTTTAAAATACTTTTATTAGATAAATAATATGGGCTAATAGGAGAAAAATCAGAAAATGTAGCTCACCAAAAAATAAGAAGAAAAGAAGAAAGGAGGGAGGGATGGAAAATTAAACTATCCCCTAATTTCAACATGTCAAAAAACATCATTCAAAAACTACTTATGGAGTACCTATTATCTTCTTAAGGCTTAGATTAAGAACTGGAAATTCTGTGGTGAGCAAAACAAACACAATCCCAGTCCTCATGAAGCTTATGCTTATTTGAAGAAGCTTTGAGATTTAAAATAGAAACAAAAAATCAAAAAACTCTTTGTGACAGAATTTCAGATACCAGTGAGATTAATATATTTAAATAAAAGTTTCCTGAAAGCATGGACTGGGAGGACTCAGAAAACCTAGGTTTCTTTTTTTATTCTACCAATTCAAGATATGTGATCTTAAAATCACGTCAACTATTTAGGTTTGTTTCTCCTCCATAATTTGCAGGATATAAACAATACAGTCTACCTAGATCTCAATGGAAAGTCATGGGGCAAGGCAGGAATTCTGAAATCTGTCAAGAAAAAAAAACAAGAAACAAAGTAAGGTAAGGGGAATAAAGAGGAGAAAAGAAGTAGAGAGATAATGAGAAAGTGAGTGAGAAAGAGTGAGCACACTGATTAACACTGTCTTGTTATAAATAGCAAAGTAAAGATATGAATGTCTCTAGAATTCAATGTTCAAGTTATATATAGATTACCAAATTAATCCACTGAGACCATTAAAATTCCTTTCTCCTGGCCTAAATTCCAAAACAAATCACATAGACAACAACAAAAAATTTGAACAGGGGAGTAAATGAGCTAAAGCACTTCCAGATAGCATATCATGAGATGTTTAAGAAGCAGTAAGAATTTTTAGGTTGAGAGAGGTAGTTTTTTGCTTATATCTGCAACAGGCTGTCACTGTTTTCCAATATTTTATACTCAGAACTAAGATTCATTAAGAAGAACAAATTATTCAAAGTGTGACTATAAAGCAATAAAGCTGATTTTTATGTAGAATTATGAAATTGGTGTCAATATTTTATGTTCGCCTTTCAATAGCACCCTTCCCACTCTTTGGCTTTTATCATTATTTATAAGGAGTCGGGGAGAAACTAAATATAATCCAGGGAGCTTATAAAAATATAAATTAAAATACTTTGGTTAATCAGATTGCTACTAGAATTTGAATGTTCACATCTACGCTTTTTTGGAAAGAAAAAGGAGAAAAAATGGCCAGAAAGGAAGGAAAAGTAGAAAGTAATTTTGTTCATCCTCAACTACAAATCTTATTAAATGTCCATTTACCACATACTAGGGCTCTGCAGTAAGGGCTTAAAAATATGACACAATCCCTGCCCTAGAAGAGCTTACAAGATGAAGATAAGATATAAACTTAATTAAATACTATGATTATCATTTGGTTTGACAAATACTGCACTATAAAATTCTAGTAACACAGGTGGCTGGCAAGATGGCCGAATAGGAACAGCACAGGTCTGCAGCTCCCAGCGAGATCAGTGCAGAAGGTGGGTGACTTCTGCATTTCTAAGTGAGATTCCCAGCTCATCTCACTGGGACTGGTTAGGCAGTGGATGCAGCCCAGGGAGGGTGAGCCGAAGCAAGGTGGGGCATCGCCTCACTCAGGAAGCACAAAGGGTCAGGGAATGCCCTCCCCTAACCAAGGGAAGCCATGAGGGACTGTGCCATGAGGAACGGTGTACTCTGACCCAGATACTATGCTTTTCCCAGGGTCTTCACAACCCGCAGACCTGGTGATTCCCTCAGGGGCCTATGCCAACAGGGCCCTGGGTCTCAAGCACAAAACTGGGTGGCCATTTGGGCAGACACTGAGCTAGCTGCAGGAGTTTTTTTTTCATATGCCAGTGGTGTCTGGAATGCCAGCGAGACAGACCATTTGCTCCCCTGGAAAGGGGACTGAAGTCAGGGAGGCAAGTGGTCTCACTCAGCAGATCCCACCCCCACGGAGCCCAGCAAGCTAAGATCCACTGGCTTGAAATTCTTACTGCCAGGACAGCAGTCTGAAGTCAAGCTGGAACTCTGGAGCTTGGTGGGGGGGCGGGGGCATCCACCCTTACTGAGGCTTGAATAGGTGATTTTCCCCACACAGTGTAAACAAAGCCATCGGGAAGTCTGAACTGGGAAGAGCCCACTGCAGCACCACAAAGCCACTGTGGCCAGACTACCTCTCTAGATTCCTCCTCTCTGTGCAGAGCATCTCTGAAAGAAAGGCAGCAGCCCCAGTCAGGGGCTTATAGATAAAACTCCCATCTCCCTAGGACAGAGCACCTGCAGGAAGGTGCGGCTGTGGGCGCAGCATCAGCAGGCTTAAATGTTCCTGCCTGCCAGCTCTGAAGAGAGCAGTGGATCTCCCAGAACAGTGTGTGAGCTCTGCTAAGGGGCAGACTGCCTCCTCAAGTGGGTCCCCGACCCCCGTGCTTCCTGACTGGGAGACACCTCCTAGCAAGGGTCGACAGACACCACATACAGGAGAGCTCCAGCTGGCATCTGGTGGGTGCCCCTCTGGGATGAAGCTTCCAGAGGAAGGAACAGGCAGCAATCTTTGCTGTTCTGCAGCCTCTGCTGGTGATACCCAGGCAAACAGGTTCTGGAGTGAACCTCCAGCAAACTCCAGCAGACCTGCAGCAGAGCAGCCTGACTGTTATAAGGAAAACTATCAAACAGAAAGGAATAGCATGAACATCAACAAAAAGGACATTGACACAGAAACCCCATCTAAAGGTCACCAACATCAAAGACCAAAGGTAGATAAATCCATGAAGACTATGGAAAAACCAGCCTAAAAAGGCTGTAAATTACAAAATCCAGAATGCCTCTTATCCAAAGGATCACAACTCCTTGCAGCAAGGAAACAAAACTGGATGGAGAATGAGTTTGACAAATTGATAGAGGCAGGCTTCGGAAGGTGGGTAATAACAAACTCCTCCGAGCTAAAGGAGCATGTTCTAACCAAATGCAAGGAAGCTAAGAACCGGGAAAAAGGGTTAGAGGAATTGCTAACTAGAATATCCAGTTTAGAGAAGAACATAAATGACCTGATGGAGATGGAGATGAAAAACACAGCACGAGAACTTTGAGAAGCATACACAAGTGTCAATAGCCAAATCAATCAAGCAGAAGAAAGGATATCAGAGATTGAAGATCAACTTAATGAAATAAAGTGTGAAGACAAGATTAGAGAAAAAAGAATGAAAAGGAATGAATAAAGCCTCCAAGAAATATGGGACTATGTGAAAAGACCAAACATACATTTGATTGGTGTACCTGAAAGTGACCTGGAAAATGGAACCAAGTTGGAAAATAGTCTTCAGGATATTATCCAGGAGAACTTCTTCAACCTAGCAAAACAAGCCAACATTCAAATGCAGGAAATACAGAGAACATCACAAAGATACTCCTTGAGAAGAGCAAACCCAAGACACATAATGATGGTTGAAATGAAGGAAAAAATGTTAAGGGAAGCCAGAGAGAAAGTTCGGGTTACCCACAAAGGGAAACCCATCAGACTAACATCGGATCTCTTGGCAGAAACCGTACAAGCCAGAAGAGAATGGGGGCCAATATTCGACATTCTCAAAGAAAAGAATTTTCAACCCAAAATTTCATATCCAGCCAAAGTAAACTTCATAAGCGAAGGAGAAATAAAATCCTTTACAGAAAGGAAATGCTGAGAAATTTTGCCACCACTGGGCCTGACTTACAAGAGCTTCTGAACGAAGCATAAAACATAAAAAGGAAAAACCAGTACCAGCCACTGCAAAAACATACCAAATTGTAAAGACCATTGACACTATGAAGAAACTGCATCAACTAATGGGCAAAATAACCAGCTAGCATCATGATGACAGGATCAAATTCACACATAACAATATTAACCTTAAATGTAAATGGGCTAAATGCCACAATTAAAAGATATAGACTGGCAAATGGGATACAGAGTCAAGACCCATCAGTGTGCTGTATTCAAGAGACCCATCTCATGTCCAAAGACACACATAAGCTCAAAATAAAGGGATGGAGGAAGATCTACCAAGCAAATGGAAAGCAAAAAAAAAAAAAAAGCAGGGGTTGCAATCCTAGTCTCTGATAAAACAGACTTTAAACCAACAAAGATCAAAAAGACAAAGAAGGGCATTACATAATGATAAAGGGATCAAGCTAACTATCCTAAATATATATGCACCCAATACAGGAGCACCCAGATTCATACAAAGTTCTTAGAGACATACAAAGAGACTTAGACTCCCACACAATAATAGTGGGACACTTTAACACCCCATTGTCAATGTTAGACAGATCAATGAGACAGAAAATTAACAAGGATATTCAGGACTTGAACTCAGCTCTGGACCAAGCAGACCTAATAGACATTGACAGAACTCTCCACCCCAAATCAACAGAATATACATTCTTTTCAGCACCACATCACACTTATTCTAAAATTGGCCACATAACTGGGTGTAAAACACTCCTCAGCAAATGCAAAAGAATGGAAATCATAACAGTCTCTCAGACCACAGTGCAATAAAATTAGAACTCAAGATTAAGAAAGTCACTCACAACCACACAGCTATATGGAAACTGAACAACCTGCTCCTGAATGACTACTGGGTAAATAATAAAATTAAGGCAGAAATAAATAAGTTCTTTGAAACCAATGAGAACTAAGACACAATGTACCAGAATCTCGGGGATACAGCTAAAGCAGTGTTTAGAGGGAAATTTATAGCACTAAATGCCCACAGGAGAAAGCAGAAAAGATCGAAAATAAATATCCTAACATCACAATTAAAAGAACTAGAGAAACAACAGCAAACAAATTCAGAAGCCAGCAGAAGACAAGAAATAACTAAGAGAGAAGAAACAAATAGACACAATAAAAAATGATAAAGGGGAGATCACCACTGATCCCACAGAAATACAAACTACCATCAGAGAATACTATAAACACCTCTATGCAAATAAACTAGAAAATCTAGAAGAAATGGACAAATTTGTGGACATATACACCCTCCCAAGAGTAAACCAGGAAGAAGTTGAATCCCTGAATAGACCAATAATAAGTTCTGAAATTGAGGCAGTAATTAATAGCCTACCAACAAAAAAAAACCCAGGACCCTATGGATTCAAAGACGAATTCTACCAGAGGTACAAAGAGGAGCTGGTACTATTCCTTCTGAAACTATTCCAAACAATATAAAAAGAGGGACTCCTTCCTAACTCATTTTATGAGGCCAGCATCTTCCTGATATCAAAACCTACAGAGACACAACAAAAAAAGAAAATTTCAGGCCAATATCCCTGATGAACATCAATGCAAAAATCCTCAGTAAAATACTGGCAAACCAAATCCAGCAGCACATCAAAAAGCTTATACACCATGGTCAAGTTGGCTTCACCCCTGGAATGCAAGGCTGGTTCAACATACGCAAATCAATAACACACAAACAGAACCAATGACAAAACCACATGATTATCTCAATAGGTGCAGCAAAGGACTTCAATAAAATTCAACACCCCTTCATGCTAAAAACTCTCAATAAACTAGGTATTGATGGAATGTATCTCAAAATAATAAGAGCTATTTATGACAAACCCACAGTCAATATCATACTGGAAGGGCAAAAGCTGGAAGCATTCCCTTTGAAAACCAGCAAAAGACAAGGATGCCCACTCTTACCACTCCTATTCCACATAGTATTGGAAGTTTTGGCCAGGGCAATCAGGCATGAGAAAGAAATAAAGGGTATTCATGTAGGAAGACAGGAAGTCAAATTGTCTCTGTTTGCAGATGACATGATTGTATATTTAGAAAACCCCACCAGCTTAGCCAAAAACCTCCTTAAGCTGATAAGCAACTTCAACAAAGTCTCAGGATACAAAATCAATGTGCAAAAATCACAAGCATTCCTATACACCAATAACAGACAAACAGAGAGCCAAATCATGCGGGAATTCCCATTCACAATTGATACTAAGAGAATAAAATACCTAGGAATACAACTTACAAGGGATGTGAAGGACCTCTTCAAGGAGAACTACAAACCACTGCTCAACGAAATAAGAGAGGACACATACAAATGGAAAAACATTCCATACAAATGGAAAAACATTCCATACTCATGGATAGGAGGAATCAATATCACAAAAATGGTCAACTGCCCAAAGTAATTTATACATTCAGTGCTATCCCCATCAAGCTACCATTGACTTTCTTCAAAGAATTATAAAAAAACTACTTTAAATTTCATATGGAACTGCAAAAGAGCCCGCATAGCCAAGACAATCCTAAGCAAAAAGAACAAAGCTGGAGGCATCACACTACTTGAATTCAAACTATCCTACAAGGCTACAGTAACCAAACAGCATGGTGCTGGTACCAAAACTGATATATAGACCAATGGAACAGAGCAGAAATAACACCACACATCTACAACCATCTGATCTTTGACAAACCTGAAAAAAAAGCAATGGAGAAAGAATTCCCCATTTAATAAACAGTGTTGGGAAAACTGGCTAGCCATATGCAGAAAACTGAAACTGGGCCCTTCTTTACACCTTATACAAAAATTAACTCAAGATGGATTAAAACCTTAAATGTAAGACGAAAACCATAAAAACCCTAGAAGAAAACGGAGGCAGTACCATTCAGGACATAGGCATGGGCAAAGACTTCATAACTAAAACACCAAAAGCAACGGCAACAAAAACCAAAATTGACAAATGGGATCTAAATAAACTAAAGAGCTTCTGCACAGCAAAAGAAACTATCATCGGAGTGAACAGGCAATATGCAGAATGGGAGAAACTTTTTGCAATCTATCCATATGACAAAGGGCTAATATCCAGAATTTACAAAGAACTTAAACAAATTTACAAGAAGAAAACAAACAACCCCATCAAAAAGTGGGCAAAGGATATGAACAGACACTTCTCAAAAGAAGACATTTATGCGGCCTACAATCATATGAATAAAAGCTCATCATCACTGGTCATTAGAGAAATGCAAATCAAAACCACAATGAGATACCATCTCATGCCGGTTAGAATGGCGATTATTAAAAAGTCAGGAAACAACAGATGCTGGAGAGGATGCAGAGAATAGGAACACTTTACACCATTGATGGGAGTGCAAATTAGTTCAACCGTTGTGGAAGACAGTGTGGCAATTCCTCAAGGATCTAGAACCAGAAATACCATTTGATCCAGCAATCCCACTACCAGGTATATACCCAAAGGATTATAAATCATTCTAGTATAAAGACACATGCACACGTATGTTTATTGCAACACTATTCACAACAGCAAAGACTTGGAACCAACCCAAACGCCCATCAATGATAGACTGGATTAAGAAAATGTGGCACATATACACCATGGATTACTATGCAGCCATAAAAAAGGATGAGTTTATGTCCTTTGCAGGGACATGGATGAAGCTGGAAACCATCATTCTCAGCAAACTAACACAAGAACAGAAAACCAAACACCACATGATCTCACTTGTAAGTGGGAGTTGAACAACAAGAACACATGGACACTGGGAGGGGAACATCACACACTGGCCCCCATCGTGGGGTGGGAGGCTAGGGGAGGGATAACATTTTGAGAAATACCTAATGTAGATGACGGGTAGATGGGTGCAGCAAACCACCATGGCACGTGTATACCTATGTAACAAACATTCATGTTCTACACATGTATCCCAGAACTTAAATTATAATAATAAATAAATAAATAAATAAATAAATAAATAAATAAATAATTCTGGTAACACAGCAAGATTGAATTAATTCACTCAAATATTGGCAGGAAAGATTCCACAAAGGAGGTAACATGGAGTTTGTTTGAGAAAGAATTCTTAAATCAAAGACAGAAGGACTAGCAGACAGAAAGAAGATGCACAAAGGCACAGATTCACAAAGTGCATTGTAAGTAGTTTAGTGTGAGTGAAGTATACCACACAAAAAATGCAACTGGTATACTAGAGGTAAGGCCAGAAAGACAAGATAAGGCCTACTTGTGCAGGGTCTTAAATATCTTGCAAAGAAACATGAAGTTCATCCTGAAGGTACCAAGAGATAGTGAAAACTGTTAAACAATTAAGTGTAATAAAATTTGAGTTTTAGAAGTGAAAGTTCTT
This sequence comes from Homo sapiens, assembly GCF_000001405.40. Classification (NCBI taxonomy): domain Eukaryota; kingdom Metazoa; phylum Chordata; class Mammalia; order Primates; family Hominidae; genus Homo; species Homo sapiens. The sequence goes on along the minus strand of NC_000008.11, from coordinate 99,410,157 downwards.
TTTATTTTTAACAAATTTTTAAATTTTTCAATAGCTTTAGAGATACAGTTGGTTTTTGGTTACAGAGATAAATGGTAGAGTGGTGAAATCTGAAATTTTAGTGCACCTGTCACCCAAGTATTCCCCCATCCCACCTTTTTAGTCTCATGTCCATTATACCACTCTGTATGCCTTTGCATACCCATAGCTTAGCTCAAACTTATAAGTGAGAATATATAGTATTTGGTTTTCCATTCCTGAGTTATGAAGTGAAAATTCTTATATTAACACAAAGGATACATAATTGGAAGAGGAAGAGAGTGAAAATAGAGACCAACTAGGAGTTGTTTTGCTAATACTCAAAACTCTTCTCATCTTATTTGATTCCTGATACAAGAATTGTAAGTTGAATCTATTATGACGCCAGCATGTAGTCCGGATGTTAACTTAAATAAATCCATTAAATATGTTTACTTGATCTGCATTTAATTGTTTTTCCTGTAAGTGGAGAGCGGAAAAAGAAAGTTATGATCCTTGGTTATTTTGTGGGGGTCTTTGCAATCCAAAGAAAAACCCCAGGCCTAAAAATTTGATTATTTTTTGGTAATTTAATTTGACATATCTAATTGCAAATATTTAAAAAATCCACTAAGTATACAATTGTACATATTTACTGAATGTATGATTTAAATATCTTCAAACTTGTTTCAGGCTGGGCATGGTGGCTCATGCCTGTAATCCCAGAGGGATTAAAGACCACATCCCTCCAGCCCCAATACTCACAGCCTTGCCACCTAATTCTGCATTAGAAACCCCAGTACTAATTCCTTTATGCCATTTGTATTCTGTTTACATCAGCCATCAGGAAAAACCCAAAATTCTAACAATACCCCTCATCACCCAGATTCTCATCACTAAACAGACCTGTGCAATCCCCACCTGACCTCATCTCTCACTCCACACACTGCAATCTCCTCCATTCTGCCATCTAGAACTCATGATATGTCATCAGCAAAATCTTTATCTTCCTAAAACTCTTTTCTGAATCTGAGGCCCTAAGGATCCTCAGAGTGGCTAAATGGAAGGTGGCTGATTCACTGCTTGGAGAAGAGCTATCATACTGTGGACTCAGTAATGGACTTTCCTAGAACTAGAAATGAATTCTGCTATGTTGAGTCACTAAAATTTCTGTGGTAGTTTTTTAGAGCCATTGTTTAACACTGAACTATTAGAGGAATCTGAAAAAGTTGATCATTTCCACATCCTTAAAACACAGTCTTCACTTCTTTCTGAACACTACCATCTCCATGTTCCCATTCTACCTCAGTTGTAGCTCTTTCTCAGTTTTCTTGGTAATTCTTCATTCTCCAGACCACAAAATGCTGGCATGTCCAAGGGTTCAGTACTTGGGCCATTTCTCTTCTCTACAAACACTTTCTTCTTAGAGGATCTCACTCAATGTCATGGCTTTAAGTATCCTCTATGAGGATTCTATTTCCAGGGAATTGTCTGGATCTATCCTGTAAGCTCCAGACTATTTATCCAACTGCGTACTGAACATCTCCATTTGGATAGTTAATAGGAATTTCAAATTTAACATAGCCAAAGCAAAACTCTTGAGTCTCTTTCTCAAAAGCCCCTATGCTCTTCATCTTATAGTCCTCCAAGTTTCAATAAATACCTAATCCACCTTTCTGGCTGCAAAAACAAACGAACAAACAAACAAAACCATGACCCTTCTCTGTTACACCATACATCCTGAAAATTACTATAATCTGTTGGCTCTATCTTAAAATAGATCCTGAATTTGACCTTGCATCCTCTAGTAATACTACCTGGCAAAGTTACCATGATTATAGATATACACTATGGCCAAGAGCCATATGGCACCCGGCTTATCTCCTTCTACACTTTTCTCCCTACAGTGCATTCTCAATACAGCATCAAGATTAATATTGGTAAAATAGCCAAAAAAGGTTATATCATGCCTCTACTCAAAACCCTTAAATGCCATCCCATCTTGCTCACTTTTATTAGTCAAAGTCGTTACAATGATTTGTAAGTCCCTACAGGATCTGGCTTCCTCTTGTCTTTTTTTACTTCCTCTTACATCCCTCTTCCCAGTGCTCTCTCTGCACCAGCCATATTGTCCTCCTTGCTAGTCCATGAAGAGAAGAATTTTGGCAAGAATACAGGTTGAAGAACATAGCAGAAGGGAATCTCATCCTCATCACCTTTCTCTCAATCCCCCATTTCCTCATGTCTTTAGAAGATCACAAAAAGATTTTTAAAATTTCAGCAGCACAGCAGAAATAAAGTCAAACAGATGCCAACTTCTGAATCTTATTACATTGCATTCTTACATTCTGTTGATGTGGCTTGGAAAACACTTGAAAATGAGATAAGTTAATGGGTGCAGCACACCAACATGGCACATGTATACATATGTAACAAACCTGCACGTTGTGCACATGTACCCTAGAACTTAAAGTATAATAAAAAAATAAAAAAATAAACTAATTAATTAATAGGCAAAAAAAAAGAAAAGAAAATGAGATAAAGGAAAATGCTGGCCTCTTCCAAGACTTATGAGCTATGGAAAAGTCGCTTAGTTCAATTCAATAAGTATAACTGAGTGCCTACTTGTGCTAGGTCATGGAGAAACAAAGAGACTGGGGTCACATCTCTGAGGGGCTCTCATTATAAGGAGAGAAATAGATGGATAGCAAAAAATTGTATCATAATGTAGAACGTACAATAATTGTAGAAGCACTGATGACCTCTCACTTTATTCTAAACCACATATGTATGACTATGAAAAAGAAGCTATTATCATTCATGATCCTAAAAATGACTTGGGACTCTCTCAAAAGAAATAAACATAAATTTACATATACCTTTTTTAAAGGGTAAGAAAAAAAGTCAATTTTTAGTTTCAGAAATAACCTAAATCTGTACTTTCTTCTTTGTTTCCCTGGCTACCAATTTGTTGAAAATGTTCATCACTATAAAGATTTACTCACAGTTCTGAAAAGGGTCTTCCTCCTTTAGTTCCATCCTACAGACAATTCTCAGCTATAGGATACTACTTAAGAATGAATCTCTGGTAGAAAGTCAAAGTTCTCTATATGGTTTTCAAAGCCCTGTATAAGTTGGTCTTGATTCTCTGAAACTCTGTTCAACTTTATTTTCCACTGTTTCCACTAAAGACTCTTTACTCCAATCAGTGTCTTCTCTCTGCTGTTCCCATCCAAATGAAAGCACCTTCATGATTGTTACAAACCCTATCTAACACCTATCCTAAGGTCTTCTCAATGAAAACTTTTCTAATTCCTAAAATCTATAGTAATGATTCCTTCCACTCAATTTTCCTCAGTTCTCTAAAGTCTACTATTTGTACGTTACTTTTCTCTCTCCAGATATAACCTAAAGTTCATCATAACAGAAGCCATGTCATACATTACCTGCAATTCCCCAACCCACTAGCACAGAGTGGAGAACACTGACTAGAGGTAAAATTTTATCTTAATATCCTGCATTGTACTTGGATCATTCTTATAATAATTCAACATTTTAAAATATATCTAAATTTCTGATGTAGCAGGAATACACTGGAAGATTATGCACACGAAGTGAAATTGTGCCATGAGCTGCTAACTCCTTCTGAATATTTGATAAATATCTGTGAGAAACCAGAACAGATATGAAAAGTTATAGGACATCAACTTAAATCAATTAAAGAACAGGGGTTTAAAAGATTAAGGAATGAGAGTTTTACATCTCTGAATAAAAATAACGAGAAACAAAAAGGTTAATTCATTCATGCAACAAGTATTTAATACATATTTGCTCAATACCAGAAATGGCTATTAGACTCTGGGAATACAAAAATGAACAATTCACATATAGCCCTTGAGATATATTCTAGAGAAGGAGAGAATAAAAAAAAAAAAAACAAGAACAGGATACATGATAAGTGTTCTAAGGATAGAAAGGGGTGTTAAAGAATCCTGGGTGAGTGGTACAGACCTATTTTAGGGAATACAGAAGTTTTTTTATTGATCATCTAAACTAAGACCTGCAGTATGAAAAGTATATAGCGGCTGGGCATGGTGGCTCACGCCTGTAATCCAAGCACTTTGGGAGGCTGAGTTGGGTGGATTACAAGGTCAGGAGTTCGATACCAGCCTGGCCAATATGGTGAAACACCATCTCTACTAAAAATACAAAAATTAACTGGTGTTGGTGGTGGGTGCCTGTAGTCCCAGCTACTCAGGAGGCTGAGGCAGGAGAATCGCTTGAAACTGGGAGGTGGGAAGTTGCAGTGAGCCAAGATCACGCCACTACACTCCAGCCTGGGCGACAGAGCAAGACTCCATCTCAAGGAAAAAAAAAAAAGAAAAAAAAGGATGAAGTATATAAGAAAATGAAACAGGATCCATGTAAGGAAAAATGACAAAGATGCCATGGGAGAACCTAATGGAGGTTAGATAAGATTCAACTGTGTAGAGCATGGTAAGAAGTCTGGGTTATATCTTAAGTGCAATAGGAAGCAACTACTGCGATTAAGCAGGGAGAGACATGATCTAATTTAGGTTTTTAATAAGATGACTCTTGCTGCCATGTGAACAATGAATTGAGGTAACTGAGATCAGAGGATAATATAATACCAAATGGCACCAGTAAGACTAGTTAGCATATACTTACATTACTCTGTACAAAAAATGATGTGGCTCCATTTGTTGTGGCATACGAACAGACAAAAAGATTCAAGATACAACTTGGAAGTGGAATGGACAGGAAAGGGAGACACTAAGGATGAATCCTAGGTCTCAGCCTTGAGCATCATGGTGAATGAAGGTTCGGGGAAAGGTACACAGTTGTATAAATTTAGGAAGGCAGATGAAACAAGACATGTTAGGCTTGAGCACCCCATATAATACCTAAGTAGAGATGTGTAGGCAGTTGGATATGAGGCACCTTTAAAAAAGAGAAAAAAAAATAAGACTGGTATAACAGAGCAGGTCAGTTAGACAAGTCTAAAAAAGAAGGCAGATCATCAGTGTGAAATAAATTTCATTATGTAGGCATCTGTACTGATACACTGAGATTTAAGGCAACTTGTAGATGATTAAGATCCAAAGGAAAAAAGAAAGAATAAAATTTTACCACAAGGCTAGAAACTTATTAGTCAAAATAAGCTTCACCATGCTTGAAGTCTACAGCTTTCCCTTTAAAATTCAAACATCAAAAATATGATCTTCACCTTCTGAATTGTGTTTTATCATTTTAAAGAACTTTCACATATCTTACTTTACTTGAGGTATTGCTGGGTAAACTTATCATCATTTTATAAATGAAGAAGACAAGACCGTGTGATGTTAGCTTAACATGGGGTAGGGTAAGATAAAAACTTAGGTGTTTTGGTCCCTAAGCTACTGGTTTATATACTATACCTTCCTAATTCTTGATTTATATTTTACACTCATCATTATTTTTGGCAACTGTATTTGGCAATATAAATTTAAATAACTTGAAGAGAAAGTGACCTTTATGTAGTACTATTTTTAAAATTTCTACAAGTTAGACAATATTCAAAGCTTTAAGAAACTTGCCACAGAACTGCAATAATGCATGAGACTTTTCATCAAAATAAACCTGCATTTAATACTATCACTCTTGAAAGCCCCTTGGGAAATAACAGCTTTTGGATTCTGCAAGTCAGCGTGACATGGCATACAAAATTGCATCTCATGCTGAGCCAACCAGGAAAATGTATGTCATCACTATGTGACATTCAGAATTTCATCTGGAAACTATAATCTTGTTCTGACTACTAAAAGGGGGTGAAAAGACTGTAAAAAAAAATTGGTTGAATTTTTGCTGAATTCTTGCCAGTCTGTGTAAAAACTAGAATAACTTACACTTATTTCCAAAGAACTCTATATTTGAAAAACGTTCACATATTAACATTGCAATGTGTTCTCAAAGAACTTTAAAATTAAGTGACATTACAGTTCAAATCACATATTATGATAATTCAAATTAATGGCTCCTTGGGAAAAAACCTTTGTAATGAAACAGATGAAGTTGAAAAATTAATACATTGTGCTAAGCAAAACTGTATTGTTCAAAACTGCACACAACAAAAACATATCGTAATTCCTTTCCCTCAGTTGAATAAACCCTGTGTTTAAAAAAACTAAAACAAAGCCTGTTGTAAAGTCTGCAATCTGTCTTATGCATCTCATGTCTTTTCCTTCCAGATTTTTCCCCCGTTCCCTAGTTCATGTGACTAATACCTTCATAATCAATTTACCATCTTCCTATCAAAACAGTAATGTGTTTTAAACCTGCTGTGACTAATTGTAAAATAAAAAATTAGTACGTACAAACTGGAATAGCTGGAGTTAACCTCATGAGCCATGTTTCTACTATTCTTGCATTTTTTCTGGCATTATATCTCATGCCCCAGAACACAGGGGTGAATACATGACCCAACCTGGGCTGCCACTGGGCCAATCATAGTACCTAACCTTCCTGACCATAGTGACTGTCCAAGAGGTCGGCACATGATTTAAGACAGTCAAGCAAAATCCTCTTCAATTACATTTTTTTTTTTTTTTTTTTGAGACAGAGTCTTGCTCTGTCACCCAGGTTGGAGTGCAGTGACGCAATCTCGGCTCACTACAACCTCTGCCACCCGGGTTCGAGCGATTCTCCTGCCTCAGCTTCCTGATTAGCTGGGACTACAGGCATGTGCCACAACACCTGGCTAATTTTTGTATTTTTAGTAGAGACGGGGTTTCACCATGTTGGCCAGGCTGGTCTTGAACTCCTGGCCTCAGGTGATCTGCCCACCTCGACCTCTTAAAGTGCTTCAATTACATTTTCAATAGGCACTGGATAAGACCTGTTTTTCTTTGATCATAGAGAATTAAGTATGTGAGTTCAGAGGTACCCCAGCCATGTACAAAACTGTCAAGAAATCTGTGTTCAGTAAGAGAAGGTTAAACCAACATGAAAAGATGGCATCCTGATAATGTGGAATCTCTGGTTCTAAGTCATTCCGAAGAAAAGATCCATCTTTGCCTTTACCGTTTTGGTTATGGGATTCAATAAGTAGTCTGCCACAACTGGTTTTCAAACTGAAAATCATTTGAATATAGTTCCTGTCTCTTGCAATTGAAGAGTCCTTTCTAATTTAATTTAGGAATGTTTATTCGCTAGTAAAGAAATCACCTATCAATTTGGGGAATACCAGGCAATTGGTTAGTAGTTGTATGTGCCCTGCCCTAGCAACATCATTGCATAGACTGCATAGATCCCACAATGCTTTAAGCATATCATGAGACTTATTTCCCTCCTTTCTCAGGCTTACTTCTTCAAGAGCTGTTCAACTTCATTGCCTTCCTAGCTCACCTGACTCTCAGTCCTTCTATTAGTATATTCACTGGTCATTATCCCACTGATTATCTGCCTAAGCCAGCAGATTTGAAGATGCTATTGATTTTTTTTTTTCTTTTTACTCCTCTGATCAGAAGGAGGAAAGACTTCTTTCACTATCTCAGCCAATACCTTTCTTAGTTTAAATTGGCTCCTTGGGATCTGCAGGACAGTGCTCTGGTGGCCTTGGACCACCCAGTTCTCCTCCTTTTTTCACTTGTAGTTCTTAAGAATAATTGTACAACACAACATCTTAAGATAGGAAGGGACTGACCAAAACAGCTCAAGTTCTGTTCCAGTCCCGACCAGAAACAGTACACTGTAATGCTTTAGCCAGCAAGTCATATCACCATGGAATATAAAACCCAGAGAGAGATGTCTTCCAGGGACCCTCAGGTGTAGTGCAAGTGCGGCATACACAGATGAGACACCATTTAACCTGAGCACCTTTCTGGAGTCTGGGGGACATGAAGGGGACAAATCACACTGAATCCTAGGCTTCTATTGTCCCTTGATGCCTGTGAGCATAGTCATAAATCTGCTTCATGTAACTCACTGCATGTGAGTGTGTTCTGTCTCACTGGACAAGTTGGTAACCACTGCACAGTGAATCTGCACCACAGGATAATCATATCTGAACTTTACATGAGAGGTTTTCTCTAGGTAATGCTAAACTTTCAGATAATAACATTCCAACACAACAGTATTCTCCAAAATATGTGGTGCACAAAGCTACAAGAACACCCATAGGGTGTTCCTGGCCTGAGTCCAGGAGTTTGAGACTAGCCTGGCCAACATGAGAATATCCACTTATACTAACTTTCATCTAAAAATGAGAAACACATTTATTTATTTATTTATGTATTTAGAGATGGAGTCTCGCTCTGTAGCCCAGGTTGGGTGCAGTGGCGCGATCTCGGCTCACTGCAACCTCCACCTCCCAGGTTCAAGCAATTCTCCTGCCTCAGCCTCCCGAGTAGCTGGGACTGCAGGCACGCGTCACCACACCCAGTTAATTTTTGTGCTTTTAGTAGAGACAGGGTTTCACCATGTTGGCCAGGCTGGTCTCAAACTCTTGACCTCAGGTGATCCGCCCACCTTGGCCTCCCAAAGTGCTGGGATTACAGGTGTGAGCCACTGTGCCCAGCCATAGTTTATTAATATTTAATACAGTAGACTATCATTGGAGTCCTTCCTCATGTCAGAAGGCCACAGATAACACTATGTTAAGTATACAAAGGAACAGGAACACTCAACAACAAGAAAGAATTGCCAAGGGCTCTTCAATCCTTCATTTGTTTTCAGTTAATTGTGGCATATTACAATTTACCATGTACAGTTAATCAGGTTTAAAAATTTTATTATTTTAACTAAATTAATACTCATAACCTGTATACACACTTTAAAAATATTCCTGTAAAACACACTCAAAAATATGGATTAAAGACAAAACTAATTTATTTGAATAAAAAAGGCAATACTATCCCATTAAATTGAAATAACTCATTTTACAAGGAAGATGAAAATTTACTAGCCTTATGTCAGCAAACCTTTGCAAAATAGATGGGACTGAAAAATAAGTATCCTGAGTACAGTCAATGATGCCCTTTTCATCTCTTCAATATGATGTATCTCAGTGAGGCAGCTTTCCAATTATGTCAGCCATTAAAACCAACAATTGGAATAAACTTAATTAAAAATTAAACTTATAAGTTGTTATAACAAAGTATTAAACAAATATTTAAAAAGTAATACCATACAGGCTGGGTACAATGGCTAACGCCTGTAATACAAGCACTTTGGGAGGCCGAGATGGACGGATCACTTGAGGTCAGGAGTTCGAGACCAGCCTGGCCAACATGGTGAAACCCTGTCTCTACTAAAAAACACAAAAAGTAGCCACGTGTGGTGGTGGGCACCTGTAATCCCAGCTACTTGGGAGGCTGAGGCAGGAGGATTGCTTGAACTCGGGATGTGGAGGTTGTAGTGAGCTGAGATTGCGCACTGCACTCCAGCCTGGATGACAGAGCGAGACTCCGCCACAAAACAAAAACAAAAACAAAAAAAAGTAATACCATGCAATATTATACCCACTGAAACATTACTGATGTATTAAAATTCCATCTGAATAGTACAACTTAAATAATAATAAAATTAAAATAACCTTACACGCTTTATTACATTAAATAGTGATACATATAGTTAATGTATAAATCAATAACTACTATGGATGCTTGCTCAAAAAATTACTGGTAGGCGTGCACTAAGAAAAACAATTGAAGACTACTATTTTAGGGTTAACTATTTTTAAATAGTTTATGTTTTCTGTATTTGTTCTAATTTATTCCTTCTTAGTATTCAGTAACGCTTTTAACAAAATGTTAGCCTGCCTCAGCTGTGCTGAAGGAAACCAAGAAACCATGTTTTGGGGTGGGGATGGGGGTTCTTATTTCCCCCTCCCTCTTTTTGTTGTTTTGTTCCAAGTTTGGGCCAGCATGTTCAAAAGTGGGACGGGAGTGAGGTAGTGCTAACAGTAATGGAAGTCAAATAACTCCAATAGGGTACAGAAGTAGAAGCAATTTTTCAACATAATTTACCTTCTAAAGCTTTCTCTTCTGAGAAAATTTAATGAAGTCTATGCTCTACCTTCAAAGTAAAAATAGAAAGCAAAACTTGAACACATTAGAAGAAACCATACACAAATAAATCTGCTTTACAATCCTAGAAAAATAAAAAGTGAGCCAAAGATGTAAGGACCAAGAATTTTTTAAAAATTAAATATGGAATAATTGCTACTCTCTCAAGAAAACGATCCAACAAGATAGGACATTATATGTATGTTAAATAAAGTGTAGTATATTTAAAAATAAAAATAGATAAACCCAGTCTGCTTAACAAACTGAACACTTTGTTAGAATTAATCATCAAATACCAATGATAAAATACTCCGCACGGCACACATGGAGACATACTAAATAAAGTGTAATTACATCTCTTTATGAGCTAATGATTCACTTCAGGAGTTTTCATATGAACACTAGCAATGCAAGAAATTCAAATATGTGGTAAATGTCAACTAAGTAATGCATTTGATAGATACGGCTATAAAAGATTGTCATGAGATGACCGAAGGATGCTTCATGTTTATGAAAGTGATAGCTATCATCAGAGATAATTCATATTTATCATCTTCATAAACTATTACCTTCATAAAACATGAAACATTAAAAAAACAGAGTTAAGGAAATGAAGTCTACGGCTACAATCATCTACAATATGGGTAACATATCAAATAATCATCTAGCATCTGTTGAAGTCCTTTAGAAAATTAATCTTAGAAATATTGTCTAATTATAAATTATGCTGATTACCTAGAATAGTGCAGAAACAAATTATGAAATAATTTTAACTTTGTATATCATTTTAAGCTCTGCAGACTAATACTTTTTTCCCTTGAATTTTGATTTAGAAATAAAAATAATTTTTCTTACAATGTACAAAACAACTTAGTAAACATATATTTTCATTAAATTCTCTGACGACTTTCTGAATTACATTTTCAAGTTATTTTACTTTAGATGTACTTCATTAGATAGACTTTATTTTATTTTCAACCTTTTTCTGTTCCAAAGTAGTAAAATTTTTTAAAACCATCTTTTATCCCTGATAAAATAAATTGCATATTATATAATAGTGTCTACCTTCATGCTTTAATATTTTCAAATGACATTTGTAAAGAAAAAATAAAATTTTAGGGCCCGCTAACCATCTGAATGAACCCCTCTTCTCAGCCAGGGCATTCCAAAGTTAACCTGAAAAACTGGTTCCCTGTATGAGAAAAATAGGAGGCTTGTCATGAGAAAATTATACATTTTTTGATCTCTTAGATTCTCTAAAACAGTGCAAAAAAAAAAAAAATACTTGTCCCACCTAAATACTTGTTTGTGGAAAGAAAAATAACTAAATGAATATATAATGATACATAGTCTTATCTTCTTACCTCTGTCTTAAAGAAGAAATGATTTTTCCTGATCGTTAAGTCTCACATCTGTGCATGGGTTTTATATCTTGCTTACCTATGATCTCACTGTATAAATTATCCTCAGCCTTTGTGGTATCTCCAATTTTGTCTCCTTGTCTCTTTACATCTCTATTGCTATACACATACCCCAAGTGACTATATAATCAAATTTCTTGAATGATTGGTGTACATAGGTTGTCCCTCCTTCTTCAATTCACATCCATTCCTTAACAACTAAAGGTCCTCTGGCCAACTGACCACAGACTAACAGCCTATTTTTCAGCCTCATTGTTCTTGATGATTCTACAGCATGTCATGCACCTTCTTCTTGCAACTCTTTGGAATTGTGTCACACATATACATGTAGCTTTGTTGCCTACTTCTCATAATCATGCTTCTGAACTCCCTCCATTGGCTCCTTCTCCTTACTCTACCATTAAAGAGTTCCTTTGAATGTAATTTTGCACTCTCTTCTCATCCTGCTCTGTATGGTCTCCTGAGAAATCTCAACCACTCTGTGGCTTCCACTATGATCCATATGTTGATGACTCCCAAGTCTATATCTCTTACTGTGAAATATCTAAGCAACACTAAAAACATTTTTTTAACCAGCTTTGTCTTGTGATGTGCATACTAAAAGGAAAATATTTTTATTCTCTATTTTTTTCCAAAATTCAGCTTTTGATTTTCCATTTTAAGTTACTATGGTGGAAGCAGCTAAATAATCTCTACTATCCACTCTCCCTTTCTTTCTTAGTTAGAACATACAAGTTGTAGCCAGGTACATGGCCTTAAAGATTACATACTACATTTGCAAGACCTCTTATGCAGTTAGACAGGACCATGTAACTAGCTTCTAGTCAAGAGTATATAAACAAAATGGGGTGTACAACTTCTGGGTAGTGCTTAATGAGGCAGAAAGCACCTTTTTCTTTCACTGTACTCATTTATGCTCACTGAAATGCAGACTTGATTAACTGCTGAAGCCACCATCATGAACCATGAGGAAAGCCTGGCAATGAAGGCCACTCAAAGTAGAATAAAAAGCTTCCTGATCTTGAAAGATCATAATAGCTTTAGGGTGCGTGCTTAAACTTTCTAATGAGAGACAAAATTGGATCTTGTTTAAAGCACTGTTATTTAGAGTAGTCTGATATTTTCAGCCAAACTTAAGCCTAAACAATATATTATTAAACTTCGGCATAAATTTAAAATATTACACCTTGAAATGAGGTCAGCAAAAAAATGTAATTAGAAATATTCTACTCAGGCCAGATGTGGTGGCTCACACCTGTAATCCCAGCACTTTGGAACGCCGAGGCGGGCAGATCACGAGGTCAAGAGATCGAGACCATCCTGGCCAACACGGTGAAACCCCGTCTCTACTAAAAATACAAAAATTAGCTGGGCATGTGGCACGTGCCTGTAGTCCCAGCTACTCAAGAGGCTGAGGCAGGAGAATCTTTTGAACTCAGGAGGTGGAGGTTGCAGTGAGCCAAGATCACGTCACTGCACTCCAGCCTGGGCGACAGAGTGAGACTCCGTCTCAAAAAATAAATAAATAAATAAAGAAGAAATATTCTACTCAATAACCAAAGATGATTCTCCAAAGACAGATTCTTTAAAAACAAGTAACAATAATCTAAAGCCTTTTATTATCTGTAATATAAACAATGTACTTTTTAAGATTTCAAGATTTTTCATATTTACTTCTCTTGGAGACCTAGGCATAAAAGATAGATTTTCCATATGCCTGATAAAAATGGAAACATCTGAAGGATCATTTTTTTTTTCATTTTGGTAGAAGCCTTAGTATTCTGGAATATATTTAAGGATATATCAAGGCCAAAAAATATATACCAACAGTAGTGTTTCACTTTTGAGTCTCATCCAGGAACTTAACTGTGCATCAGTGAAGTGGCACTCAAATAAAGAAAGGTGGAACCATCAATGCCATTATGAAACACGATCATAAAAGGTGCTTCCCAGTAGTATCTATCTTGGTAACTCTGATGCAAAATCTTTCACTATCTTAGTGCCACGGGACAGGGCTGCAAATTTAGAGTAATTCCTTAGCAAAAAAAAACACACTGAAGTTGGCTGGCTATATATTAGGTATTAGAGATGAAATAGTAGATGACAAAATTTGCACAGACCTGATTTGCAGGACTGCCAATGCCATGAAAGAAAGAAAGCAGGAAATATTCAGAGTGGAAGAAGGAAATAATCGCAAAGTGCCTATACTCTGGCAGTTTCAATTTTTAAAAAGTCTCATTAAATATCTTTTTAACCTCGGATAAGTTGCTTGATCTCTTCCTATAGTCTGGCAATTTCAATTTTTAAAAAGTCTCAATAAATATCTTTTTAACTTTGGATAAGTTGCTTGACCTCTTTGTGACTCAATAGTCTTAATTATAAAATGAAAGGGTTACAGTGTATCATTTATTTCTAAATATATATATATGTATACATATAGATACAGATACATAGATAATTCCAAATCATTTATCCACAGATGTCTACATGGCTCACTCCCTCTCCTGCTTCAAGTATCTGGTCAAATGTGAACTTTCAGTGAGCCCTACCCTCACAACCATAATTAATTATCATCCCACGGTTCGATAAGGCTCTGTACATTTATTTTCCTTTATTCTCTTTGTGCTTCATTTTGGCATGTTTCCATCACTATGTCTTCAAGTTAATTAATTTCTTTTTCTTGCAATATCTACTACTCAACATCTAATTCCACTAAATTTTTTTATTTCAGATATTTTATTTTTCATCTGTAGAATTGAGTTTGGCTCTTTATATATTTTCAATTTCTCTCCTCAATGTGTCCAACTTCTTGTAAATACCTCAACGTAGTTATGACACCTGTTTTAACATATAGGTATTTAATATACCTGCTAATTCTATCATTGGTGTCATTTCTCAGCCTATTTCTATTGGCTAGTTTCTCTCCTGTTTGTAGTTCTCACTCCTTTGCACCTCTAGTAATTTTTTATTGAATGTTTGCAACTGTTATATTTAAGTTGTTGTATGTCTCCATCTTATTGTATTCCTTTTAATGATGTTGGGCTACAATAGTATTGTATTCCTTTTAACAGTAACAGTTACTCACTATTTTGTTTCCTTCAGAGGCTGATTTACAAGCTTGTTTAAGGTGAGTCTAGGGTAGCCTTTACTCTATAGATAGTTTAGCCCCACTACTGAGGCCTAGACCTTCTGGTCTCCACTGAATGTCCTAAATAACCAATGAGAATTATATATGATGGACAGTAGGAACTTCAATGCCTTCCACCCTGTGTAAGGATGGGAATCATTAAGATCGTAGCTCCGAGGTTATTCCTTGCCAAACCCTGTGAGGTCTCATCGCCATGCATTCATGTCTTGCTATTCAGCAAACTCTCAAGAACTCTATTGTTGCTCCCAGGGGCTCTTTCTCTGCATAGCTTTCTTCATCTCTGGAATTTTATTCCATAATTTCTAGTCATCTCTGCCTCCCTTAACTTCAGTTCCTGTCTCTACAACTCAGAAAGACTGCTGAGCTCAGTTTGAGATGTCCTATTCTGCCCTGTATTCAGAAACTTGCCTTGAGGCAGAAAGCTAGGGAAATCCTAGGACTCACCTTTGTTTCCTTTCTATGAGGAATCACACTCCTGCACTGCCTATTGTCCAATGTCCAGAAACTGGGGAATTTTCCCCATATATTTTATCCAGTTTGTTAGTTGTTTACAGCAGGAATATAAATCTAAACCCTGTTACTCTATCATGGCCAGAAGCTAAAGTTCTATATTTTGAATTTATAGTATTATCTACCAAATCTACATCATTATCACATGTCTTCATTTATTACTATCTTAGCAATAGTCAAGGTGTCTTAAATTTAAAAGGCTTCTATTATTTTAACTGTATTTATTATGTTGACGTGAGAAGTAATATATAAACTTGTAAGATAAAATGGTTTATATCTCTTAAGTATCATTTATGGAGTATTCTGCTTGTTAAGTTTTCATCTCCATCACAGACATTTTCATCAAGAATTCCAAATTAAGGTTTATAACATTTCAAAACCTAGGGTAAACAAATGGCATAGCTCTTAGGGGTTTCATTGTTTTGAAGGATATACAGATTCTCTGGAAGATTATTTAGAATTCTGTGATAATAGATTATCTTCATGTGGAACAGCAAGTTTTTATTCTGGCTCAGTCTGCCCTACATGACTATATCATTGAAATAGTGGCATTCTGCTGTTAACACATTCCGAGCCATCAAGCACAGGTCCCCCTGTAGCCAGCCACTTAACATTGGCTGAGTTTGGAAGAGGAAAAGGTCTGCTTCTAACTGAATAATTAAAAAGCAAAATCAAACCCAGTGCAGTATCAGCAGGTCTTTGTATTCATGTGTCAAAACCACTATATATAACTTGTTGGGGATGAACTTAAAATCAACATTGGACCATAGGCTGTGATGATATAAATTTAAAAAATAATTTTAATAAGAACTCAGAAATAAAATGAACATTAACATTTCTCCACTGTAACATGTAGTTAAAAAATAAAATGTGTATTTTACAACAATGTGATTATACCTAATGCTACTGATTTATACCTAATGCTACTGAAAATGGCTAAGATGGTTAAAAAACAAACAAAAACCAACAACCAAAAAAGGTAGGCAGATGTGCAAAAGACTATGAATACCTTAACAAACTCATTATAATTTATGATGCAATATAAATAATAATTAAAACAGTGATTGATAACTACATTTAGATGTATGTACTCACTCTAAGAAATCATAAAATATATTTTTATTCTAAAAAAGAAGACTGTATCCTTTAATTAAAAATAAAACAAAGTGTTAAAACATAATTCTAGGTAAAGAAAATGTTTAGGACAGAGTATTATCAAGAAGAGTACCACTGCCAAGTTCCCCAGAGAATTAAAAATAGTGGGCACCCAAAGGGAAAGAAATAGAATTCATAAACAATAAATGTTATACTCAAGGCCTTTTACCTTTGGTGACTGCTCACAGTCACCAAACAGGGCAATCACAAGCATTAGTTGGATGCCTATTAATTTTTATGCAAGCTTGAGTAAGAATATACATTTGGTGAAATAATAATGTCCTTATCTATAAGAAGAATATCTATAGGATATCTGATGGTTCTAAAGGTGGGGGAACACCAAAGACATAAAATGCAATTATCCTTAATTCTAAAGAAAAGAACCATAGTTCAGATTAATAATTTAAAATTTAAAAAATGTGTTGTTTATGTTTTCATATTTTATAAAGTAATTAATGATGAGAAATTATGTTTTCAGCTTATTTTCCCTCACTAACAATTATTAATTTCTTATAAAAACATAAAGTATAATAAAGAAGGCAAAATAATTATCAGATCAACTGATATCATTTATGAATTGATATGTGATTGGTATGAGTTTACATATAAACTTTTCCACGCATATACAGATGCATTTCAAAATCTGTGATTGCATATTCTAAATAGTTCTATATCATCTATTTTCATTTACATTATAAGCATTTTCTGTCACCGTTAATTATCCTTAACCATTATTTTAAATATATGGTTTACATGCATGTAAGGTAATTCTTACCATTTTTTTTTCACTAATGGACATTTATTTTCTTAACTAAAAGGTGATGTTTATAAACCTTTATGTAAATTAACAGCTCAATTATAAACCTTTATGTAAAACCTAAACTCTAACTCTTAAACTTAACATGACATTTAAAGGAAAGAATATTTAATTTTATAATCAAAACTCAACACAAACTATATAATCTTTTTGTGATACAAAATGAGGCACAGGCATTTTTGTCAATTGATAAAATCTCAACAAAGTAAAAGGCTTGTGGCTATGGACAGGTGGAAGACTAATGATTCCACAAAATAAACATAATTAATGTCATATTTTAGGAAAAATCATAAAGCACAAAATAATAATACTTATGTATAAAATACCATAAACAAATTTATTTTAGCATTTTGGTTGTTAAATACGACTTAAATACTACAATAGCTAATTTGAATTTCCTTGCATATATGATTATATTTTAAATTCTTTAAGGGTAGGGATCTTCTTAATATTTCTGCCCTCAATTTCACTTAGAACAGAGTCTTGCCCATAACAGACTTGATAGATGGTTCTGATTTACTGAAACTATAAAATCTTTATCAATGTGGTTGGGAATATCTGCGTTATAAGAAATAAAGCTAAAGAAAAGACATAAAATTACCCAAAGAAAAGTAGCCAATCATCATAAAAATTAGAGGTTAAGAAGAAAAAACAAATCACAAAATAAAATCATAAAAATTATTTTTTTAATTATATATTGATGAATTATATATGTAAAATTCTTTTTATTACACAAAAGGAAATAAATTATTTTATAGAAGGATAGTTATACTTTATATTTACATAGAAGATCTAGCAGAGAGTATGAGAGAAAGGGGAGGAAAGATGATTAAGGTGTACTGTCGTTTTCAAGAATTCACTTAAAGAAGGAACATACTATTGAGAGATAATTCTCTATGGGTCTTTTAAGTAGAGGTGGTGATTGTCATTGTTCCCTACTGTGTTTTTAAGGATATTTGCATAGCGAACAGTCTCAGAAGATAGAAATACGATCCTGCTTCTGTGCAAAGGGCAAGTGGGCTCACACCCTTGCAAAGGAGACACAGCGCCTCCCTCTGGAGAATAGGGCAGGCATGCTTTCTATCCATTATAAAAGGTTCAAGTTCCCTAAATTCAGAATTCTTGGCCCTCTTCATGCCACCTTATGGAAACTGGGCTCAGGGCACTAACACAAAAAAATGCTAATACTGTGATTATTGCTAATGTTGTGGATAATAAAGTTCTTTGTCTCCACTCAATGAGTCTCATGTCTTTGGCCAGCATCCATGAAATTGTGGATGCTAACTTGCTAGCTTAGAAGTAGAGTACAATCATAGTCCCTTTACAGTACTTGACACATACCTGTTACCGTTTTTGTTTTTACAGGGCTGCTGGCATATTCAGAGGCCTGATATGATTGCTGCTTTGCCAAGGGGGCACTTCCAATAGACACCTCATCCTCTTTCCTTCTACAAACTGGCATAACAAGAGGAACAGCTACCACAGGCTGCTGGAAAGAGACAAAATGAAAACCTTTTTAGTTTTTAGTTTTTCACTATTTCTTAAGCAGCAAAGGTTAAACATGGCAATACTGAGGACAGTCCTTCACAAGTTGGGGCTGAGACTTCATTATTGTAAATCAATCAATCTCTCCCTCCCTCATCTGTCCCCACAGCCCCGCTTTTTTTTTTCTCTCTCTCTCACACACACACAGACACAGACACACATGCACACACAGAGCAATGCTTATCCACTTAAATTTTAAATTAAAATTCTGAGTGAAAACCAAAGAGCCTGTAAGTACCCAGAAAATGTAAGTTTTAGTAAGAAGTATTAAAATAATATGGAAAGAGCAAGTTAAAATTAAAATTCACTTTGAAAATTATGTTTTCAAAAAATGGAAAAGTATCCTTATAAAGTTATCCTTATAAAATGGATCCTTATAAAAAAAATCCTTATGTTTTTAGAAACATACTTTTACAAACTGATTATGTACATGTTAATATGGATAGTCCAACTTTTTTGAAGAATACTGAAAATCTCTACGTTTTGTCTGACAAAAGATATCCATAGCATATTCAGAAAGCACAGAAAAATAACTAGTTAGAGAAAGCTGGAAAATATTATGATCCTCTATTGAATGCATGAGGGCTGAGCTGGACAATAAAGCAGCTGTTTCATCTTTATTCACTGAAATAAAGTCTGATGTTACTGATGATGATGCCCAATACAATTTTGTCATATTATTGGCAAAAAAAGTTTTAAGTTTGCCATAGGATCAAAGATAAATGCTGAAGTGGGTGGAAAACAATCATCAAACGTTGCGTTTTAGCCACAGTTTGAGAAGGAAATTTTAGCTTTGGAAACAACAGATGATAACTGTAACACAGCTGTATCAGATGGTGAATCTGGTGGCGGTTGGTCAGGCTGCAGTGTAGTCTAAGGTTATCTTCAGTACCACAACCAAAGTTTTATAGATCCAACCTTAAGCCTCACCCAACTTAAAATACTCAATATAATGTACATTATAAAAAAGTATTTCAATGAAAACATGTTTATTATATAACTATGTAATAAAATCAATCATGTTCTGAAACATGGAAAAGGGCATATTATTTTACAAGTTGCTAGTCACACTGAGTAAAAAAAAGGAAAAGAAATTAGAGGCTGGGTGCGGTGGCTCACGCCTGTAATCCCAGCACTTGGGAGGCTGAGGCGGACGGATCACAAGGTCAGGAGATCGAGACCATCCTGGCTAACATGGTGAAACCCCGTCTCTACTAAAAATACAAAAACAAAAAATCAGCCAGGCATGGTGGCGGGTGCCTGTAGTCCCAGCTACTCGGGAGGCTGAGGCAGGAGAATGGCTTGAACCCAGGAGGCAGAGCTTGCAGTGAGCCGAGATCATGCCACTGCACTACAGCCTGGGCAACAGAGTGAGACTCCATCTCAAAAAAAAAAAAAAATTTAAAATGAGAAAAGATTAAATAAATTATCGAAAGCATCATAACATAGAGTGCCTGCTTTTATATTTGGTATTTAGTCAAACTGATAATACACAAATCTAAATTGGAAACCATTTTTAAGACCTAGATGAGATATGCTCCTTATATTGTTAAGTTTTGATGCATTTAAATTTCCTCATCTAAAACATAAGGAGGGGGGGTGGACTAGAAAACCTCTTATACTCTAATATTTAGTGACTCCATAATCCTTTGAATTTTTGTCCATTTATATTCCTGGAATACAATCCAAACTCTAAAAAGGTACAACCAAGTTCAGGATTAAAATTAATATACACTTGGCCCTTGAATAATATAAGTTTGAACCACATAAGTTCACTTACATGTGGATTTTCTTCCACCTCTGCCACTTCTGAGACAAGACGAACCCCTCCTCTTCCTCCTCCTCAGTCTACTATTCAACATGAAGACCTTCAAGAATGATCTACTTTCGTCCTATATAGTATTTTGTCTTCCTTATGGTTTTCTTAATAACATTTTCTTTTATCTACTTTAATGTAAGAATAACATATATAGCACATATATAAAATATGTGTTAATTAACTATTTATGTTATCATTAAGGTCTCTGATCAACAGTAGGCTATTAGCTAAGTTTAGGGGGACTCAAAAGGTATACACGGGTTTTTGACCAAGCAGGGAGTTGGTGTCCCTAGCCCTTGCATTGTTTCTAGGGTCAACTATATAATAAGTAACTAGAGAAAATTTATGTGCTATACAGTGTAAATTCAAGCACAATAGCTGAAAGATGCAACTAATGAAAGCACAAAGTTTTATAAATCCATATAAAATTTTATAGATCCAATAAATTTTCGTGGTACTGACAATACTAAACAACAAACAAAAAATACCTTTGGGCAGCTAAAGCTCTGAGTGTATCTTTTTTTTTTCTTTTTGAGACAGAGTCTCGCTCTGTCACCCAGGCTGGAGTGCAGTGGTGCAATCTTGGTTCACTGCAACATCTGCCCTCCGGGTTCAAGCGATTCTCCTGCCTCAGCCTCCCTAGTAGCTGGGATTACAGGCACCTGCCACTGCGCCCAGCTAACGTTTGTATTTTTATTAGAGATAGGGTTTCACCATCTTAGCCAGGCTGATCTTTAACTCCTGACCTCATGATCCACCTGCCTCAGCTTCCCAAAGTGCTGGGATTATAGGCGTGAGCCACTGTGCCCAGTCAACTCTGAGTGTATTTTCACACAGGCAAGAATTAAAAGGCCAAGGCCAAACAAAACCACTTTCTAACACAAGAGTAAGGCTCTTGTATGCCTTGTACACAGCTGTATACAAAATACCTATATTTGTTGAATGACTGCTAATAAAGATGCTGCATGTCAGGCATTAAGTGATACCAAATAAGGAGTAAGACCAGTGATTTCCTCCACTATTCTAGAAATATGGCTACCTTGGTCAAAAACATCAAAATAAGTAGTATTTATTTTTAACAACCTCCTATTACCCTGTGTATATTCTTTTTCCTTCTGGTACTGTAGCTCTTCTCAAATTTCAGTTGCAATCTAGTCTCAGATCTGTTCTATCTTTAACCCAAAAATGTCCCATAATCCCAAAATACCTAAAGCTTTTCATAGCTGCATCCTATAAAACGTAACCATCTTTCACTAATTATTAATTTAACAAATTAAAAAAATACTAGAGGGTTACAAAGAATACAACATACCTATTATGACCAATAATTAATGGCTATTAACAGTTTATCATATTTGCTTTTTTAAAAAAATATTATAGATAAAACTAAAATCCCCTTTGAGTGCCAACCTACTGCCCTTTCCTCCCAGAGTCAACCATTATTATGATATTAGTACAAATGCTTCAACTTAATTTTTACACCTGCATTCACTTACAGACACACATTAAGGGCAGTTTTAGAAAAATATATATAAGTGCCCTCATATTGCATACATCATTGGGAAATTGCTTTTGCATCAACTACAATTTTTGAGACATCCATACTAAGGTCTATTGTATAATTTTTAATAAATGTTATATCCTGTGAATATTTCATACTTTATCAACCTTCTTACAAATTTTCATTTAGGTTTTCAAATTTTCACATTATTGTAATGATTACACAACAGCAGGCTTACACAGTATTCCTTACTTTTATGAATTTCACTCTAAGAGCATACCTACATCAAGAAGTAAAAGTTTGGGGTTATAAGTTGGCTAATTTTCAATTTTATTAGATACTGACAAATTTATCAAATTTTCACTCACAACAATAGTAATCATTCTCTACATTTTCACCAATACTTGTATATCGGCATTTTTTTTTCACCTAACAGATTTTAAAAGGATGAGTGGTCATGACTTAATAAATATTGAACCTGGGTATGGAAACATATGGCTCAACTATGCAATTCTCTCGATTTTCCATGGTGGGGTGGGGCAGGGGGAACATTCAAGAGTAAAATAGTAGATTAAGAACATTTTTTAAAGTATATTTTTAAGTATGCCAAACTGTAGTAAAATAACAATGCTATCAACTGCTGTTCAAAATGTAAACTGGGCTGGACATGGGGTTCATGCCTGTAATCTCAGCACTTTGGGAGGCTTAGGTGGGTAGATGACTTGAACCTAGGAGTTTTAGACGAGCCGGGGCAATATAGTGAGACACCACCTCTACAAAAAAAATTGTTTTTTAATTAGCCAGGCATGGTGGTGGGTGCCTGTGGTCCCTGCTACTCAGGAGGCTTAGAAAAGAGGATCACTTGAGCCCACGAAGTTAAGGCTGCAGTGACCTGTGATCACAGCACTGCACTTCAGCCTGGGCAACAGAGCAAGAACCTGTGTGGAAAAAAAAGAAAAAGGAAAAAGAAAATGCAAATTTTATACCCATTTTGGAAGCAATTTGGTGATACAACAAAAGTCTTAAAATATGTTTCTAAAATGCAAAATACTTGCCTAGTGCTACTAATTACACTTGTAAAAATATATTCCAAGTCAATAAAGATGAATGCAAAGATTTAGGTATGGAGACATATACTCCAACATTATTTGTAACTCTGAATGAGTGGGGTTATGGTATTTGTTAGTTTACCTTTTATTCTTATTATTTTTAGAGATGGGGTCTCGCCCTTTTGCCCAGGCTGGAGTACAGTGGTGTGATCATTGTTCACTGCAGCCTCCACCTCCCAGGCACAAACAATCCTCCTGCTTTAGCCTCCAGTGTAGCTGGGACTATAGGCCTGCACCACCACGCAGAGCTAATTTTTATTTTCTGTAAAGACAGAGTCTCGCTATGTTCCCCAGGCTGGTCTTGAACTCCTGGGCTCAAGCAATTCTCCCACCTTGCCTCCCAAAGTATTGGTATTGCAAGTAGTTTAGCTTCTAAATAAAGCCATTATTTCTGAATTCGAAAAATATACCTATAATTATGTGCCACATAACAATGTTTCAGTCAACAATGGATTGCATACACGATGGTGGTTCCATAAGATTATAATGGCATATTTTTACTATACCTTTTCTATGTTTAGATATACAAATACTTACCTTTGTGTTACAATTGCCTAAGGTATTCAGTACAGTAATACTCTGTACAGGTTTGTACCCTAGGAGCAATAGGCTATACCAGAGATGGATTATAGCCCAGATGTCTAGCAGGTCATACCATCTAGGTTTGTATAAGTACACTCTATGATGTTTGCACAACAACAAAATTGCCTAATGATGCATTTCTCAGAATGTATCCCCATCATTAAGGGGCACGTGATTGTATGTTCATTTTAAAAGTTATAATTTTTTAAAAAGTTAAAAATCAAAATATTTTAATATGCTTGGTATCAATTAAATGAATGTCTAATTTACTTAAGCTGCTAGAACACTCTACTTGACCTTCAGGGATATCTATGGTACACTGGAAATAACTGTATTACTTAGAGAATAACCAATCAAGAATTTACAATGAAAATTATTCCCAACTGGTTACTGCCATTAGTCTAACTTCTGTATCACCCATTCTCTATATTCTGCTAGAGTAAACTTTCTAAAATCCAGCTCTGTTTATACCAATTTCCTATAGCTCCTCTTTACCCTTCAAAATGAAGTCTCAAATACCTAGGACTACAAATTCAAAATTTTTTTTCAGAAATTGGTTTCCAATTTCTCCTAGTCTCTACAAGAACACACTTGACTCCATTCTGGAATCACTGAAGTCTCTTTCTTGTCATGCTTTTGCATCTTCTTTGCCTTTGCTCAAACAGTTCAGTCTAAAACAACCTTCTCTGTCTGTCTCACTCCTAGAATACTCAGCTTAGTTGTTAATTCCTCCTTTTCACACACTACCCTGGTTGTGAGAACTATTCCTCTTGTTTTCACATAATCCTGGACATACATCTACATAGTTAATTACTAAAAATGGCATTACTATATCCCTTAAGATTCTCAAATACACTAAATACTCTCAGAGGGAGGGATATTCTCACCTATGACTTTTATTTCTGTGGCCATGGTGTACAGCATACTGCCTTATATTCTGTAACTACTCATTAAAAGGAAAAATGGGGACAGGTATGGCAGAAGTTTCAAATAAAATTAGGACAAAGTGAAGAAAAACCTTTAAAAGGTGCTCCTTAGTACTTTTTTGTTAAACTTTTTAATTCTTACATAATTATAAAATTGTGTATTCTTCTCCCATCAACTAGCTTGAAGTTACTTCAGAAAAACGATACAAAACTATTCCAAATAGGATATTGCAAAATTATACTTAAGTTGATGGGAAATTATAATTCAATAAAGCACGAATTTGGCCTCAAAAATTCTTAGTTCTGTCATTTACTTAAAGCTGTGTGACTATACATAAATGAATCTCAATAAGCATCAGTTTCTTCATCTTTAAAACGAAAATAATAAAACTGTCAGAATTATGTTTAAGTATTCTAGAAACTATAATTGCCTACTTACTACTTTCTAATTTATACCTTTTTAAACAAACACATATTCCAACCTTTTTTGCACCAACCATCCCAATCCCAGGATTAGGTATTCGATGCATGTTTGTTGAAAAAACCTAAATATGACAAGGAAATGTAGAGATAAAAATAAAAGCTGGTCAGACGCTGTGGCTCATACCTGCAATCCCAGCATTTTGGGAGGCTGAGGTGGGTACATCACTTGAGGTCAGGAGTTCAAGACCAGCCTGGCCAACAGGTGAAACCCTGTCTCTACTAAAAATACAAAAATTAGCTGGGCATGGTGGCACATGCCTGTAATCCCAGCTACTTGGGAGGATGAGGCACAAGAATCACTTGAACTCGGGAGGTAGTCCCGAGAGAATCACTTGAACCAGGGAGTGGGCCGAGATCACGCCACTGCACTTCAGCCTGGGAGGCAGAGTGAAACTGTGTCTCAAAACAAAACAAACAAGCCAACATTCATTTACTGAGCAATTCTTATGTATTGCACACCATGAGAATGGACATGTAGACACTATGAAAGAATGAAGACTGGTGAAATAGGACTCCTAAACTAGTTTCTGTTTTGTAAGCCATTGTACAGAAAGCCCCTTTAATAATCAAAGAAACTTTATACTGACATGCAATTTCTCATACAAAAATAAGGGAACGGAATTGTTTGAAAGGGGTAAGGTGGGGAGACAAAGGAAATCTAGTACATTTGTTAAAAAAGAATCCATCAAAAGACATATATAATTCTACTAAATGAATAAGAAAAATATTTGTTAACAGAAAAAATTATTTAAAAATCTCTTACCTGTTGCATATGTCTACTTGTTCGTTTCTGAGGCTGATAGATGAGCCACGTATATAAGATTGGGTCAATATTAACTGCTAGTCCTTGTATACTGCAAAGAAGTACAGCACCTAAAAGACAAGATTTTTAAACTGTTACATAAGTCCTCATAAAAAACAATAAGCTATTTGTCACTTTACACCATGTAGGATAGCTATGACATAACAGACAAACAGTAACAAGCGTTGGAAAGGATGTGGAGGAATGCAAACCCTGATACATTGCTGGTAGGAATGTAAACTGGTACACCCACTTTGGAAAATACTATGGCATAACTGGGTCATACTGCAACTATATGTCTTTTTGAGGAAATGTGGGCACCGAAAACTTATGCCCACACAAAAACTTGTATTCAAATGCTCATATCAGCATAATTCGTAACAGCCAAAAAGTGAAATCAATATAAATTTCCATGAGTTGATGAATAAACAAAATGTGGTATTTCCAAACAATGGAAAAGTATTTATCCATAAAAAGAAATGAAGTACTGATACATGCTACAGCACTGATGAATCTCGAAAACATTATATTAAGTGAAATAAGCCTGACAAAGAAAACATATATTTTAGAATTCCACTTATATGAAATTGCCAGAAGAGGCAAAAACATAGAGACAAAAAGTAGATTTGTGGTTACCAGGGCCTGTGAGAGGGGAGAGTAGAAATAACTGCTAAGAGCTATGTGGTTTGAGAGTGATAAAAATATTCTGAAATTAGAAAATGATTGTACAACCTGGTGAATATACTATAAAACATTGAATCACACAATATAAAATAATTGTATAGAAAGTGAATTACATCTCATTAAAAGTACATTTGTCCATAAAATATAATAATAAGCTCAACTTTTTAGGCAAAGAACAATTTTTATATTGGCCCTGAAAATGGAATACTTTAGGTAAAATATTCCTAAATAACTTTTTCATTATATTAAAAAATTGATTCATGATTTGAAAGAAGGTATTATAATCATTCAAAAAATCATTAAAAATTACAACTTTTAATGTTCAAAAGCAAAGAGAAAGGGCAGCCTAGATTAAATGCAGGCCAACATTCTGACATAAAACACAAAGCGGAAGTGTAACAGGCTGCAATTCCAACCAACTAACTAACCTATTTTTGTCCCTTTCTGATGAAAAGTAGTTCGAATAGAACTTACCTAAAGCAGAGTATACAATTCTCAATTTATGTGCGGGTTATATACATCTGTAAATAAGTTTCTGTAATTGTACATATATTTTAATACAAATATTATTAGCTCCACTAGGATATATGAAACATAAGGGAAGGGATATTTGTCAATTTTGTTATCAGCCAAACCCGTAGCATATAGGAAATATGCCATCATACTGAATGGGGAAAAGCTGATGCATTCCCCTTGAAAACTGGCACAAAACAAGATGCCCTCTCTCACCACTGCTATCAGACACAGTACTGGAAATCCTGGCCAGAGCAATCAGGAAAGAGAAAGAAATAAAGGCTATCCAGATAGGAAGAGAGAAAGCCAAACTATCTTTGCAGACAACATGAAAATATGTATCTAGAAAATACCATAGTTTTGGCCTAAAAACTCCTTAAGCTGATAAGGAACTTCAGTGAAGTCTTAGGATACAAATTCAACATACAAAAATCATTAGCATTCCTATACACTAACAACTGTCAAGTTGAGAGCCAAATCAGGAATGCAATCCATTCACATTTGCCAAAAAAAGAATCAAATTCTTAGGAAGACAGTTAACCAGGGAGGTGAAAGATCCCTACAATGAGAACTATAAAACATGCTCAAAGAGATGACAGAAACAAATGGAAAAACATTCCATGCTCATGGATAGGACGAATCAATATCATTAAAAGGGCCATTCTGTCCAAAGCAATTTACAGATTCAATGCTGTTCCTATCAAACTACCAATGACACTCTTCACAGAACTAGAAAAAACTATTTAAAAATTCATATGAAATGAAAAAAGAGCTTGAGTAGTCAAGGCAATCCTAAGCTAAAAGAACAAAGCTGGAGGCATCACATTACCCAATTTCAATCTATACTACAAGACTATAGTAACCAAAACAGCATGACACCTTTACAAAAGCAG
This sequence comes from Homo sapiens, assembly GCF_000001405.40. NCBI lineage: Eukaryota > Metazoa > Chordata > Mammalia > Primates > Hominidae > Homo > Homo sapiens. The sequence continues at coordinate 99,382,188 of NC_000008.11, read as the reverse complement.
ACACATAAACCAATGGAACAGAATAGACAGCCAAGAAAAAAGACCACACACCTACAACTATCTTATCTTCAACAAACCTGAAAAAAACAGGCAATGGGGAAAAGGATTCCCTACGCAATAAATGGTGCTGGAATTGGCTAACCATAAGCAAATAATTGAAACTGGACCTCTTCCTTAGACCATATACAAAAATCAACCCAAGATGGATCAAAGACTTAAATAAAAACTCAAAACTATAAAAGTCCTAGAAGACAATGTAGATAATCATTCTGGACACAGGAACAGGCAAAGATTTCATGATGACAATGCCATAATGGGAATGGCATGGGAGAAAATGCCAGAATGGGAGAAAATTTTTGCAAACTCTGCATCTGACCAAGATCTAATATCCAGCATCTATAAGGAACATAAAGAAATCTACAAGAAAAAAAAAAGCAAGTCCATTGAAAAGTGGGCAAAGGACATGAACAGACAATTTTCAAAAGAAGATATACATATGGCCAACAAGCATATGAAAAAAAACTCAACATCATTGATCATTAGAGAAATGCAAATCAAAACCACAATGAGATGCCATCTCACACCAGATAGAACAGCTATTATTAAAACGTCAAAAAATAACAGATGTTGGCGAGATTGTGGTGAAAAGGCAATACTTATACACTGTTGGTGGAAGTGTAAATTAGTTCAACCATTGTGGAAAACAGTGTGGCGATTCCTCAAAGAGCTAAAAACAGAACTGCAATTCAACCCAGCCACCCCATTACAAGGTATATACCCAAAACCATATAAATGATTCTACCGTAAAGACACATGCAAACGTATGTTCCCCACAGCACTATTCACAATAGCAAAGACATGGAATCAACCTAAATGCCCATCAATGGCAGACTGGATAATGGAAATGTGTTACATATACACAATGGAATACTATGCAGCCATAAAAAAGAACAAGATCATGTCCTTTGCAGGAACATGGATAAAGCTGGAGGCCATTATCCTTAGCAAACTAATGCAGGAACAGAAAACAAAATACCACATGTTCTCACTTATTAGTGGCAGCTAAATGATGAGAACACATGGACACATAGAGGAGAAAAACAGACATTGGGGCCTATCAGAGGGTGGAGGGTGAAGGGTGGGAGAAGGGAGAGGATCAGATAAAAATAACCATTGGTTTATTTTTTAGTACCTGGGTGGTAATATAATCTGCACAATAAATCCCCATGACACAAGCTTACCTATATTATAAACAGGCACTTGTATCCCTGAACCTAAAATAAAAGTCTTTTTTTTTTAAAAAAAAAAAAAAGAAAGAAAAAGTATCTGCCTGATGGTAGGGGGCTACAAAAAGTATATGTCAGAATAAACCATAGCTGGTTCTCAGGATAACTGAAAATAGTACATTTGTTCTATAATGTTATAGATTATTTAAATTGGGAAAATTACTATTAATAACAAGCCCTATGAAACTGATATATAAAAAGACAGATAAAAGGATGAAGGAGAAAAAGTAAGAGAAAAAGAAATTTATCTTTTTTTCAAAGCTTTCCACAGAATCTTCAAATAACCAAAATTTGCCATGTATACTCCTATTCTACCATGTAGTTCTATTTTTTCCATGGGCCCAGAACCAGTATAAATCCTTAGGCAGCATGCTCAGACAACAAAAGCATGTGCCCTCCCAAGGACCAATATGTGTACTGTTGAGCAATGATTCACTCAAGCAGATGTCAGAAAAGAAAGACACAGAAAAGCTAAGCAAACACAAGATGATTGCAAAATGGGAGTCATAATTAAAGTCAACTGAAAATCCAATTTAATATATAATATACAATTTAACATATATTTCTTACTTTCATAGATTGCAAATTTCTCATAAGGACCTAAATTCTTCTACTTCCCAAGTATCACTTATACACAGAATAAAGGTATAAAAATACTATATTAAGAGAAATAAATAGGACTTTCCCAATATGATATCCAGTTTTCAAACAATTCTGGCAGCTCTACTACAGCAAAGACTGTCATCTCCACAGACTAACAAGAATAAAGTAGTACGATATATACAGTAAGATTTAATTTGCACTGTATTCTTATTTTATAACAACTCATTCTCCCGAAAAAGTTACTATGTAAGAAAGAGAATTTTCCCCCAATATGAAAAATTGTTTATTAAGACCTTTTGATTTTAAAGCAATTAACTGAACAAGATTTAGAGAATTTAAAAGGTTTATTTAAATTCAGGAATATATAATTCAATCTCAAGGGTTAAAAGATCTTTCTAAAACCTACGTAGATAAATAAAATTAAAATTAGATTTAAATTACTATGAATTTCTTTCTGTCAAATGAGCCCCTTGAACTGTAATTTGTTCTATAACTAATATCATATAAATACCACATAAAATACAATAAAGAAAGCATTCACTAAAAGAAAAGTGAATTACACGAAGAAAGAAGACTTTGGATTCAGAAGACAAAAGTGATCCTCAGTTAGATGTGAATAGTGTTAATAAATGGAATGATATAAATTCTGAAATAATGAATAAACAATGTAATCAATCAAATTTAGGATATAATAATATTGGGAGTATGAGCAAATAAGAACATGTGATGAAGGTTGGAGAAAGTGAAAGATAGCCAATTATTATTTTCCACAGTAAGAAGTCAATAAATAATGCTCCAAAATGAATATTCAGGAAAAACCAAGAAAAGCTATGTTATTTTAAAATACAGAAATAAACACCAAAATAATTCCTGAAAATTTGTGAAACTAGTAACAGCTAGAAAAGGAAACATTAAAAAATAAGTTCTGTTGCCCCCCCGCCCATCCGCCAAAAAAAAATGTAACTGGGATTCTGAAACTTGGGACACCAGGAAAGAGAGATAGATGAGCCTTAGACTTTCTTGTGAAGACCAACAATCCCCAGTCTTTATGGCACCAGGAACTGGTTTTGTGGAAGACAATTTTTCCACGGATTTGGGGGGTGGAGGAATGGTTTCAGGATGAAACCATTCCACCTCAGATGATCAGGCATTAATTCAATTCTCATAAAAGCATGCACAATCTAGATCCCTTGTATGCACAATTCATAATAGGGTTTGCGTTCCTTTGAGAATCTAATGCTGCCAATGATCTGACAGTAGGCAGAGCTCAGGTGGTAATGCTTGCTTGCCTGCTGCTCACCTCCTTTTGTGTGGCCCAGTTCATAACAAGCCATGGAATGGAACTGGTCCACGGCCCAGAGGTTGAGGACCTTAGCTCTAGACATGAGAAAAAAGCAGAAAAAAAGTTGTCACTTTGAGAAAGTCTCCAATTCATTGTTATGTGACACCCATAAATTATGATCTGTCATTTATGTTTCCCATAACAAAAAAATCAGCAAGAAGTGCAGAAAATAAACCACTGTTAATAAGAGTCAAAAATATTAATGAACAAAACATTTATATCCTCAAGCACTGAAGGTATTAGAATACAGAATATAAAACAGCTATGTATTGTTGCGGGAAGTCAGGGACCCCAAATGGAAGGACCTGCTGAAACCCTGATGGAAGAACATAAATTGTGAAGATTTCATGGACATTTGTTAGTTCTCCAAATTAATACTTTTATAATTTCTTATGCCTGTCTTTACTGCAATCTCTGAACATAAATTGTGAAGATTTCATGGACATTTATCACTTCCCCAATCAATACTTACAATTTCCTATGCCTGTCTTTACTTTAATCTCTTAATCCCATCATCTTCATAAGCTGAGGATGTATGTCGCCTCAGGACTCTGTGATGATTGCTTTAACTGCACAAATTGTTTGTAAAGCATGTGTGTTTGAACAATATGAAATCTGGGCACCTTAAGAACAGGAAAACAGCGATTTTCAGGGAACAAGAGAGATAGCCTTAAAGTCTGGCTGCCTGTGGGCCGGGCAGGACAGAGCCATATTTCTCTTATTACTGAAAACGGGTAAGAGGAATATCACTGAATTATTTCCCCAGTAAGGAATATTAATAATTAACAGCCTTGGGAAAAGAATGCATTCCGGGGGGGGGGGGCTCTAAAATGGCCGCTCTGGGGGTGTCCGCCTTATGCAGTTGCAGGTAAGGGATGAAACACGTCCTGGCCTCCTGCAGCGCCCCCAGGCTTGCTAGGATTAGGAAATTCCAGCCTGGCGAATTCTAGTCAGACTGGTTCTCTCCTCTTGAACCCTGTTAAGATGTTTATCAATGACAATGAGTGCACAGCGGGACACGGAATTTCATTAGTAATTCTAGTTTCACCCTGACCTTGTGATCTCACCCTGACCTTCTGCCTTGTGATCTTTTGTTGCCCTTGAACCATGTGATCTCTGTGACCCACACCCTATTCATACACTCCCTCCCCTTTGAAAATTGCTAATAAAGACTTGCTGGTTTTACAGCTCAGGGGGCATCACAGAACCTGCCAACATGTGATGTCTCCCCCAGACACCCAGCTTTAATATTTCTCTCTTTTGTAGCCTTTCTCTTTATTTCTAAGACCAGCCAACACTTAGGGAAAATAGAAAAGAACCTACGTTGAATTATCAGGGGCTGGTTCCCCTGATAATGTATAAAATGTTTAAAAACACACTTATGAAATCATGAAGATAAACTATGAGAAAGCATCAGCAACAAGTAGATTTTAAAGAAAAATGAAAATCACAGAAATGACAAATTGTTGAAGTACAAAACTCACTAAACATGTTAAAAAGCACATTAGATGCAGTTGAAGAGAGAATTAAGGAAATGGAAGATACATAACAAGATAGTTTAGGATGTAAGCCCAGATTGAAAAATAATGAAACTTTTAAAATGAAGTTAGAGATAGAGAGGTCTGAGTGAGAAGACATAGCATATGTCTTATTGGGCTCGAGAGAGATAATAGAGAATGGGGAAGAGACAATATGGTTTTTAAAAAAGGTAATGGCTGAGTATTTTACAGAAATGTTGAAAGATAGTAAACCTTAAATCTAGGAGGCCCAATAAACCCTAAACTGGATAATTAAAATAAATCTACACTAAGCAAAAAAAGAAGCTGTAAACAAGTGAAGATAAAGAGAAGATCAGAAAAGTACTCAAAAAGACAGATCACCTAAGGAAAGAATCTATAAAAGCAAATAAATTTATGACCAACTTCTCAGCCAACAGTAAATGATATTCATTATATAATTTTAATTCAATACTTACATATATGTTACCTATTTTTATACATACCTAATGTTACATTGAAAAAACAGTAAAGAAAGAAAAAAGATATTGAGTTGATTTTTTAAATAACTCAGGATTATGTTCTTTTAGATTATGCATCTAAGTACAGGCCATATTATATACTATATATTTTTTAATTATGATGAAAAAATTTCAAAACCTAGTAAACAAAATGGCATATAAATTTAAATGTATGCAAACTGGACAAGATGCAAGTATGTTAAGAAATTACAGATAACCTCCATATTGTACAAATTGTTACAGAAGTCTTTTCAGATATGTCTAAAACTAAATGTGTTCAATGAATTTTCAAACAAATTCTCAACATGTGATTGGTACACCATTTTATTTGAGATTTTAGAGAGAGAAAACGGAAAACAAATATAATAAATATTTTCAAATGGAAAATTAAACTTGAAGGTCTTATTTTATTATAATTAAAAAGTTAAAAATACTTCACCAACCTATGTAAGTTATATGATTACATTATACCAAAAACGACCTCATGACTTACAGCCAGCCTTAAAATTTACGAATGTTATAGATGATAAAAGAGGGTAATTCATTGATTTAACATCAATTTGGTTGAAATTACAATTTAGAGATAATGTTCTCTTTAATTTAGAGAGAGATTTTCATCATATACTCAATTCACAAGATACCAACCTTTAAAAATAGCACACAAGTTCTAACATATAAATATCTGGGTAATTAGTTTGATATTGAGTTGACACAGACCACATCCACCATAGATCACTAAAATTTGGCAGTATTTTATTCTGTTTAATTTTAGCCTGGGAGACAACTAATGAGAAAAGTGTGGTTTACTGCTCTCCTCACTGCCCAAATGGCTCACTTATCCACATTCTTCTCAGCCTTCACCCATTAGTTAAATCAGGGTGCCACTGTCATTTGCAGTTACACCCTACGCTGAAGAATGAGAGCCGAAATAAGAGTTAGAGACCGAAGATGCACAGTATTAAAATTAAACATACATGCCTCTTGGCAGCTATAGAAGCTTGCCAGCCAATGAGACTGTCCTATAATATATCAAGTTATATTAGGAAAAAGTATCCTGTGTTTTTTCTTAAACCAATGAACGAGACAAAAAAACACAAACATATTAATTTACATCTAAGTTGTTAAAACTCACTATTTTTCTACTAAGCAGCTATAGTAAAGAAATTTGTAGATTTGTATAGCTCCTAAGAAATTATGTGCTACTCTAATTTTTTAAGAATAATTTGGATAATTTTGGCTAAACAGTTAAGAAAACAAGAAAAATAAATGAAAGAAGAATCACTACTTCAAAAACAAAGGTAATGTATAAAGGCAAGAGGGGAATCAGAGACTAAGAAATGCAAGAGCAGTGATGAGCTGCCAACTACTAGCAACTTTATCTAGGGGAATTGTCAAATTTAGTATAAATCAATCATAAGATTTGTAGCTTATGTATGTATGGTACAATACATACATGTATGGTATGTGCGTATGGTAGCTCATTACTTCCTCTTCTCGTAGGATGTAGGAAATTGCAAGGGAATTCTATCCCATTGTAGCAACAACGAGCCATGTAATCTATCAAAGCTTTTCAGCTTTCATCAGAGCAGAGTTCCTAAGGGAATCCAATGAATAAAAACTATAAAAGTCAAAGGTCTCTTATAGGAGAGAAGAAATGAATAGTGGCTATAATTCTTGGCAGAGTAGGATAAGGAGAAGAAAGTTGATAAGAAGAAAATAACTGCACTTTTAAAAAAATGTCAAAAGACCCAGTTGGGGGATGCATGATAGTTTAGAATCACTGAGAACTCTAGACACAGGGGATCCCACCCACTTGCCATCTATTTTCCACAGGTGTCGATCAATTGTTCATGAGAATGACAAGAAGCAAGGCTGGAGAGATGAGAAAGACCCCCGGTGAAGTGCAGGCCCATAGATACGAATAAAGTCTGAGTGCGAAGCAGGAGAATGAAAAGAAATCTCATGCGTACTCTAAACCTTAAACTGAGTACCAGGAAGGGCAATCTGTGTCTGGTAGAAAGAAAGAAGCACTAAGAGAGATACCTCCCTAAGGCACAAGTGAACAAGGCATGTGGAATTCTGAAGGTGTATCAGGAGAACTAAGCAGAAACTACAAACCATACAAAAACAAAGATCCTAATCTTGCTCTCAAAAAACACAGGGTCCTGTAGTGAACTTAATATAAATTTTAAAAGAATAAGATACAGCTCAAGTATGGAATAAAAGCCAAAGACCAGATCCAACGGAACTATACTAATATCATGACAAAAGAAGAGGCATGTATTTTTTTGGACATAAACATTATTTATCATAGGCTCCATTCTCTTTATATACAACATTTGACATTACATTAAAAACTACTGTGAAATATAAAAAAGCCAGAAGAAATGACTCATTATAAAAAGAGGAAACAATCAATACACCAGTCCCAGAAGTGGCCCAGATATTGGAATTATCAAACAAGGACTTTAAAACAACTCTAATAATAATATAGATGTCAAATAATTAAAAAGGGTAGATAATATGTTAGAATTGAAGGGAAATTTTAGCAGAGAGAAAGTATAAAAAAGAGTGAAATGAAAATATTAGATTTTTAAAAATATAATATCAGAGGTGAAAAACGATTTCCCAAACTGACATATATCAACCAATAGATTAAAAAAGCTCAGCAAACCCCAAGAAGAATAAATAAAAAGAAACCAGATCTAGATATATCATCATCAGATAGCAGAAAACCAAACACAGAAAAAAATTTTAAATCATCCAGAAGAAAAAAAAAAGACACAATACATATAAGGAAATCACGATAAGGATAATTTCTCATCAGAAATAATGGTGGCCAGAAAATAATAGAATATTTTAAATGTTAAAAAATTCAACCTAGATTTCTATACCCATTGAAAATGTCCTTCAAAGATGAAGACAAAATAAAAATGATAGAATTTGTCTTCAGAAAATTTGTGCTACAATAAACTATAAGATAAATGCTTTAGATTGAAAGGAAATTATACTAGATATAAACTTAATTCTACAGAAGGAATGAAGAACAAAGGGTAAATATGTTGGTAAAAACAGAAGAGTTCCTTTTGTTACTTTTTTGAAGCAGGGTCTCACTCTGTTGCCCAGGATGGAGTGTAGTGGCATGATCACAGCTCACTGTAGCCTCAATCTCCCATCTTCAAGTGATCCTCCCATCTCAGGCTCAGGGGTGCCACCATACCCGGCTATTTTTATTTTATATTTTTTGCAGAGACGATGTTTCACTATGTTGCCCAGGCTGGTGTTGAACTACTGAGCTCAAGTGATCCTTCCCAAAGTGAACCTCAGCCTCCCAAAGTGCTGAGATTATAGGCGTGAGCCACAGTGCTCGGCCTAAGTTAACATTTTATCTCCTTCTATCTGACTTATGTGTCTTATTTCTCATTTGTCACAGAATCCACCAGGAAGATGTAATGGTAACCTCAAACTATGAGTCAGTAATTAATGCTTTAAGATGTTCCAAAGTTGTCCTCTGACTTTATAATCACAATATACACTACTAAAATAATAAAGATAATTATAGACAGCTTTGACAATGAAAAGCTCAGAACTTCTTTTTCTTTTTTTTTTTTTAATTTTACTTCAAGTTGTGGGATACATGTGCAAAACGCAGGTTTGTTACATAGGTATACATGTGCCATGGTGGTCTGCTGCACCTATCAACCCATCATGTAGATCTTAAGCCCTACATGCATTAGGTATTTGTCCTAATGCTTTCTCTCCCATTGCCCCCCACCTCCCAACAGGTGCCGGTGTGTGATGTTGTCCTCCATGTCCATGTGTTCTCATTTTTCAACTCCCACTTATGAGTGAGAATATGCAGTGTTTGGTTTTCTGTTCCTGTGTTAGTTTGCTCAGAATGATGGCTTCCAGCTTCATTCATATCCCTGCAAAGGACATGAACTCATTCTTTTTTGTGACTGCATAGTATTCCACTGTGGATATGGGCCACATTTTCTTAATCCAGTCTATCACTGATGGGCATTTGGATGGGTTACAAGTCTTTCCTATTGTAAATAGTGCTGCAATAAACATATGTGTGCATGTGTCTTTATAGTAGAATGATTCATAATCCTTTGGGTATATACCCAGTAATGGGATTGCTAGGTCAAATGGTATTTCTGGTTCTAGATCCTTGAGGAATTGCCACACTGTCGTCCATGATGGTTGAACTAATTTACACTCCTGCCAACTGTGTAAAAGTGTTCCTATTTCTCCACAGCCTCGCCAGCATCTGTTGTTTCCTGACTTTTTAAAGATCGCCATTCTAACTGGTGTGAGATGGTATCTCACTGTGGTTTTGATTTGCATTTCTCTAATGGCCAATGATGATGAACTTTTTTTCATATGTTTGTTGGCCACATAAATGTCTTCTTTTGAGAAGTGTCTGTTCATATCCCTCACCCACTTTTTGATGGGGTTATTTGTTTTTTCTCTTGTAAATGTGTTTAAGTTCCTTGTAGATTCTGAATATTAGACCTTTGTCAGATGAGTAGATTGCAAAAAATTTCTCCCATTCTGTAGGCTGCATGTTCACTCTGATGATAGTTTCTTTTGCTGTGCAGAAGTTCTTTAGTTTGATTAGATCCCATTTGTTGATTTTGGCTTTTGTTGCCATTGCTTTTGGTGTTTTTTGTTTTTTTTTTTTTTTTGAGACGGAGTCTCGCTGTCGCCCAGGCTGGAGTGCAGTGGCGCAATCTCGGCTCACTGCAGGCTCCGCCCCCTGGGGTTCACGCCATTCTCCTGCCTCAGCCTCCCGAGTAGCTGGGACTACAGGCGCCCGCCACCTCGCCCGGCTAATTTTTTGTATTTTTAGTAGAGACGGGGTTTCACCGTGTTAGCCAGGATGGTCTCGATCTCCTGACCTCGTGATCCGCCCGCCTCGGCCTCCCAAAGTGCTGGGATTACAGGCTGCTTTTGGTGTTTTAGTCATGAAGTCTTTGCCCATGCCTATGTCCTGAATGGTATTGCCTAGGTTTTCTTGTAGGGTTTTTATGATTTTGGGTTTTACATCTAAGTCTTTAATCCATCTTGAGTTAATTTTTGTATAAGGTGTAAGGAAGAGGTCAAGTTTCTGTTTTCTGCATATGGCTAGGAATACAACTTACAAAGGACGTGAAGGACCTTTTCAAGGAGAACTACAAACCACTGCTCAAGGAAATAAGAGAGGACACAAACAAATGGAAAAAAATTTCATGCTCATGGACAGGAAGAATCAATATCGAAAATGGCCATACTGCCCAAAGTAATTTACAGACTCAGTGCTATTCCCATTACGCTACCACTGACTTTCTTTGCAGAATTGGAAAAAACTACTTTAAAGTTCACATGGCCCATATAGCCAAGACAATCCTAAGCAAAACGAACAAAGCTGGAGGCATCACGCTACGTGACTTCAAACTATACTACAAGGCTACAGTAACCAAAACAGCCTGGTACTGGTACCAAAACAAATATATAAACCCTTGGAACAGAACAGAGGCCTCAGATATAGCACCACACATGTACAACCATCTGATCTTCAACAAACCCAACAAAAACAAGCAACGGGAAAAGGATTCCCTATTTAATAAATGGTGCATCTATAAAGTTAATACCTTTTTACTAATTCCATTTCCAGAAATCTATGCTAAGGAAATAAATTGCTTAATATTAAAAATTTCCCATAGAACCATCTAAAGGTCCAAAACTGAGGACTGGTTCAACAAACTGTGGTGTTAGCCATGTAACAAAATGGTAGTAGTCTTTTAAAGATACTTGTGAAGAATATGTGATAATGATAACATTCTTGTGACATTAACAGAGATTTTAAATACAATTTAATAAATGTCAAATAAGTATCAGTAGAATAAAAACCTAGAAGGATATATGTTTAAAAAAATTTCAAGCGGTTTGTGATTTGGTGGTGAGTTATTTTTCTTCTGCTTTCCATATTTTAATATTCCAAAACCTACTTACTAAAGATATAATTACTTTTATAATAAAAACTTAAGGTTGGGCACAGCAGGTCACATCTGTAATCCCAGCACTTTGGGAGGCCGAGATGGGCGGATGACTTGAGTCTAGGAGTTCGAGACCAGCCTGGCCAAAATGGTGAATCACCATCTCTATTAAAAATACAAAAATTAGTCGGGCATGGTGGTACACGCCTGTAGTCCCAGCTACTTGGGAGGCTGAGGCAGGAGTATCACTTGAACTCTGGAGGCAGATGTTGCTGTGAGATGAGATTGCGCCACTGCACTTGAGCCTGGGTGACAGAGTGAGACTCCATCTCAAAAAAAAAAAAAAAAAAAAAAGCCCTTCACTCAATATATGTAGACATCTACAGATTTTATGCATTTAGAGGATAAATCAGATTAAGTTATTCTTCTGCCTAAACACTGCTTTACCAATCTAAATTAAATCCAAACTTCTCACCATAGCCTACAAAGCTGTATACAAGCTGATTCTCGCCTCTCTCTGAATTCTCATCCAGTGGCACTCTCCCTGTTGACCATACTCCAGCTACCCTTCAATATATCAAATTCTTCGCTGCCCCTTCAGGTTAGATCACTTCTCTATGATCTCTTCAGAGAGCCCTGTCTCTTAACACCCTATCAAATTAGGTTTTCCCATTCTTTTATATCACATTACCTTGTTTGTTATTAACATTTATAATAATGTAATTATTTGCTTATTACCTCCTCGGATGGAATGCAAGGTCATATCAGAGACCATTTGTATTGTTCAAATTACATCCAATGCCAAGCACAGTGACTGGCACTTAAAAAATACAAAATCTGTTGAATAAATGTATAAATATATTATTATATCTGTCTTTAATTTTCCAAGCAGTTATTACAAAGTGTAGCTCCATTTCATCCAGAAGTAGTTATTGTAAAGTATGCTTCAAATCAAAGAATACTCCAAATAGTACTCAATAAAAGACACACTGTGATTACTAATGACAGGTAAAACTGTTTTCTGGACTAGTTTCCAATGTTTCAGGGTAATACTATTTTATGTATGCTATTCCTTTAGTCTTTATTTGGATTATATAAAAAATATAGAATCACTGGGGACACTGTAGGATCAACAAAAAAGGAGGGAGAAGAAAAGGAAGTTTTATTAATCAATATTAACATTTTGCTATAGATGAAACTCCTCATATTTGATGACTTAAAACCCTAGTTGTTTCAACATTGTAGCCCATGAAGTTAGTATCCCCAACGAGTATATATTCTAAAAACAACTGCTTTATCTTTTATGAAGAGCCTTTTCCTGTGTCATTTTTCCTGTGTCAAAGTAGATGATACTCTCAAGCATTCCTTTCCCCTTGTCCCAGACAACCCTAACTCTCCAGGTAAGCCTAAATTGTTTCTTATTCCAGTTCTGTGTGGGCTTCCACCAGTTCTACACAGGACAACCTGACAGAACCCAGACTCGTGCCCACTGCCTCACAATCACATATAGTTTATTGGGATTATCAATCAAGGTGTTCTCTACTCCTATGCCTTGCGGATATGTATGTGGCTTAAACCAGGTGTCATAAATTGGTCTTACTTGCCTATTTAAATCTATATATATTTCATTTTATCCTATGCATATAATTTGGTCAACATAACAATCCTCTTCCTTCCCTCTCCCTTTCTTTCATTCTTTAACTAACATTTATGTTCAAATTATTGTGCTAGCGACTCAAGGTTCAAAGATGAATAAAGGAAAATAGCATTCTCAAGGAATCTTGTGGTGATAGTGGGAAAGAGGAACAGCAATAAACAATTATAAAATAAGGGATAGGTACAACTTTAAAACTATGGAAAGGGTAGGGTTAACATGCCTCACAATGAAAGGAAAAGGGACACAGTACAAACGATTTTTAAGCAGAGTCCTAAAGAAGGAGAAGGATTCTGCCAATCATACAAGAAGCAGGAAAGAAAATCACAGAAATAGACACCACCTTGTGCAACAACATGGAAATAAGGAAAAGTATGATACGTTCAGGAACATGAGTAGTTTTGAAAGGATGGAGCAAAAATACATAGAGAATATGGCTAGATCATGAATGCCCATTCTAGGGAGTTAATCTTTTATTCTGGGAGCATGAAATACAACTAAAGACTTAAATACACCTGGGGAAAAATAAAATCTCAAGTGTGCATTTAAGGAAAATAAAAATGAATGGAGCATGGACTATGGATTGGGGGATTTGGGGTACAAAATAGGTAAACACTATTTAGCACCACTATTTTTAAAATTATTTAAGGCATTTGGGACAAAAATCACAAAGGCATGACCTGAGATAGTAAAAGTCAGACTGAAAAGAGTAACAGATTTCTAAAAATATTTTATTTTAGAGACAGAAATAATATTCTATAACTAAATAGATTTAAGATACAGGAAGAAATAGTTTGAAGCACTGAGAGGATACAATGGTACAATCATTTATGAAATGGACTAAAAAAAATGAATTTGAAGAGAAAGATGAAGATGGTAATTTGGGAAATTAGGGACATTTATGGGACATCTTTACCCATATAAACACATTGAGAAGCATTTAAAATACATAAGCTAACATTGTGTGTGTGTTGGGGTAGGGGGGACTCCCAGAGCTAGAACTGCAACTGAACTACAGTGAAGAAAGCAGTTAGGCTAATCAAATTATAAGAGAAACCTGAAAAGGAAATTAAGGAATGGTCAAAAGGACAGAATCAGGATACAAAAACTAAGGCTATCATATGTCTCTTTCTTCAGCATTTTCAAGAGAATGGTCCAAGCACCAAATGCTAATAAAATTAGGCTTTTAAAAACATTTGATTTTATGAAAAGAACAACAGTCTTCTTACTGAGGTTTTATTTCCCTTGGTTCTCTTTCTTTCCCAATAATTAACAATAGTCTTAGAACTAAATCTCCTTGGAGTGGCATGGTTCATCTCCCTTCCCCAATCCCTTTAAAAATGGAACCAAATGGTCAGGTGCGGTGGCTCACGCCTGTAATCCCAGCACTTTGGGAGGCCAAGGTGGGTGTATCACCTGAGGTCAGGAGCTCGAAACCAGCCTGGCCAACATGGCGAAACCCTGTCTCTACTAAAAACACAAAAATTAGCTGGGCGTGGTGGCATACGCCTGTAATCCCAGCTACTCGGGAGACTGAGGCAGGAGAACAGCTTGAACCCAGGAGGTTGAAGACAGGCTATTTGAAAATACACACCCAGAGGAGACAAAAGAAAAAAGAGAAGAGTAAAGCACATCTATCTACAAGATCTAGAAAATAAATTCAAAAGGTCAAATCTAAGAGTTATTTGCCTTAAAGTGGAGGCAGGGAGAGATATAGGTGTAGAAAGTTTACTCAAAAGGATAGTAACGGAGGACTTCCCAAACCAGGAGTAAGATATCAATATTCAGGTATAAGAGGTTTACAGAACACCAACCAGATCTGACCGAAAGAAGACAATCTTATGAAATTTAATCAAACTCTTAAAAGTCAAGGATGAAGAAAGGATCCTAAAAGCAATAGAAAAGAAACAAATAAACTTACAAGGGAGCTCCAATATGTCTGGCAGCAGACTTTTCAGTGGAAACTACAGACCAGGAGAGAGTGACATGAAATATTTAAAGTTCTGAAGGGAAAAACCTTTTACCCTAGAATAGTATATCCTGTGAAAATATCATTCAAACATGAAGGAGAAATAAAGACTTACCCAAACAAACAAAATCTGAGAGATTTCATCAACACCAGACCTGTCCTAAAAGAAATGCTAAAGGAATTTCTTCAATCAGAAAGAAAAGGACATTAAGCAATAAGAAAACATCTGAAGGTACAAAACTCTCTGGTAATAGTAAGCACACAGAAAAAACACAGAATACTGTAATGCTGTAATTGTGGTGTACAAACTACTCTTAAGTAGAAAGATTAAAAGATGAACCAATCTAGGACAATAACTACAATAACTTTTCAAGACATTGACAGTACAATAAGATATACATAGAAAAAACAAAAAGTTAAAAAGCAAGGGGGTAAAGTTAATGTGTAGAGTTTTTGTTAGTTTTCATTTTTCTTGATTGCTTGTTTATGCAAGCAGTGATAAGCTGTCATCAGTTTAAAATAATGCGTTATAAGATAGTACTTGCATGCCTCATAGTAACATTAAATCAAAAAACATACAACAGATACACAAAAAATAAAAGCAAGAAATTAAATAATACCATCATAGAAAATTAACTTCCCTAAAAAAAAGACAGGAAAATAGAAAAGAAGGAAGACCACAATTGAGAAAACAATAAGAAACGGCAGAAGAAAGTCTTTACTTATCAATAATAACACTGAATATAAATGGACTAACCTGTCCAATCAAAAGACATAGAGTGGCTGAATGGATTAAAAAAAAAAAAACAAAAAAAAACAAGACCCAATGATCTATTGCCTACAGAAACACACTTCACCCATAAAGACACTCAAATACAAAATGAAGGGGTGGAAAAAGAAATTCCATGCAAATGGAAACCAAAAAAGTGCGGGAGTAGCTATATTATATCCGACAAAATACATTTCAAGATAAAAACTTTAAGAGACAAAGGAGGTCATTATATAATGATATATGGTAAATTCAGGAAGGGGATATAATTGTAAATTTTAATATACCAAACACTGGAGCATCCAGATATATAAAGCAAATATTATTAGAGCTAGAAAGATAGACCCCAACACAATAAAAGGTAGAGACTTCAACACCCGACTTTCAGCACTGGAGAGATCTGTCAGAAAGAAAATCAACAAAGAAACATCAGATTTAATCTGCACTGTAGACCAAATGGACCTAATAGATATTTACAAAACATTTCATTCAATGGCGACAGAATACAAATTCTTCTCTTTAGCACATGGATCTTTCTCAAGGACAAATCACATGTTAGGTCACAAAACAAGTCTTAAAACATTAAAAAAAAAAAACAACAAAAAACCTGAGATAATATCAAGCATCTTCTCTGACCATGGTGGAATAAAACTACAAATCAGTAACAAGAGGAACATGGGAACATATGAAAATTAAACAATATGTCCCTGAATGACCAGTAGATCAATAAAGAAATTAAGGAGAAAATTGGAGGGCTGGGCATGGTGGCTCATGCCTATAATTCCAGCACTTTGGGAGGCTGAAGGGGGCGGATCACAAGGTCAGGATTTCGAGACCAGCCTGGCCAATATGGTGAAACCCCATCTCTACTAAAAATACAAAAATTAGCCATGCGTGGTGGTGTGCACCTGTAGTCCCAGCTACTCGGGAGGCTGAGGGAGAAGAATCGCTTGAACCCGGGAGGCAGTGGTTGCAGTGAGCCGAGATCGTGCCACTGCACTCCAGCCTGGGCGACAGAGCGAGACTCCGCCTCAAAAAAAAAAAAAAAAAAGAAGAAGAAGAAGAAGAAAATTGGAAAATTTCTTGAAACAAATAATAATGGAAACAGCATACCAAAACAGCAAAAGCAGGACTAAGGGGGAGTTTATAACTAAGTTTATAGCTATAAACAAATACATCAAAAATAAGAAAAACTTCAAATAAACAACCTAATGATATATCTTAAATAACTGGAAAAGCAAGAGCAAGCAAATCTGAAATCAGTAGAATAAAAGAAATAATAAAGATCAGAGCAGAAATAAATGAAATTGAAATGAAGAAAATACAAAAGATCAATGAAATAATATTGATTTTTTGAAAAGGTAAACAAAATTGACAAAGTTTTAGCCAGATAAAGAAAAAAAAAAAGGTAAGATACAAATAAAATCAAAGATGAAAAAGGAGATATTACAACCAATACCACAGAAATTCAAAGGATCATTAGTGGCTACTATCAGCAACTATATAACAATAAATTAGAAAATCTAGAAGAAATGGATAAATTCCTTGTTACATGTAACCTACCAAGACTGAAGCATGAAGAAATACAAAACCTGAACCAACCAATAGCAAGTAATGAGATCAAACCTGTAACAAAAAGTCTCCTAGCAAAGAAAAGTCTAGAACCAAATGGCTTGACTGCTGAATTCTACCAAATATTTAAAGAAAAACTAATACCAATCCTACTCAAACTATTTTCAATAATAGAGAAGGTAATACTTCCAAACTCATTCTACGAGGCAAGTATTACCCTGATCCCAAAAACCAGACAAAGACACATCAAAAAAAGAAAACTACAACGGGCGCAGTGGCTCTCACTTGTAATCCCAGCACTCTGGGAGGCCGAGGCAGGGGGATTGCTTCAAGCCATGAGTTCAAGACCAGCCTGGGCAATATGGCGAAACCCTGTCTCTACTAAAAATACAAAAATTAGTTGTGCATGGTAGCACATGTCTGTAGTCCCAGCTACTTGGGAAGCTGAGGTGGGAGGGTCACTTGAGCCTGGAAGGTCAAGGCTGCAGTGAGCCATGAGCATGTCACTGCACTCCAGCCTGGGTGACAGAGTGAGACCTTGTCTCAAAAACAAAAACAAAAAAAAGAAAACTACGGGACAATATCTATAATGAAAATTGATGGAAAAATCCTCAACAAAATAATAGCAAACCAAATTCAGCAATACAGCAATACAATTAAAAAAACATTCATCATGACCAAGTGGGATTTATCCTGGGTATGCAAGTATGGTTCAACACATGCAAATCAACTAATGTGATACATCATATCAACAGAATTAAGGAGAAAACCATATGATCATTTCAACTGATTTTGAAAAAGCATTTGATAAAATTCAACATTCTTCCTGATAAAAATCCTCAAAAGACAGAGTACAGAAGGAACATACCTCAACATAATAAAAGCCATATATAACAGACCCACAGCTAGTATCATACTGAATGGGGAAAATCAGAAAGCCCTTCCTCTGAGAACTGGAACATGACAAGGGTACCCACTTCACTACTATTATTCCACAGAGTTCTGGAAGTCCTAGCTGAGCAATTAGACAAGGGAAAGAAATAAAAGGCATCCAAATTGGAAAGAAACAAGTTAAATTATCATTGTTTGCAGATGATATGATTTTATATTTGGAAAAGCCTAAGGACTCCACCAAAAAAACTATTAGAACTGATAAATTCAGTAAAGCTGCAGGATACAAAATCAACATACAAAAATCAGTAAGATTTCTATATGCCAACAGCAAACAATCTTTGAAAAAGAAATCAAGAAAGTAACCCCATTTACAATAGCTACAAATAAAATAACTAGAAATAAATTTAACCAAGGAAGTGAAAGACCTCTACAACGAAAACTATAAAACATTGATGCAAGAAACTGAAGAAGGCACAATAAAATAAAAATATATTTCATGTTCATGGATTAGAAGAATCAATATTGTTAAAACGTCCATACTACCCAGAGCAATCTACATATTCATTGCAATCCCTATCAAAATACCAAAGACATTCTTCACAGAAAAACCAAAAAATTATCCTAAAAATAATATGGAATCAAAAACAGACCCAAAATGGCCAAACCAATTTTGACTAAAAAGAAAAAAATTGAACATTACCTCATTTCAAGTTTTACTACAGAGTTACAGTAAACAAAATAACATGGCACAGGCATAAAAACAGGAAACAAATCCATCCATCTACAGTGAACTCATTTTCAACAACGGTGCCAAGAACACATATTGGGGAAAGGACAATCTCTTCAATGAATGGTGCTGGGAAAACTAGATATCCATAGGCATAAGAATAAAACTAGACCCCATCCCTCTATCTCTTGCCATATGCAAAAATCAAATCCAAGTAGATTAAAGACTTAAATCTAAGACCTCAAACTACGAAACTACTAAAAGTAATCACTGAGAAAACTCTCCAAAACATTGGTCTGAGCAGAGATTTCTTGAGTAATACCCCACAAGCAAAAATCGACAAAGGGGGTCACATCAAGTTAAAACACTTCTGTACAGCAAAGGAAACAATCGACAAAGTGAAGAAACAACACACAGAATGGAAGAAAATGTTTGCAAACTACTCATCTGACAAGGGATTAATAACCAGAGTAGACATGTCTCAAAAGAAGACATACAAATGGTAAATATAGAGCTACCATACTATCCAAGAATCCCACTGCTAGGTATAAACCCAAAGGAAAGGAAATCAGTGTATCAAAGAGATATCTGCACTCCCATGTTTGTTGCAGCACTGTTCACAATAGCCAAGATTTGGAAGCAACATAAATGGCCATCAGCAGATGAACAGATTTTTAAAATGTGATGCATACACACAATGGAGAGGCATTTAAAACCTAAATGCCCTGAATGGGTTTTAGGAAAGACACTTTATTTTAAATGTTCCTCTTTACTCATACTACATTTCCAATGGAGACCTTCTAATTCAAATAAGACCATTTTTCCCTTACTTCATCATTTATATTGAATCTGCCCTCAATTATTCAATCATTAACTAAATTAACGTTTATTAGTTATCCACTATAATGAAACTAAAGGCATAAAGACAAATTAGGCCAGGCGCGGTGTCCCACGCTTATAATCCCAGCACTTTGGGAGGCCAAGACAGGAGGATCACGAGGTCAGGAGATCAAGACCATCCTGGCTAACACAGTGAAACCCGGGCTCTACTAAAAATATAAAAAAAATTAGCAGGTGTGGTGGCGGGCACCTGTAGTCCCAGCTACTCAGGAGGCTGAGGCAGGAGAATGGCGTGAAACTGGGAGGCGGAGCTTGCAGTGAGCCAGATCGCGCCACTGCACTCCAGCCTGGGCGACAGAGCGAGACTCCGTCTCAAAAAAAAAAAAAAAAAAAAAGACAAATTAAAATATAATAGCTGCCCTTATCAACATTTATTTAGTAAAAACAACAAAGTAAACGAATGTCCTAGTCATGGTCAAAGTTTAATGGAAACAGAGAGGAGCAGAAGACTTTGGAGTCAAAGGTGTGTGCCCATATCTGGCACTGATTGTTGTGTATTCTTGACCAAATCACTTCACTGCAGATTTCTTAAATGTAAAATGAGACTAACACCACGTAACTTGTAGGGTTGTTATGAAGACTGAATGAGACATTTATAACATGCCTATTATACAGTAGGAACTTAAAAAGTAATAGCTACTCCATCATTATTATCATAATCATCATTATCTTAGATAAAAAATTACATGGAGACCTAAAAATAGTTCTGCCTTCAGCTTTCCTATACAGGCATCATGTTCCAGCACTAAAAGTTTGTTGAATTATCTGGCTAAGGTAACCAATCCTACAAAACAATCTTCCAAGAGAAAGACAAAGAGGAGAAAAGACTCAGTGTGTCCTGTGCGCAAGGAGAGACAGTGCTCTGGTAGGCACATTCAAAAAATGAAAACCTAGTAGGGTTAAAATAATAGGCAAGAGTGGGGTATAATTTAATCAAGCTGGTCTTTATAGCAGGTCTTTAAGGACACTGGCTTCTATATATGCCTAAAGGAAGCCATACAAAATAACACACCTTTTCTCCATTTCCTGCTAAAACAGCAGGAAATGCTTCTACTTTCCTGCTAAAGCAGCAGAGTTGAGTAGTTTCAAAAGAGACCATTCAAAGACCATGCCACAAAGCCTAAAAAATTATCTGGTCTTTTATTAAAAATTTGCTAACTCCTGATTTGACAAGGTATGGTTTCTTAGCCTAAAAACTGAGAGGCACTGAACACCTATCAGTTCCTCAATAATGCAGGTGAGTGTCTAATGAATTTTCCAATGAGACTCTGATAAGATCATTCTGATTCTCTTCTAATGATAATTCCAAGTAACAGCCATTATTTATCCAGTGCTTATTACCATGTGCCAGGTATTATCTTCATTTTACAGATTAGGAAACTGAGGATCATTGAGAAGTGGTAACATTTCAAAGTTACTATACATATCAAGTCAATCCCAGTGTTGTCTCCCCTAAAGCCTGTGGGCATAAGCAGTACTGCCTGGTAAAAGAGAACAGAAAAGAACGGATTGAGAGTGATGATTTCTCTCAAAGGACAATAATATCCTATAGTGATGTAAATAATGATGCAATAATAAATATTTTATTTATAGAAATCAAAACCAATATCCCTGAAAGAATATATAATCTACCCAAGAAAACCTTTTGAAAATGACTAAGAACTTAACTTACATATCATAATTATCTTCCATTGTTAATTCCCTTACTTCTGTCAGTGGCACTACAATTCTTAGGTAACAGACTAGCTACACCACCTTTTGCCCTTGCCAGTAGATCATACTCAAGCCGGTATATGTCCATGAAAAAAGTATAATCATAAAATAACAACGTTACATAAATTAAGAAGTCGTATTTTGTTGTATCTTCAAGTTTATAACAAAATGTTTTCAAAAGAAATGGCCGGGTGGGGTGGCTCATGCCTGTAATCCCAGCACTTTAGGAGGCCGAGACGGGCGGGTCACGAGGTCAGGAGATCGAGACCATACTGGCTAACATGGTGAAACCCCGTCTCTACTAAAAATACAAAAAAATTAGCCGGGCAGGTGGTGGGCACCTGTAGTCCCAGCTACTCAGGAGGCTGAGGCAGGAGAATGGAATGAACCCGGGAGGCGGAGCTTGCACTGAGCTGAGATCGTGCCACTGCACTCCATCCTGGGTGACAGAGTGAGACTCCATAACAAAAAAAAAGAAAGAAGGAAGGAAGGAAGGAAGGAAGGAAGGAAGGAAGGAAGGAGAGAGAGAAAGAAAGAAAGAAAGAAAGAAAGAGAGAGAGAGAGAGAGAGAGAAAGAAAGAAAGAAAGAAAGAAAGAAAGAAAGAAAGAAAGAAAGAAAGAAAGAAAGAAAGAAAGAAAGATAAGGAAAAAAAAAAAACAGGTTGGGCACAGTGACTCATGCCTGTAATCTCAGCATTTGGGAGGCCGAGGTGGGCAGATCACTTGAGGTTGGGAGTTTGAGACCAGCCTGGCCAATGTGGTGAAACCCCATCTCTACTAAAAATACAAAAGTTAGCTGGGCATGGTGCCACGTGCCTGTAGTCCCAGTTACTTGGAAGGCTGAGACAGGAGAGCTATTTGAACCCAGGAGGCAGAGGCTGCAGTGAGCCAAGATCTTATCACTGCACTCCAGCCTGGGCAACAGAGAGAGATCCTGTTTTCTTTGCAATGAAGTATAGTAATACACATGGTTTTGGTTGTACGCTGATTCTAATGTAGAGGCCATACTTTTCATTTAGAATGGGCACACTACTCAATGTATAATTACTATGTGGTTAATCCACGTATTGAATTAAGCTAATTCTATTTAACTCTACATTTAAACTGTTGTTTAATTTTATTACAAATATACAAGGTGGACTAACATAGTAAACTTTGGAAATTTAAATTTATTTTAAAGATATTTGTACCTTTTTTAATTACATGAAAGATGTCATATATCTAGTATATACTTCACTTTGTTGTCTAAAATACAAAATGTCTTTCATTGTGGTATCTGCATTACTTACGATTCTTAGCCTTTATGTTCATCTCTCTTCATGAACATTGAAATATTTATTAGAAATTACATAAACCCCACAATCCAGAATATAATGACACATTTTGCTTTCAAGCCAAATTAGAAAAATCTAAAAATAGGCTAATGGACAATAACATTAAGGAACCAACTGTTCAAAGTACAAAACTCTAAAATAGAATCTTGGAAGAAAATACTCTGTTATAAAAAATGTTGTTTCTAAAATCAATGTTATTTTATGACTATAAAATTCTGTTAAAAAACATTAAAATTGTGTTTTAAGGTTACTGGCAAGGACTACATTTTTTGCATTTTATGACAGCAAACAAGAAAAAATTCATCAAATACACCACACTTAAATACTAATTTCTAAAATAATTTTAAGAAAAAAGGACTTATTTATAATAATGTAATTTAGAGAAAAAGTTGTATCTACTAGAGTAGTCTTAAAACATTATTTCTGTACTTGCAAAGCTATGTTGTTAATATATACCTAAGAATCTGAAACACTTAAATCAATTATTATAATAGGCAAGATCTTACACGTAAAACCTTACGGAAATATTAAGGATTCAATAGTAATCAGTACCCAATCATCAAAATTTGCATGTACTTTCAAAAGATAATTGTTAAAATGAGGTCTTCCCTACTTATCTTTCCCTGGTTATCAAGATCTATATAATAATGGCAGGGCACTAAAGGTAAAAGGCAGGGTACAGCAGACACCACAAGGTGGTGCTAACAGCCTCTCATAACTGTCTGCTATTCTTCAGATGTGTCCTAAAGTGAGACTCTCCACCCCTCAGAGTGAATACCAACTGAAACAATCTCTAGTCCAAAAGAAAAAGCAAAACATTAACAATTTTTGAAGGTTTTTGACTACTGGGTATAGAAAATATTTTGAATTTATAATCTTTTCGAATAAATATTTGGTTTGTGTTGACATTCTTCTCATATGGTTACGGTATTTTATGTGTAAAGAAAATAACTCTATAAGCAACTATCTTTACACTACTGTCAGATGAAATCACTAATTTACACTCAATGAATATATTATTATTATTAAGCACAAATCAAGACTCCTTTACCAATGAATAGTGGGACACTGGTACAAATTATAATTAAATAGTCCAGTATTATGAAACCCACACTGATACTGCCCAAAATCTGTTCCTCAGATTAACATTTTTATTCAGTTCTCATCTTCTGAATGTAATGGACTCTTAGAAAAACATGGAGTTTCCTCACAATTCATCTTCTGAAGGCACCAAACCAACTGCTGCAGTCAAAACTTCCTCAAGATGCTTTTAATCAGTCAGACAGACATGAGGGATGGACGCAGAGGAGCAGCGGTCTGGCTTCAGAAAAACAGCAGCAATACAAATGCAAAAAGAGAATTGTCACTGGGCACATATATTAAGTGTGTGTGGTGTGTGTGTGTGTGTGTGTGTGTGTGTGTGTGATATTTAATCCTCAAAATAAACCATCCCCATTTTACCAATGAAGAAACTGGGTTTTAGAAAAGCAAAGAAAGTTGCCCATGGTCACATAAGCAGTACAGTCTATCTGACTTCTGCGCCTCTTTCCGTTATGCCATAAAATAATTTAACTAATGTTGATGAAGATTGTTAGTACTTAATTGACAACAAAGTGTTAAGCATTTTACATTTACTGTCTCATTTAATCCACACAGCAACCCTAAAAGATCTTCTTATTACAGATGAGAAAACGGAGACACAGAGAGGCTGAATGACTTTACTAAGACCCTACAGCTATTAAGTACTAAAATGGGGGATCAAATCTAAGTAATGTGGCCACAAGAAGTATACCACTGAACACATCACAATATTGTCACTCACAAAACACACAATTATTTCCTTTTGGAATAAAATAAATGGCTGTTTAATGGGGAGTAAAAACAAACCAAAAAAACTTTATTAGGCACACAAAATGAATAAAAATGCTGGGACAGATGCTATGAAAAGAGACCTAAAAGAGCTTGAGATCTATTAGAAACATAACAGTTTGTTAATCTGAAACATATAGTGACAGAAACCACAAAATAAAATAGAAAAAGTAAAATGACTAGTTACCAACGGTTAATGAAAAAAATAAGATATTAAAAAGGGTAAAATATGATTAATTACAAATAATACCTGACATGGTATAAAAAACATAAGCAACCACTTCAGATACAGCAGGCTGGGAAAGTCAGTGAAAAAGGAGATGAACTGAATCTTTCTGGAGATAGAGGTCTGAATAGGTGAGGTAGAGGAAGAAAGGGCATTCTGATCAGTTTAATAATATTTGCATGAAAATACAGATGCAGAAAAGGAAAATTGTGCTTAGGAGTTGATCAATTAGATTGAATGTAGTGTTTTCACATAGAAGAAATTAACGTAGAAAAGTTGAATTAGCTTTATTTTTTCAGGGTTTTCAAAGCCTAGAGGTGAATAAATATATCTATGTTTCTAGTAAATTAATTACATTTTCTATAATAAATATTTCAGAAAGCAAAAAAATAGATTTCAAAATAGATAAAGGATAAATACAAAGGAAATTGGATGATTATGACATAGGAAAGGAAGTAAAACAGAAATGAAAGAGCTAATACAGAAAAGGTTGAAGAAAGTATTCAGTCTATAAGTTTGCAATTCATAAAATATTCAATAATACTAGAGATTCTCCAAAGTAATTAATTTTAACTTCCATCGTTGGATAGTACATGTAGTAAAATTATAATATAAAAGTAAAGCTCACCTTTTAAAATTACTTTATCAAAAAAAAATGGTAAAGATACTTGTTTGTTTGTTTGTTTGAGACAGGGTGTCACTCTGTCCCTGAGGCTGCAGTGCAGTGGCCCGAATACAGTTCACTGCAGCCTTGATCTCCTGGGCTCAAGAGATCCTCTCAGCACAGCCTCCCAGTAGGTGGGACCACAGGCATGTGTCACCATGCCCAGCTAATTTTTTAAAATTTTGTAGAGACAGGGTCTCACCATGTTGTCCAGGCTGGTCTTGAATTCCTGGTCTCCAGCAATCCCCCTGCCTGGGCCTCCCAAAGTGCTAACGTTACAGGTGTGAGCCCCTGCGCCTTGCCCAAGATGCTTGTTTTTAAGTATTTTACTTCTTTTTTAGGGTGGTAGGAGAGAATGTAAAATAATTTATTTAGTGCTTTATGAAAAACTCCTAAATACACCATTTCATTTAAATCTCAGAACTCTTTGAGATATTATTTTATAGAAAAAGAAACATAGTCACAAAGGTATAGTGACAGTCTAAATTACAAGTAAAAGTGCTGAGACTTAAATCAGTTTTCCAGTCTTCGACCTGAAAATTCTTTTTCAGTGTTAATATTAGGCCTCTATTTTCACCCCAATAAAAATTATAATATAAGCAATTAGTTTCTGAAAATTGTGGATAATATTACCTGCACCAGATACAATGATATGACGTGGGTAGCACCCCTAACCTAGGGCAGTGGTTCATTCACTCATCCATCCAACAAATATTTCTTAGGCACCAACTCTATGCCAAGCACTAACAATATAGTAGTTAATAGAGAAATAAAACAAAGAAGCAAACACACAAGAAAACATCAGATTGTGACAAGTATAATTATAATAATTATAAGTAATAGAAAAGAGAACTGGATGACATATTAATATTGAGTGGTCACAAATGCCTATGAAACTGATATGTGAGCTGACATACGACCAGTCAAGTACAAAACAGTAAGACAACCAAGCAAAACAAAAGGCACAGCTAGAACAACAGCCCTAAATAGGAACATACTTGGTATGAAGGAAAGGGCAGAGTCATACATTCATTTAGAGAGGTAGGTAGGGTTTTTTGTTGGTTGGTTTGTTTCTTTTTGAGATGGAGTCTCACTCTGTCTCCAGGCTGGAGTGCAGTGGCGCTATCTAGGCTCACTGCAACCTCCGCCTCCCAGGTTCAAGCGATTCTCCTGCCTCAGCCTCCTGAGTAGCTGGGATTACAGGCATGTGCCACCAGGCCCAGCTAATTTGTGTATTTTCAGTAGAGACGGGGTTTCACCATGTTGGCCAGGATGGTCTCGATCTCTTGACCTCATGATCTACCCGCCTCGGCCTCCCAAAGTGCTGGGATTATAGGTGTGAGCCACCACGCCCAGCCAGTAGGGGATTTTTAAGTTAAGAAAAGCAGTTGGAATTTTTAATTCACAATATGAAAAGAGGGGGCTTTAATAGGGGAATGGCATAAGCTGATTTACATTAAAGGGGAAAAATCACTCTAAGTGAGATAGAATGTTAACAGAGTAAGCTTAGATTATTAGAACTTAATTGGTACAGCAGTTCTTAACCTTTTCCTTGCCCTAAATGCCTGAGGGAAATTATATTCTCCAACAAATAATGGCAATGGAGTTAAAACTCCTTGCCCCCTTTCAGAAGGTCTGTTCTAACAGAATTATAGATAGTACTCTTCCAAAGCTTACTCTCCAACTCCCTTTCTCCCATGACTAGGTTTTTTGTTTGTCTGTTTTTTATATCATTTATTTTTCTCTCCCTAGGCTAAAAATCCACTCTGAGTGTTGCCCGAATCAGAGCTGGATTTTTTGTCTCCAAAGACTGCTGGGGCCTTGCATGTGGCTCCTATAATCCTAGGACTTTGGGAGGCTAAGGTGAGAGGATCGCTTGAGCCAAGGAGTTCAAGACCAGCCTAGGCAATACAGCGAGACAAAGAAATTTTTTAAATACAAAATAAAACACTATTGAGCCTTGGCCTCACTAAATATTCTAAATATTCTTGGTATTTTAATAACTTTGAATTCTGAATAGAGGCAGCTAAAAAAGACATCTCCATAAATAACCAGAATGAATTTCTAAAATAATATAGTTTGTCCTATATATAAGAAAATTCTAAACAGAACCATAATAGGATATTTCCATTTAAAAATCCAATTTTGACATGCTTTCTAAATGTAAAAAAATTTTATGCAGTTTTAGAACAAATAAATTATATAAATTCCAGGCACATGAACATACTAAAGACATCTATAGAAAATTAAAACCACTCTCAGGAATCTGATGAAACAGCAAATTTTAGTTTTAAGTTTCCCATTTCTTTGTATCCTGGGATATTTGTTCTTTATTGTTTAGAAAGCACAGACTCTGAAATACCAAAAAAAAAAAAAAAAAAAAAAAAAAAAAAAAAAAAAAAGGCAGGGGGAGGGGGCTACAGTAGAATGCTCACAACGATTTTCCCTAAAAGTTGTAAATTTTCAACTATTAAGAGTGAAAAATCACTTCCCAACTTGAATCAAATATTTCCAAATACTATCCAAGTCTCAGAAAGCAAATGTTTCTATTTTTATTACCCTAAACAAGGATTATTTGTAGTTATAACATGTTACAAAATCAGGAAATAAGACTTAAATCCCCTTTTCTTATAACAAGAAGGGTAATACAACAAGTTATTTTGTTAATCATGGATCTGATAATTTTGGAAATCAATTCAACCACATTTAATTATAAATGACACATTTATATACCATAAAGCTTTATAGAATGCAAAACACAATTACATAAAATCATAGACAATATTATATAATAATACAGTGTAGTCTTCGAAGTTTTTATTTTTCATAATAGTTTTTACTGCTACAAGTCAGTGAAGAGCCTTCATCAAGGATATGAAATCTAAGACTTCTTTGGAAATATGTTCAGTCACTTTGGGGGGAAAACAGAATTTTGGCAAAACTTAAGGTCAAATAAATGGAATGACAATAAGCAGATCCAGGAATGCATCTAGTGCTATTTTTTCTTAATAAGTAATAACATAAGCAAACAAGTGCTGGGTATTCTGTTGTTTTTTTTTTTTTTTTGAAAGAAGTCTGTCTGCTCTAGTAAGAATGTATCTCCTCAAATAAGCACTTCAATTTACATGTAAGGTGTGCCTTCAAAATTGATGAACCGATTTTTATTTGTCCTGAAATTAATAATCCCTTAATCCTTTACAACACACTGCTCCACAATGTCAAAGGATTAGAATACTGAGGTTTCTTCTAACTCTACATGGTTAAATGTTTCACCACATAAGTTTCAGTCATGCAATTTTCCTCAGAATACAGTCACTACATCTGCTTTTCTTTTATCAGTTTTTTCCAAGGACTGATACATGGTTGACTATCAAGAACATAGTGTGGTCGGGCGTGGTGGCTCACACTGGTAATCCCAGCACTTTGGGAGGCCAAGGTGGGTGGATCACTTGAGATCAGGAGTTCAAAAACAGCCTGGCCAACATGGTAGAACCTTGTTTCTATTAAAAATATGAAAAAATTAGCCAGGCATGGTGGAACATGCCTCTAATCCCAGCTACTTGGGAGGATGAAGCACAAGAATTGCTTGAATCTAGGAGGCGGAGGTTGCAGTGAGCCAAGATTGTGACACTGCACTCCAGCCTGGGTCTGGAGCGAGACTCTGTCTCCAAAAAATAATAATAATAATAAGTTTTTTGTTTGTTTTTAAGTAAATTCATTAGAACTTAAAGTCTGGAAGAAAAAGCATTTAATCAAACTATGCTATTATTGCATACAATTTTTACAATTTGCCCTTTGGAAAAGACATTCCAAAAAAAACTGTTTGTTTGTTTGTTTTTTTTTTGAGATGGAGTTCTGCTCTTGTTGCCCAGGCTGGAGTGCAATGGCACGATCCTGGCTCACAGCAACCTCCGCCTCCCGGGTTCAAGCGATTCTATGGCCTCAGCCTCTTGAATATCTAGGATTAGAGGCGCCCGCTACCATGTCCGGCTAATTTTTGTATTTTTAATAGAGACAGGGTTTCACCATGTTGGCCAGGCTGGTCTTCAACTCCTGACCTCAAGCGATCTGCCCACCTCAGTGCTGGGATTACAGGCGTGAGCCACTGCGCCCAGCCAGGTATTTTCTTTTACTTGTTAGTCAAAGCTCAAGTTTTCCTGGTCATATACATTTTTCTTTCATCTTTTAAAACTCAACTTTATTCTTATTACCACTCATTTCTTCTAATAATCTCTATGGGACTATTTATGACATAAGAGATCACCATGCTGTGTAAGATGGCTGCAGAAAAAAACAGACTAGGAACAAAGTGATGGAACTCTTCAGAAAAGAAACTGGATGAGGTCATTTCATTTGTGTAATGCCTGCCTGCAACCAGTAATAGGAGTTAATAGGGCTCTATACATTAGAAATTATTGGAAACAAAATCACTCAAGGGGAGGACTGCCTATTACTGGTATAACTTTGAAATTAGAAGTTTTAAATTATGAAGGTGGACCCATTTCGGTAGCTTCCACTCTATTTCCTCTATAAATGTTGGAATGCTATGATTCCACAGGAGGAGGGCAAGAAAAATGATCCATTTAATATAACACAAGCCTAAGCAGTTACAGCTTTATTCTAAAGGAGGTTAACATCAGCCAAGCACCTTTATGAAGATAAACTGAGAATTCTCTCTTCCAGACTCCCGAGAGTACTTTCATCCCTCATAATACTACCACACTGATTTATTAATAATATATATGTCTCTTTTCCCTTCTGGATATTAAGATATTTGATAATTTATTTGTCCATTTATCTACCATCCACAGACAACAGCAAAACATCTCCATCCTAACAGAACTCATAACAAAGGTTTACTGAACAACTATCATATGTCAGCTTTCCTTAAAACTCACATTTAATGGAAATAGTTAAACAAGTACACATGATATCATGTAGTATAAGTAAGATGTATATTTGTTATTTATACTACATCTGATACTAGTAATTTATTATATAATAAAATAATAGAATAAGTATAAATGAAACGCTATGCAAAAATTCCTAAGTCTCCCAGGTGGTGACCACATTTTGAGAGAGGTAATGTTTGATCTGTGTCAAGAAAGCTCAGCCAGTATTTTCCAGACTAAAAAGGGATTCCAGAAAGAAAGGTGAACACATTCGAAGATACCAAGAAATGAAAATAAACACACACACATACATACACACACACACACACACACACACACACTCTCTCTCTCTCTCTCTTGAGGAAGGAGAAAAGAAATGAACATAATATAAACTGGTCAAGAAGGTGACAGTTGGAGTTAACTTTAAGTTTAAACTTTCCTTTTCAGAACCATAAAAGGTTTTGAAGCATAGGAATTATCTAATCCGAATCTGTATAGGAAAAGATAGATACATGAAAGGGATTGATTAACTAGAGACAGAGAAACCTGACATAAGGCAACAAATGCTGTAAAATAAACATAATTAAGAGAAAAGATACATTTAGGTACTGATTTGTTGGCAAATGGCCTTATTTCAGAATAGCATTTTCAATTCAAAAATCTATTTCTCCAATAAAATAAATTATAAAAGGTAGGGGAAGTCTCCCTGGGAAAAGTTAAGAAGAAAATCTGCACTTCTTATTTTTTGTTTACCATTACTGCATTTCTTTTATTCTAAAAATACTGAAATAATTTTATAATTTAAAATGATATCTATTTGAATATGAACAGTACTAAATAACTAAAATTAATTTCAAGGTAACTCAAAATATTACATATTACAATCTCCTGATTCATACTACATATTATAATTCATTTTACATATTACATATACATATAATTCATATCATATATAATTCATATTGCATATTATATATACATATTATAATTACATATTGCATATTCATATTACAATCTCCTGATTCATTTACCTCCTGCCATCACACAGTTTCACTTTACAAATCCTATCCAAGTGATTTATTTTAGTTGCTAACCTATTTATCTATGTAATTACTTTAAATTTTTTATTGGCTATATTATTTTTCATTGCATCTTTGTGCAAATCAGAAACCCATGTTAACTTTAATACTTCTCACTTGGTGACTGCCACATATCAACAGCATCACTAAATCCTGAAAATTTTACTTCCTAAATTATCATCAAACCTCCCTACTAAGATCAAACTCCTATTTCTCTCTCATAAGAACTGCTACAACATTCTCTTTACTGGTCAAGCAACACTCACTCTCATGCATACATTTACTCATCATACCAGTTCTCCACACTGCAACCAAAATGATCTTCGCAAAACACATTCTGATCCTGTTAACACCAGTATTGCCCCTTTCAATGGCTTACCATTGCTTTAAAGATGAAAACCTGAAACCTTACACGGAACACAAGTCTCCACAGATTGTGGCCACTATGTTTCTCTACAGCATTATCTTGCACTACTTTCTCTGGAGCTCTCTCCCCTCCTTTACTTCCTCCTACTCACCAAATTATTTCTCCCCCTTCATTCTGTTTGAAAAGCCATCATCTTGACCGAGTTAATGCCTACACGAATTCCTTCATATCTAATCTCAAACTTCACTTATTGAAGAAAGTTTTCTGTGATCTTCCAAACCAACAGAACCTCTGACTGTATAATCTCATAACACTGATGTATCTCTCTTCTGTGATGTTTACTGCAATCGCAATTTTATATGTGTGATTTCTTGTCCTTCCCACTCATATGCTCTATGATGGTTAAGTATCAGATATTTCTATATATTTTTGCCATCCACTGTATCTTTGCCACTCCACCGAAAACAAGTGACTTAAGTATAAAAAATACGTATATACTGAAATAAATTAACACAATGTAGAGAATACAAAGTATTTAAAATCTTCCTTCCTCCCCTCTAACCACCAGAAACAGCCACCATTAATATTCTGCTGCATATTCTCGAAGACTTTTTTCAACGATTATAGAAAAGTATGTATCTATAATTATATATTTTTAAACACTGAATCATAATTAGGGTTGCCAGATTTAGCAAATAAAAATACAAGATGATCAGCTACATTCAAATTTCAGATTAACAATAAAAGCGTGTCCCAAACATTATTTGTTGTTTATCTAAAACTCAAATTTAACCAGGCATCATGTATTTTTACCTGGCAACTCTAATCATAAAATACATACTGTGCTAAATGTGATTTTCTCCATTATGGATTCTAGATTTAGTTTTTGGTACATTTGTGGGGGATCTTAAGTTGTACCTCCAATAAGAAACTATTAGTCTGAGTAGTAAAAGAAAGAAAAAGCATGCTATTTTCTTTTTTTTTTTTTTTTTTTTTTTGAGACGGAGTCTCGCTCTGTCGCCCAGGCTGGAGTGCAGTGGCGCAATCTCGGCTCACTGCAAGCTCCGCCTCCCGGGTACACGCCATTCTCCTGCCTCAGCCTCCCAAGTAGCTGGGACTACAGGCGCCCGCCACTACGCCCGGCTAATTTTTTGTATTTTTAGTAGAGACGGGGTTTCACCGTTTTAGCCGGGATGGTCTCGATCTCCTGACCTCGTGATCCGCCCGCCTCGGCCTCCCAAAGTGCTGGGATTACAGGCGTGAGCCACCGCGCCCGGCCGCTATTTTCAAATATAAAAAATATCTCATATCCTTTAAAAATATATTTCTATTCTTTTAGTGAGTCAGGAAGTAATCCATTTCAAGTATGAAAAACTGACATACTTGAAGTGTTATAAATTTTCTCAGAATAATATTCAAAGTGGGCAATTGGCAGCATGTTTTCATGCTACAAAAAAACTCCTCCAATTCAATTTCATGTGCGTTTAAAAAAAATAAATTATTTTAACTATATATTAACATTGTATCATTAAAATTATGGCAGGAAACAAGTGATTTATACTTAAGAACAAAACACTATAAATTACTGAAAAATAAAGGCATTTGTTAGGTGGTTCCTCCTTATAAGTAATGATTGTACTTTATTATTCCATGAAGATAAAATGATATGACCAATTTTATATCATTTAAAGCAAACTTTAAAATGTTAATGTCAACACTAATCCTCTGATCAAAATCACCATATTTGACTTTTAGAATAGATAGTTGTTTTAAATGGTTCCACAGGGAAACTAACATCATCTAATTTATGTCCATGATGTTTAGCACTGCAGAGGTAAAACAAATAACTTTTGCATGTCATCTGAAAAGTTTATTTTCATGACTGCTTTATTTAACAATCTTGATTTCATCTATAATCACAAATGCAATGTGCTAAATATGGGCTAGAAAGCGAGTTTATTTTGTTAGCAACTTAAAAACATAGGCCATAAAATTGATTTTTGTACGAAATAGAGAACTCTTATGGCAGGCATACTCTATTAGTAACCCTGTTGCAGAAAGCCCTCCAGTGTGCAGAAATATCATGTGGCATCAGTCCTGTGCCAAAAGGCCAAGGTGACCATGAGCTAACTGGAGTCAACAAGTATATCCACTATGACCTCCTAGAAAAGAAAATTAACAGTGTTAACGAATGATTGAACCAGGCTCTGATCCTCTTGGAGATCATGTATGGATACCTAGATGACCCCAGGCAACTGAACAGAGTAAGATGTACCTGCATAGGCATTCAGGATACTATGGACCGTATGGCCACAGTGCAGTTCATAAGCAGAGAGGTGGCCAAATGGCCATATCATCCACCATCCACTGTGATCACCAGACAAGGCTCAGCTCAGGGAAAAGAAAGGTCTGTGCCAGGCCAAGGACATAAATCAGAAAGTATAATTTCCTAGCAACTGCAGATGTGAACTACAGTGTGGGCTTTTAGAAGATGGACCTAGAATCAATCACCAGATCATTCTTGAAAGCTACATATACCCCAGGATTCTTCTTATTCCACTACTCCCACACCTCAATAGTGGTGGCTTGCAGAGCATATACACTGGAGCTGGGGAGGCTGATGCAGTGGACGGCAGGATTGAAATTATTTAGGAGTTGAAGTGCCACAAGATGAATGGTGTGAAGCTGACAGGCACAATCTCAAGCTAGATCTGATCCACAGATGTGATCCTGAAGGTGGCACACGCGTACTGTGGAGTACCAGCAGCCTAGCATACAGCCCATCTCATACATTGGCCTGATGATAATCTGAACACGGGTGTAGAAATTGGGGCCCTCAGTGTTCTCTTAGAACCACGGAATAAAGCAATAACTGGGTAAGACAGGCTAAGGAGACAATGCCAATCCAAGATAAAATCAAGGATCACTTGGTACCTGACCCTGATTGCCATTATAAATGACAGGTAAAAATTAACCTCAACAAGCTGAAGCCCCATGTAAATAAGCCCTTTACCCCGACCTAGCCCACACTGTGGAAGAAGTAGGTACTGTGGTGGAGAAGGAGGGATGGCCTTTGGACATCAAAGTGGGTCTGATCAACAGCTGTACCAACTCAAGCTATGAGGACATCAGGTGCTCAACAGCTATGGCCAAGCAAGTGCTAGCTCATGGGCTCAAGTGCAAGTCACAGCTCACCACAGCACTGGGATCTAAGCAGATCTACACTAATATTGAGCATAAGAGTTATTCACAGATCCCATAGGATATGGCAGGCATTGTCCTGGCCACTGTCTGTGGCCCCTGCATTGGCCAGTGGAACAGGTAGGACATAATAAAGATGGAGAAAAATGCAATCTTCACCTCCTACAAGAGGAACTTGACAGGCCACAATAAAGCAAACCTGAGGCCCAAGCCTTCATCATGTCCCTAGAGATCCTCAAGCCCTGGCCATTTCTGTCACCATCAACTTCAACCAAGAGATTTACTTCCTGACAACCATGTATGGGAAGAAGTACAAATTGGAGGCTCCAGATGCAGATGAGCTTCCCTAAGCAGAGTTGACTCCAGGAAGGACAACTACCAGCACCCCTACCACAAGGATATCAGTAGGCAGAGGGTGGATATGAGCACACCCAACAAGTGCCTACAGCTCCTGGAGCCTTTTGACAAGTGGGAAGGCAAAGACCTGGATGACCTACAGATTCACATATCCTTACAAAAGTGAAAAGGAAGCATACCACTCACTACATTTTGAATATTGGCATATGGTTCAAGTTATTGAGGCACCAGTACAACATCTCCAATAACCTGCTTATTGGTGCCATAAACACTGAAAACAATAAATGCCAACTCCTTAGGTAATGTTGTCACCAGGAGAAGGCCCACTACTGTAAGAAACATGCCATCAGATAGATGGTTATCAGAGATGAGAGCCATGGCAAGCTGGGAGCATATACCACTAGAACCCTGCCACCTTGGGAGACAGGGCATCATCATCAAGAGCTTTACCAGGATCCAGGAAACTAGCTTCAAGAAACCAACCTGCTGTCCCTTACCTTTACTGACATGACAAACTATAAGATCTACCCTGCGTGTAATCTCATCATCCAAGGCTGGAAAGGCTTTGCCCTGTCAAGCCCCTCAAATGTATCATCAAGAACTCCAAGAGGATTCAGGAAACCATCCTCCTGAACCACGAACTTCTACAAGACCCTGATTCAATGGTTCCATGTTGGCAGTGCTCTGAACAGAATGATGGAGCTATAGTACTGAGCTCTAAGCTCATCCAACCACTGCTCTGCCTGCCCACCTGCCTGCCCACTCTGCTATCTGAATCCAGCTCAGGTGCCACAAGTGTAGTTCCTTGTGTGTGTCATGAGAATTGGATCTGATCCAGCTATGGCCTTCTGCTCTAAGATGGCATGGCTAGACACTTCTCCCTGCCCTCGCCTCCCTTGACCTGAAGAATAACTCATGGTTGGAGGGGTTCTTAATTTTCAGCCCCTTGCCTTCCGGTTTTCAGTTTGATTCAGATCTTGAGCAGTTCCATGCAACTGTATTTATTTTTGATGACAAGACTACCACCTAAAGAACTTTTTCTCCTGCCTCATTATTTCACTGGTGACTGAAGAATTTTAAATAACCTTTTGCTCATGTAGGGAAAATAAGAAGCTTAACTTCACAAAAAGTGTATATAAGAAAAGGGGCATAAAAAAATAGCACAGACAATTTTAAGTAAAAGTCAAAGTTCTACTCACTGTTTTATATGGCTTACAAACAATGGTTTTACAATTTTAAATAATTGAAAAAAAGAAAAAATATATAACAATGTGTATATGTGAAAGTTACACAAAATACCACCAAACTCATTCCTTTATATAGCCCACGGTTGGTGTTGCACTACAATGACAGAATTCAGCAGTTGCAATAAAGGCTGTATGGCCTACAAAGCCTAAAATAGTTACTATGTGGTCCTTATAGAAATAGTTTGCCAGCCCCTGATTTTGAAAAAGAAGGTTAAGGTGGGCAGATTTGCTCTAGAAGATACCAAGAACTATAACACTTCAGTAATTAAGACATCGGTATAAAAATAAGGAAAAAGAAAAGCAAGCAGACTAAAGAGCTCAGAAACAGAGCAATGCATACCTAGCATACTATAGTATTGCATACCTAGCATTGCATACTATAGCAATGATGGCTTTGTAGGTTAAGGAGAAAAGATAAATTATTCAAGAAATTGTACAAGGAGAACTAGCTATCCATACAAGGAAAAAAATTGATTCCTAACTAACACCAAAGAATGAGATGGGCAAGACTCAATTCCTAAATGAAAAGAGGAAAACTTGGAAAACTTGAAAATATTTTTTAAAATATGCAGAATATCTTTAAAATTTCAAGGTAGAAAAGGATTTCTTCAACAAGCCACACAAAACACAAACCGTAAAAGAAAAGACAGATAAATCTGACTACTTTAATACTGAAATTTCCCATGCATCAAAACTCATTATATAAAAAATTGGAAAGCAAGCCACACATATAATTGCCAAGAATTAGAATCTGCAATATAAAAAATTGTACAAACCAATGAGAAGAAAAAAACTAACTGGAAAAAAAAAGAGGAACATCTGAGTAACCTGAAAAAAAAGTTCAAATTCACTAATAACCAGGGAAGGGCAAAATAAACCTGCAATGACTTAGCATTCAGATCAGCAAAAATCCATATAAGTCTCACAATACAAATATGGGTGAAGACATAATATGAAGTAACAAGAAGTCTCTTGCTCTTCTAAAGGAAATATAATGTGGTACTGCTACTTTAGAGTAATTTGGCAATATCCAATAAAGTAAAAGACATACCTACCCTATAACTCAGCAATTTCAACCTAAGTATAGACCAAGAGAAATTCGAAAACACATCAATAAGGAAACAATATACTTTGTCTAGACTAATATTGAGGAGCTTTCCCTATGTTTTCTCCTAGTAGTTCTACAGTTTCAGGTTTTATATGTCTTTAATCCATTTTTGACTTGATTTTTGTATATGGTTTGAGATAAGGATCCAATTCCATTTTTGTGCATGTGCACAGCCAGTTTTTCCAACATTTAATGAAGAGACTATCCTTTCCTCATTATGCATTTTTGCCATCTCTGTTGAAAATCAATTGACTATAAATGAGTGGGTTTGTTTCCAGGCCTTCTAACTTGTTCCATTGATCAATGTATTTGTTTTTATACCAGTATCATCCTGTTTTGATAACAATAGCTTTATATGTTTTGAAATCAGAGAGTTGGATATCGTCATTTTGTTCTTTTTGGTCAAGACCGTTTTGGCTATTTGAGGTCTTTTGTGGGTTTGTAAGAATTGTTTTTTCTATTTCTGTGAAAAACAACACTGGACTTCTGATAGGGATTGCACTAATCTGTAAATCGTTTTGGATAGTACACATGTTTTCATAATATTGATTCTTTCAATCCATAAGTACAGGATATCTTTATATTAACCTATGTTTTCTTCCATTTCTTTCATCAGTGTTCTATAGTCTTCAGAATGGTTTTACAATTTTAAATGATTGAAAAGACATTTCATTGCCTGGGTTTAATTTATACCTACTTTTGTTGTTGTTGCTGTTGTTGCTGCTATTGTAAATTGAATTGCTTTCTTAATTTCCTTTTCGGATAGTTTGTTATTAGTGTACAGAAATGCTACTAATTTTGTACGTTGATTTTGTATTCTGCAACTTAAAGCACAGGCAATAATAACCACAAAAATAGACAAATGCATGGCATTGAACTAAAAAGCACAGCAAAGGAAGCAATTAACAAAGTGAAGCAAACCCACAAAATGGAAAAAAATATTTGCATAGCATATATCTGATAAGGGGTAATATATAAAA
The DNA here is from genome assembly GCF_000001405.40 of Homo sapiens. Taxonomy (NCBI): domain Eukaryota; kingdom Metazoa; phylum Chordata; class Mammalia; order Primates; family Hominidae; genus Homo; species Homo sapiens. Next base: position 99,343,437 of record NC_000008.11, on the reverse strand, counting down.
AACTCAACCCAATAACAAGAAAACAACCTAACTGAAAAATGGGCAATCAGCCGGGAGCAGTGGCTCACCTGTAATCCTAGCACTTTGGGAGGCCGAGGTGGGTGGATCATGAGGTCAAGAGATTGAGACCATCCTGGCCAACATGGTGAAACCCTGTCTCTACTAAAAATACAAAAATTAGCTGGGCATGGTGGTGCGTGCCTGTAGTGCCAGCTACTCAGGAGGCTGAGGCAGGAAAATCACTTGAACCTGGGAGGCGGAGGTTGCAGTGAGCCGAGATTGTGCCACTGCACTCCAGCCTGGCGACAGAGCGAGACTCCCGTCTCAAAAAAAAAAAAAAGAAAGAAAAATGGGCAATAAACCTGAACATTTGCCATTTGTGTCTCTCAAAAGAAGACCTACAAAAGGCAAACAGGTACATGAAAAAAATGCTCAGCATCACTAATCAATAGGGAAATGCAAACTAAAACCACAATGAGAAGTCACCTAATACCCATTAGAAAGGCTTTTATCAAAAAGATGAAAGATGACAGGTATTAGTGAGGATTCAGAGAAAAGGGAAATCTTGTACATAGTTGCTAGAGATGTAAATTAATACAGCCATTATGGAAAACGGTATGGAGGTTCCTCAAAAAACTAAAAATAAGATTACCATATGGCTCAGTAATCCCACTTCTGGGTATATAACCAAAGGAACTGAAATAAATATGTCAAAGGGATATCTGCACTGCCATGTTCACTGCAGCACTATTCACAATAGACAAGATATGGTATCAGCCTAACTGGCTATCAACGGATAAACTGATTTTTTTAATGCAGTATATATACACAATAGACTACTATTCAGCCTTAAAAAGTAAATAAAAATTTGTCATTTTGCAACAACATAGATGAACCTGGAGGACATTATACTAAGTGAAATAAGCAAGGCACAGAAAGATACACCATATGATCTCACATGTATGTGAAATCTAAAAAAGTTGAACTTGTAGAAGTAGCACAGAATGATGGTTACCAGAGGCTAGAAAGATGTGAAGAGAGGGAATGGAAATTCTTGAACAAAGAGTACAAAGCTTCAGACAGAGAGGAGGCATAAGTGTTGAGATCTATTGTACAATAAAGTGACTGAAGTCAATTAATAATGTAGTATGTATTTCAAAATAATGAAGAGTGTAAATTTCAAATGTCTCACCATGAAAAAGGATAGGTAAACGACATGACAGATATGTTAATTGTCTTGATTTAATCATGCCACATTGTATACAAATATCAAGACATCACGCTATACCCCATATATGTATACAATTATGATTTGTCAATTAAAAATAGTAATTTTTTAAATAATAAAGAGTATACAATCTAAAATTGTTTTACCAAATTCTAAAAATAAATCATCAGCAATAAAAATAATTGCAGTACATTGTATTCATAAAACTGGAATTACTACATAGCAATTAAGTGCCTGAATTAAGAATTATAGAACTCAAAATGGAAAACTCTCCCAGCCCCAGTCGGGAGCCTTGTGTCTGCGCTGTCCAGGCCAGGCTGCGGTTTGGCCTTGCAGCTAGTGGAGGAGGCCTCTTGACTATGGTCTCTATTTTGCGTTAAATCTTCTTTCCTCCTGTGCAGCCCAGTGCCACGTGGGCTCTGGTGGGACGCCTGGGGGTTTGACCCAGATTGCTGATGTTATTGGTGGGAAAGACAAAAAAGGCAGAAAGATCCCAGAATATCTAATACATTTTAATAGTTGGAACGGAAGCTGTGATAGATGGGCAGCCAAAGATCACGTACACTGTAATACAGGTGCAAATCAAGGATGACAGCATGAATTGGCAAGAAAAGCTGCAGCTCACCTGAGAAGCACAGGAAGAAGGAAGTGCTGCAGGCTGTCTGGCATCAAATCTGTCTAAAAAAGCCCCCCAGTTGAAGACAAAGATGAAAATGCTGAAAATTCAATAAGCAGTTCTCCAACAGTAGTGAAGACAAGGATGAAAAATAAGTGAAGGAAGTGTTATTGAAGAAGAGACTTAAGTGCAAGAACTGGAGCTGTAAACAGAAAGGGAAATGGAAGAAAGAATATTAACTATAGAAATCCCCGAAGTTCTGAACAAGCAGCTTGAGAGTGATCGTTACTACATTAACAGAAGGAAACAGTTAATGAGACTTCCACGACAGACCAACATCATAATGATTTTGGAGTCCTACGAGAAGCATTTTGCTATCAACACAGCTTTTTCAGCCAGTGAGAGGCCTTGCCACCACCACACTATGCGGCACACCAACATGAAGGTGCATTATAATAATTCCCAGCAGAAAAGAATGCTGACCTTTGTAAGGAGATGGTGGATGGGTTAAGAATAACCTTTGATTACACTACCGCATCAGTTATAATCTATCCATGGGAATAAGCTCAGTATAAAAAGGTGACTTCAGCTAAGTGTTTTCTTTCAATTACGGAAAGCACCACAGACAATAAAATGAGCCAGGGGGAGCTCTCTCCCAGCCCACCTTTGTTGAATCCATCCACACCACAGTCCACAGAGAGTCAGACAACCACAGCTGAACCAGCCACCCACAAAAGGCACAAAGCCAAGCCGGAAGCATTGCAGGCTCTGAGGCGGTCCGCGTGCCACACCACCAACTGCAACAGGCTGGCTGAGAGCAGGCGTCACCTCGCCCAAGTGCCAGCAGCAGGCCACATCTACTAGCATGCCCCAGGCTGCTCCTGAACCTGGAGAACAAAACACCTGTGCATCATCTTCAACTATTCCTCAGCCTCCTAGCAAGGAAGAAAGTGCTGCATTTACTGGCTTTGAAGGGAAAAGAACTAATTAAATAAATGAGGTCCTCTCGTGGAAGCTTGTGCCTGATAATTACCACCCAGGTGACCAGACACCTCCACCCCCTTCACATTTATGGGGCACAACATTTGCTGTGACTTTTGGTAAAACTTCCAGAAATCCTTGGAAACATGTCCTAGTCTGAGAAGAATCTGAAGGCTTTATTGAAACACTTTGATCTTTTCTGAAGTTTTTAGCAGAATATATACCATGATGATTTCTTCCCAGAGTTGGCTTATGTTGCTGCCTATGAGGCATACTATAGCACCTAGAAACCCCCGGCAATTTATTAAAGTGTTGATGGGTCTGTAACAACAACTCCTCCATCTAGCTCTGCACTCTGGGTTCCAACTGTTCCAACTAACAAGGTGCTGGGTCTTATTTACCCAGAGCACAAAAGCAACACCACGTGGGGACTCTGGCAGAGGTGGGCCCTGTTGTTTCAGTTGCCCACATAACTATAGTTATTCTGTTAGGAATTACTTCCTGGGTGTCCGAAAGTGCTCTGACAAGATACTTGCTACTAAGGAGGCTATCTGTGATGGCAGAAAAAAAGGGCAACTGCGTTCACAGTGAAATGTTCATGAAAGTATACATAGGTTAGGCCATTTCACTAGATGTTGGAGTTAGTAAGCAGAAACCACATTGTTTTGTTATTTGTTGGCATTAAACAAAAATTTTTTGCAAGCTATTTTTATTCTATTGATGAGACTGAGCAACTCTGTCCAACAAATTTTAGTTTATATTTGGAAACCGCAAAGTAGTCTCAAAGTATTATAGAGAGAATTGGGGGAAAAAATGCAGCTATACATTTGCTTCTAACAGTGAAACATGATTTTTGGTGACCTAAAGAAAGCACTGCCTTTCTTGTTTGAGATTTTACAGCATACTTTGTTGTGCAATGTTATGGTTCCCTTTCCGTAAAACATTACTTTTAGTGACCTAAATAAAGCCTGTCTTGTTTGAAAAAAACTGGAAAAAAAAAAAAACTGACGTGGTTTGGATCTGTGTCTCCACCAAATCTCATGTCAAACTGTAATCTCCAGTGTTGGAGGTGGGGCCTGGTGGGAGGTGACTGGATCATGGGATGGATTTCTCATGAATGGATTAGTGCCATCTCCCTGTGTACTGTCCTCATGATAATGAGTGAGTTCTCATGAGATCTGGTCATTTAAAAGTGTGTAGCACTCCCCCTCCATTCTCTCTTTCTCCTACTCCACCTCCACCTTCCCCCACGATTTTAAGCTTCCTGAGGCCTCCCTAGAAGTCAACCAGATGCCAGCATCACGTTCCTGTACAGCCTACTGTGAGCCAATCAAACCTCTATTCTTTATAAGTTACCCAGTCTTAGGTATTTCTTTATAGCAATGCAAGAACGACCTAATACAAAAACTCTTCCAAACTTAATATTAAATAAATGTTCAAAAGAATACAAATAGCAAACAAATCAAAACATGCAAAACAATATGAAACTTAAATATTTTTAAAATGATACATATATATGTGCATACATATGTATACTAAAAGTATTTACAGGCACAGGAATAATAATCTCTAACTTTAGAATAGTGTCCAACTCTGATATGGTGAAACAGGAGAAAGATCATCATGAGGAAATTAAAAAATTGACTTTCTTTTTGATCTGTGATACTCATTATATTATTCTCTATTTGCATGTCTGACATACCTCATAATAAAAAAGAAATAATCACTGATCTACCACAGATAGAGTGGGAGAATACATGTCTTCCTGTATGTAATGGACCTCATTATTAATCAAAGATACTAAAATTTTATCATGGTAACAACCTCTGTTAATTAATAAAAATTATAAGAATGTCTAAGCTTCAAAACAATAAAATTCTGCAACATATAAACGATTGAGAGACACTGAATTTCAAAATAATGCTTCCATGTATAAGCAACATAAGGTAACAAAATAATCTGACATTGTTTTCATTAACTATAACATTGAATCCATTTTTATATGTTAGGCAAAATAAAAGCTAAAATTAAATATAATGTGCTCAGAAGAGGCTTTAACATGTGAATCACATACCGTCAAAACTGTCAATTCTTAGAAGTCACATCTTATTTTCTCAGTAAGTATAATTATATAAATTTTGAAATATAAATATATCCTTATAGAAAAATATTCTGTGGGTACCCTAACAGATTATATAAAGAATAAAATGGAATGTAGTACGCAAGAAATAAGTACAAAAGCCTCATGAGAAAAAGACCCAAAAAAATGATGAGATACACTACGTTCAAGGATTAAAGACTCAATATTGTCAAAATGTCCATTTTGTTCTTCAAGATTATCTACAAATTCAATGAAATCCCAATCAAAATTCTAACAGGTGTTTTTAATAGAAACTGACCAGTTGATAATAAAATATAGAAAGAAAACAAAAAACACATAGTACTTTATATAATCTTTTTAAATAGCAAAATTAGAGGACTCATATTACCTGATTCAAAGATTTGGTATATAGCCCCAGCAAACAAGACCATGGTAACTGGCATGACCATGGACAAACAGATTAAAAAACCAGAATAGAATTCCAGAAATAAAATCATGCATATGTTGTCTATTGATTTTCAACAAACATGCCAGGGCACTGAATGGGGAAAGTCTTTTCAACACATGATGCTTTAATAACTGGATGAATGAGAAAAAAAAAACAAAAACTTGATCTCTACCTCACAACTATTTATAAAACTTGATTTTTTGAATCATAGAATTAAAAGCTAAACTATAAGGCTTTTAGAGGAAAATATAGAAGGATATCCTGGATTTCATAGAGAAGTCCAAAAAAGCACTAATCATAAAAGCACTAATCACTAAAAAATTGATAAATGTGAATTTACCAAGGTATTAAAATTTTATTCTTTGTAAAACATTGTTATGAAAAAGAAAAAACAAAGAAAAGACTAAGAAAATATATTATGCACACATATAGCTGACCTGTATTCAGAATATATAAGGAACTCTTACAATTCAATTAAAGACAAACCATTAACATAAAATGGGCAAAAGACCTTCAACTCTTTTTTTTTTTCCCCTTAGGAATCTTTTTTATTATACTTTAAGTTTTAGGGTACATGTGCACAATGTGCAGGTTAGTTACATACGTATACATGTGCCATGCTGGTGTGCTGCACCCATTAACTCGTCATTTAGCATTAGGTATATCTCCTAAAGCTATCCATCTCCCCTCCCCCCACCCCACAACAGTCCCCAGAGTGTGATGTTCCCCTTCCTATGTCCATGTGTTCTCATTGTTCAATTCCCACCTATGAGTGAGAATATGCGGTGTTTGGTTTTTTGTTCTTGTGATACTTCACTGAGAATGATGATTTCCAATTTCATCCATGTCCCTACAAAGGACATGAAATCATCATTTTTTATGGCTGCATAGTATTCCATGGTGTATATGTGCCACATTTTCTTAATCCAGTCTATCGTTGTTGGACATTTCGGTTGGTTCCAAGTCTTTGCTATTGTGAATAGTGCCGCAATAAACATACGTGTGCATGTGTCTCTATAGCAGCATGATTTATAATCCTTTGGGTATATACCCAGTAATGGGATGGCTGGGTCAAATGGTATTTCTAGTTCTAGATCCCTGAGGAATCGCCACACTGACTTCCACAATGGTTGAACTAGTTTACAGTCCCACCAACAGTGTAAAAGTGTTCCTATTTCTCCACATCCTCTCCAGCACCTGTTGTTTCCTGACTTTTTAATGATCGCCATTCTATCTGGTGTGAGATGGTATCTCATTGTGGTTTTGATTTGCATTTCTCTGATGGCCAGTGATAGTCAGCATTTTTTCATGTGTTTTTTAGCTGCATAAATGTCTTCTTTTGAGAAGTGTCTGTTCATATCCTTCACCCACTTTTTGATGGGGTTATTTGATTTTTTCTTGTAAATTTGTTTGAGTTCATTGTAGATTCTGGATATCAGCCCTTTGTCAGATGAGTAGCTTGCGAAAATTTTTTCCCATTTTGTAGGTTGCCTGCACTCTGATGGTAGTTTCTTTTGCTGTGCAGAAGCTCTTTAGTTTCATTAGATCCCATTTGTCAATTTTGGCTTTTGTTGCCATTGCTTTTGGTGTTTTAGACATGAAGTCCTTGCCCATGCCTATGTCCTGAATGGTAATGCCTAGGTTTTCTTCTAGGGTTTTCATGGTTTTAGGTCTAACGTTTAAGTCTTTAATCCATCTTGAATTAATTTTTGTATAAGGTGTAAGGAAGGGATCCAGTTTCAGCTTCCTACATATGGCTAGCCAGTGTTCCCAGCACCATTTATTAAATAGGGAATCCTTTCCCCATTGCTTGTTTTTCTCAGGTTTGTCAAAGATCAGATAGTTGTAGATATGCGGCGTTATTTCTGAGGGCTCTGTTCTGTTCCATTGATCTATATCTCTGTTTTGGTACCAGTACCTTGCTGTTTTGGTTACTGTAGCCTTGTAGTATAGTTTGAAGTCAGGTAGCATGATGCCTCCTGCTTTGTTCTTTGGCTTAGGATTGACTTGGCGATGCGGGCTCTTTTTTGGTGCCATATGAACTTTAAAGTAGTTTTTTCCAATTCTGTGAAGAAAGTCATTGGTAGCTTGATGGGGATGGCATTGAATCTATAAATTACCTTGGGCAGTACGGCCATTTTCACAATATTGATTCTTCCTACCCATGAGCATGGAATGTCCTTCCATTTGTTTGTATCCTCTTTTATTTCATTGAGCAGTGGTTTGTAGTTCTCCTTGAAGAGGTCCTTCACGACCCTTGTAAGTTGGATTCCTAGGTATTTTATTCTCTTTGAAGCAATTGTGAGTGGGAGTTCACTCATGATTTGGCTCTCTGTTTGTCTGTTATTGGTGTATAAGAATGCTTGTGATTTTTGCACATTGATTTTGTATCCTGAGACTTTGCTGAAGTTGCTTATCAGCTTAAGGAGATTTTGGGCTGAGACAATGGGGTTTTCTAGATATCCAATCATGTCATCTGCAAACAGGGACAATTTGACTTCCTCTCTTCCTAATTGAATACCCTTTATTTCCTTCTCCTGCCTAATTGCCCTGGCCAAATTTATAGCACTAAATGCCCACAAGAGAAAGCAGGAAAGATCTGAAATTGACACCCTAACATCACAATTAAAAGAACTAGAAAAGCAAAAGCAAACACATTCAAAAGCTAGCAGAAGGCAAGAAATAACTAAAATCAGAGCAGAACTGAAGGAAATAGAGACACAAAAAACCCTTCAAAAATTAATGAATCCAGGAGCTGGTTTTTTGATAGGATCAACAAAATCGATAGACTGCTAGCAAGACTAATAAAGAAGAAAAGAGAGAAGAATCAAATAGACGCAATAAAATATGATAAAGGAGATATCACCACCGATCCCAAAGAAATACAAACTATCATCAGAGAATACTACAAACACCTCTACGCAAATAAACTAGAAAATCTAGAAGAAATGGATAAATTCCTCAACACATGCACCCTCCCAAGACTAAACCAGGAAGAAGTTGAATCTCTGAATAGACCAATAACAGGAGCTGAAATTGTGGCAATAATCAATAGCTTACCAACCAAAAAGAGTCCAGGACCAGATGGATTTACAGCCGAATTCTACCGAGGTATAAGAAGGAGCTGGTACCATTCCTTCTGAAACTATTCCAATCAACAGAAAAAGAGGGAATCCTCCCTAACTCATTTTATGAGGCCAGTGTCATCCTGATACCAAAGCAGGGCAGAGACACAACCAAAAAAGAGAATTTTAGACCAATATCCTTGATGAACATTGATGCAAAAATCCTCAATAAAATACTGGCAAACCGAATCCAGCAGCACATCAAAAAGCTTATCCACCATGATCAAGTAAGTGGGCTTCACCCCTGGGATGCAAGGCTGGTTCAATATACGCAAATCAATAAATGTAATCCAGCATATAAACAGGACCAAAGACAAAAACCACATGATTATCTCAATAGATGCAGAAAAGGCCTTTGACAAAATTCAACAACGCTTCACGCTAAAAACTCTCAATAAATTAGGTATTGATGGGACGTATCTCAAAATAATAAGAGCTATCTATGACAAACCCACAGCCAATATCATACTGAATGGGCAAAAACTGGAAGCATTCCCTTTGAAAACTGGCACAAGACAGGGATGCCCTCTCTCACCACTCCTATTCGACCTTCAAGTCTTTTAAGACACTTCACAAAGGAAGGTATCTGAAATGCCAAAAGGATGAAAAGATTATTATTATTAGTTACTGAGAAGCACAAATTAAAACAAGAATGAGATATCATTTCAAGCTTAGTAAAACAGATAAAATGACTACACCTAATATTGGCAAAGATATGAATGGAACAATGTCATTCTCATTGTAACACACATTGTTGGTGGGAGAGTTTAAGTCATATAACTACTTGGAAAAAAAGTCTAGTAGTTTTTTATAAAGTTAAACATACAACTACCTTATAGTAACAATTCCACTTCTAAATATGTATGCAATAGAAATGACAATATATGTCCACAAAAGGCTTGTAAAAGAATTTTATAGCAGGTTTAAACACAATAACCACAAAATAGAAACAATACAGAAGTCCATCAATAGTAGAATGAAGAAGTAAACTGTACTGTATCCATACAATGGAATACTATTTAGCAATTCAAAACAATAAACTACCGATATACACAAGACAAACGATTTCAAAAACATTGTGTAAAACACTAGACACTGATACATACATGTATACATCCAGAGAATTATTCTGAGTGAAAAAAGCCAATCCCAGAAAGGTTATATATTACATGACTATTTACATAACATTCTTGAAATGACAAAATTGGAGACATAGAGATATTAGTAGATGCCAGTGGTTAAGACTTGGGGTTAGAGTGGATGGTGAGGAGGAAGCAGAAGGAAAGTAGATGTGGACATAAAAGGGTAACACAAGGGATTCTTACAGTCATGAAACTATTCTGTATCTTGACTATGGTGGTAGGTACATGAATCTACATATGTGATAAAACTACATATAATTAAATACATACAAACACAAATGAATACCAGTAAAGCAGGGGAAATCTGAACAAGATCTATGTATTGTATCAATGTCAGTATCCTGGTTGGGGTGGTATATTATAATTTTGTAAGATGTTATCATTAAGGAAAACTGAGAAGAAGATACATAGGATCCTTCCGTATTATTTTGTACAACTGCATGTGAATCTACATAATTACCTCAAAAGAAAATGTTTCATTAAAAGAAAGTAAAGTTTAAAAATCACCATATATGTGGCCTTTACTTTTCATGCACATCTTTCTCCAAAAACAGATTTCCTGGGCATTAATTTTACATGTCCCTGACCCCCTTCAGATAAAAACAATTTTAAAATTTAAGAATAATGTTACATTTCTAAATGTCAGATTCTTGTCTAAAATATATAAACTCTACAAAAATTCAAACTCTCACTACAAAGCTGCCAGTAACCTAATACTATTTAAATAGACTAAGTACTATTATTTAAAAAGACTTCTGATACTTACATGTCTGAAGAATTATGATTACTCCCTCATGTAGATAAAGCACTGTCTGAAGTCTAAGCTCTTCTCTAAGTAGGCCTTGGAATCATTTTACTATTTCATCATTAAGAAAAATAAGCAACACTATTATATTTGACCACCCTGCTATAAAAAAACATGTGAGCCAACTTTTTATCCTTTCCTATCAACATGAGATTAATGCAATACCAGTAGAATTTCAACATAAATAAATGGACAAAAAAGTGTTATTAGAAGCCTGATATTTAAAATGTTTAGAATTCATATGGGAAATTCAGAAGAAATTTTATTAGGGAGAGTCTGGAAGAAAATGAATAAAGTCTCTTAATCTAAAACTTTCATCTTGTTTTCTGTACTGTGCTTTTAAGGATGTTCTGAAGAATAGCCTATGACTGTACGTAAAGCACTGAACTGAGGATGCAGAGTAAGGGTAACATTTACTTTACAAGTAAATCACCATAAACATCCTTTCCACACTGTACCTCTTGGGACACTCAGAGAATGTACTGAATTAATTCTTCAGAATATATAAAAGAATATTTTATTTGATCTAAAACACTTGAACTGATTGAACAAAAAAAAATTAACTGTTCTCTTACTTGCATAAAGTGGCCATATATGAAAAGATTAATATAGTAACTATAAATCTTAACATTAATTCCTGATTTTTCTATTTCCTTGCAAATGTTTGGGACTTGTTAAAAATAATCATTTAATCCAATTATCTCAGGTTTACTATTTAGCCATTTTCTTTATGAACCACAAGACAAATACTGAAAAAACCTAAGTCACAGTCTATTATTTAAATGATCCAATGAGTCTTTACACTGAGTTCACCTAATATAGTTTTGGATGTCAGAACATAAGACTGGCCAAATTTCTGTCTGATTTATCAATATGTTATAAGAAACCCCATTAAATTCACAATTTTCTACAATAAATAAAAACAAAGCTCTATTCTACGTTTCTGGAGCAGCCAAACTGTTGTTACAAAGATGCTCAAATTTCTGAAAAAATGATTTTGAGATAAATTTTTTAAAAATTCCTTAAACAAAACAGAATTTATGCTGTACTGTGTTAAGTATTCCTTTATCTTAAATTACTAAAGTTATCCCTATGCAGTTACAACGTTGAACTCCAAATACAATTTCTTGTCAACCACCTATAAAATGCTGTAAGATCATGCAATGTATCCTTCTGTCTCATGTAAACATGCAATACTTTAAATTAAATTCCATTATTTTTGCAGCAGCTTTCAGATTTCATTTCCAACCTTAAATTTTACAATTTAACCTACACCAAACCAACATCACCAAAGTCAAAACGTACTAAGAAGTTTACTGTATTGATTTGTACAAAAATGCACAAATGCAACCTACATATTTCATATGTTGTTAACATAACTAACCAACTGGCCCTTACAGGTTATATTTTAATTTTTTTCTTGATTTACTAGTAAAGTATCAGTTTTTTAGCAATTCAGAATTTTAAAATTGATATTCCAGTTCAACTACTAGTGGTGTTTATGCTAATGAGAACATAAGTCTATTTAAATGTTCCTTATAAAGGGATCTTGGCTGCTCTACAGCTCTAAACTGCAAGATTCTAGAAGTAGTCTATAAGTAGTGTTGCTACACAGGCTGACAGTTCTATGGTCATTTACCTGTCAATGTAGTAGCTACTGTAGTAAATGACTAGTGAGTAACGCAATGACAAGCAACACTACTTAAAATGAACAGGTTGATCCCTTAAGTAAGGTTTTCTAAGCACTTTGTAGGACCAGTGCATTATTTAAAAACAACCACAACAAGTAAATTGCCAGCACTGTTCATTTAAGTTTAAATTTTCTTCTATAGGTCTCATTCTCTGCCACAAACCAGATAAGTAAGAGTTTAGTGGAACCATGCATCCTTATTCCGAAAAGAATATTAAAAAATCAGAGGAAATTCAATGGATAGTTCATAAAATTATCTATGATTAAAGAATCTGAATGAAAGCATTTTAATGTATATGAGAATGAAGCTGAAAGGTGAAGGAGGAATTCTTACCAGGAATACAAGGAATTTTCTTTAAGAGACTCAACTTCACCTAATACTCTAATGCAATAAAAAACTAACCCTAAATTGCCTTAAGACAAGGGGGAACAAAAGAAATAAAATTTTGCTTAATGGCTTTAGATATGAAAAAAAAGTTACCATGGGTACTTGGAGAGTCTCTACAAGCCACTAAGAAACAAGATATTGATAGTTTCCGTTCTGGTTGAAGACAATGACTAGATCAAATAACTTCTTGAGGTAGCCAGTGGTACCACTGTAACGCCCTTCTAATCCTCCACTTTTCAACCCAGCACTCCATTATCCCACAACTTAGAAGGAAGAAAAAATTAAAATATAGATTGTAAGTGCTTAGATAAACAAAATTGAGGAAGAAAAGGGGGAACACTTAGGAAACAATTAATTTGGGCTAGGAGTAGGGGTGAGGGAAGACAGGAAGATAACAGAAGGAATAATGCATGAGCTTTAGGTCAGGGGTAAGAAACAACTATATTAAGTGATGGTTCAGAAAGTGAAATTCTGTTCTCTGACTCTGGTTCTTTATTCAGTACTTGATTAAATTCCTGAATTCCCCTTTCTCATCCAAAGTCTCAACCTCCAAATAGAATATATTATTAAAATAACATACCCCCATCACTGGCCTCATCATTCATTCTCTATGAATGGCATAATATAATAGCAATGAGGATAATACTATTTTTAATATTATATATATGATCAAAAGTTTTAATAAGGGGTACTTTAACAGAAAACAATTCTAGTCCAGTGTGTTCTGGAATAGTAGCCCCAAAATAACTAGTCCAAATAACATGTTCAAATATTTGAAGACAATTTTAAATTCTTTTCTAAAATCCTTGGAAGACATGCCTCTCCAAATAGGCATCTCAAATGAGTTAATATATATTACAGAATAAAATATATACTCTAAACAGTGACTCTCAAACAGGGGTGACTTCATCACCCATAGGAAATATAGCACTGTCTGGAAACAAACCAAGGGTGCCACTGGTATCTAGTGGGAAGAGGTCAGGGATACTACAGAATATCCAACAATGTATGAGACAGAATTATGTGGCCCAAAATGTCCTTCACGCCATTGTCAAAATACCATGCTTGAAAGGAATACTGAATGCTATCATTTATCTATTTTATTTTTATTTGCTGTTAGATTCACTATGTTGCAGTCTGTTACTAGAATCTGTCAAGATGATAAGAATGACATTATTTAATAAAATCCTAGAGGAAATATATTTGTAGGAAAAACAGAAAGATAAAGTTCACTGAGAATGCTTAGTGGTTATGTTTAATGTAATCCACTACAGCTGATGGCTCAGAAAGAAATAAGTTGCTTCAAAAACGAAACTGGAAATTACACTCAAAAAGATCAATTTTATTTATAATCTGGAATTAACAGGGTTTTTCCTCTTAAAGCAGATGGATTTCCTTGAATTACTAAAAACATGCATTGGATGTCAAGGCAAAAAAATGTAGACATAAAATTATGATCTGCATTCCCTAAGGTGATTTTGTCAAAACAAAATATATAGACCACAATGTTCTTCCATAATACCTTAAAAATGTATCTTTTCAAAATTAATAATATTTCATTTTACTAAACACATGCTTGAATATAAGCATTGATTGTAATATACTATAGCTGCTTTTATTGAAATGAATCATTTTTTCAGAATATGCCCCAAACTAAAATACAGGGTTTATACCTATGAAAACAAGGCCAAGAGAATTAAATTTTCACTCTATATGTTTCACATAAAAACTGGAAAGATAACAGTTCACAATTTTGAATACTTTAGAAGTCTATAATCCAGAAAGAGCCCAACTGGAAGGAATCTTAGAAATCATCATGAGCTAGACTTTTCAAAAGAGGGTACTTACATATATAGGCATGTATAGTGGTAAGCTAAGAAGCACTCAACTGAAAAAATAAGCACAGTAGGTCTTAGTAGATGAGCAACTTAATCTAATAACTAGGGGGAGGAGAGGTAAAACAAACAGAATGCATTGTGGAGTAGAATGTCAAACTTACAAAGATTTTTAATCTAAGAGACGTAAAGTAGATTTTCCTTTCGTAGCTGCTTGCTTTGGGCTGGAATTTTCAGATGTATGAATTCACACTCTTCTTCTACTGCAGGGATGTAGCTGGACAAATTGAGATCTCCTCAGAAGATATCAAAGAATATTTTGATTTAAAACACTCAAACTGACTGAAAAAAATTAACTGCTTCTTTATTTGCATAAAATAGCCATTTTATAAAAAGACCAACATAGTAACAAAAATCTTAACTTGATCAATTCCTGATTTTTCTATCTCCTTGCAAATACTTGAAACTTGTTAAAAGTTATCTTATCCAATCATCTCAGGTTTAAAATTTAGCTATCTTCTCCTACAAGACACCTATATCACCAAAGTTGGAAACAGAGAGTATCCAGGTCCCACTAAACCTTTCAGGTTGCCATTTGTCCTTGCTTCCCCTACTTCATATCTGTTTTCCCAGCTCAACTTCCTGCCTTGCTGACCTCAGGTGATAGCACCAAACACAAAAGTAATAGTTCCCACAGAATTTTTTTAAAACTCCCACAATTGAGTATGGAGAAATCTTTATAATAAATCCTTTCTATCAGCACTCCTGAACCATTTGGTACCAGGGACAGGTTTTGTGGAAGACAATTTTACCACGGACTTGGTTCAGGGATGGCGATTGTTTCAGGATGAAACTGTTCCACCTCAGATCATCAGACATTAGATTCTCATGAGGAGCGTGCAGCCTAGATCCCTTGCATGCACAGTTCACAATGGGGTTTGCACTCCTAGGAGAATCTAATGTTGCAGCTGATCTGACATGAGATGGTGTACACGCAGTAATGATCACTAACCCACCACTAACCTGCTATGCAGCCTGGTTCCTAATAGACCATGGAACCATTTTGGCCTATGGCCAACAGATCGGGGACTTCTACTTTAAAAGTATATCTCCTAGTGGTTCTGCTTCTCTAATTAAACCTTGACTGATAGAGAATTTTTGTAAGGTATATTTTGTGTATTGTTTGAGAATATTCTGTTACATTATAAATCAAGAAAAACAGGATGAATAAGACTCATAAGAAATGTTAACCATAGATAGTAAGTAAACTAGCATCTTATGAGATACAGATAGAAATCATACAAATTGTGAGTAACCAAAGTAGCTTATGAAACAGTAGAGATCATAAAATGTGTTATAAACATAGAGGGTAAGTTAGTCATCTGTAAAGTGGGCAGGGGATACATAAACATTCCATGCCACCAGATTCAGATAGTGTGGTCTTTCCCATCCACTTATACAGTATCCGAAGTGTGTTGACTGCCCTATCTCTAGTCTCTTGCCTGTAACTTGTGTTTTAATTAACCCCATGTGCTCTTTCCCTCCCACCTGTATAATATCTTATGTGTGTTGACTGCTCTATCTGTCTCCCCATGCTTCTACCTTGTGTCTGATTAATCTTGACTGTGCTCTGATGCAAATTTTTGTATTTATTTGACTGGCTAGCTGCCATTTATTTGACTGGCTACCTATATTAATTATTAATACATTAAATCTAAATACTACATTAATGTAAATTCCATTTTGAAAGTGAAATCCCAAATAAAATCACTGTTCTTTAATAATATTTGGTTAGTCATTGGTAAACTTCAAAATTTAAATTGAATTGGGATGACTCAATTTCCTGCAGTTGCCATTCTACCCAATTAGGTTGACTGCAATTCTGTATTTCTTCTTATCTAAGACACCATCAATCATGACACACAATTATTTTACATGTACATAGAATTGGAAGACCCAAGGGGTACACCTTTGTTTAAGATTAAAGAAAAAAACTCTTCGAAGTAGACAGAAATAGGAAGAAACTCATAAACGAATCTTTGTACTAGGTGGAGGGTAGGGGAAGAAATCTCATAAAATTGAAACCAAAACCCAGTATTAACAATTATGGCAGTCTAAATTCACACTATCAGTGAAATCCAAAAATCATCTAACAACTTAATTCAAAGTGGTCTCATGTGTCTGAGATTGAATGCCAGAGGCAAACACAAACTCCCTCTATCAGAGCTGAACTTCAACTGAGGCCAGTAGTAAGAGGCCATTTATTTTCAGAAAAGTTAAAGTATGAAAAAAGTATCTCAAAATTGATAAAATAAATTGTGATAAATGATATATTTGTAGGAGACTAACAAATACATGAAATTTATTAATATGCAGGGATGGCTGGGCATGGTGGTTCATGTCTATAATCCCAGCACTTTCGGAGGCTGAGGTGGGCAGATCGCTTGAGCTCTCCAGTTTGAGACCAGCTTGAGCAACGTGGCAAAACCTCATCTCTACAAAAAATACAAAAATTAGCAGGGCAGGAGAGCCTGGGAGGCAGAGGTTGCAGTGAGCTGAGATTGTGCCACTAGGCAACAGAGCAAGATTCTGTCTCAAAAAAAAAAAAAAAAAAAAAAAAAAAAAAGCTACCTAGAGATGATAGATAGAAATTCTGCCTTATTTCAAATTATTTAATTTTTTCATAAACTACTTACTTACCAATTAGACAAATTCACATATAGAAGAGGACATTGTTTAAGCTCTCCCTAAGCTTAGAATATAGTTGGGAAATAAGATACACATATCAAACATAAAATGTAAATAACACAAATTTATTCACTCAATATATACACTGAGTACCTGTCGCACATGCCTGTTTTTTCAAGCAGGGTTCCTCATCTAAACCACAAAGCACAGAAAATTATTTGAGTCACTATCTCCCCAATACTTCCACTATAATACATTATTGTTTTTCTGTGCACAGAATAGAAGGAAATGCAATAAGAAATTGCCAAGAAGGAAAACTGTAGAGTAAGAAATAATTTTTGTTTTCAATAAACTGGTTACAAGGGTATGTAAGTAAACCAATCATTAAGGTACAGCTTTGGGAGTATTGAGAAATGACCCCCAAAAAACATATCCTATGGAAAACAAATAAATAATTTAATCAGGGCAAAAATCTAAAGAATAAAAATTTATTTTGGTTGAGATACTAAGGGCCGTAAAAGGAATGCATGATTTAATTATTTGGAATGTAGATACAAAGGGATAAAATAAAAAGTATTATAAGGGTTGATAGGCATTTATATAAAGACCTAAACAGGAAATTACCTGATACTTGAAAGCTGATATCCCAAAAGTGATCTTTTTTCTAAGAGGAACTAACAAAAACATCTTGACTAGGTCCTTGCCAATCATGGAAAATAATGTTAAGGGAACTAAATAATAACTCTCCCCTGAGATGCCAGATTTAAGCTGATTGAGATTTTGGCTTGAGCCACAGATATACACAGATAAGAATTATACTGCTAAGGTTGCTTTGAATAATACATTTCACAAAATTGCCTTTGATAGGGAGGTACCATTTACTTAGGAGGTAGTATTCTGAAGAACAAATAACAATGAAAACAGTTTGTTTCACTAAGTTAGACAGTATATGAGCAGTTGCAAAGGATGAAACATTTGGATTTTATCTGATAGTCTGGACAATTTATAGAGAACAAGTGAAAGAAGGCAAAATTAGCAAGAAAGCAAACTATCCAACCAATTCTGTGATTGACGGTGAGAAGTTAGTCTAAAGCAGGGTAAGCGGAAATAAAAAGCAAAAGATGAATTTAAGAGAATCTTGGCCGAGCACAGTGGCTCATGCCTGTAATTCCAACACTTTGGGGGGCCCAGGTGAGAGAACTGCTTGAACCCAGGAGTTTGAGCCCAACCTCTTCAACATATTGGAACTTTGTATTTTTTTTCTTAAAGAAGAGAATCTCAAAGAATTTTAAGACCTTTTAACTAATTGTATAAGCAGTAAAGCATAGATTAAAATATGTCATTAGCCATTTGAGAACAATAATGCTAGCCTACCTGTTCAGAATCTCAATGAAAATGAGAATGATTAAGAAAAGTGTTTTCAGATTTTATCTAAAAGATACCTTAATATGATTATACAATGGAAGGAGAAGGAAGAGCCTTTAATTAAAAATAAAATATCAAAATACAACAATTTTTAAAACCATATATAATCTTTGTAACTAGATGTAATCTACAAAACTGACTACATTATAGTAACAAGTCCTAAAATTCCCCTCAATATATAAATAATTGGTTCTTTTCTTTAGAATACAAGATTCAAGGTAATCTATACCCTTGTGCTCTGTCACTTGAAATACGTGATCAACAAAAATGTTGAAAACATATCTTACAATTGATACCCTTTAAATTAAACAGCTATATATGTGGCTTTCAAACTTTCTTAGGAACAGGACATTTTTTCTTTTTTTCAGACAAAATCTCATGGAGTAGTCCAACAAATAAATCAGAAAAAAGGCAGAGCTGCTTTGATACAATCTAGAAGCAAGCAGCCAGAACCCCAGCCCCATGAAAACTCTAAGAAATCTTTCAGCTCTGCAAGCAAAGTTTTAAAATAAAATTAAATGGGAAGAGGAACACAGTATATTGCTTTGGTCCAGTGGAATAAAATCTGCATAACTAATGCTGGAATTAAATTAGCTATCTGATTGAGGGATCAAAATATAGAAGTGGAATGGGCAGTACTTAAAAGCTGAAAAGAATAAAAAGGTTAATATTTGGTTAGAGTAAATAGGTACCCAACAATTATTTACTTCAACAGTTTGAGAAAGTGAAAATTATCATGAAAGACTATAATAGATTAATTACTTTCCCATGTTCATATCTCTGCTTGGCTTCTAAGCCTAGGTTTCAGAAAGAGTTTGATCAACTGCTGAGTTTTAACGATCTCCTACTGCTTTTATCTTTTAGTAAAGCTTCTGTCTACAAAGACCTCCCGCAAGAATCATGGAGTATGAACTATAGGATTGCTCATATCTGGATGCTTGTAACTCAGCCTGCATTCATTACTTCACCCCATTAACATTCCACGCTGGGAGTCCTTTGCCAGTTTTATGAGGCGAAACCACAAAACGTCAGGTTAACAAAATCCTCACATAGCAATTTCACCTTAAAATACTGCCTGTCAAGGACTTGCTTCCAAGATATTCAATAAATCACTAACTCTATAAAGCAGGTTGCAAGTCAAATAATTGCAATATTTTGTATCAGAGCACAATCAAGATTAATCAAAATGCAAGCTAATTATTTAGAACAACAACCTTATTGGGGAAGAGGAATACAGCACTATGTTTTCAAGTGTACTTGGTAGCCTATCTAAGTTTTAATTGTGCTTAGATAATAGCCTATCTAAGTTGTACTTAACTAAACTCTCTATTACTTCCATTTCCAATTATTTAGACACTTGATTTGAGATGGCATGATATAATAGAGAGCTTTGGGGATATAAACATATTGGTTCAATTCCTTGTTGTGCCACTTATTAGTTATGTGTCTTTGAGATGGTTAATAAGCCATATTGCAATATATTGCCTAAGCCTGTTTTCTCAATGCAAAAATGAAGGAGTTCTTTCTTCACTGGGCTATTCTGAGTTTTTAAGGATGTAAGAAAATAAGCATCAACCATAGTATCTGGAAATATTGTTCAATAATTGTTAGTTTCCTTCCCTCTATCCTTTGTTGAGACAGAAAATGACCAACTTTCCTAAGAGTCACTGTTTAAAACTCTCTATGCTCCCTGAGAAGATTACTAAGAAATCTCTGTCTCTGTAATTACCGTCATGCAGCTAAGAGTGTCATGATAGGTATGAAAGGAAAAACAAAGTGAAAGTTTGTTGTGTATACATCAGTGAACACGTATCTATTAAACACATTCACCTGTACTTCCTCCCTTGCTCAAAAGGAACGAAAGAGTACGAACTGGCCAAGCCTGTCTACCCCACCCTCTAGGCTGAAGATCTCAGTCGGTCGTTCCTAGTATTTGGCTCTCTTGTGATAATTATTAAACAATGTTGGATAACTATGTCCTGAGCAAGTAATTCACATTCTGATTCTGTTCTATACTTTTCTGGTAAAAATTATTTGTACATCTTTTGTGACTTAGTACAGAGTGCAGAAGATAACACACATCAGAAAGAATTATCAAGGAAGTAAGACAATCGTGTTTAAGAACTATACTTTGTTTTCCTTGTGTCTTTGTTTCTATCCTAATGATGATTATTCCTTTTCTTTGCATCCATTCCAACTTCCTTAAATTCCTTTACAAATGCAGATACAAAACAGAACAGGGTAAGAAACCAAAATAAGGTTCTTGCAATAGCTAAGTCTTTGCATGTTTATACTTCCCATCTCCAGGAAAAAAATACAAAAAACTCTGACACAGACATGTGGATTGCATTCATGTTAAACTCCCAATTCAACATTTAAAGAGCAGTCACGCTGTCAATCTTATAGGCAAAATAAGTCTAATGACCAACCCTCAAATTAAAAATGTACTTTTATTTTCCTCCCTTATTCTCTTAAGGAAAGATTTGTAGAATATTTTTATGTGCAAAATTACATTCATGCCTCCAGAGCAACATAAAGAGCAGCAGCATATTCTTGAGTTCTTGAAAACAAACGGAATCTCTACTCAGGAAAAAAAGTACTAGCCTTAATTAAGTGAAAATATTAGTGATCTAGTAAAGCCTAAATCTAGCAATTCAGCCTAATCTTACTAACTGAATACATTTTCATAGAGCATTTGTACATTTTAATGATGCAGTTGGCTCTGAAGTGTTCCATGAAAAAGGTGGCTATTTTGCTCTAAACTATTAGTAAACAGCAGTCAATTACAAATGGCTCTAGGAAAAGAACAAAATTACACAAAGGAAAAGGCAAAAGCAAGGGCACAAACAACAAGGTTGCTCGTCTGAAGGATACAACTAAAGGAACACGTGGTCTTTGGCCAGTGAGCAAATAAGGGTCTAATTTTATTGTATTCTCTAACACCTAATAGCAGCTTGTTTGGCTTCCCATAATAATTGTGACACAAAAGGCAAAAATAGCCTTCCCAGGAATTTACATTTTGATACAACTAAAAGAAAACAAAAGTCTCACTTTCATTCCCACAGTCTTAGTTTTGGAACCTTTTAATTTCCAAAGAGATAGAAATGAGATTGAAGACAACTAAATATGTATTACGTTTAAATCATAATGTTCTCAATATCCCATAACACATTTCTCATATAGTAGGAATTAAATGATTCATAAGCTTACTAAGCAAAAATAATGTTATGTGCAAGTAAAGTAAAATTACAAATGTTATTCAAATACAAATTTAAAATTCACCTTCTCAGCCTTGGAAATGAATAAATCATTTCTCTGATGTACTTACATTTTTAAGAAATAATTACCAGAGAATGGATAAAAATATGGTTTAAACTTTTATTAGGAAAAATATCATGTCCCTTATCTAATATAGTCATCTATATTAATTATTTACGCACATTCGAAAATTTGGAATAGGCCAGGCACGACGGCTCATGCCTGTAATCCCAACACTTTGGGAGGCTGAGGCAGGTGAATCACTTAAGGTCAGGAGGTCGAGACCAGCCTGGCCAACACAGTGAAACCCCGTCTCTACAAAAATACAAAAATTAGCTGGGCGTGGTGGTGCCACCAGTAATCCTGGCTGCTCAGGAGACTGAGGCAGGAGAATAACTTGAGCCTGGGAGGCGGAGGCTGCAGGAGCTGAAATCACGCCACTGCACTCCAGCCTGGGCGACAGAGCAAGACTCTGTCTCAAAAAAAAAAAAAAAAAAGAAAAAGAAAAAAGAAAGAAAATTGTGAGTAAAAATACCGTCAGCTTCTAAAACAACCTAAAATCATCTGAGCCAATCTAAATTATAACCTGATAGTTTTTTAGTAATTTATAGAATGTTCCAGAATCTGACTTTGGTACTACAGTCTGTAACTGACAATAGTTACTTTTCTTGTGGAGTGACTGAATATTTAAAAAGACAATTGTTGGTAAATCAAATGAATGCTAAATATTTGTTTAGTTTTAAAGATTTCAGCACACACTGGCTCAAAACCAAACTAAAACTGAGTAACCAAAGGTCAAAGGCAAGCAGGTTTGCCAAAGTAGCAATGCCTGACACAAAGGTGACCTGGAAGAATAAAAAGAAGAGAAAGTAGGTAGAAAATTTTAGCTTGTTCACACTGTGAATATCAAAGCAAAGTGACTGCTTTAAAAACTCTTATTCATAATAATCATCAAATATTTAAGTTAAAATTTTAATAAACATCTATTTGGGATAAAATACTTGTAAGGTTCACCATTCTATAAAACACAGAGCAGCATTTACAGATTAAATGCTTTCTCTGCCAAATAAACGACAATTTACAAAGGAAAACTAGGGGTCCCTTCTAACATTTTCAAAGTAATAAGTTGCATTAAAATTGCCAAAAGTAACTATTCTATCTTACATTAGTAAATGGTTTGAATCATCTAAGATTAAAGTTAAACAAGTAACACAACAAAGATAGCAAATATTTACTAAGAAAACAAAATATATCAACATTAATTGGCCAAAATCACAGGAAGAGTAAAAAGAAAATTGAAGAAGAGGAAGAAATTACTGATGTTGTATTTTAAACATTAGTGTAACAAAGATTAGGATTCCCAGGAGAAGGGAGGTCCTTGGTCTTTTACATAGCCCCCACTATCCATCCTGACATTAGCAAAACAATATAAATAAATAAGAAAAAATATCAGGATGCTGGGAAATTAGTGTGCTTATTAAGGCGGACCTTTATCCCATAAATCCCTTTCAAATGTAAAGCAAACCATCATATTTCTATTTAATAAGGTCTTAGAAACTGAAGGCCACAATTCCAAAGAACAAGCATTCTCATCTAAGATTCACAAGTTCTAAAACATTGAAAGGAAAGACACAGATGATAGACATGGTGCCTATTATAAACAATCACTCCCTCTCATGCTTTTAATATTGGAACAGAGTGTGACATATAGGAGTTAAATAACAAGAGTAAGCACGTATTTATTAAGTGTCTACTAGTGATGAAAAAGTGGTGCATAAAAGAGATATAGTCCCATCCCACATGAAGCACATGTCAGGTACCTAAAATACGTTATATTATTTAATCCATAAAACAACTCTGTGAGATATTATCATCCCAGTTTTCCAGACAGGAAACTAAGACTGTAAAAGGTCGATTATCTTGTCCAATATCAAAACCTCAGTAAGAAGGCGGTAAGTAGAAGAAACAAGAATCAAATCCAAGGCTGTGACTCTTGCCTGTAGACTTTCTCTTTGTTCTACAGACAGTCAATTCTATATGAAAGTTGCACCACACTCTGGGGGCATTTTTTAAAAATTAGTGTTTCTGGTTGTCACAATGATTAGGAGACAGTACTGACATTAACCATCAACCAAGAATAATGAAGTTGTTCAATGTCCAAAACAATCCTTTTACAACAAAGAACAGTCGTACATCCTGAACAATTTTGAAATATTCTCGCAGATTTCCATGTAAGTTAAAAACCTGTAGATAATTACTTGAATTTAGACTCTAACTCAATTTTACATCTAAATACAAAGCAGTTTTCACCCACTTTTAATAGACCCAGAAAGCTCCAGAAATCTATCTCTCAGCAATATAGGAGAAAATTTTATATCATTTCGCATTTGACAAAGACATGTTTACCATTTTAGAAAATCACATCACTCACGGCTATTTCATTTGAGGATATTCATTGCCAATATGCAACACATATACACAGGCAAGACTTGTAACTGTCCCGGTACAATACATGTGGCAGGCTGAGTATCTTACCTGAACACCTCATCATGTCTTCAAATCTAGTTATGCTCTAAATATAAAAATGTGTGCTTCTATTATAAATTACTTTCCTTTTATTTCTCCCTTAATAAGATTATATTATATAGATTTATTCATAAATCATAAGCTTAGGAAAGTACAATTATGAATTTTATTTCAAGATAGTAAAGGGACATAAGAAAATACATGTTACAAAAAGGGGCATTAGATTTGATAGGGTTGAGAGCTACTACATTACATCATTATGCCCCTAATTTTAACAATAACTAGACTTTCTTTGGCCTTAAAATAACACACCTGAACAATCTCAGTAATAAGACCCTTCTCTCATAAAGAAATTCATGTAGGGCGGGTGTGGTGGCTCACACCTGTAATCCCAGCACTTTGGGAGGCTGAGGCAGGTGGATCACGAGGTCAGAAGTTTAAGACCAGCCTGGCCATCATGGTGAAACCCCGTCTCTAATAAAAATACAAAAATTAGCTGCTAGGCTTGGTGGTGCGTGCCTGTAGTCCCAGCTATTCAGGAGGCTGAGGCAGGAGAATCGCTTGAACCCAGGAGGTGGAGGTTGCAGTGAACTGAGATCATGCCACTGCACTCTAGCCTGGGTAACAGAGCGAGACTCCATCCCAAAAATAAAAAAAATAATAATTCCATGTAAGTTACTCTCAATGACAGGATATTTTCTTATATTGAAGTTCCTTACTCCATAATTTAAATTTGTTTATTCTTTTCTTTGTCTTAAAATGAGATCTACCATACAGGACAGGAATAGATAAACTGGAAGTACCATAAAGAGGCTATATTTTTATCACTGGAATTTATTCATCAATCTCTCTCTTTTACATACCATATTACCCAATAAGTATTCAATGAATATTTGTTTATAGAATAATTGCACAGCATTGTTATTCAATATCAGTATGCTCATGAACTGAATAAGCACATCAACCATTTTATGAATGCTTGCTACTCAAAATAGTCTTTTGGTTGTTTATATACACTCAAATATTACCCCATCCAATAGGAAAATTCAAAAAGAATGCTTAATTTGCAAAGGCAGTAAATTAGGGCAAGAACACAATGGCATAAACTTAATATCTGAGTTTGAAAACTACTGTCAAAGTTTTAAATGTTAACAGTAAAGTAAAGCTTTCTAAAGGCTCCGTAATGTTCCTAACCCCCCAAAAAAACACAGTTGGAATAAACACACACAGACACATATATATACATATATAAAACAGATATCCCCTATTAGCTTGTGATTTTATAGTACCTTAGTGCATGCACCTACATTCATGACAAAACTTTTTAAAACAGTGAATTGAGTAATTCACATGGTGTTACATATCCTCATTAATGATGAACAAGTCCTTCAGTACCTCTCAATTCAAAGAGAAGTCCCATTGTTCAAATAATAACTGAATGGTTCAGGTTCTCTAGGCCTTTTTTATTATTATTATTCAAGATATTTTTATTACACCAAGGTAAATCCACATACACATCCATACAGCATAGTGAATTTTTAGAAGTTATCACTTCAAATTAAGGGAGGACTGAGAAGAAGGAATGGTTACCCAGAGGATTTCAGTTAACATATAATTTATTAAAAAATAAAATGAATTTTATGTCTACACACACATGCACAGACACACAAATGTATATGAAAACCTAAAATGGTGGAAATAGTAACATTATTAGACTATATTCTGTAATTGCATAGTATTATTATAAATTCCTTGTGATTTGTATGCATACTTCAAAACAGCTAGAAGAGAAGATTTTCAATGTTGTCATCACAAAGAAATGACAAGTGTTTGAGGTGATGGATATGCTAATTACCCTGATTTAATCATTACACAATGTATACATGTATTGAAACATCACACTGTACCCCATAAATAAGTACAAATAATTTAAAAAAAAACTTTATCTAAAGTTCAGATCCATACCCACTCACTAAATAATCATGCAAGATATGAAACTATGTTGGCTTGCCAGATCTGGGATAACCTCAAAGAGGTTTTGCTTATAAACAGAGCAAGGAATACAGTAGATGAACTCATTATAACTTTGAGCCACAAAAGATGTTCCTACAAAGGCCATTCTATGCCACCTGTGAAGCAGCCCCAAGGCCATACACCATTTCTTATAGCTGACATGCATTCCCTTTTAGTAAGAACATTTGTTTCTGTATTTCATAATATCAAGATTCGACATTATTTCATATATCACTAAAACAGAAAAAAAGATTCCAAAAATTGTGTGCATTAGAAAATTGTTGCATAAAGATGGCACATCAAAGCTACTGGTATAACAGGAAATAAGAAATAAAGCCACAAGACAGGGGCTTCACAATGGCTGACTAGAGGCATCTGGTACTCATCCCCTTCACACAGAAGAACCTAGTGAGTAAATAATCACTCTTCAAATAGATCCTCTAAGAAAGAACAATGGAATTCAACAAGAGTGAGAAAAAACACAAGAAAGGAAGGAAAAAGAAGTGAGGGAGCATGCTTGACTGGGACCGGCTGCGACCCTGGAGAGGCATCCCAATGAGGAGAAAGGGTCAGTGAGAAACTTCCAGCAGTCCACATTTCCCCCACAGATCCCTGTAATTCTAGTGAAGAGAGAGAACCTTGACCCTCACAGGCCCCTGAAACTAACATAGGGAGGTGCTGGGAAACCATGTAATGGCATTGCTGCAGAGAGGGCGCTTATGCCATGTCCCAAACGCCCTGAGGCCTAAGCAACTACAGCATAGCACCACTTTGAGAATCCAGGTCCTACCAGATTGCATCATAACCTGGGGCCAAAAAGCCCCTACATCTCCATATCCCTATATTCCCACTGACATTCCCTGCCCTCCGCTGCCACTAAGGCTGGTTGCCACCATTAGGCCCAAAGCAAAAGCCATTGCCAGTGGCCCTGCCACTCCAAGTAGCAAAGCAACTGTGCATTTATAAGCACCCTAAGGACAGGCTACCCCACTCACATCCAACACCTGGGGCCAAAGCAGGCATTCTCCAGTTGCAAGCCTACACCACTGACACTGAAAGCAACCCTGCCTTCCAGAGCACCAGGGCCACAGCTAGCCCAACCTATGCATCCCACCAGAAAACCACCATATAATGCACCCAGAATCAACACCAAAGTTCCCTAACCCAACCAAGATGACAGATACATCTTCAGGTAAAAGCCTTCCCCTATGCAAACAAATTCAAAAAACTGGAAGGAGCAAAAGTTCTACCAATGGGCAGATATCAACATAAGAACAAAAGAAACACACATACAAAAGGCAAAGAAATATGACACCTCCCAAAGAACACAATAATTCTCAAGCAACAAATTCCAATACAAAAAAATTAACCGGGCGCGGTGGCAGGCGCCCGTAGTCCTAGCTACTCGGGAGGCTGAGGCAGGAGAATGGCATGAACCCGGGAGGCGGAGCTTGCAGCTAACAGAGATCACACCACTGCACTCCAGCCTGGGCAACAGAGCAAGACTCCGTCTCAAAAAAAAAAAAAGAAATTTACAAAATCCTGGGGAAATAATTCAGAATATTGATTATAAAGAAGCTCATTGAGATATAAGAGAACACACATAAATGATGCAAAGAAATTTAAAAAAAAAACACCAAGATTTGAATGAGACATTTACCAAAGGATAAACAAAAGAACCAAATGGAAATTCTGGAAATAAAAAATCTGCTGAATAAAATTAAAAATATACTTGAAAGAGTCAATAATAGACTAAATGAAGCACAAGAAAAAAATCCAGCACATGAAGATAGGTCTTTTGAAATAACCCAGTTAGTTAAAAAAAAAAAAAGAGAGAGAGAATTTAAAACAATTAACAAAGCCTGCATGACACAGAGGCCATCATCAAGCAACCAGATATTTGCATTTTCAGTGTCCCAGAGGGAAAGAGAAAGCAAAAGGAATAAAGCTATTTAATGAAATAGTAGCTGAAAACTTCTGAAGTTTAGCAAGAGATTTAGATATCCAGATTCAGGATGCCAGAGATTCCATCAAAAAACAAAAAAATAAATTTTTAAAAACCTTGAATGTAAACAGTCACTTAAAAAATATGGACTGGCTAAATGGATTATAAAAAAACATGATCTAACTATATGCTGCCGACAAGAAACTCATCTCACCTGTAAAGACACATAAAGATGGAAAAAGATATTCCATGCAAATTGAAACAAGAAAAGAGCAGGAACAGCTATACTTATATTAGATAAAAAAGACTTCAAGTCAAAACCAGTAAAAAGACACAAAGAAGGTCATAATATAATAATAAGGGGATCAGTTCAGCAAGAGGATACATTATTTAACAATTCTAAACATATATGCACCCAACACCAAGCACCCAGATATATAAAGCAAATATCATTAGCTCTAAAATGGGAGATAAGCTGGCTGTAGTGGTTCTCGCTCATAATCCCAGTACTTACGGAGGCCAAGGCAGGAGGATTGCATGAGGCCAGGAGTTTCACACCAGCCTGGACAAAACAGCAAGACTCCACCTCTAGAAAAAATTTTAAAATTAGCCAGGCACAGTGATGCACACCTGTAGTCCCAGCTACTTGAGAGGCTGAGGTAGGAGGACAATCACTCCAATATAATAATAGTTGGGGACTTCAATACCCTACTCTCAGCATGAGACAAATCATCTAGACAGAAAATTAACAATGAAATAACCAGATTTAAGCTGTACTTTAGACTAAATGGACCTTACAAACATTTACAGAACATTTCATTCAATAGCTACAGAATATACATTCTTCTCATCAGCACATGGAACATTCTCCAAGGTAGATCACATGTTATGACACAAAACAAGTCTCGGGGGTGGTTCCAAGATGGCCGAATAGGAACAGCTCCAGTCTACAGCTCCCAGCATGAGCGACGCAGAAGACGGGTGATTTCTGCATTTCCAACTGAGGTACCGGGTTCATCTCACTGGGGCTTGTTGGACAGTGGGGGCAGGACAGTGGGTGCAGCCCAACGAGCATGAGCCAAAGCAGGGCAAGGCATCGCCTCACCAGGGAAGCGCAAAGGGTCAGGGAATTCCCTTTCCTACCCAAAGGAACATGTGACAGACGGCACCTGGAAAATCAGGACACTCCCACCCTACTACTACACTTTTCCAACGGTCTTAGCAAATGGCACACAAGGAGATTATATCCCGTGCCTGGCTTGGAGGGTCCCAAGCCCACGAAGCCTCACTCATTGCTAGCACAGCAGTCTGAAATCCATCTGCAAGATGGCAGCAAGGGTGGGGGAGGGGCACCCACCATTGCTGAGGCATGAGTAGGTAAACAAAGCGGCCAGGAAGCTTGAACTGGGTGGAGCCCACCAAAGTTCAAGGAAGCCTGCGTGACTCTGTAGACTCCACCTCTGGGGACAGGGCATAGGCAAACAGAAGGCAGCAGAAACCTCTGCAGACTTAAATATCCCTGTCTGACAGGTTTGAAGTGAGTAGTGGTTCTCCCAGCACAGAGTTTGAAATCTGAGAATGGACAGACTGCCCCCTCAAGTGGGTCCATGACCCCTGAGTACCCTAACTGGGAGGCACCCTCCAGTAAGGGCAGACTGACACCTCACAGGGCCGGCTACCCCTCTGAGACGAAGCTTCCAGAGGAACGATCAGGCAGCAACATTTGTGGTTCAGCAACATTTGCTGTTCTGCAGCCTCCGCTGCTGATACCCAGGCAAACAGGGTCTGGAGTGGACCTCCAGAAAACTCCAATAGACCTGCAGCTGAAGGTCCTGACTGTTAGCAGGAAAACTAACAAACAGAAAGGACATCCACACCAAAACCCCATATGTACATCACCATCATCAAAGACCAAAGGTAGATAAAACCACAAAGATGCAGAAAAAACAGACCAGAAAAGCTGAAAATTCTAAAAATCAGAGCGCTTCTCCCCCTCCAAAGGAACGCAGCTCCTCACCAGCAATGGAACAAAGCTGGATGGAGAACGACTTTGACGAGTTGAGAGAAGAAGGCTTCAGACGATCAAACTTCTCCGAGCTAAAGAAGGAAGTTCGAACCCATCTCAAAGAAGCTGAAAACCTTGAAAAAAGATTAGATGAATGGCTAACTAGAATAACCAATGCAGAGAAGTCCTTAAATGACCTGATGGAGCTGACAAACATGGCACGAGAACTACGT
This sequence comes from Homo sapiens, assembly GCF_000001405.40. NCBI lineage: Eukaryota > Metazoa > Chordata > Mammalia > Primates > Hominidae > Homo > Homo sapiens. Next base: position 99,312,985 of record NC_000008.11, on the reverse strand, counting down.
GACAAATGCACAACCTTCCTTAGCCGATTCGATCAACTGGAAGAAAGGGCATCAGGGATTGAAGATCAAATGAATGAAATGAAGCGAGAAGAGAAGTTTACAGAAAAAAGAGTAAAAAGAAATGAACAAAGCCTCCAAGAAATATGGGACTATGTGAAAAGACCAAATCTATGTCTGATTGGTGTACTTGAAAGTGACGGGGAGAATGGAACCAAGTCAGAAAACAATCTGCAAGATATTATCCGGAGAACTTCCCCAACCTAGCAAGGCAGGCCAACATTCAAATTCAGGAAATACAGAGAACGCCACAAAGATACTCCTCAAGAGGAGCAACTCCAAGACACATAATTGTCAGATTCACCAAAGTTGAAATGAAGGAAAAAATGTTAAGGGCAGCCAGAGAGAAAGGTCCGGTTACCCACAAAGGGAAGCCCATCGGACCAACAGCTGATCTCTTGGCAGAAATTCTACAAGCCAGAAGAGAGTGGGGGCCAATATTCAACATTCTTAAAGAAAATAATTTTCAACCCAGAATTTCATATTCAGCCAAACTAAGCTTGATAAGTGAAGGAGAAATAAAACACTTTACAGACAAGCAAATGCTGAGAGATTTTGTCACCACCAGGCCTGCCCTAAAAGAGCTCCTGAAGGAAGCAATAAACATGGAAAGGAACAACTGGTAGCAGCCACTGGAAAAACATGCCAAATTGTAAAGACCATCGAGGCTAGGAAGAAACTGCATCAACTAACGAGCAAAATAACCAGCTAACATCATAATGACAGGATCAAATTCACACATAACAATATTAACCTTAAATGTAAATGGGCTAAATGTTCCAATTAAAAGACACACACTGGCAAATTGGACAGTCAAGTCCCATCAGTGTGCTGTATTCAGGAGACCCATCTCACATGCAGAGACCCACATAGGCTCAAAATAAAGGGATGGAGGAAGATCTACCAAGCAAACAGACAATAAAAAAAGGCAGGGGTTGAAATCCTAGCCTGTGATAAAACAGACTTTAAACCAACAAAGATCAAAATCGAGACAAAGAAGGCCATTACATAATGGTAAAGGGATCAATTCAACAAGAAGAGCAAACTACCCTAATCATATATGCACCCAATACAGGAGCACACAGATTCATAAAGCAAGTCCTTAGAGACCTACAAAGAGACTTAGACTCCCACACTATAATAATGGGAGACTATAACACCCCACTATCAACATTAGACAGATCAATGAGACAGAAAGTTAACAAGGATATCCAGGACCAGAACTCAGCTCTGCACCAAGTGGACTTAATAGACATCTACAGAACTCTCTACCCCAAATCAACAGAATATACATTCTTCTCAGCACCACAGCACACTTATTCCAAAATTGACCACATAGTTGGAAGTAAAGCACTCCTCAGCAAATGTAAAAGAACAGAAATTATAACAAACTGTCTCTCAGACCAAAGTGCAATCAAACTAGAACTCGGGATAAAGAAACTCACTCAGAACCACTCAACTACATGGAAACTGAACAACCTGCTCCTGAATGACTACTGGGTATATAACGAAATGAAGGCAGAAATAAAGATGTTCTTTGAAACCAATGAGAAAAAAGACACAACATACCAGAATCTCTGGGACACATCTGAAGCAGTGTGTAGAGGGAAATTTATAGCACTAAATGCCCACAAGAGAAAGCAGGAAAGATCTAAAATCAACACTGTAACATCACAATTAAAAGAACTAGAGAAGCAAGAGCAAACACATTCAAGAGCTACCAGAAGGCAAGAAATAACTAAAATCAGAGCAGAACTGAAGGAAATAGAGACACAAAACACCCTTCAAAAAATCAACGAATCCAGGACCTGGTTTTTTGAAAAGATCAACAAAATTGATAGACCAAAGCAAGACTAATAAAGAAGAAAAGAGAGAAGAATCAAATAGACACAATAAAAAATGATAAAGGGGATATCACCACCGATCCCACAGAAATACAAACTACCATCAGAGAATATTATAAACACCTCTACGCAAATAAATTAGAAAATCTAGAAGAAATGGATAAATTCCTCAACACATACACCCTCCAAAGACTAAAACAGGAAGAAGTTGAAGCCCTGAATAGACCAATAACAGGTTCTGAAATTGAGGCAATAATTAATAGCCTACCAACCAAATGGATTCACAGCCAAATTCTACCAGAGGTACAAGGAGGAGCTGGTACCATTCCTTCTGAAACTATTCCAATCAATAGAAAAAGAGGGAATCCTCCCTAACTCATTTTATGAGGCCAGCATCATCCTGATACCAAAGACTGGAATAGACACAACAAAAAAAGAGAATTTTAGACCAATATCCCTGATGAACACTGATGCAAAAATCCTCAATAAAATACTGGCAAACCGAATCCAGCAACACATCAAAAAGCTTATACACCATGATCAAGTGGGCTTCATCCCTGGGATGCAAGGCTGGTTCAACATACGCAAATCAATAAACATAATCCAGTATATAAACAGAACCAAAGACAAAAACCACATGATTATCTCAATAGATGCAGAAAAGGCCTTTAACAAAATTCAATAGGCATTCATGCTTAAAAAAAATTCTCAGTAAATTCGGTATTGATGGGACGTATCTCAAAATAATAACAGCTATTTATGACAAATGCACAGCCAATATCATACTGAATGGGCAAAAACTGGAAGCATTCCCTTTGAAAACCGGCACAAGACAGGGATGCCCTCTCTCACCACTCCTATTCAACATAGTGTTGGAAGTTCTGGCCAGGGCAATCAGGCAGGAGAAAGAAATAAAGGGTATTCAATTAGGAAAAGAGGAAGTCAAACTGTCCCTGTTTTCAGATGACATGATTGTATATTTAGAAAACCCCATCGTCTCAGCCCAAAATCTCCTTAAGCTGATAAGCAACTTCAGCAAAGTCTCAGGATACAAAATGAATGTACAAAAATCACAAGCATTCTTATACACCAATAACAGACAAACAGAGAGCCAAATCATGAGTGAACTCCCACTCACAATTTCTTCAAAGAGAATAAAATACCTAGGAATCCATCTTACAACGGATGTGAAGGATCTCTTCAAGGAGAACTACAAACCACTGCTCAACAAAATAAAAGATGACACAAACAAATGGAAGAACTTTCCATGTTCATGGATAGGAAGAATCAATATCATGAAAATGGCCATACTGGCCACGGTAATTTATAGATTCAATGCCACCCCCATCAAGCTACGGATGACTTTCTCCATAGAATTGGAAAAAACTACTTTAAAGTTCATATGGTACCAAAAAAGGGCCCGCATTGCCAAGACGGTCCTTGGCAAAAAGAACAAAGCTGGAGGCATCACACTATGTGACTACAAACTATACTAGAAGGCTATAGTAACCAAAACAACATGGTACTGGTACCAAAACAGAGATATAGACCAATGGAACAGAACAGAGCCCTCAGAAATAATACCACACATCTACAACCATATGATCTTTGACAAACCTGATGAAAACAAGCAATGGGGAAAGGATTCCCTATTTAATAAATGGTGGTGGGAAAACTGGCTAGCCATATGTAGAAAGCTGAAACTGGATCCCTTCCTTACACCTTATACAAAAATTAATTCACGATGGATTAAAGACTTACATGTTAGACCTAAAACCATAAAAACCCTAGAAGAAAACCTAAGCAATACCATTCAGGACACAGGCATGGGCAATGACTTCATATCTAAAACTCCAAAAGCAATGGCAACAAAAGCCAAAATTGACAAATGGGATCTAACTAAACTAAAGAGCTTCTGCACAGCAAAAGAAACTACCATCAGAGTAAACAGGCAACCTACAGAATGGGAGAAAATTTTTGCAATCTACTCATCTGACAAAGGGCTAATATCCAGAATCTACAATGAATTCAAACAAATTTACAAGAAAAAAACAAACAACTCCATCAAAATGTGGGTGAAGGATATGAACAGACACTTCTCAAAAGAAGACACGTATGCAGCCCACAGACACATGAAAAAATGCTCACCATCACTGGCCATCAGAGAAATGCAAATCAAAACCACAATGAGATACCATCTCACACCAGTTAGAATGGCAATCATTAAAAAGTCAGGAAACAACAGGTGCTGGAGAGGATGTGGAGAAATAGGAACACTTTTACACTGTTGGTGGCACTGTAAACTAGTTCAACCATTGTGGAAGACAGTGTGGCGATTCCTCAGGGATCTAGAACTAGAAATTACCATTTGACCCAGCCATCCCATTACTGGGGATACACCCAAAGGATTATAAATCATGCTGCTATAAAGACACATGCACACGTATGTTTATTGCGGCACTATTCACAATAGCAAAGACTTGGAACCAACCCAAATGTCCAACAATGATAGACTGGATTAAGAAAATGTGGCACATATACACCATGGAATCCTATGCAGCCATAAAAAAGGATGAGTTCATGTCCTTTGTAGGGACATGGATGAAGCTGGAAACCATCATTCGCAGCAAACTATCGCAAGGACAAAAAACCAAACACCGCATGTTCTCACTCATAGGTGGGAATTGAACAATGAGAACACTTGGACACAGGAAGGGGAACATCACATACTAGGGCCTGTCATGGGGTTGGGGGAGAGGGGAGAGATAGCATTAGGAGATATACCTAATGTAAATGACGAGTTAATGGGTGCAGCACACCGACGTGGTGCATGTATACATATGTAACTAACCTGCACGTTGTGCACATGTTCCCTAAAACTTGAAGTGTAATTAAAAAAAAAATTAAAAATAAAAAATAAAACAAAAAAAAAGTCTAAACGAAATTTTAAAAAATCAAAATTATATCAAGTATCTTCTCAGGCCACAATGGGATAAAACTAGAAATCAATAACAGAAACTTTGGAAACTGTGCAAGTATACAGAAATTAAACAAAATGCTCCTGAATGACCATTGGGTCAATGAAGAAATTAAGGAGGAAATTAGAAAGTTTCTTGAAACAAATGAAAATGAAAACACAACATACCAAAACCTAGGGAATACAGCAAAAGCAGTGCTAGTTAGGAAATTTGCAGCAATAAATATCTACATCAAAAAAGTAGAAAGATTTCAAATATCTAATGTTGTACCTCAAGGAATTAGAAAAGCAAGAACAAACCAAACCCAAAATTAGGAGATGACATGAAATAATAAAAGTCAGAGCAGAACTAAATGAAATAGAAACTTCAATGAAAAAGGGATCAACAAAAGGAAAAGGTTTTTAACAGATAAACAAAATCGATGGTCGGTTGCTTGTAATAATCAAAAAAGAGATAAGACCCAAATAAACAAAATCAGATATGAAAATAACCAGTGAAATAGCATATACTGTTGCTGCTTTCAGAATTAACAAAAATAACTAAATGAAATTATATTTAGGGAACAAACCAAAAGGGACTCAGTATCTCAATATTCAGGAATTAAAAAAAATGTTCTACCTATGAAGTTTCATTTTATTGTTCATAAACTGGAAGCATCTTTCTTAGGAAGCATTTGAAAATAGAAGACTTTAAAATATTTCTTTGCTTTCATATCTGTGAGTGAAATTATATAACTGTACAAGTTGTAAAGCCTGAGGACAGTAATTTTTAACAATTTTTCAAAGGGTCAAGCTAACTTAAAAGTTAACATTTTAAAATATAATTGAAAAGGAAAAGGAAACCTTAATGCTATTTTCTCTGAAGTCAAATAAATATATACAAACATACAGAGATAGACATATATTAAAAGATATAGAATACATATATAGAACCCTAATTATTACCATTCTCTATCAAGAGATTAAAACAACAGGTGAATTTTGGAGTGCTCTTTAATGTTAACCAAACTCAGATCCACAGTTTTATCAGCAGTGAACCCATTATTACCTCTTTGAAAAATCCGTGTGTGTACTTTTATTCATGTAGTAATACTTGTTTAATCGAGTTAATTAATTACAGCTTAACCAAAAAGCTCAAAAAGACCTCACACAGCATTCAAAGCATAGCTTGAAATCTAACTCTGCCTCACTTTTCTTTAAATTGGCCCTGAGGATGAAGTCAATAAACTGTCAGTTAATCACATACTTTCTTTGATGACTCTTCTGTAATTCACTATCATCCCACTTCATAAATTTTTTAGTATAAGTTCTGAGATTTCAAGTGAGATGCCTCTTCCATGGGAAAACACAGTTTAAGAGTTTTCTGCTGCCAATAAAACAATAAGACAAACTGGCTGATGATCCTCCCACACTATACTGTGTAGGTGTAAGCCCTCAACCAGTGAAAGTTTAATTTGTTCCACCAATAGCACAGAAAACTACTCCAATTTATTCACTAAATAAATATGAACATTAGTCTCTTGCATTTTGTTAAGACCTAGTTTGAACTAAGTTATTTGTAGGCAAAAACAATCCTGAATCAAATAGGGTTAATACAATAAACATAATTAGTATCCCACTACCAGGACCAAGATGTTCCACTACGTATATATTCTATCAACTTCTAATGGGAATGCACTATTTTCCAAGGCCAGCTTCCCCCAAACAGCATTATTTTCTCACTTAATAGTCAAATACCCCTAAAATATAATGAAAACATATAACCTCTACCTCACTAGTCCATCTGGCACTCTAGATATGTCTTTTACCTACTGTCTACATATTCCTGACCTATTGACTCAGATTCTTAGCCTCTTGCCCACTCTCAGGGAAACTCCCTAATTGATATATTTATCCTGCCCACATAGTTCACTGACCTCTTATCCTATAAATGACAGGTCCTTGTCTTCATGCCCTTAATTCACTCCAAGGATTAGTCTTCCTAGTTGCCAGATGCCCTTAAATTGACTTAAAGAATCCACTTCACATTTATTACAACCAATGCGCCAAACATAAGCGAAAACTTTTGTCTTAATAGTCATCTGATAAAAATAAACAGCATTAACAAAAAGTATTAAAAATACAGTGGTGATATAACTAGGTTAAGTGAGAAACAGGCAATTTTTGACAGAGTTGATTAGTACTAACAAGAAAGCAGACAAGACCAAATAGTTAACACCAAAGTGATAAACCAGTAAGAGGAAGAAACTAGCAGAGTGGCTAATGTCAAACGGGTAAAAGCCTGGATGTCAGTCCATTTCTTTATTTTTGCCTCTTGATAATAGCTATTAGCAATTAATTCCCATCATCTCCCATTAAAGACAGGTTTATCATGTAACTTTTACCAAAGATTTTTAGTTCAAAATCTTTTACTAATTCAAAACACTTTTACTCAACACCAACCATATGCCTAAAAGTAAACATTAAGCACTTAGAGATAAATAGGCCCTGTATTTGAACTGTTCATAATTTAGTGGGAGACACTGATAAAAAACTAATGATCATATTGTTTGATAAGTGCTTTAATAAAGACACAGTAATCCCTCAGTATCTGGGGGATTGGGTCTAGCAGCCCCAGTGGATATCAAAATCTGCTGATACTCAAATCCCTTATAAAAAATGGTGTTGCATTTGCATATAACCTACACACATCCTCCCATATACTTGAAATAATCTCTGGGTTTTATAATACCTAGTACAATGTAAATGTCATGTAAACAGTTATTATACTGTATTGGTTTTTATTTGTATTATTTTTACTAGTTATTATTTTTATTGGTTGTTTTTTCCTGAACATTTTTGATCCACCATTGGTTGAACCCACAAATGTGGAATGCATTGATACAAAGAGCCAACTGTATTCATATGAAGTTACAGAATGTAAAGGAGAAGCAAAATACAATGGACACCTAACCTGTCTTGGGAAGCGAATTTGTAAATAAATTTTCAATGAGGTAATGATTGAGTTGAATAAAATGGAGATAATAAAGTAAGAGAAGAAGAAAATTAGGGAGCTTTCTATGCACTAAAAATTGTTTACACTAATGAAAATGGTAAGAGAATGGCATTTTCATGGAATTGCAAATCGTTCCACATGATGGGAGGATGATATGCACATGAAAATACCACACAATATGAGGCTCATGTTGTCCTGCTAAGAAGTCTGAACTTTATACAGAAAACATTGGGAGGGGGGCAGTAAAACATATTTTGAAAGGGAGCAAAAAGATCACATCTGTCTTACAGAGAAGGTTTATAGAAAAGTCTCAGAATTTGTTGATTGCCCAGATATAAAAGATGGAAAATGAGAGAACAGAAACGTTTAGGATGATCCCTAGGATTATGAATGGATTGACTGATAATACTACCATTCATTGTACAGAGAATAAAGGTCAAGGTGTAGGCTTGGAGTAAAATGGCAAAATTAACCTGGAAGTGCTGGGTCTAATGTGCTCATGAATTATCCAAGAGACAATGTTCACAGATAATCAAAAATTCATTGACAGTCCAGGAAAAATGTTGGGACTACCAATGTTACAGAATAGCACAAATTTAATATTTCATCTTTACAGAATTGACTGGCATTATCCAAGACTGGGTACACAATATCAATTCCTTTTAGCCACTGGATTCAATGCCTTATTCCATGAAAAAAAAAACAAAACATGATTTTCTTTTAAAGCAATCACATCTGCCAATAGAAAATATGAATTTCTTTAAAATTTTCTTTCCTAATCCCTGATTATCCTCTCATAGGGAAGTGCTTTCTGATAAAACAGAAAACAAAGACTATCTTATTTGTTTTTTGAGTTCCAACCAAAAACTCGAGCCATTATAATAATAACTACTATTTTGATGTGCCAAATCTTATTCTAAATGCTTTAATTACATGAATTCATTAATCTTCATGACAACCCTGAGACAGATACTATAATTATACCCATTTCACCAATAAGAAAACAAAGTTACCAAAGATTCAAACTAGCCCATGATCACAAAAATCACATGCAGTGGAGACAAAAATCAGTCTGCTTATAAAGCCCATATTTTTAACCACTATACTATAAAATCTGTCATAAATGATATTACTCTAAGAAATCAGGATTATGTGAACGTCAAAATTAAGCTATGGAGAACTACAAAAGAAGCTATGGAGAACTACTGATGGTAACATAAATAAATATGCATATAAATGGAAAAATAGATCACCTTACTGAGAGATCTGTAGTACAAATGTTTTGCCAGGCACTGAGCCACAATCAATACACAATCACTGAACCACAGCAACACACAATCACAAGAAAGAAACATATATTCTTTTTTTTTTTTTTTTTTTTTGAGACGGAGTCTCACTCTGTCTCACCCACGCTGGAGTGCAGTGGCGCAATCTCAGCTCACTACAGCCTCCACCTCCCAGGTTCAAGCAATTCTCCTGTCTTAGCCTCTGGAGTAGCTGAGACTACAGGCGAAGAAACACATATTCTAAAGCCACATTACACGTGGGGCTGTGCAGAGTTTCTGCAGTTGCTTCAAAATCTTGTTACTACTGGAATTTTACTGAATCTAGAATGCACAAGACTTTAAAAGATTTAAAACATTCTTCATTCTTAATGTCACTTTAATTCCTTTAATGGTGGTATTACTATAGAAAAAATATAGCTAGTTACAAAGATAAAGCACTCTATGAATCAAGGGGAATCTGCACCATAGAGGACATGAGCGCCCATTGTTCACAGCAACACTTTTGCAAAACAATGTTTCAGTTCTCCTTCTCAACTAGTTGTTTTCCTTTTTTTTTTTTTTTTTTTTTGAGACAGGCTGAGTGCAGTGGCGCAATCTTGGCTCACTGCAACCTCCACCTCCCAGGTTCAAGCGATTCTCCTGCCTCAGCCTCCCAAGTAGCTGGGATTACAGGAGCATTCTACCACGCCCAGCTAATTTTGTGTATTTTTAGTAGAGAAGGGGTTTCACCGTGTTAGCCAGGATGGTTTCAATCTCCTGACCTCATGATCCGCCCGCCTTGGCCTCCCAAAGTGCTGGGATTACAGGCGGTGAGCCACCACACCCGGCCCTTCTAAACTAGTTTTAAACAACAAAGACAGACATTTTCATCATATTACACAGATGGTCCCCAACTTAGGTTGGTTCAACTTAGGATTTTTTGACTCTAGGATGGTGCTAAAGCAATATGCGTTCAATAGAAACCGTACTTCACGTGCCCATGGAGCCATTCTGTTTTTTACTTTCAATAGAGTATTCAGGCCAGGCACTGAGGCTCACGCCTGTAATCCCAGCATTTTGGGAGGCCAAGGCAGGTGGATCACCTGAGGTCAGGAGTTCAAGACCAGCATGGCCAACATGGCAAAACCCCATCTCTACAAAAAATATAAAAATCAGCTGGGTGTGGTGGCATACCCTGTAATGCCAGCCACCTGGCAGGCTGAGGCAGGAGAATTGCTTGAACCTAGGAGATGGAGGTTGCAGTGAGCCAAGATCTTGCCACTGCACTCCAGCCTGGGTGACAGAGTGAAACTCTGTCTTTAATAAAAAAAAAAATCAATAGAGTATTCAATAAATTGCATGAGATATTCAATACTGTATCATAAAATAGGCTTTGTGTTAGAAGATTTTGCCCAATAATAGGCTAAGGTAAGTGTTCTGAGAATGTTTAAGGTAGGCTAAGCCAAGCTGATGTTCAGTAGGTTAGGCATATTAAATGCATTGTCAACTTACAGTATTTCCAACTTACAGTAGATTTATTAAAACAAAACACACATCATAAGTTGAGAAATATTTATAGTTATCACTGGTATTTAGCATCAAAATACTAAAGTGTTCATCTGAAGCCAACCCTGGTAATCTGGCTAGACAGTTTGGAGCTATGGCCGGAGGAGTCAAGTAAGGGCCAGAAAAGTAAGTATCTTCAAACCCTAGAATAATGACTTCAGAACAGCCTCGTGCAGCAGAAAATCTGATGCCCCTCCTTTCTTAGACTGAGTCCCATTAGAGATCATTGAAATAAGGAGCTCCAGAGCTCTCTTATTTGACACTATGAGTACTGCTTCAGTTGAAGGGTGAAAAAAATTAGTTAAAGTAAGAAATCACAAGAAAGAATACATTTACAGTCTAAACATTTTATTTAGCCTGGGTGCAGTGGCTCACACCTGTTATCCCAGCATTTGGGGAGGCCAAGGCAGACGGATCTCTTGAGCCCAAGAGTTTGAGACCAGGTTGGGCAACATAATGAGACCCCATCTGTATTTAAAAAACAAAAACAAAACCATTTTATTTAAACATAAAACACAAACGTATATCCATTAATTTGTCTTTGGATTTAGATGGAAACAAGGACTCTAAGTTCTGCCTTATCTTACATAAATACCTTTGATATATCATCTACAATTTCTGCTTTCAACTTTTTACTGAATAAGCTCCCGTTCCATTAAGTTACTACGAAGATAAAACAAGATGGGACTCTTGGCTGGGTGCAGTGGCTCACGCCTGTAATCCCAGCACTTTGGGAGGCCGAGGCAGGCAGATCACCTGAGGTCAGGAGTTGGAGACCAGCCTGACCAACATGGAGAAACCCCATCTCTACTAAAAATAAATTAGCTGGGAGTGGTGGTGCATGCCTGTAATCCCAGCTACTCGGGAGGCTAAGGCAGGAGAATTGCTTGAACCTGGAAGGTGGAGGTTGCGGTGAGCCGAGATTGCGCCATTAAACTGTAGCCTACGCAACAAGAGCAAAACTCAGTCAAAAAAAAAAAAAGAAAGAAAGAAAACAAGATGGGACTCTTAAAAGAGTGCCTGATACTAACGAGCCCTAAATAAAAGTTAAAAAAAATTTTTTTTTTGAAACAAGGTCTTGCTCTGTTATCCAGACTGGGGTGCAATTGCATGCTCATGGCTCACTGCAGCCTCGACCTCTCAGGCTCAAGTGATCCTTCCACGTCAGCCTTCCAAGTAGCTGGGACTTCAGGCATGCACACCACACCCAACTAATTTTGGTATTTTTTTGTAGAGATGGGGTTTCACCATGTTGCCCAAGCTGGTCTCAAATTCCTGGGGCTCAAGCGAGCCACCCACCAAAGTGCTGGGATTACAGGCACACGCCACCATGCCGGGCCAAAAGTTAATATTTTTATTATGTGTGCAGAACTTGGTTTACCAAAAAAAAAAAAAAAAAAACTATATTAAATAATCTGATTTTTTCCCAATAACACTATGAGGTAGGCTAACACTTATTAATATTCCTATTTCACAGTGGGATACTTGAGGTACACAGCAGCACATTAATGACAAACACCTAATAAATGATATAGCTGAGGCTAAAACCCAGCTCTGTAAGAGTAATGCAGACAATCTCTCTTGAATGGATAACTAAAGAAAAGGAACTGGGAAGAGAATGCAGGATGATTCATCATATCTCCCAGAAAACCTCCTTCAAAAATGATACCTAGGCTGAAAGGGATAAACAAGTAAGGACGTGGAAACCTGTACTCTTAGCCAAACACATATTAGGGTTGGTTACAAACTGACTTGGAATACAGCAACAACTTTAAGCTACTACTCGCTGGTTGAGAAGTCTATATAAAAAGAAAACACACCCAACATACCAATGTTACCATGTTGCAATTGCATACTGTTGCAGTATTTACAACCAATGCTTTATTGAGAAATATATATTCTTTTAACTATTTGCTTTCAAAAGCTAACATAAAATTATTTAGAATAAGTAACCTGCTGTTTATCAAAGTGCACATTAATGCCAAATATGCTATTAACATAGCAAAAAGCAGAGATAAAGTGACCCAAGTGGTATTTGGGGATTGCAGACAATAGATGGCTTCCCAAATGAGGACATATGAAAACCTCAAAATGTTGTGCTCACCCCTGGTGTACACACAAACACACACACAAGTTTGCTTAAATAAGTCTAAATAAGACAGCTATGGGCAAGAATATCAAAGGAAAGGATTAGAGAGAGGCAGACTCAAAGATTTAGAAACACACTGGTTTGATCTTGTAAACAGAACTTTTGGCACATGTTCCCATTAGACAATCAGGTAGTAGTTATATGATCATATAACAAAACACAACAAGGCAAGCTACTCAGTTTATGTTAAGTATAAATTTACTTTGTTGTTGTTTTTGTTGTTGAGATGGAGTTTCGCCCTGTCACTAAGGCTGGAGAGCAATGGCACGATCACGGCTCACTGCAACCTCCACCTCCCAGGTTCAAACAATTCTCCTGCCTCAGCCTCCCAAGTAGCTGGAATTACAGAGGCCCACCACCACGCTCAGCTAATTTTTGTATTTTTAGTAGAGACTGGGTTTCACCATGTTGGCCAAGCTGGTCTCGAACTCCTGACCTCATGATCTGCCCGCCTCAGACTCCCAAAGTGCTGGGATTACAGGCATGAGCCACCGTGCCTGGCCAAATTTACTTTTAAAATGTAAGGATGGACAGGAAAAAAAAAAAATCTGTAAGTTTAGCATGGTGCAACAATAAAAAAACTAAAATATAAATTCATGTTAAATGTGGAGTTAATCTGCTGGTAAAAATGATATCAGTAGTAACACAAGAAATATTTGCCAAAAAACTGCACTACATACTTTATGTGCATAATTTAACTTAAGCCTTACAAAACTTAAGTGCTGATTCTTTTTAATGAAGAAATTAAAACGTAAAGCGGTGGAATAACTTGGCCGGGTACAGTGGCTCACACCTGTAATTCCAGCACTTTGGGAGCCTGAGGCAGTGGATTACCTGAGGTAAGGAGTTCAAGACCAGACTGGCCAACATGGTGAAACCCCGTCTCTACTAAAAATACAAAAAATTAGCCGGGTGTAGTGGTGGGGGCCTGTAATCCCAGCTACTCAGGAGGCTGAGGCAGGAGAATCGCTTGAACCCAGGAGGCTGAGGTTGCAGTGAGCCAAGATAGTGCCATTGCACTCCAGCCTGGGCAACAAGAGTGAAACTCTGTCTCAAAAAAAAAAAAAAAAAAAAAAAAAAGTGGTGGAATAACTTGGCCAAGATCGCTCTTTGGAATGTGGCAGGACTGAAACTCCAGATCACATCTAACTCTAAGAGTGTTTCTGACCATCAAAAACCATCCCTGCAAAGCAGAGGTGCTGCTTTCTGAGCACCTGCCACTCACTCCTTGGCCTTGTGCTAGCTCTTCATATTCCCTACCTTTAATCCTAAAAACAATCCCTGTAAGGGGGCCAATTTTTTAAATAAATTTTACAAATGAAAAAATAACACTTGGGAAGACAATTAACTCCCAAAGTCATGAAGAAAGTTAAAGCAAATAGGTATCTGAAAACAGGTTTGCCTGACTCCAAAGTCTAACCTCTTTCTCTTAAACAGTGTTGGGATAATGAAACTAAAGAAATGATTTACAAGATACTTGAGAGTAGAATTAAAGCATTAAAACCTTCTAGGAAAAAATACTTACATGTCATTGAGTGAATTATTTATATGACATCTTGACGATCTCCAAGATAATCTTTCTATCAGACAAAAGTATATCTTTTTTATTTTTATTTTATTTAATTAATTAATTTATTTATTTTGAGACCAAGTTTCACTCTTGTTGCCCAGGCTGGAGTGCAGTGACACCATCTCGGCTCACCGGAACCTCTGCCTCCCAGGTTCAAGTGATTCTCCTGCCTCAGCCTTCCTAAGTAGCTGGGATTACAGGCATGTGCTACCACACCCAGTTAATTTTGTGTTTTTAGTAGAGACGGGGTTTCTCCATATTGGTCAGGCTGGTCTCGAACTCCTGACCTCAGATGATCCACCCACCTCGGCCTCGCAAAGTGCTGGGATTACAGGCGCAAGCCACCGCACCCGGCCGACAAAAGTATATTAATTATGATATAGACAAGAAAGACTCACTGGAACTCTCTGAAAAGTTAGCCACTGCATCATAAAATTTGTAGTTAAACTTATTTAGCACTAATATTTGAAGAATAAACTTTTGACAATGTTTATCAAGGGCAAAATAATGCACCAAAACATGCCTTTAATAAAGTTACTGTCAGGCAAGCTCAAAAAGATGAATATAACAAAACTCAGCCCTTCTTTCTATTGGTAAAAAATTAGAAAAATCCCAATATCCAAATATCCACCAATAATGTATTACCCAGCAAGAAGACATTAATTAATTTCAAGACAGCCAACAACAGGATGCTACAATGTCACTTAAAATGAGGAAGAAAAACTGTATTTAGTGGCATAGAAAGATGGCTTTAAAACACTGTTGAGTGGAAAGGCAGGTACAGAAGAAAATGTATGGGTACAAAATCATACGTGTACAATTCTATGTTTATCTAACGTTGCATAGAAAATTGTCTAAAACGATGTTCACCAAAACATAAACACTAGCTAACCACTAGCACATAGTTTCAGATTGCTAACACTTCTTAATATTTTTCTTTCCATGGGAATTTTTGCATTATGCATTTATCAGAACAGTAAAATGACATTTTCATTTTGTAAAAAGAAAAAAGGAAGAAAAGAATTAGCACATGATTTTACATATTACTCAATATGAAGTAATGATGTCTTATTACACAAACCCTTAGACCTAGTTGATTCATATAACAATTATTTAAAAAACATTATTTTAATAAGAAAATAGCTGACAAGTTTCCTAATTTCACCAAAATATAAAGTTACAAATGTGATTACAAGGATTAATACTTTAGGCTGTTAAGAGGTTGACATTAAAAAGAACAAAGTTCTAACAGCTAGTGAAAAACCAATGCAGAGCTCCTATGCGCATCTCAAAAAGGGCTGCCTAAAATGAAACAATAGCCAATTTCAAACAAAATCTTTCACTTGGTTTCAATATAAGAAAAAAAGAAAAATCTAAACTAAGTTTTGTCATCAGAATTTCAGATCAATAAGCAAATAAACCCTATAAAAACCTTACTTTCATTTTACATTTTAGCATCTAAAGTCTCAAATTTTCTGAATTTGTTGAGAAATGTATTTCACATGAGTACACGAGATGTCTTCAAAAAATCCCTCCCCCTCATATATATATATATAAATACACAAATATTTATACTTAAATTGGTGTTTATCACTCTTCTAGTTCATTTGTGCTGCTATGACAAAATACTCAAGACTGTGTAATCTATAAATATTAGAACTTTATTTCTCACAGTTCTGGAACCTAGGGAGTCCAAGATCAAGATGCCTGCAGGTTTACTATCTGGTGAAGTCCTGGTCTCTGTTTCCAAGATGGAGACCTGAAAGCTATGTCCTCACGTGGCAGAAGGACAATAAGGAAAGATGAGTGCTTCCTTCAACCTCTTTTATAAGGTCACTAATTCCATTCACAAGGGCCAACCCTTGTGACTTAATTACCTCATAAAGGACCCACTTCCTAATATTATCACATTGGTGATTAAGTTTTAACATAGGAATTTTAGGAGACACATTCAGACCACAGCAATTACCATCCTTGCATAAATATGCATTCACAATATGCACAGATAAGGTTTTGCTTGTTTTTAGAGTAAAGAAAGATTTAACTATACTAGAAAAATTCATTCAAATTTACATTCAGTCCAGGTTTCCATTTTATGTATTAGAAAAAATGGCATATTGTAGTAATATTAGAAATAAGAATCTAGCATATGTCCTACCTATATATAAATATGTAGTACTTCCAAAATATTTTTCTATCATTAATTACATAGATATTATCCTTATTTCCAGTGAAAAAAAGTTTATTAAAAATTTATAGCTTCTAGAACAATAAATGCTCTTCACATCCTTGCCCTGATCTGGCACAGAAATTATATGTACACAGGTAATATTTGGATAGATAATTAAAAGGGTAACAAAAAAGGCAAATGAATAAACTCCAAACTCATTTTTAGAATTAATATTTACATAATGTACAGATGGTCCCCAACTTACAATGGTTCAGCATAAAATTTTTCAACTTTATGATGGTGCAAAAGCCATATGCAGTCAATAGAAACTATAGGAACTATACTTCCTTTTGTTTTTTTGAGATAGGGTCTCACTGTATTGCCCAGGATGGAGTGGAGTGATGCAAACAGAGCTCACTGCAGCCTTGACCTCCTGAGTTCAAGTGCTCCTTCCATCTCAGCCTCCCAAGTAGCTGGGACTACAGGGGCATGCTACCATGCCCAGCTAATTTTTTTAAATTTATTCTTTGTAGAGACAGAGTCTCTCTATGTTGTTTAGGTTGGCCTCAAATTCCTGGGCTCAAGCAATCCTTATACCTCCCCTCCAAAGTGCTGGGATTATAGGGATGAGCCATTGCGCCTGGCCTTCTACTTCAAATTTTGATTTTGATCTTTTCCTGGACTAGCGATATACAGTATGCTACTCTCTTGTGATGCTGGGCAGCGGCAGAAAGTGATCACAAGGGTAAACAATCTGTACTCTACAGTGCACTGTGTTGCTAGATGATTTTGCCCAACTGAAGGCCAATGTAAGTGTTCTGAGAATATTTAAGGTAGTCCAGGCTAAGCTATAGTGTTCAATAGGTTAGATGTATCAAATACATTTTCTACTTAATATTTTCTATTTACAAAGCATTTATCAAGCTGTAACATCATAAGTCAAGGAGTTTTCATACATACATATATGTTCTGTAGCTTTTATTTGAACACAGTTTCTGACCACTTTAGATTCTTCTGTCAACTTTAGAACAAGTCCCTTCTGATCATAAAATCCATTACTTAACCTCTTTCAAAAGATACTTATTTCATTAATCTTTTTTCCTTTAGGCTGTTTATAGATGTATCATTAACCTGTATATAAAGTTATTATATAAGTAAAATATCATACATATTAATGATGTAAAACTTCTTTTTTATTTTGAAATTTTAGGACATTTTATCACCTAGTACCAAGAGACAATTTTTAAATTAATTTCCAATATATCTCCCTAACTGTTTTCTACTGCTTATTTTATCTGTAAAATCTCAGTATGTCACTAGCATAATGCATCTACATATATGATCAAATGTTTGTCAATGAAGATAAGCTCTTACATTTTCTAATACCAACAAATATTTTTAACACATCAACTAAAAAGGAGAAACTAGTCAAACATAGGATCATCAATGTCATCCACAGCCACCACCAGCCACATGATGCCATCCTTATTTTTACTTCGATCTGTAGAATACTGTCATAATACACCAATTTGTGAGAACAGCAATAATAATAAACAAATTAACTTAGTTTGCAACATGAATGGTGACCTCTTTAAAAGGGTGTCTTTATGCAATGGACAACACAACAGTATTCAGTATCTGGCATTGCAACCATTTAACAGATTAAGAAACAATCAAATTGAGCTCAAGTGATTTACACCAAGATTAAGATCCAGAATTAGAATTCCAGAGTAACAGCTTTAATGTTACAGACACATTTCTTCCTTCATATAACAGGGATCTTGTCTTAGCTATGCCATATCACTCCATGCTATTTTCTTTTTTTATTTTTATTTTATTTTATTTTATTTTTATTATACTTTAAGTTTTAGGGTACATGTGCACATTGTGCAGGTTAGTTACATATGTATACATGTGCCATGCTGGTGCGCTGCACCCACTAACTCGTCATCTAGCATTAGGTATATCTCCCAATGCTATCTCTCCCCCCTCCCCCCACCCCACCACAGTCCCCAGAGTGTGATATTCCCCTTCCTGTGTCCATGTGATCTCATTGTTCAATTCCCACCTATGAGTGAGAATATGCGGTGTTTGGTTTTTTGTTCTTGTGATAGTTTACTGAGAATGATGGTTTCCAATTTCATCCATGTCCCTACAAAGGACATGAAATCATCATTTTTTATGGCTGCATAGTATTCCATGATGTATATGTGCCATATTTTCTTAATCCAGTCTATCATTGTTGGACATTTGGGTTGGTTCCAAGTCTTTGCTATTGTGAATAATGCCGCAATAAACATATGTGTGCATGTGTTTTTATAGCAGCATGATTTATAGTCATTTGGGTATATACCCAGTAATGGGATGGCTGGGTCAAATGGTATTTCTAGTTCTAGATCCCTGAGGAATCGCCACACTGACTTCCACAATGGTTGAACTAGTTTACAGTCCCACCAACAGTGTAAAAGTGTTCCTATTTCTCCACATCCTCTCCAGCACCTGTTGTTTCCTGACTTTTTAATGATTGCCATTCTAACTGGTGTGAGATGGTATCTCATTGTGGTTTTGATTTGCATTTCTCTGATGGCCAGTGATGGTGAGCATTTTTTCATGTATTTTTTGGCTGCATAAATGTCTTCTTTTGAGAAGTGTCTGTTCATGTCCACCCGCTTTTTGATGGGGTTGTTTGTTTTTTTCTTGTAAATTTGTTTGAGTTCATTGTAGATTCTGGATATTAGCCCTTCGTCAGATGAGTAGGTTGCGAAAATTTTCTCCCATGTTGTAGGTTGCCTGTTCACTCTGATGGTAGTTTCTTTTGCTGTGCAGAAGCTCTTTAGTTTAATTAGATCCCATTTGTCAATTTTGGCTTTTGTTGCCATTGCTTTTGGTGTTTTGGACATGAAGTCCTTGCCCACGCCTATGTCCTGAATGGTAATGCCTAGGTTTTCTTCTAGGGTTTTTATGGTTTTAGGTCTAACGTTTAAATCTTTAATCCATCTTGAATTGATTTTTGTATAAGGTGTAAGGAAGGGATCCAGTTTCAGCTTCCTACATATGGCTAGCCAGTTTTCCCAGCACCATTTATTAAATAGGGAATCCTTTCCCCATTGCTTGTTTTTCTCAGGTTTGTCAAAGATCAGATAGTTGTAGGTATGCGGCATTATTTCTGAGGGCTCTGTTCTGTTCCATTGATCTATATCTCTGTTTTGGTACCAGTACCATGCTGTTTTGGTTACTGTAGCCTTGTAGTATAGTTTGAAGTCAGGTAGTGTGATGCCTCCAGCTTTGTTCTTTTGGCTTAGGATTGACTTGGCGATGCGGGCTCTTTTTTGGCTCCATATGAACTTTAAATGGTGCTTTACACGTTCAGAGAAACTTCTCTAGTAACAAACTATAGAAATGATCCCTGAAAGTATAGTCTTCACTCCATGCTATTTTCTAAAAATCCCCTTTGGACCAGTCATCAAAAAGATAGTGAAAAGAAGCTAAATAAGAAGCACAAATAATTAGTTGCATTGTGTGTTTATAAGTAGTTCTGATTCAAAATAAACCACTGTCTGTATCTTAGGAAAGTTACAAACAGTTGCACAAAAATAGATATAACATATAAAATTTACCCAAGAACTGCAATATATGGGGTATATTGTGTGCCCCTTTTAGATTCCATTTAAGGTGGATAAATTATTTTTTATGATATCTAAATTATTTGCTATTTTTAGTGATCCCAATATATGGGATAAACCTGAGCAAAGTAGAAACATCTAGGTCCATGTGTTTAACTTTTATAGATTTTAAATAACATAATATCTAAACATGATCTTTTCAGCTACAAACTGCAGAGGCTTACTTCAGCGACTATAATCATTAAAAGTAATAGATAAAGCTGGTCAGTAATTAAATTGATCACATCTCCCTGAGGGCCAAAAACCTAGTAGATGACAAAAGAGCTCAACATTTTCCAGCTGCTGAAGGGTAAAAGCTTTCAACATTTGGATGTATGCAGGCATCTTATTTTCCCAGGATTTCAAAGTCCACATGCAGGCTGCTGTTCAGCTATTATAAATGAGTAATTCAAGTAGGGCATGACTGCTTCTTATATTAACTTGATAAAGATGTTTCACTCTAAATGCATCAACAGTTGTGTTAAGTCATCCCTTTCACAGGCTGGCTGAGGCATACTTATGCCATGCTTTGTTAACAACAAATCCAATTAAAAGTTTTCTTCACTTCTGCATTTGTTATTCTAAGGCTAAAAATCAAGTTCTACTTAATAATTAACTCCAAGCTTACCCACATAAATTAGATTAAATCTAATAATCCCAACATCCAAATTTTAAAAATTTGTCTTAGAAAACAAAGCAGCAATAACAATCCAATCTTATATTCTACAATCTTTTAAAATTTTTAAATATGATTCCTAATTATACTTATCTGAATATTCTGAAATACTGTAGAGGAAAAATTACCTTACCACAAATATGTACTAAACACTTTTTAACAACAATTATATATTTTTTACTTTTATGGGAATATTGTCTTCATCCAATAATAATTACCATTTAAAAGAAAACAATGTAAGCTAATTGAAAATATTTGCAATGCTAAAATAAGAATTTTCCACTCATGTGCAATCCTTTATCACTCAAGGCTTAAATATCAATCCTTCCTTGAGAGATCTTTCTAATATCATTCAGTCCTCCCTTCTTCAATTCAAATTAATCTCTTTTTCCTCTATTTTTGGATAGCAGAACTTCTCTCCCAATCAATTATATCATTTGTGAAAGTCAAATTAGAATTAGTTGTATGTGTATATAGACTACTTGACCAGGGCCCTGTACTGAGTAACTTTCTATACCAGCCTCTAGAATGCAGCTAGCAGCCAATAAATTAAAGTAAATAGAATTCAATGAATTGAATCATAAATTATCTAGAGTCTGAAATCTCCATAGCCTGTGCTGTTTCACGTAATGGTGAAGAATATGAGTTCTTTATTCAAACTGCCTATGTTCTCTGTAAAATGCTTAGAATAATTCCTGGCACGTAGAAAGAACTATTAGTATTATTACATCTATTGCTTCTATTACCCTAAAGAAAACTTGGTTCTTGTTTCTTTGTTCCTCATTTCAGTAAAAGGCATTTTATTGTCCACCCAGCTCTTCAAATCCACATCCTGGGTGCTTGCCTACTGTGCTCTTTCTTTTGGCCAACATATTCAATTAATCACCTCCTGTAATTCCAACCCATTAATATTCCACAAATCTGTGTAATTCTCTCCATTGACATTAGCATTTTTTCACTGCAACATATTCCTAACTTTTCTCATGGCCTCCTGTCATTTATCCTCATCCACACTACTGCCTATGCTAGTTTCTAAAGCATAAATATAAAAAAAGCCTTTTAACTATTTCCTTTGGCACTCAGTCCAAACCCTTTAAAATGACTTTCAAGGCCCGTTTTAATCTGAGGGAGCTTTCTTATCTTATCAGGCACAAACTATTACCATTGATCCCATCCCATTCAAATCTTCAAATCCACAGAAATTATTTACAGTTTAGCCAAACTTGACCAATTGTTTCTTCTCCAACCCTTAATTAAGGACTCATCTTAGACATGACTTATTCCAGGAATCCTTTTCCAAGTCAGAAAGACTGGGTTAAGGATTTCTTTCAATGTGAATTCATAATACCTTGTTTTGTGGCATTCCTTGAACTACCTTTTTTTTCTTTTTTTTTTTTATTATTATACTTTAAGTTCTAGGGTACATGTGTACAACGTGCAGGTTTGTTACATATGTATACATGTGCCATGTTGGTGTGCTGCACCCATTAACTCGTCATTTACATTAGGTATATCTCCTAATGCTATCCCTTCCCTCTCCCCGCACCCCATGACAGGCCCCAGTGTGTGATGTTCCCCTTCCTGTGTCCAAGTGTTCTCATCGTTCAATTCCCACCTATGAGTGAGAACATGCAGTGTTTGGTTTTTTGTTCTTGCGTTAGTTTGCTGAGAATGATGGTTTCCAGCTTCATCCATGTCCCCACAAAGGACATGAATTCATCATTTTCTATGGCTGCATAGTATTCCATGGTGTATATGTGCCACATTTTCTTAATCCAGTCTATCATTGATGGACATTTGGGTTGGTTCCAAGTCTTTGCTATTGTGAATAGTGCCACAATAAACTACATTTTAAATGTCTACTTACCTGTACGTCTCCATCAATGAACTACATATAAGCTCATTAATAAGAGATAAAAGGGTCTCGTTCATCTTTATATCATAAGGTTCCAGCACCAAGAAAATATGTGTTGAATGAATACAGGTAACTACATGGTCACCTGAAAATGGCCATTTAAAGTAATATACATAATAAAAAGAACTCCAGACAACAAGAGTCAGTCTTACCTCCTCCACTCACTAGATGCTTAACTCTAATGACACTTGCCCAAATAAAATGTTTGCCTTTTCTTTTCTTCTGGACTAGAAATGATCTTGAAAGTCTCCCACTCAAAATAGATGTATTTTTCTACACAGGATAAGTCATTATAATAAATCTTGTTTTTAGGATAACTGATGATTAATGATTCAACAATATCAAACTGATTTTTTAAAAACTTACCAGCAACTTACTTTAATATTGCCTGTTCCTCCTTCACTCTTTCCTCTCCATTCAGTGGCTATTTATCACCCTGCAGAGGTGATACATTTTGGCCTGGTCACCTTCTTTCTTCCTGAAAAGATTATTCACTAAGCTCTGCTTGCTTTTCGTCAACTACAGCTCATTATTTCAGAAATTCTCATGCCCACATAGAAATGAATCGTCTTTAGATTCTTGACATTTCCTGTATCTCTGTCAACTCATCCAGCTATCTCAAGGAAATGTTCTTTCTAGTTCTCAACTTGAGCCCAAAGTAACACTAACCATAGCTAATAATTCTAAATAAAGCCCAAATCAAGAAGACAGGAACTGACTGGAAGTGAGGGTAAAAACAAAAAAGAACGGCAATATCATCAAACTCTAATGTCCTATTATAGATACACTGAAAAATACTTTGATAGTGTCTCTACAGAAGTATATATAGCATTCTCCTAACTAAACCTATTTTACCTGAAGTTAGATGATTTTAGATATTATTCAAATTTACTATTGTTCTTAACTCTTCCTGTAAGATCATTATCTAGAGTATTAACTTCCATTAGTTTCCATTAAGAATTTGGAAAATTTCAACTTTATCGAAGGTTTAACAAAAAAAGATTTCATGAGTTGACCCTGATTTCCCTTTCTTTCTTTCTTTTTCTTTCTTTCTTTCCTTCCTTCCTTCCTTCTTTCATTCATTCATTCATTCATTCATTCATTCATAGAGGCAGGGGTCTCACTATGTTGTCCAGGCTGGTCTCAAACTCCTGGACTCAAGTGATCCTTCCACCTCAGCCTCCCAAAGTGCTGAGATTATAGGCATGAACTACCACACCCAGCTGAACTTGGAGTTTAACTATGACAATCAATATCTTTGTTCCTATGTCAAAATACATGCAAATAGTCAAAGAGCTATTTTTCAAGTGAATATCTGGATGCTGGATCATAAGTCATTGAAGGTTCTTTTGATTTGTACTATACCTGATAGTTGACTAATGATAAAATTCCAACTATACATCAAAAAGAAGACACATTTTATTTATAATTAGAAAACAATTATCAGAAAAATAAAGTTATTTTAAATATTTTAGTCACTAGACTAAAACTATTCAAAGAGAAATGTAAATTATGATATCTTAAAATTTGGTATTTTATTCACATACATATTGAGACCCCTCCCACTTGCCCCTCAAAGCATCTTCAAAAATTGAGCTATAGACTCTGTGACTTTCAGGGTATATATATTCTTTAAAAATGAAATTGTATTTCATTATTAAAGGTTATATAAGAATTAAGTGTGCAAGAATGCTATGTGTGAGCCAAATAACCATAATTCTCTCTAAATAATTGGTTGAAAATAAGTAATTCTGGAGAAGAAATATTTTTTAATATCTATTATGTTTGCAGAAAATATCAAAAAACATAGAAGAGTAAAAGTATGACTGGGAGTTGACCCATAATCCCATTAAGCACTGGTAATCACTATTAAAAGTAATTTTTATGAATACATAAATATACATGCATGCATATATTCATATGTATATACTGAAGAAATTTTACAAAACTGGAATCTTATATGTAGGTTTATACTTTTATTTTTTCACACAAGCTTTTAATATGAACATTTTCCTTTGACATCAATATCCTTCTAGGAATATACTGATTTATTAGGTAATTTGCCTACTATTAGACAACAAAGATAATTTGTGATTATCATAAATAAGCTGACATAAATACCCTTATACTTCAAATATAAGTCTTTCAAACGCATCTTGGATTACTCACTTGGGATATAGTTTTAGAAGTGGGATTATAAAAGATAACCACTCTTAAATTCTTCATAAACTTCGCTAAATTGATTTTTAGAGGCTCTGTACTAATTCATACACCTGCCAGACTTTTATGGACATACTCATCTCATTATAAATTCCTCAGCTTTGTTTTATCATTTAGTAAACATTTATCAATTTCACAGGTAAAAAAATGTTCCTTAGTGTTTTAATGTCGATTTCTTTGACTACTTGTTAATTTGAATTTTTTATGTGTTTTGATCATTTGTGCTTCTTACTTTTGTCCCCTTTGGCCATTTTCCTATGGTGTATTTGCATTTTTATTATTTATCTATAACTAAGTTTTATATAACTTTGGCTATCATATATTTCCAGATAGATATTTTCACAATATTTTAGATTTTTATCTTTTAGTGGAAATTAGATGATGTCATTATTACATTCAAAGAAAGACTTCTGATAGTTTAAATAATACTATATTAAGTGTTTTATTCTCATAAAAAATAGAATAAATTAACTACTAAAATTAAAATATCATAATCAACAGAATGTTACTTTGGTGAGGCTTGGAAACTCTCATGTGTGTAGATAGCTACATATATCCATCTATCATAGATCATATCATAACTCATCATAGATAAGGAGATGTATCTATCTATCTATACAGTACGGAGGGAGAGATAGATAGATAGATAGATAGATAGATAGATAGATAGATAGATAGATAGATAGACAGACAGATAGATACACACACACATATATCTCCTTAATACCTAAAGCAACACCTAATCTACAACAGATACTCAAATATCTGCCATACAGAAAAAGTACTTAGAAGTTAGAACACATTATTTACTTAACTAAAACCAGGTTAGAATATTTTATTTATTTACTTCATTAACAAAGCCTAAAACAAAACCAAAATGAGCCTTATTCTGGCACGTTCCAGGTATTGGCAAAGCAGCTGGCTGAAAGGAACCTAGTACGGCAATATTTGAAAAGTAAAACTCAAGTTAAGGTCAACAGAATTATCCCAGAATTATCAACAATCAATATTTCCTTTGTCTTCAAAAAACTGTTATTTCATTACTGCCCTCTGCCGGTGGTATCATTTCTCTTTAATTTTCCCACCATGCACTAAACCTTCACAAAATTATTTCTGATCTGCCTCTATATTTAAACCACCCATAGCTAGAAATATCCTAGCCATCTGGAATTTAGCAAGCCTCTTAGGAAATAACTTGTGCTTCAATGTAGAGCTCTGTGTTTTTAAAAGCACACCCTTGCAGGTTATCTGATTCTGACTCTATGTTACTCTGCACCTTTCATTGCCTTTACACTATTTTACAAATCAGTAAATTATAGATAACTGATAGCAATGCAAAATAATTATTGACTGAAGGTACGCAAATTCTGTCAGGTAGAAGTTCAATTGATCTCATTTCCCCATTAAGGGAAAAGCCAGTTTGTTCATTTCCAAATCTATTTTGATATTACTGATCAACAAATGCCTCTGTTTTTTAAATTCTCCTTTGATCTAGTTGTAACATATGCCTGGTTCTCTCATTAATGATGAGTTAAATAAAATCTTTAGCACTTGTCTTATTTCTATATGAGAGTTATGATTTTACATTTAAAAATTATTCTTTAACAGACCGAAGCCAGACTACATTTTTCCCCATAGAGCAATTCAGAAATGAAATATGTACCTGCGAACAATAGGGCTATGCCCAAATGGCAAAAATAATTTCCTTTGGACCAGCCTACATTTACTGAATACCTATCATACACTAGTTATGGTTCCCTGCTGTTAAGAACTCCCAACTTCATGGGGAAGGAATCCTATAAATAGTTAAGACTATTTGCAGCATGATACAGCAAAAGTGCTATGGTTGTGCTTAGAAGGGAGTAATTAATTGGGAAGGGAGGGGAGAGGAAAGGGATGGGGAGGAGGAAGGGCAAAAGTCAGAGGGAGGTGAAAATAAAACAGAAATATCCTCAGTAAAACACTTAAACTCTCACACATTAACAGACAACTGAGTCTCACTTATTTACAAAACAATGCAATGGTATAAGAATGACTCCCATGTATACTGAACTGAATAAAAGGAATGCAAAGGCTGTCAGTAGAATGAGGTTTTTTCTAGAGGGTATAGAACAACTAGGAGAAGGGGCAGGTAGCAAAGATTGATGTGAATTTCACCCGTAAGTGTTTTATAAAGCAACTCCTCTTTTGGCCTATATGAAAGCTACTATACAGCCAACTTCAAAATCTGCACAGGATCACAAGGCTAATGTCATTGGGTCTTAAACACAAAAGCTATGAGTTGCAAAAATAAAAACTCACATAGAAAATGTATATTATTTTCTAAGTAGAAAATAAAGTAATACTGGTACCTTTTTGATCCATATAAAACATACTTTAAACAAATTATGAGATAGTCCGTATTTTCTAGTGAAGTTCACCTGCAGCCCAGTATACAACCCGAATACTTTTTGTATACTAATTTACTACTTACTAATGAAGCTACTATTTACTCTGAATACCAGTTTACTTTTACTATACAAGCAGTAATAAAATGCAAAAAATTTGACCTTGTGCTATATAAATGAGGGAAACTGGTTACCCTTAAGGCTCAAGGGATTTCTCCCTCTGGCATCCTTCCAGAATCTGGGACCTTTCAAAGGAAGCAAGCAAAGTAATTTCCTGTTGCTATTGCAACTGTTCCTGACTCCTAACATCATAGCGTCCAGGGTACATTTCAATGTGGAAGGAGAATAACGAAACTAGGTAAAGGATTTGCTCCTAGCTTCAGAAATGCATAATCATAGGTTTGCAAATTTTTACCTTGAGAAAAAATTTAAAGTGGATTCCATTAACTGGGATGTTGAGATTAAGGAAGGAAAAGAAATGACTCAGAAAAACCTTACATTTTCAATCACTGGTTAATATAGGGTACTATTGTGAAAAGAATAATTAATACTTAAAATCCACATTATGTTTTAAAGTTTACAATGTACTTGAGGATACAGTATTTAATCTTCACAACAATCTTAGTAAGCAGATAAGAGTATCTCCATTTTATAGGTGACAAACCAACACTAGGCCAGGTGCTGTGGCTCACGCCTATAAGCCCAGCACTTTGGGAGGCCAAGGTGGAAAGATCGCTTGAACGTAGGAGTTCAAGACCAACCTGGGCAACATAGTGGGACTCTGTCTCTACAAAAACACACACACACACACAAATTTAGCCAGGTGTGGCAGCTCATGCCTGTAGTCATAGCTATTCAGGAGACTGAGGGAGGAGGATCTCTTGGGCCCAGGAGGTAGAGGATGCAAGCACCACTGCACTCCTTCCTGGATGACAGAGTGAGATTCTATCTCAAAAAAAAAAGTAAAGAAAAAAAGAAACCAATACTCAGAAAGGTTTACTTGCTCAAAGTAACATAATTTATAATGGATGAAGCTGAACCCAAAAAATAAGCCTTTATATCATTCATTTATTCAGCTGTAGTTGTTTATATGCTTACTCCTCATTAGAAGTTGATTCACTGTAGAGACTTTGATGCATCGTTATAGTTCTACGCACAAAAAATAGGCAATAAATACTTGTTAGATGAATAAATGAATGATTATGCTAAAAAAGTAGAGCAATAAAAATAGGAGAATGGCAAAGAAATACTGCAAGGTGGTGCTTTAATAAAGATAAATTTGAAAATCAACTAACACAAAGTAATTTCATGATCTGAAAAAAGAAAAAATATTTTAAACATATACATATGCTTTGTTTTGTGTAAACATTTAAATATACACCTGTATTTAAATATCTATAAATTCCCTTAGTTAGTATCCTAGCTAGAACTTGACATTTCTAGTACTTGAAAATATTGTTTTTACAATAAGATATTTATTAAACTTTTTGGGGAAAAAAATTAAAATGCATATGGCAAATAGTTTACCACACCTTTCGTCTTGTGTGTGTATGTGTTTGCATCTCTTAACGGGAAAAAATATCAATATATTTTAGGAAATTAGTAGGATAAAAAAATTCTCTGCACTACAAATGTAACATTTTCAAAAGGCAATGTCCTTACAATTATCATAATCCTTTAGAAATTGTTTGCATTATGATTAAAAAGTACTTTGTTCCTATGTTCCCACAACTAGTTCGTATGGTAAAGAAATCAGTAAACTTACTTTTATGC
The DNA here is from genome assembly GCF_000001405.40 of Homo sapiens. Classification (NCBI taxonomy): domain Eukaryota; kingdom Metazoa; phylum Chordata; class Mammalia; order Primates; family Hominidae; genus Homo; species Homo sapiens. The sequence goes on along the minus strand of NC_000008.11, from coordinate 99,283,759 downwards.
GTAACATCTTTAACATTTGCTCCCCTTTCTGGGCTTGTGATTAAATGTAACATTTTGAAATCCCAAAGTTCTGAGAAAAGCATAAATCCTTGTCTCACAGCTGCTGTTTGACTGTGGAAACACATGCATTTTCTTTTCAAGCATCTACCATCAAAACTCCCAAAGGGCTTGGACTGGAGAACACCTGCATCTCTTCATTTAGTTCCAATAACAGAGCCTAAACTCCAAAATTACAAAAATAGACGCTCTGTTCAGCTGTAGTTACATTTTGCCCCTAATTCCCGTGAACAAAAATGCTAGGAGCATGAAATCATTCAGGCAAGCTCTGTCATCAAGAGGATAAGATTTTTTGCACCAAAAGCCCAGTGGGAACGTGATAGAAAACTGGCAACAATTACAGATAAAATACATAGTAACGTCCTCAGGGAGGAAAGAGGAAATGTAATAAGATAGATGGGTATAATTTTTACACATTTATGCCCAAACCACAAATGTGAATTGTCTTTAATTGCTACAATATATAAGCATTCTTACTCATATGTTCTGTCAAAAATACTAAACATATAACTTCAAGGCAATTCACTTATTTCTACATTAGGAGCAGAATTTTTTGAAACCAAAAAAGACATTCCCTACAAATTAAAACTTACAATATAAAATACTGTCTCCATTTTTAAAACTCCTAAACAATATATTCTAACCAACCAACTCCAAATGGTGAACCAAAAGAGTGTGTCTGTTTGCTGGTATGTTTTAATCAAGACAAAGAACTACCTCCCAATGTAACAGTTAATTTACAGAGATTAGAGTTGTAATTGTGGCTTTCCTTTCCAATAACAATGACCAAAAGTTTCCCATGTGCGATGGGTAAAATTTTAAATTATTTTTAATTTATCACAATTTGGTAAAGTTAAAAAATTTATACTACTTAATTCTGAAACAAATTATACAAGATAATAAAGACTGGTTTACATTGGCATTACATTTAAAGATACGTTAAGAGGAACACTTATTTTAAATTATTTTAAAATAACATCATAATCACATAAATCTATTTTTCTTACCTTAGTAAAAAACGTTATTTTTAGTTCCATTATATTAAAAGCAAAAATAGCATGTGCATCTGAATTGCACAAGTGACTACAGCTAAGCAGATACTTTAAAAGGTATCATCTTCATTAATGGTGGACCAAAATCAATTAGGTGAAATTTCATAGAAATAAGTATAAAGCTTTCCAAGTAGGTTCATAAACTAATGTAGACATATAAAATATGTAAAAATGTCTTAAGAGTAGTTCGTGTGAAAAAGATCCACGGTTTCCAAGTAGCATACAAGCTCAAGACAAATAGCAACTGAATAGAAGTTCCCTATACAAATCTGAGAAGTATATATATTGTACTTTGTGGTATGTGGAAGACTGTGTTAAATTTTGGAGTTAACATTTTAAAGAAGATATTTTCAAACATGTAGTGGAAGTAGTCAGTTTGACAATCTGAAGACAAATCATATAGAAAATTACTGAAATAAATTTATGATGTTTTGCCTAGGATATTTAATTGGTGGGGTGGTGGAGGCTTTTGTAAAACATCAACCATGTGCAGGGAAGAAAGAAGGCAGAATCAAGGTAGTGCTGAAATTGACAGTATTAAGAGGGAAATAGTGCCATTATTAACTGAAAGAGTGAATAATGAAGTATGAAATAGGGAATAAAAAATTATACTGAGTTTAGTTTTGAATGTGTTAGGCACCACTAAAATATCCAAAGAAAATATTTAAGAAGCAGCTGAAATTTGCAGTCCAGATCTCAAAAGAAAAAAAAATGGACAGAAAGATATAAACTTATGGTTGGTTGCTGAAAACAGATGTATTGATTAGATCATTCAGATACAAAGACAGGGTCAATAACATAATCTTGGTAACAACCTACATTTAAGGAACAGAAGAAAGAAACATCTTCGAGGAGGGGAACAAAGCAAGGAAAACCAAGAAACGACATTGTTCTGGTGTCAAGAATTGTCAGGGACCTAAGATCATACGCTACCACAGTTTCATGAAGGCTGCAGAAGACAAGGATCCCAAGTCACAGATAAGGACTTTATTACTTATCGCACAGGGAGCAACACCAGTATCAACATATTTGCATCAGTTCCCTTTGCCCACAAGTCTCACAGAGGTGATGATGTGCACGTTTGTTCAGATGGCTGCCTGTACATGCAGTGAATTACATAACAGGAGATGAACCCGAAGTTAAGGAACCAAATGTTTTATAACAGGAAGCATGCTTTCTCTTTGCTCCAGAATGAGACATGATACTTGTCTTCCAAGGCTGTTCACTATAAGAACATCTCTGAATAGACAGTCCAGAACAAAGGGCAGTCAGTGCCTCCATTCGCAAGAAGTGCAAAAACAAAAAAGACCTATCGATCAGCGGTCCCCAACCCCTGGGCCATGGACCTGTACTAGTCCGTGGCCTGTTAGGAACTGGGCCACACAGCAGGAGGTGAGGAGTGGGCAGGCAAGCAAGAATTACTGCCTGAGCTCTGCCTCCTGTCAGATCAGCAGCAGCATTAGATGCTCATAGGAGCACAAAGCCTGTTGTGAAATGTGCACGCGAGGGATCTAGCTTGCACATTCCTTATGACAATCTAATGCCTGATGATCTGAGTTGGAAGAGTATTATCTGGAAACCATCCCCCACCACCCAAGTCTATTGAAAAATTGTCTTCCATGAAGCAGGTCCCTGGCGCCAAAACAGTTGAGGACCACTGCTATAGAGACTTGTCTCTGAACATCTAGAAGCCAAAAGAGACTAAGGATTGAATAGAAAGGGTATGATCAACCATAGCAGTAAATGCTGGAGACTAAAGAGGATGAATACCAAATGAAAGGAAGGGTGAAAAAAAGCTAAGAAAGGTAAGATAATATGTGTTGTCAGGTATATTTCAGGCTGATATATTATTTCATGTCATTTATAAGAATAAAATCAGACCAGGAAATGGGAGGTATAGTCCAGTGAATAAATAATCTAATAGTAATTAGAACTGTCTTACAGAGAAAGATATTGGTAGATATTTTCTCTAGTGGTAGATATATGCAGAAGGAAAAGGAAGAGGAGGAAGAAACAGAAATAGAGAAAAGAAAAGGCGGCTAACATGTATCAAGAACTGATTATTTATCTGTCAAATTTATACCCTTGAACATCTGTCATAAATGTTCATTCATTTATTCATTCATTCAACAAACGATTTCTCATGCATTCTTTGTGCATTCATCAATGATAGGCCCTGGAGATAAAATGGTAAGCAGCCAGTGATTAATTCTGCCCTCATGGAACTTACTGTCAAGTGGTAAGGACATATATAAATATATACCGTCTTAACAGCTATGAAAGAATGTAAGAGAGGTACTTAATTAAATTGAGTGGCTTGGGAGGGAGTAGGGAAAAGGCAGAGTCACAGAAGGCTTCCTTGGAGAAACAGTAGTTGAGCTGAGATCTTGAGACTGAGCTGGAAATAAACAGGTATAAAAAGGGTAAGGATGGTTGTGAGAATCCTAGACAGAAAAAAACAGTATATGTAAATACATAACCACCACAGAGAACATCAAAAAAGGCCAGCAGAGCCAGAGCAAAGAGAGAGCAGGAGACATGTAAATAGAACTCTTAACACTGGCTCAGAAATTGAAATGATGGGCCTGGTGCGATGGCTTACGCCTGTAATCCCAGGACTTTGGCAGGCAGAGGCAGGTGGATCACGAGGTCAGGAGATCGAGACCTTCCTGGCTAACACAGTGAAACCCTGTCTCTACTAAAAATACAAAAAATTAGCCGGGCATGGTAACAGGTGCCTGTAGTCCCAGCTACTTGGGAGGCTGAGGCAGGAGAATGGCATGAACCTGGGAGGCGGAGGTTGCAGTGAGCCAAGATCGCGCCACTGCACTCCAGCCTGGGCGACAGTACGAGACTCCATATCAAAAGAAAAAACAGAAATTGAAATGATGGCCTAAATTCTTTTGATTCTAAGCTGATAGAATTCATGGTCATTTTATATTCCTAAATAGCAGACACTCCAAAATTTATTTACACATTAATACCATGATTAACAAAGACTCAGAACTCTTTAGCAAGCAGAACCTGCTATGAATCATAGGCAAAATATAGCATAAGAAGAGCCAAAGTCTATATTAAAAAGACAAGGGAGTCTGGGCACAGTGGCTCATGCCTGTAATCTCAAGCACTTTGGGAGGCCAAGGCGGGTGGATTACGTGAGGCCAGGAGTTCAAGAGCAGCCTGACCAGCATGGTGAAACCCCATCTTTACTAAAAATACAAAAATTAGCCAGGTGTGGTGGTGCGCCTCTGTAAGGCATGAGAATCATTTGAACCCAGGAAGCGGAGGTTGCAGTGAGCTGAGATCGCGCCCACTGCACTCCAGCCTGGGCAACGTTCTGTCTAAAAAATAATAATAATAAAAAATAAGGGAAGAAAATATTTAGAACCTCATTTTTATTTTTATTTATTTTTGAGACAGGGTTGCGTTCTGTCACCCAGGCTACAGTGCAGTACGTGATCTTGGCTCACCGCAACCTCTGCCTCCCAGGCTCAAGTGATGCTTCCACCTCAGCCCTCCCAAAGTGCTGGGATTACAGGGATGAGCCACTGCACCTGCAGAACCTATTTTTAAATGTTTTAATTATGTCAGTTATAGTCACCAAGTGCTTCTACCTACAAAGGAACCAGAGAAGCATCTATTTCTCTATGTGACCTGTTGTATCTACACAAACCTAAGAAATGTGTCATTAAATGGTTCCCCTGAAAAATAACCATAAATACAGAATGTGTGCTGGCATACTGTATTCTAATAAGAGCCTTCAGCTCCTTTGCTGTTAATCAGAGTTAGTCAAGTGCAGAATGCAATCAAGGAAGGAAGTGGGAAAAGTGTAAAGGGAATTGCTGAGACTTCAAAGACAAAGAAATGCTGTAAGATCATGACAGTGTGGCTCTTTTGACAGTGCTTAATATAAAGTAAAAAAGGAGATCCGTTACGTTAGGAACTTTTAAGACTGAAGGATACAGTGTTTAGTGAGGTGGATTCTAAGGTTAAAAGAGAAAATGATAAACAGCCCAACACCCAACATGGTGGGAAAATGTTGTATAGTTAGAAGTTCCAAGTTCTAGTTCAAAGACTGACTTGCTAGGCAATTGGACAAGTCATTGAACTTCTAGGCATCTATTTCCTCCTCTGCAAGACACAAATAATATTTTCTCTGCCTAAAACAGTTTTGATTTGTAAGCAAATAAAACAATTTACACAAATGTGACATTTTAATTGTAAAGTACTGTTTTTATAATGAGTTTTACTAATACCATTAATATTTCTCTCTGTCATAATTCCAAATCCCCATTAATAAAGCTGTCCATTCCCTCACATTCTCAAATCACAGTCAAAAGGCTGCCTAAGTAATAAGCTCCTCTCAAAACTCACTTCCTAATTGACTTTTACGTAACATCTGCAACATTTGCTGGTCCCATTTAACCACCCATCCCCCTCAATTTGAGAGTATATGCACAAGGGCAGCTGTCTTCCACACATCATGCCATGACCCAAAAAAAGCCAGTTAGTATGATCATCATTCAAATTCTATAAGACCATGGGAAAAGTTCATTAACAACCTCACCGGGACATCTATCTGTTTCTGAAAACACAAGCAGAGACCACTCATGATTCCCTTTAACTGTTCACCTAAAAGATTTAACCACCTAACATCTTTTTCTTCCCTTAAGCCTCCAGAAAGATTCCTGTCTCTATTCCATTAGATACTTCAACTTCAAAAAGCAAAGAAAAGTAAATGTAATCATCAGTTACTTGCTTATTCATTCAATAAGTATTTATTGTTAGCTTATGTGCCAGGTATTGGTCTAGATGCTGGGAACACAGTAGTGACCAAAAAGAGACAAAACGTCCTGCCCAAATGAAGCATAAAATTCTAATAGCAGGGGAAACAATCAACAATATAAATCAGTAACATATATAGTATGGTAGATTCTGATAAGTACTAAGGAAAACTAAAGGAGTGTAGAAAAATAAGTAAGAAGTGTCAATATGTGTGTAGGAGACAGAGAGAGAAATTTAGATACAGTGGTCAGGAAAGTAGTTGCTGAAAGTATAATATTTTTGTAAAGTCTTGAAGGACTGTTAAGGAATTTTGATTTTTTCATTTAAGATTTACTTATGACTTGTCTATAACATCAATCATACTCACATATATACATATACACCCAAATTAAATCTTGTTACAAGAACATAAGATTAATTCAAATTATTTTAAAACTGGCATAAAAATAGTACTTATGAGCTCTCTAAACCATATCATAAATACCTAAGCCATGAATGTGGGTGGCAGTTGTAAGGTGGATGAAAAATTTAAATTTAAAAATACCATAAATAAACTATGTGAATGTAGTTTTAAGTTAAAATATATTACATTTTAGGTTCAAAACATACCCAAAGGAATATTTTCAAAGCATTAAATACATGATCACATTAAAATTTTACACACAAATCCATAAACATACTACTATCCATAACACTAATGTTGCAGATTAGGTGAATTTCCTTAACAGCAAGAAAAAATTAAAACTTTATAAATATTATAGGTGTCACAGATAATTTTTCTTATACCACTTTACTTTTAGAGCTATATAAAAAGTTAAAAACAAAAATAAAATTTTGTGACCCTAGAAATGCATTTAAATTATAAAAGGTAATATATTGTTGAAGAACAGATTATTTAAATACACTCAACTTATTAATTTATTTTCATTGTATATGTGGTAAAACAAATATTAAGAGTTCCTGTCCAACTCAAGAACAAGTGGCAAGATTCTAGAAAGATTAATCTCTTCTTAGGTATCAAAATTGTAACTGAATGGTCTGGTCATTTTAGTATCATCTTAAGTTTATTATTTGAAAACAAAAATTACTATATGGGTAATTCTATAAAGAAGTTTACTAAACAATATATTTAAGGAACATGATTAAATAGGCATTAACAAAGTCATGATATTTATCCACCAATTCCTTCTTCTTATAACCATGTTAGACAAACCACATAGGCCAAATCTGGCCCACTTCCTGCTTTTATAAATAAAGCTTTATTGAAACACAGTCACGTCCATTCATTTAAGTTTTGTCTGTAGCTATTTTTGTGCTAAAACAGCAGAAACAGTTGAGACAGAGACTGTATGGGCCATAAACCCTAAAATATTAGCTGTCAGGCCCTTTAAGAAAGTATTTACCAATCCCTGTCTTAAAAGATTGGTAAAATCTTTTCTCTATAGGGACAACCCTACTTTGGATCTGGAGCCATCCTCTGATCATTCATTCTTTATGGTTCTGTACCCATTCTTACCAGGCTGAAATCTTATTTTTGAGGTGTGCTGTCCTTTGAAGCATGCTGACAGACAGCATCCTTAGACTCACCTTTCAAATACTAATTTCCAGTTTTCAATGTGGATACCACTCAACTGCAAATATTATCATAATATACTCATCTTTCAAATGTTTTGTGTCCCTGTATATATTCATTTGTGCACTGCTTTATTCAATATTTACCTCTACATAGTCTCTGCTCAGTTAGTTGCAAATCTTTTCATAGTTTCCACTTGAACATACTAGTGCTGAACATACTTTCTATAAGCTACAGTACTTGTTGAATAATGTTAATGAAGCTCTACTCTAAAGCAGCTATTTGAAACTACTCACTGGCCAGTTACTTCTAGAGAGAAAATGTGGACCACGTATCTTTTAAAACAAATGTCTATATTACTATCACGTTGCTAGCTTCATTGACTGAACACCCTGACTTTGCTAACCACATACTGGCTAAGTGAATTCATGGCTGATAGTGATCTCTACCTATCATACATTTTTCTTTTCTCAGTCTTCATTGATCCTTCTGATACCTTCTCTCAACATGAGAGGTATAGCTCTGCTATTACAGTGTTGAATAAAATGAAATCGATTCTATTCAAAGTGCTACCAGAAAAAAATAAAACTCTAAGAAATGAGATAATGACCTCTGAGATTTTCTTCTCAGTTCTACCATCAAATCTTTTCATTCCTAAAAAATTACAGAAGGTAAAAACACCAATTTACACATGACAAACTTGGGTTACAAAGTGCTACTATCTCAAGAAAATATGCATTATAATGATATGCTATATTTTAAAACTCAGTTGTTCCTTATATATACGAATCTGAAGTTAACCACTATACACACAGCTAAATTCTCTCATATAAATAAAATCATTATTTATAAACACATTTCAATTAACAAAAGTGATACAAAAATTCTTCATTTGAATTTTGAAAAAGCACAACTGCAGAGTAAGCCAATTGACAAAAATACCTAAAAAAAAAAAAATATATACCAATTTTAAAAGCCTTTCTGGAAAAAAAAAAAAAAAAAAGCAAAACAAGGGAATAATGATAGGTTTGTACTTACCGGAATTGTGGCAGTAGTCAATATATTGTGGAACTTGGATTGTGAAGGCCATCAAATCTGGAGCTAAGAGAGACTCTGGCTTTCTACTCTCATTGAGCCACTTGGTGCTATGAAGGTCTTTAGTGTCAGAAGGACCCTGAAGCAAGGGAATCAACTTCTCTTTTCCACTATCAACTGAAAAGAAATATTTATAAAACAATAATAAAAATAAAACATGAGTCACTTGAGAATGTTTGATTTTAAAATATACTAACACCATAATATAACATTTCAACTTTATTTGATAATATTAGCTATACATTTAATTATACTGAGTCTCATAAAATGTAAAGCATTTTTAACTCTTAAGTTTTCATATTTGCTAATGAATGCAGAACATGTCCAGAAAAGCTTATAAAAGGAAACAACTAAACACACTGTCTTCTAAAAATTAAATGAAATCTGGACTTTTATAAACTTACCTTAAATTTAGTTTGCACTGAAAAAAATCACAAATGGTTTTTAAAATATATTATGAAATAAAATATTGGTAGGAAGGTAAAGTCATTTACAACCAAAATTTAAAAACAACTGGGTCTCCTATTTAATTATATTACAATAACAACTTTTTAATTTAATTTTAAGTGTCATATTATATACATATATATACACCTCCTATTCCCCCAAAAAGTATAATAAACATTCCTTTAATTTTTCTCCCTCATAACCATTCATAAAACTAAGTATTTTTCCCTAAATAAAAATTTGTTAAAGTCAAGAAGTACCATCCTGGCACAATTAGAAAAATTTCTAAGTAAAAATTTAAAACGTCTGATTCATAGCAACAGTGAGTAAATTCTTGTTTCAGTAACGCTCCTTGTAAAACGCAAGGCCAATTCTCCTATACAGGCAATAAAGTTTTACACGGTCCAGCTGCACATACCTGGGGCTTTGGCACAAATTTTTATTGATCCCATGGTCCCAGAGGCACATTTGACCAATGATGTGCTGCAGTACTTCAATTCAACATTCTGGATTGAGCCCTCAAGAGTTGGCAGGGGATTCTTAGATTTCACACCTAATAAAAGAAAACTGCAAATGTACTAGCCGATTGAATTTAAATAATTTTTATATTCCTTCACCAAGGCATTTAAACTTAATTATACTCTAACTGTCTACCTCAGATGTTCTTACAGTATTTGTGTTAGGTTTCATAGTTTAGTATTTCAGAGGTGAAAGGATGCAAATTTAAAATAAATGGGCTGAACTCTCATAACTATACTTATGCATTCAATTCTTGATTAGTCAAGCTCAAGAAATAAAAGTAAATGCACAAATACTTTTTAAAAAAAACAAGAAATAATTTTAAAAATCATATTTGGTTTTAGAAAACAATAAGATTTTTCTTTTTGAAACAAATTTAACTTATAAAGTCAAGTTTAATTTAGGCGAAGACTTTATTTTTTATTTTTTATTTTTTTTTGAGACAGAGTCTCACTCTGTCACCCAGGCTGGAGTGCAGTGGTGCAATCTCAGCTCACTGCAAGCTCTGCAAGCTCTGCCTCCCGGGTTCAAGCAATTCTCCTTCCTCAGACTCCCTAGTAGTTGGGATTACGGGCGCATTCCACCAGCCTGGCTAATTTTTGTATTTTTAGTAGAGACGCGGTTTCAGCATGTTGGCCAGGCTGGTCTTGAACTCCTGACCTCAGGTGATCCACCCAACTCAGCCTTCCAAAGTGCTAGGATTACAGGCGTGCACCACCAGGCCCGGCCTAGGTGGAGACATTTAAACATAAAACTACCCAAGCAAGGCTGGGCGCGGTGACTCACGCCTGTAATCCCAGCACTTTGGCAGGCCTAGGCAAGCGGATCACGAGGTCAAGAGATCGAGACCATCCTGGTCAACATGGTGAAACCCCATCTCTACTAAAAAAAAAAAAAGTACAAAAATTAGCTGGGCGTGGTGGCATGCGCCTGTGGTCCGAGCTGCTCGGGAGGCTGAGGCAGGAGAATCACCTGAACCCGGGAGGCAGAGGTTGCAGTGAGCAGAGGTCGCACCACTGCACTCCAGCCTAGCGACAGAGAGAGACTCCATCTCAAAAAAAAAAAAAAAAAACTACCTGAGTAAACAAATTCTCTGAAATATTTTGGTCAGGTGAAATGAGGAAACAGAAACAAAATACAGGTTGAGGATCCCTTATCCAAAATACTTGGGAGCAGAAGTGTCCTGAATTTTGGATTTTGCTGAATTTTGGAATATTTGTATTATATACTTAACAGTAGAGCATCCCCATTCTGAAAATCAAAAATCAAAAGTGCTCCAATGAACATTTCCTTTGAGAGTCAATATTGGCTCTCAAAAAGTTTCAGATTTTAGAACATTTCAGATTTTGAATTTTCAGAGTAGGGGGTCACTCAACCTGTAGCTCAAATAATTCCTGTGTTAAAATACAATAGCTTATAAATAAAATTCACATGCTCTGTATAGATAAAAAGGAAGCAAATAAATTTTTATAAATTAACCAAAAAGTAGATATTAACATCTTTATTATGTACTACTTGCTAAAGGATATAAAAGCACAGAAGGTAATAATTCCCATAAATAAATGGTTGGAAAACTTAATCAAAAGGGAGAACCTCATTTTGATCCTTAAGGGTAGGTGAGAATTATACAGGCAAAGAAACCTTAAGAATATTATACTGACAGTATGGACAACCACCACTAAAATGGTGATGATAGTGATGATGATGATGATAATGACAATTAACTCTAATCAATTAACATTTACTGAGGACTTAAGTATGTGTTATGTACATTATCTCATTCAGTCCTTACAACAGGCCTATATTATAGATATTATTATTATCTTCACTTTACAGATTGAGGATGCAATAGATTAGGGAAGGTAACTAATTTTTGCCCAGAGGACAACAGTTGCTATGTGAAAGATCTAGGGTGTTTAACACAATCTGATTCCATCACAGAAGACTTTATCACTCATTTTGCCAATTATTCATGAAAACCCACCAACGTAATTTTGCTTCTTTTTCCCTTTCCACACTTTGGTTAAATAATTCCATCCTTTATTTTTGAAGCTTCTTTAACTATGTATGAATAATTAAGAAGATCATACACTTTCTATGATAGTTGTATTAAACATTATTCTAAAATCCTTGACTTTAAACTCTAGGGTATTCAAGAAGACTCATAATCTCTCAAAGAAATTATGATTCAGTCATCCTGAGCTATGGCCCAGAATTCTGCATTTAACAAGCACATTAAATGATTTGCAAATGGTTAGAGAATGTTATCCTGAGAAATACCTTGTCCCAAATCAACCCTTATGATATTGTTTAGCTTTGTGTCCCCACCCAAACCCCATGTTGAATTATAATCCCAAGGTTTTAAGGGAAGAACCAGGTGGGAAGTAACTGGATTATGGGAGCAGTTTCCCTCATGCTGTTCTCATGATAGTGAGGGAGTTCTCACAAGATCTAACGGTTTTTAAAGCATGGCACTTCCTCATTCGTTGGCAATTCTCTCTCCTGCCACCATGTGAAGAAGGTACTTGCTTCCCCTTCGCATTCTGCCATAATTGTAAGTTTCCTGAGCCCTCCCTAGCCATGTGGAACTGTGAGTCAATCAAGTGTCTTTCCTTTTTAAATTACCCAGTCTCAGGCAGTTCTTTACAGCAGTATGCGAACGGACTAATACTCGGAGCTATCAATTTGCTAATTTGTATTTTGTCTTTATATAATTGTGTACTAATTGGTTGCTATTTTCCAATATTTGCCACCTGAATTGTGTCCATTTGAAGTGGTATCCATTATCCTCTGAGAAGGAGTTCTAAACCTATGGTCTAGAGCACACTTTAAAGAGTTCATTACACCTATGAAATGGTATCTAAAATGCTGTATATTTATGCATTTTAAAGCATTTTTAACAGATTCTCAAAATTCATGTCTCAGGAAATTTTAATATCTCAGAAAATTAAATGATGCCAAAAATGCTAATACAATCATCATCGTAGTAGTAGTAGTAGTAGTAGTAGTAGTAGTAGTAGTAGTAGTAGTAGTAGTTAGTGGTAGCAGCAGCAGCAGCAATAAAAGCAGCAGCAGTAGTATCAATAATAGTAATCATAGCACTTAACATGCACTGAGCACTTACTGAGTGCCATGCATGATGCCTAGTTTATTTCATTTATTCGGCAAACACAAAATAATCCTTAGGAGCTATTACTATTTTCATTCTATATATATATTTAAAAAAGGATTGGAGAAATAAGGATTTTGCAAAGGCCCAAGTCAGAAAGTGGCAAAGCCTGGATCTCATTTTTCTTTATAACAAAGGATGCTGAGCTACTCTATTTAACATCTACTGTGGTTGCAGGGAGCTATAATCAATAGATAACTTACCCTGTTCCAATCACTATGTTAGATGATGAGAGAGAAACAGAACTTAATAATAGCCTTCCCTCCCCTGGCTCTCAAGCCTTAAGGGTCAAACTCTCATTCAATACCAATTTTTTCAAAAGAAATACAGGAAACCTATATAGTAGTCAGCAAACAAGAGCTACTAAAAGATTCTCTAAAGAGTCGTTGATGGTGTTCAGAACCAAAAATCTGAATTAGTTTCCGGTATATACAAGAGCAAAAGAATATGGATAGACCAAATGAGTTTCTTTAGAATTATTTTATAACACGGCTTCTTTTACAGTTTCCAAAACTTAATACTCTACCTTGAATCATAAATAATAAGTATTTCTTAATATCTCATACATGTTATATATAAGACTCTTATCATAAGTTATCTGAAACATCTTCTGATAACAATCTTGGCCAGGCGCGGTGGCTCACGCCTGTAATCCCAACACTTTGGGAGGCCAAGGCAGGAGGATCACTTGAGGTCAGGAGTTTAAGACCAGCCTGGCCAATGTGGAGAAACCACATCTATACTAAAAGTATAAAAATTAGCCAAGCATGGTGGCAAGCACCTGTAATTCCAGCTAATCAGGAGGCTGAGGCACAAAAATTGCCTGAGCCTGGGAGGCAGAGGTTGCAGTGAGCCGAGATCACACCACTGCACTCCAGTCTGGGCAACGAGCAAGACTCTGTCTCAAAAAAAAAAAAAAAAAAAAAAAAAAGATTCTTATATCTTATATACCTATATAAAGCACTTTGATTTAGACAACTACAATCAAGAATACAGTTTGACACTTTTAACTTTACATTTCTCAAGTATTTTTAAATTTGGTTTAACAACTAAAAGAACATAATGTCATAATTTCTCCTTAAGAAAAGTTTTTTATAAAGTAATTTGTTTTTAGTGCTAAAAGCTCAGATTTTTATAAGGAAGGGATTTTTATATAAAAGTTATATTCATCTCTTGATAGACATTGATATCAAATAGAGAAAAGTAGCTAGTAAAAATAATCGTAGTTTCTTTCCACTCTACCATCAAACTGAAATTATAAAATGCCCCAAATGTGAGCAATAGAAAGGCAGAAAGGAGTACAGTCTTGACATTATACAACTCAGGGCACCACTCACAGGAATACTTCTCTCAGAAACTGTGAAAAGAAATTTACTATTAGGGAAGCAATGTGGTGAAACAAAAAGAGCAAATAAGCTAAAATGTGGCTTCAGATATAGGCAGCATTCTTTACCTTGTAATACAGTGGCTTAAGGCTAGTCACTATTTATTATTGTTACTTAAGGAGGCCAAAATAACTGTAGTTATTGTTCCAGGTGCTTAACTCTGAGAACTTGGCTAAACTTTATACAGAACTTAATTTAGAAAGAGAGTATAATGCTTTTGTAGGATGTAAAGAAAGCTGACATGAGTCAAAAGGACAATCACAAAGATAGTGAAAATACCCACATTTGAAAAAATGCTTTATAAAGTATTCACCTATTCCTTTACTCAAATCCTGTTGTCATAGTCCACTAGAGGAAGGAAAGAGGTATCCCTAAGGTACTGCAATTGACATATAAGTTATACTGCACAGTCAATACAATAATCTAAAAATAATTACCAATTTTTATAATAAAATTAAATATAGAATAATGCACTGTTATTTTCCTCCTCTGTATTAGTCCATCCTCATGCTGCTATAAAGAAATACTCGAGACTGGGTAATTTATAAAGGAAAGAGGTTTAATTGAGTCACAGTTCCATGTGGCTGGGAAGGCTCAGGAAACTTACAATCATGATGGAAGGGAAGCAAACACGTCCTTCTTCACAAGGTGGCAGGAGAGAGAAGTGCCAAGCAAAGGGGGAAAAGCCCCTTATAACACCATCAGATCTCCTAAGAACTCACTCACTATCACAAGAACAGCATGAGGGTAACCACCTCCATGATCCAACTACCTCCCACTGGGTCCCTCCCACAACACATGAGGATTATGGGAACTACAATTCAAGATGAGATTTGGGTGGAGACACAGCCAAACCATATCCTTCTACCCTGGCCCCCCCAAAATCCCATGTTCTCATGCTTCAAAACACTCATGCCCTTCCAAAACTCCCCCAAAGTCTTAACTCATTTCAGCATTAACTCAAAACTCCAAGTCCAAAGTCTCATCTGAGACAAAGCAAGTTCCTCCTGCCTATGAGCCTGTAACTTCCTAGATACAATGGGGGTACAGACACTGGGCAAATACATCCATTCCAAATGGGAGAAATTGGCCAAAACAAAGGAGTTACAGCCCATGGAAGTCTAAAATCCAATAGGGCAGTCATTAAATCTTAAAGTTCCAAAATGATCTCCTTTTACTCCATGTCTCATATCCAGATCACACTGTTGCAAGAGATGGGCTCCCACAGCCTTGGGCAGCTCTGTCCCTATGGCTTTGCAGGTTACAACTCCCACTCTTGGCTGCTTTCACAGGCTGGCATTGACTGTCTGCAGCTTCTCCGGCCACATGGTGCAAGATATCAGTGGATCTACAATTCTGGGGTCTGGAGGACAGTGGCCCTCTTCTCACAGCCCAGTAGGCAGTGCCCCAGTAGGGACTCTGTGTGGGGGCTCTGGCCTCACATTTCCCTTCCACACTGCCCTAACAGAGGTTCTCCATGAGGGCTCTGCCCCTGTAGCAGACTTCTGAGTCGACATCCAGGCATTTCCACACATCCTCTGAAATCTAAGCAGAGGTTCCCAAACCTCAATTTTTGTCTTCTGTGTACTCTCAGGACCAATACCACGTGGAACCTCCCAAAGCTGGGGGCTTACACCCTCTGAAGCAACATCCTGAGCTCTACCTTGACCCCTTTTGCCCATGACTAGAATGGCGGGGACAGAGTACTAAGGCTGCACACAGCAAGGGAGCTGGACTCTGCACCCAGCCCACAAAACCATTTTTCCCTCCTAGACCTCCTGGCCTGTGATGGGAAGGACTCTCATGAAGGTCTCTGACATGCCCTGGAGACATTTTCCCCATTGTCTTGGTGATTAACATTCTGCTCCTCATTACTTATGCAAATTTTTGTGGCCAGCTTCACTTTCTCCCCAGAAAATGGGTTTTTCTTTTTTCTTTTTTCTTTTTTTTTTTTGACGGAGTCTCACTCTGTCGCCAGGCTGGAGTGCAGTGGCAAGATCTCAGCTCACTGCAACCTCAGACCCCCTGGTTCAAGCGATTCTCCTGCCTCAGCCTCCCAAGTAGCTGGGATTATAGGCATGCGCTACCATGCCCCACTAATTTTTGTATTTTTAGTAGAGAAGGGTTTCTCCATGTTAGCCAGGATGGTCTCGATCTCCTGATCTTTTGATCTTCCCACCTCAGCCTCCCAAAGTGCTGGGAATACAGGCATGAGCCATCGTGTCCAGCCGGGTTTTTCTTTTCTATCGCATAATCAGGCTGCATATTTTCCAAACTTTTATGTTCTGCCTACTCTTGAATGCTTTGCCACTTAGAAATTTCTTCTGCCAGATACCCCAAATCATCTCTCTCAAGTTCAAAGTTCCACAGATCTCCAGGGCAGGAGCAAAAAGCCACCAGTCTCTTTACTAAAGCACAGCAAGAGTTAACTTTTCTCCAGTTCCCAACAAGTTCCTCATCTCCATCTGAGACCACCTCAACCCAGACTTCATTGTCCATATCACTGTCAGCATTTTAGTCAAAGCCACTCAACAAGTCTCTAGGAAGTTCCAAACTTTCCCAGATCTTCCTGTCCTGTGAGCCTTCCAAAGCTCTAGGAAGTTCCAAACTTTCCCACATTTTCCTGTCTTCTTCTGAGTCCTCTAAACTTTTCCAATCTCTGTCTGTTACCCAGTTCCAAAGTAGCTTCCAAATTTTCAGGTATCCTTATAGCAGCACCCTACCCTACTGGTATCAATTTGCTGTATGAGTCCATTCTCATGCTGCTATGAAGAAATACCCAAGACTGGGTAATTTATAAAGAAAAGAGGTTTGATTGACTCACAGTTCTACATAGCTGGGAAGGCCATCACAGAAGGGGAAACAAACTAATCCTCTTCACAATGCAGCAGGAGGGAGAAGAGCTAAGCAAAGGGGGAAAAACTGCTTATAAAACTATCAGATCTCCTGAGAACTCACTCACTATCACAAGAACAGCATGAAGGTAACCACCTCCATGATTCAATTACCTACCATCACGTCCCTCTAGAACTCACTACCACAAGAACAGCATGAGGGTAACCACCCCCCATGATTCAATTACCTCCCACCAGGTATCTCCCGTGACATGTGGGAATTATGGGAACTATAAATCAAGATGAGATCTGTGCAGGGACACAGCCAAATCATATCATCCTCCTAGTACTTTTCTGAAAAATATCAACTCCTAACACATAATCTTAGTCCTGTGGTGCACCATTAAACCTATTTTTTTTTCTTTTTTTTAAGAGACAGAGTCTCACTCTGTTGCCCAGGCTGGAGTGCAGTAGTGCAATCATAGCTCACTGTAATATCGAGCTCCTGGGCTCAAGTGATCCTCCCATCTCAGCCTCCTGGGTAGCTGGGACTACAGGCATGTACTCTATCACACCTGTTTTTTTTTTGTAGAGACAGGGTCTCACTATGGTGCCCAGGCTAACCCTAATTCTTTTTCCACCAACCTTCTTGCCCGCTATAATTCTTTAAGACTCACTGAGACCTCTCCCTCAGTGTCAACTTTCTAGTGTTCAGTAGTCAGCTTATGATCACTTCTGTAGTTATGATGTACATATTAAATGATGAACTAATGAGAATGATCTGTATATCTCTGTGGAAGTAAAAGATTAAGGAGTCAAACCATATGATTACTTCTGTTCCCCCACTGAAGTCCACCAAAAGACTATTAAGAAATTATTTTAAGGCGCTAAACTAACAAAGAAACGAAAATAAAAAGACAAGAGCCAAATAGGCCGCTCTCAAACAAGCAAGAGCTATCATCTAAATTTTGAAAGATGGATATCTGATGAACAAGTAGCAATGAGTAGCCTTAGTAGAACAGAGAAAAGTGCCTGTGGGTAATTAAGCTAATAAGCAAATAGATCCTGCAATAAGCCCCAGAAATATAAGAATTAAAAAGAGGCCAGGAAGCTCTGAAGGCAGGGATGCAGATGAGGCTAAAAAGATGAGGCATGACTAAAATTTTATCTAGTGACTACAGATCGTTTTTCTTAATCCATGTAGGATCCTCTCCTTTAATCCACGCAGCCCAGTAACTACCTGACACTCACCTGGCAGAAGACTAAAGGGTTTACTTTGGAGAGGTTAAACCAGGAGGACTCTCAACTAAGGAATATGAGATACAACCATATGCTAAAAGGGGGGAATTATCTTAGAATCTATATGGCATACACATACTGGATAATGAGATCTACCCTTCCTTTACTAAGTACCAGGCTTAGAAACCTCAAGAAGGAAATGGACGGCTTTCTCTCTGAAACGAGCAAGCTCAAGAAAAAGGAAACATGACACTGATAATCGATTATCCTCAAACCAAAAATGAATTGTGTCCAATTCCCCTACAATCAACAAGTTCCAACCTCACACAGAGGTTTCAGTTATTTTGTACTTCATTCTGCAATATGAAGGATTGTTAAATATTAGATGGAAATCACAAATGTGACAGGCAGATATTATTTTAAAACATAATAAAAGGAACATGGGGTAAACAGACAAAGCCAGGAGCAGAAGAAAACTTCAAATAATAATAATAATAATGATTTCTATCCTCAAAGAGTACAGAAGATACTGCAATAAGAAATGAACATTTATTTAAAATATTCAAACAACAAAAACAAGCACATAGAAATTAAAAACATGATGCTAGTTCTCTTTAAATTAATAAATAGATTGGAAAATAAAGTTGAGAAAATCTCCCATAAATTAAAACCAAAAAATCCAAAGAGAATGAAAATGGAAGAAAAATGAAAAGATCAACATAAGCAATCCAATATCTAAAAACCAAAAGGTCTAGAAGGAACTATTAAAAGAAAATGGGGAAAATAATCAAAAACATAGTTCAAGAGCATTTCCAAAACTGTAGAAAAGGAGTTGCAAATTAAAAGTGTTTACTATGTATCCAGTATTAACAAATGAAAAAAACACACACATAAACTCATACCACCTGAACATCAAGGCTAAAGAGACGCTCCTAAAAACTTCTGATATAAGACAGACAGACAAATATAAAAACAAAAACAGGTGACAAACAAAGGTTAAACAATTAGAATGGCATCAAACTTCTCAACAGAAATGCCAAAAGCAAGAAGACAATAATGTGATGCTTTCAGATTTCTGTAGGAAAATCACTCCCACCCTAAAAATCTATATACAGTCCAATCAATTACATATAAAGACAAAATAAAGATTCATTCAGACATGTCAGACCTGAAAAAAGTTTACTTCCTACACTAGGAAGGTAACTAGAGGATTTTGCTCCACCTAAAAAAGAGAGTAAATCAAGAAAGAGTAACATGTGTGGTCTAAGAAACAGGGGATCCAACCGGAGAAAAGGAAATCCCAGGACAATGATAAAAGGAAATTTCAAGACATCTCTACAGTAGGCCTAGGGAACAAACAGAAAAACAGGAGGAAAAAGCATTAAAAAAAAAAAGACTCCAAAAATTAAAAGTAATTATCTCACACACCTGAAGGAATTGAGAGAAGATATGTTTATGTCAGAGTTTGAGGGAATTAATTAAAAATAAGTACATAGAACACTAATCAAGCAATAACAAAAAAAAAGACAGTTATTAACTCCAAGACAGTTATTAACTCCAAGAATACAAGTTTTATAAGAAAAATAAATGCAATTGGTAGCATATTCTAACTCATACATACATGTTTATAATACGTTCATACTGAGTATAGATTTAAGCAAAAACTGTGACATAATTATATTCAAAGATTTAGGAAAAAGGAATAAAAGACAGAGGCTATGAGTATTGGCCCTAAAAACTAGATCCTCTATGACAGACAGAATAATGGTCCCCCCCAAAGATGTTCATATGCTAAACCTCAGGACCTGTGAACATGTCATATTACAACAGAAAGGAAAATTCAGATTCCTAATCAGCTGACCTTGAAATAGGGAGATGATCCTAGATTATTCAGGTGAACCCAACGTAATCAGAAGAATCCTTAAAAGTAGTAGGAGAAGGCAAAAAAGAGTCAGAGAAAGAGATGTGATGACAGATGCACACTCACGGAAATGTAACATTGCTGGCTTTAGAGATGGGGGAAGGGGGTCACAGGCCAAGGAATTCAGGAAATTTCTAAAAGCTAGAAAAAGCAGGGAAAGGGGTTTTATCTTAGAGCCTGTAAAAAGGAGCCCAACTGACACCTTGATTTTAGTCTGAGACCCATTTCAGTCTTCTAAACTACGTAATTGCAAGAAAATAAATGTGTGTTGCTTCAAGGGACTAAGTTTATGGTAATTTGTTAGAGCAGCAATAGAAAACTAATATATCCTCATATTCAATAGTAACTATGCAGATAATATCTACATACTCCTGCCTAACACAGAGAATGATTTAGCTTTCAGGGCCAACACTGACTTTCTCTATGGAAAAACATCAAAAATAAGAAAACTGCAACAAAGACTACTATATAGAAATTTAGAGGTACATATCTAAGAATAAGTTGAAAAATGATTGCCTCTAAAAAGCAGTGAGGATGACAGGGTGCCAGAAGACTGCTCTTTTTGTTACAAGCCTTGCAAAGCTATAATTTAATAAAATAAAACAAAAGATTGGCCAGATGAAGCTCATGCCTATAATCCCAGCACTTTGGGGGGCCAAGGCAGGATGAT
The DNA here is from genome assembly GCF_000001405.40 of Homo sapiens. Taxonomy (NCBI): domain Eukaryota; kingdom Metazoa; phylum Chordata; class Mammalia; order Primates; family Hominidae; genus Homo; species Homo sapiens. The sequence goes on along the minus strand of NC_000008.11, from coordinate 99,263,013 downwards.
CACTTGAGCTCAGGAGTTTGAGACAAGTCTGGGCTACATGATGGGACCCCATCTCTACAAAAAAAAATAAAAAATTAGCCAGGCATGGTGACACACACCTGTGGTCCCAGCTACTTGGGAGGCTGAGGTGGGAGGATTGCTTGAGGCTTCAGTGCGTCATGGTCATACCACTACCCTCTTGCCTGAGCAACAAAGCCAGACCCTGTTTGAAACAACAACAACAACAACAACAACAACAACAACAGACCATCCAAAACATTCAAACAGCCAGGAGCCATATTGATACTGGGAAATAACAAAATCACAGGAGAGTGTAACTATAATAAAGGTTTCTGAAAGAGAAAAGAGGTAAATTATTTTAAAAGATGCATTAAAGAGATAGTCAAGAGCTTCCAAATCTTTCATACTATATAGTAAGAAGTAAGTATTATCCTTTCAGGGGAAGAATAAAGGGAGAAAGTGAAATGAGGGGAAGATTTATCACATAAGAAGAAAGTGAAAAACCTAAATAAAAGTGGCTCGCTAGGAAATACTAATAAGACAGGTGTACCAAGAAAGCTAGTTAGTTCTAAGATTCAATAGGTGACAAAGACTGTAAAAATCTCCCTCTGAAAAGAGAAACTTTAAGAGACAGCACACTTAAAAAGGTAGAGGTACTTTTATTATTGTTGTTGATTATAATGATTTTAACAGCAAAAAACAGATGTAGTGACCCATTCTAGGGTTAAGTCAAAATATCCAGGTAAAAAGCACTTACTATTTTCAGCAGAACATAAAATATAACCACTGAAACAACATGAAACAAAAAGTAATCTCAAAAGTACAACTCACAGTGATCATTAAATGACAGAACTGAACTTTAAATATTCACAAGGAACAAAACACAAAGTCTGTACAGTAAGAGCTTAATTTTCATCGTTCTACCCCCACTTGCATCTCAGAAATCCCTGTCCATATTGCTGTAATCACCAGCAAAAGGAGTCAACAAGCATTTACTGACAAACATGTAATTCTTTTTTTTAAACAGCAATGGCAAATAAACATCTGACAAGTAAAAGTTCAGCTTCACAGTGACAGAATGATTTTTAAATGCCTCAATTTAAAGCAATACATTCTGCCACCTTGCTTATGACATAATTCTTAATATGAAATAAATACATAAAATGTGCTTCTAACTCTAAAATTGTATGAATCACAATCTCTCCTACATGTCTTTGTCACACTAACCACATACATTCTTAGAAAACTTATTTGCATTACTAATAAGAATTAACCTCAATGACAATGCCAAATGCTGGTGAGGATGTGGAGAAACAGAACCTCATTCACTGTTGGTGGGAATGCAAAATGGCTACAGTCACTCTGCAAGACAGTTTGATAGTTTCATACAAAACTAAACATACATTTATCATACCATTCAGTATTCACACTCTTTGGTATCTACCCAAAGGAGGTGAGACAAGTCCACACAAAAACCTGCAAACAGATATTTATAGCAGCTTTACTGGTAGTTGCCAAAACACGAAAGCAACCAAGATGTCCCTTAGTAGGTGAATGAATAAATTATGGTAAATCCAGACAAGAAATATTATTGCTAAAAAGAAATGAGCTATCAAGCCATGATAACGCACATTACTAAGAGAATGTGAAAAGGCTACAATCTTGAAAAGGCAAAACTACAGAAACAGTAAAAAGACCAGTGGTTGCTAGGGTTTGGCTGGTGGGGGATAGGATAAATAGGTAGAACACAGAGAAATTTTAGGGCTGTGAAACATTCTATATGATATGATAAGGATGGATACATAACATGTACATTTTCCCAAATCCATAGAATGTACAACACTAAGAGTAAAACCCAAAGTAGGCTATGGACTTGAGTAATTGTGACACATCAGTGTAGGTTCATGAAGGTAACAAATGTATCACTCTGATAGGGGATATTGATATTGATAATAGGGGAGAGACTATACATGTTTTGGGGTGGGGGTATAAGGGAAATCTCTGTATCTTCTTCTCAATTGTACTGTGAACCTAAAACTGCTCTTAAAAAAAATTAAGTTTTTTTTTAAAAAAAGAAAAACTTAAGTAACTTGTTCCATTACAAGCTTATTTACTTAACTTTGATTGATCTACTATGTCATAATTCCAAATGTGGGAATAAGAACATTTCTGGGTACAAGAGACTAGAAATAGAAAATTAAGTATTTTTATTTGGAAGGGGACAGAGTTTGGTTCTTCAGAATACTGAGGAACTTGTAACTTCTAGATATAGTCTCAAAAGAAGATTCAATAACTCACATTGGCTAGAAAGGGGAGGATCACTAGATTGTATGTGGACTTCAAAGAAGTGATCTAGTGATCCTATTCAATCCAATCTAGTGATCCTCCCCTTTCTAGCCAATTAACCTATTGCAAATAGGTTAATACAATGCCTCAAATATAATATATGTTCAAGAAGAAATAAATTTTCTCTATCCTTGACATCTTCATTACCAACTGCAGGAAACTGAATTATTAACATATATGTTGGCAGATCATGCCATTTATTTATTTTCCCTCTGGTTGCTTTTAAGGGTTCATGCTTATCTTTAGCACACCAGAGTTTCACCACAATGTGTCTACTTAGAGGTTTAGGTTTGTTTTTCCTACTTGGAATTTAGGATTCTCAGGTCTGAAGATTCACATCTCACATCTATTTTGTCAGGGGAAAAAAAGTCAATAAATATTGCTTCTCTCCCACTTTCTCCTCCTGAGAGTTGATAGAAATAAAGAATCTTTTCATTCTAACATCCAGATCTGTTGACTGTATTTCACATATCATCTCTATTTTCAATGTTGCATTCTGGGAAACTTCTTTATAACCACCTTCCAGTTCACTTATAGCGTCTTTGGCTGTGTCTAATCTGCTGTTTAATCCATTTAATCCATTAAGGACTTCCAACCTCCAAAAAATTCTTTCATTATAAAAATTCTGTAGTCCTTATGATAGTATCTTGTGTCTCTCTTGTAATTTGAATTCCATCTTTTACTTCTTCAATTATTTTAAAAGTCTTTTATACTGTTTCTGATATATTATCTGACATTGCAGAAGTTGAATTTGGCCACTGGCGGTTTCTGCTCACTCTTACTCTTGCTGAATTATTTCCTCAAATTCTTTGTAATTTTAGATTATGAGTTTACATTTCATAAGGCTTTCTTTTTCACATACATTGCCAGAGGTAAGGGTATGTGCCACAGCAAATACTTGTACTTACTACTAGACACTCAGGGATGTAATTAGCCCACTAAGGATCACATTTTAACTTATTAGCTCAGTAGTTCCCAGGTCAGGCAAGAAATTAAAATCTGAATGAGGACAGAGTTGTGGTTACAAATTCTCCAGGAAAGCACCCTCTCCCTTCCCAATCAAGGCCAACACAAAAAACCTTCTTTGTTAAATCTGGAGTGAAACAGATTTTTGAAATGGTCTATCTTTTCACTAGTGCTTTGACATTATGAGCTTACTGAAGTGGAATATCACTTCCAATTCCCCCCTACTTGCCCACACTCCCTTCTGGTAATCAAAATCCAAATCCACTGGTTAGTGGGGTTGCCAAAGAACATTAGGGGAACCCACACAAAGCATCAGTGCCTACTTCCAACACTAATTTTCATTTTCTCTTTGTTTTTTAAATTTTTTTAGAAGTCTTGCTATATGTTTCTTAAGCAAAAAGTAGCTTATAAACGAATTTTCTCCTAAGATTTCATCCATGATAGAAGAGGAAGAAAAACATAATTTCTGAGGTTAAATACTACAGGATATGCAAAGAAATTAAACACATCATGAGCCCTGAAATTTATTAAACTACGCTAAGTTTTCTCATCTGTAAAACAGGCATAAATCACTAGCTACTTCACACAGTAATCATGAGCACTGAGTAGAATAATAAATGGGCAGTGGTTAATAGTGCATTTGGCATGTAAATGCTCAATAAATGTCAGATACTATATTGTCATTATTGCTACTATTAATATAAACAATACAAGCTGGGATTAGAAAAGTTCAGTTCATATACATTAAAAATTAATAAGGGAGTTTACTGAAAGATACACTAATCCCTAGACCTTTACTCTAGTAAAAACTCTACCATCAAAAAGCTGTATAATGTTGCATTTAAAACTTTGTGGCCCAGTTTCTTCACCTGAAAAAAGTCAGGGACTGGATTTGGTTATGACTATGATTGCTTTTATCTCTAAAAGCCATGATTATCTACAATGGATCGAAGACCATAAATATGACAAAATGGAATATGAAATAAACAGTCTTTCAGGTAGTAATATAGTCAGGTACCTTCAACATTTTTAGAGGCAAAGAAAACTTACGCTAATTAATTACATGAAGTAGTTATGTTTTTGAATATATGGTAGAAAAAATATTGACTAGGCAAAGTCAGGTAGTGATAAAAGCTGAGATAAAATTTTAAAGGAATAACTATAAATTTGTTTATAAACTGATATTGCAAGGAAAACTTTCCAAAACTCTGATATCTCCCCCATAGGCTCCAGAGCTATGTCAGGAGAAGAATGATAACTAATTATTGTTGTGATACCGATAACAAAGTGATGCAATATTAGAGTGATTTTTTTCTCTAAAATTTATTGGTTAAAATAATAATACCCAATGGTGATCATTTAGTATTATCCACATACATAAACTTAAAAAAAAGGCATAAATATGAAAATAATAACTTGAGAAAAAAAACAAAATGCCTGCTTCTCATATTAGTCAATTTCATAACACATATGGAAAGAAAATACATGAAACTAAGTACAAAGTGATGCAATATTAGAGTGCTTTTTTCTCTAAAATTTATTGGTTAAAATAATAATGTTATTTGGTTAAATTATTGGTTAAAATAATAAAAAATAATAAAATAAAACTAAATGATGATAATTTAGCATTATCCACATATATGAACTTAAAAAAACACATGGCATTGATATGAAAATAATAACAAGAAAAAACAAAATGCCTGCTTCTCATATTAGTTAATTTCATAATACATATGGGAAGAAAATACATGAAACTAAGTTCTTAGTAATAACCACTGGTACAAATATCTAAAGAAGGACTACTATGTAAAAGTCATATTATAGTAAACCCCATATTCTGACAGCCCAAGAGGGAAAGAAGGAGAGAGAAACCCATCACTCTTGGGCACTAACTTAAAAAAAAAAAAAGTCAGCATTAGGGCAAAAATCAAATGAGGTCATTTAAAAATACTACACAGGAAACATAGAGTCTATTTTAAAACACCTTGTTATAAACACAATAAGAGAAATCAGTAAAGATTTTTAAAAATATTTGAAGCATGGCTAAAGAAGCTAAATGACTAGCTGAAAGAAATAAAAGAAGTCATAATAAAGACAAAACTATATTTTAAACATCGTGTGTGTGTGTGTGTGTGTGTGTACACACATGCACTCACATGCACGTCTGTTTGGAAGGAGTTGGTAAAGAACACACTGGAATAAAAATGAGTACATTACTCACTATGCACAGATTATTCTCCTTTCTTTAGTTTAACTCACTGTATGCCACAAGGCACTCTCACTAATGCCACAACACAAAATTGTCATCCTACAAGGCTAATTACCTAACTATGAAATCGAGACTCCAACAAGCTATTTTTTTACTATAAGAACTCTGTGTGCAACCAAGATTCCAATCTTACTACTTCAATCAGAGCCCTTCAATTCATGATAAAGAACTACTGCACAAAACTCTAACCTGTTTCTCACTTAAGTTTAGGGCAATCAGTTGCTGCTACGGTTTGAATATATATTCCCTCCAAAACTCACATTGAAATGTAATTGCCCACTAGATTTTCATCCTAGCTTAAGGATGCAAGTTTTGTCTGCACCTAAGCATGATCATTTACTAATGGTCATTCATGTGTGGTGCTAACTTTGATTCATATGTCTTTTATTCTCTCTCTCATTCATTCAATGAATATTTACTATGAAACTACTCTATACCAGACTCAGCCTGGAGTCAGACAAGTAAATAAGACCAATTCAGGCTCTTCTCTCATGAAATTCACAATCTAGTGAGAGAAGCAGTCATTAAAAAAATTACACAAATATATACATATTCAACATTGTGAAAATTGCAAGTTAGAGTGCTATGAAAATGGAGGGAAACAATCTGAGAAAATATCTGCAAATCACTTATCTGATGAGACGCTGGTATCCAGAATACATAGATAATCTCTAGACCTAAATAACAACAAAAAAACCCACTTCAAAAATGGACAAAGGACTTGAATAGACATTTCTCCAAAGAAGATATGCAAATGGATAATAAGCACATGAAAATATGCTCAGCATTACTAATTAAGAAAATGCAAATCAAAACGACAAAGAGATACTACTTCATACCCATTAGGATGGCTACTATTTAAAAAAATAATAATAATAACAGATGATATCCAGGATGTGGAGTAATCGGAACCCTTGTATATTGTTAGTGGGAATGTAAAATGGTACAGTGGAAAACAGTATCGCGATTCCTCAAGAAATTAAACATAGAACTACCATATGATCCAGCAATTGTACTTCTAAGTATGTGCCCAAAATTAAAAACAGAGTTTCAAAAAGATATTTGTATACCTGTGTTCATAGTTTCACTATTTATAATAGCTAGAACATGGAAGCAACCCAAATTCCAAAGAATGAATAAATAAGCAAAATGTGGTATATACATACAATAGAATATTAGTCAGCCTTAAAAAGGAAGGGACATGTAGACCCAGCAAATGTCATGGTAGTAAGGATCACGGGTTTTGTTTTGCTCATATATCCTAGAAGCCAGCAACCCAGAAAGGCCAATGGGTACAGACAGAAAAAAGTTCCCCAACCTGTTCTCCTTAGCCAAAGGACCAGAAAGAGGTATCCTAGCAAAACAGAAAATGTTTAGGCAAAAACTGGTCTCCTCCACCCAAACACCACTCTAAAAATGGTGGTCCTGCCACTACCAACAACAGCAAAGATCAAGTGGGAAGCCTAGACTTCCATCTTCAGCATACTCTAACATGAACCCCAACATCCCTGCCTGGGTAGAATAAGACTAGGCTAAAGAGAAGGCCTAGACTTTTAACTCAACCTAGAAGTAAGACTATGCCCCTCCCTCTTACAGCTGGGGTGGTGTCAAGAGAGACCTAGTGGAGAGTCAAAAATTTTACCAACCTGCGGCAATAACATACCACCTCAGCACCACCATGACATCAGGGGAGGCCTCACTTAGAGCAGTAATGAGGCAATCTAAACACTCCAAGCCAGGGATGTATCAACAGAGGCCTCACTGAGAGCCAGAATTTTGACCCCGGGCCAGAAGTAACAAGAATCCCCCCTGGCCTTAAATAGCAATGCAGGCCAAGTGGAAAACCTGGATTTGTACATCCCCTAGCAGTAATAAGTGGAGGCATGTTCCCTTCCACTGCTGGAGCATTTTCAGAGGAAGTCAGCTAACACAGGTTTAAACACAACACAGAATCTCGGAAAACAATATCCAAACATCCAGGTTTCAAATAAAAATCACTCATCGTACCAAAAACCAAGAAGGGCCTAAACTGAATGAAAAAAGATAATAGATGTCACTGAGATGACAAAGACGGTAAAACTATCACAGAAAGATTTTAAAGCAGCCATTATAAAAATGCTCCAATTAACATTTTGCTTGAAGCAAATGAAAATAGATTTTGGCAAAGAAATAGGAATTTGTAGGGAAAAAAAAGAGAAGAAAATGGACAACGACATAAAAACAAATCAAACAAATTTCAGTACTGAAAAATGTAATGACCAAACCAAGAAACTCAATAAATGGGTTCCATACCAGAATGGAGAGGGCTAAGGAAAGAATCATTAAAATGGAAGAGGGAACAACAGAAATTACCCAATGTGAAATATAGAAAAAAAAACAGGGAAAAAAAGAGAAAAGAGTCTTAAGGACCTATGAGAAAGTTAGATAAAAGATCTACCTTTCAAGTCATCAGAGTCCAGTACAAGAAAAATAAAAAGATGAAACAGAAAATGTACTTCAAAAAAGAGTGGCTCTGTAATCCCAGCACTTTGGGAGGCCAAGGTGGGTGGATCACCTGAGGTCAGAAGTTTGGGACCAGCCTGGCCAACATGGTGAAACCCCGTCTCTAATAACAATACAAAAATCAGCTAGGCATGGTGGTGGGTGCCTGTCATCCCAGCTACTCAAGAGGCTGAGGCAGGAGAATCACTTGAGCCTGTGGGCAGACATTGCAGTGAGTTGAGATCACACCACGGCACTCCAGCCTGGGTGACACAGTGAGATTCCGTCTCTAAATAAATAAATAAATAAAATATAATAAAATAAAATAAAGTTAAAAATTAATTAATTTAAAAAATAGTTGCTAATAACTTCCCATATTTGACAAAAGACAAAATCTAAACATTAAGAAACTGAGCTAGCCCCTAACAGAGTAAACTCAAAGAAATCATAACGCATCATGGATAAACTTTTGAAAATAAAAGAAAAAATACTGAATGGAGTAAGAGAAAAACTACACCTTATGTATAGAGGGGGAAAAATGAAATGACAGTAGATATTTCATTAGAAACCATAGAGGCCAGGAGGAAATAGCATGACATTTTTCAATTGCTTTAAAAAAAAGTACCCCAAATTCTATATTCAGCAAAAATATACTTCAGGAATGAAGGAGAAAACAAAACACTCTCAGATGAAGGGAAACTAAAACAAACAAAAAAAATGTGTCATAAGCAGATCTACAGTAAAAGGACAGGTAAAGATCTCCAAACAGAAAGTTAAGAATAAAATAAGGATTTTTGGGATATCAGGAGAGAAGGGAGAATACAGCAAGCAAAAATAGAGTACACAGACTTTCTGTCTCCTCTTAAGTTTTCTAAACTATGTTTCATGTTGAAGCAAAAATAATATCTGATATGGTTCTCCATGAGGAAGGGTAAAGGAACATAAGAGCAAGTATAGATTCTATATTTCACTTGAACTGGAATAACACAATATCAGTAAACTGTAATGAGTTAGAAATGTGAAATATAATACCTAAAACAATCATTAAAAAGCTTGATGAGATACACTTAAAATTACTGCACATAAGCCAAAATGGAATTCTAATAATGTTCAAATAATGTTCAACTAACCCACAAGAAGACAGAAAAAGAAATGAAAAACAGAGATAGCAAACAGCAAAAAATAAAATGGCAGACATAGAGTCTAACATATCAATTATTGCATTTAATATAAATGCTCTCACAATATATCAATTAAAAGACAAGACTGGAAGACTGGATCAAAGAAACATACTCCAAATATAAAGAGTCAATAAGAAACTCACTTCAAATATAACAATGTAGGCAAGTTGAAAGTGAAAGGGTGGAAAAAGTAGATTATATAAACATCAATATATAAAAATTAGAACATAGCTACCACTTCACACCAAGTAAAATGGTTATAATAAAAAGAGAAACAATAACAAGCGTTGGTGAGGATGTGGAGATATTGAAACCCTCATACATTGCTGCTAGGAATGTCATATGGTCCAGCTGCTATGGAAAACAATTTGGCAGTTACTCAGAAAGTGACCATATGATCCAGCAGAACATCTCCTATGTAGATAACCAAGAGAACTGAACATATATGTCCACACAAAAGCTTATATAAGAATGTTCATAAAACCATTATTTCTAATAGCCAAAAAGTGGAAACAACTCAAATATCTAACTCTTAATGAATGGAGAAACAAAATGTAATATAACCATACTATGAAATATTATTCAGCCATAAAAAGAAATGAAGTACTGAAACATACTACAACAAGAATAAACTTTGAAAAAATTATGCTTAGTGAAATAAACCAGATACAAAAGATTACATATTCCACGATTCCATTTATAGAAAATATTCAAAATCAGAATTCCACAGAGACACTAAGTAGATTAGTGATTGCCAAGGGCTGTGGGGAAATAGGAATGGGGAATGATTGCTTAATTGGTATGGGGTTTCTTCTGGGGAGATAAAAATGTTCTAAACTTAGACAGTGGTGAAAGCTGCACAGCTATATGAATTTGCTAAAAACTCCTGAATTGTATACTTTAAAATAGCTGTATGATACGTTTTCTGTTATGTGAATTTTATCTCAATTTTTTTTTAAAAAAACTGGTTATTTTAATGTCAAATAAAGTAGGCTTAAGAGGAAAAAAATTATAAGAGCCAATCCTCTGAAAAGACACAGCAATTTGAAATATGTATAAACCAAACAACATAGCTATAAAATATGTGAAGCAGAAAGAGATAGAGCTGAAAATATAAATCTACAATTATATTTGGAGACTTCGATACCCTCTCAACAACAAATATAACAAATAGACGGAATATCAGCAAGGATATCAACAATGTTAAAAATGCCATCAACTAATAAGCTGTTTCTAGATTATAGAACAGCAGAATACACATTCTTTTCAAATGCCCACAAAACACCTAACAAGGTAGATAATATTATACTGGGCCAGAAATGAACAAAATTAAAATAAATGAAGCTATACAGAGTTTGTTCTCAGACCACATTAGATTCAAATTAGAAATCAATTTTTTAAAAAATAGTAAGAAAATCCCCCCAAATTTGGAAACTAAACAGACCTAAATAGTCCATGAGCCAAAGAGGAATTCTCAAATGAAACAGAAGAAAAAAATTGAATGAAGATATAATGTATCAAAATTTGTGGGCCACAACTAAAGTAGTACAGAGAGAGAAATTTATAGCACCGAATGTGCACAGTACAAGTAAGTCTTAATTCCATAATCTAGCTCTCACCTAAAACACCAGAAACATGGAAAGCAAAATAAAACCAAAGTAAGCATGGACAAAAAATAACAAAGATAGCAGAAATCAACAAAATTTATATTTTAAATTTAAAAAATAAAGAAATTATATTTAAAATTTTGATTTTTAAAACTTGTTTTTTAAAGATCAATAAAACTGAAAAAACTCTAATAAGAAAGAGAGAAACCATAAATTACCAATATAAGGAATGAAATGGGATATCATTACAGACCCTGCAGTTATCAAAAGATTAATTTTGAAAACAAGCAACTCTACACACAAAATTTGAAAACTATGACTAGATGAATCAATTCTTCAAGGGGAAGAAAAATGAACCCAAAAAGTAAATCTCCAGGTCCAAATGGAGAAATCTACCAAATCTTAAAGAATTAACATCTCTTCTACACAATATCTTTCAGGACACAGAAAAGGAGGAAACACTTTCCATTTCATTTTATGAAGCTAGAATCACCCTGATACCAAAACCAAAGCTATTACAAAAAAGGAAAATTATAGACAAAGATTCCTCATCAATATAAATACGAACTTATCAAAATATTAAAAATAGAATTCAGCGATGTGTTATTGTGTTTGTAAATACAAATATAAATAATACATCATGGCCAACTCAGATTCATTCCAGAACTGGATGACTGGTTTAATGCTGAAAAACATCAATGCAATCCACCATATGAACAGGCTAAAGAAGAAAAATCCACATGACAGTATCAACTGATGCAAAAAAAGCATTTGACAAAATTCAACACCCTCTCAGGATTAAAAGAAAAAAAAAAGTTTCAGGGAACTAGGAATAGAGAGGAACTTCCTAAGAAAGATCATCTACAAAAACACCTAAAATCACTTAATAGTAAAAGACTGAATGTTTTCCATTATGACTGGAACAAAGCCAAGGATTTTGGCTGTCACTGCTGTTATTCAACCTAATGCTGTGAATTCTAGCAAATGCAATAACAAAGAGAGATAAAAGGTATACAGATGGGAAATGGAAAAAACAAACAAAAAAGCAATGCTGTCCGTCTCTGCATTTAACATAACTATGTATAAATCTCAAGGAATCTTAAAACACACACACACACATTCTAGAAGTAATAGGTGAGCTTAGTTTTATAAGGTCACAGGATATAAAATAAAAATAGAAATTATCAATTTCTCAATGAATATATGTGAATACTGAAAATGAAAATGTAATACCATTTAAAATCACAGAAAAAAAGATATAAAACTAACAAAATATTTACAGGACTTGTATGCAAAAAACTAAAAGTGCTGATGAAAGAAATCAAAGATTATTTATGTAGTCCCAGCTACTCTGGAGGCTCTGAGGTGGGAAGATCACTTGAGCCCAGGAGTTTGAGCTTACAATGAGCTATGATTGTGCCACTGCACTCCAGCCTGTGTGACAGAGCAAGACCTTGTCTCAAAAAAAAAAAAAAAAAAAAAAAAAAAAAAAAAAAAAAGAATAAACACACGGATTAGTGGACAGAATGAAGAACCCAAACAGAGACAAAAATATGCCAGATAATTTCTCACATAGGTGCAAATACAATTTAATGAAAGAAAGACAGTCTTTTTCAACAAATCGTGCTAGAATAGGCCATAGGCAAAAACATTAATGCCAAATCTAGGTCTAACACCTTAAAAAAATTAAGTCAGAAAAAAGCATAGGGGGAAATCTTTGGTATCTGAGTTAGGCAGAGAGTTCTTAATCTTAACAACAAAATTATAATCCATAAGAAGAAAAAAATTGGCCTCATCAAAATTATAAACTTTTACTTTGCAAAAGACCCTGCTAAGAGAAGAAAAGCTACAGACTGAGAAAAGATAGTTGTAAACCATATAGCTGAAGGACTAGTATCTAGAATAGTATAAAGAGGCTTCAAAACTCAACAATAAAAGCACAAACAATACTATTAGAAAATGGGCTAAAAACATGAACAAGCATTTCACTGAGGGGATACACTGATAGCAAATAAACATATTAAAAAATATTCAACATCATTTGTGTTGCTATCAGAGAAATGCAAATTATAATCACAATGAGATATCACTACACATCTATCTCAACAGCTAAAATAAAAAAACAGCAGCAAAATTAAATACCAGTGAGTATGTGAAGAAACCAGTAAGTCATACAATTGCTGGTGGAAATGTAAAATGTACAGCCGCTCCTGAAAACTGTTTGGCAGTTTCTCCCCCACCACCCCCAACCGCAAGAGACATGGTCTTCCTCTGTCACCCAGGCTAAAACGCAGTGCGAAGGTAATAGCTCACTGCAGCCTCGGCAAACTCCTGGGCTCAAGGAATCATCCCACCTTAGCTTCCCAAAGTGTTGGGATTACAGGCATGAGCCATCATGCCTGGCCCCAAGTTTGGCAGCTTCTTTAAAACTTAAACATTCAGGCCGGGCGCGGTGGCTCACATCTGTAATCCCAGCACTTTGGGAGGCCAAGGTGGGTGGATCATGAGGTCAGGAGATCGAGACCATCCTGGCTAACACAGTGAAACCCCGTCTCTACTAAAAGTGCAAAAAATTAGCCGGGCGTGGTGGCGGGTGTCTGTAGTCCCAGCTACTCCGGAGGCTGAGGCAGGAGAACGGCGTGAACCAGGGAGGGGCTTGCAGTGAGCCGAGACCGCGCCACTGTACTCCAGCCTTGAGCACAAAGCAAGACTCCATCTCAAAAAAAAAAAAAAAAACCATTCAACTACCGTATAGCCCAGTAACTGTACTCTTAGGCATTAGTCCCAGAGAAACGAAAATGCATGTTCACACAAAAACTTGTATATAAATGTTTATAGCAGCTTTATCGTAATAGCCAAAAACTGGAAACAACAAATATGTCCTTCAACAGATAAATGATTTAACAAACTGTGGTACATCCATATCATGGAATATTATGAGCAATAAAAAAATGAATGAACTATTGATACACACAACAACTTGGCTAGATCTGTGGCGAAAACCAAAAGGTCACATAATATTAATATATGATTCCTTTAATATCAGATGTCCAGAAAAGGAAAATCCACAGAGACAAAAGTAGATTAGATTAGAGGATACCAGGGGATGAGGGAGAGGAGGAATTATGAGCAATTACTTAGAAGCTATGGGGTATTTTTATGGAGTGATATAAAGATTTTGAAACTGAGACCTGGTAGTTGCACAACATTGTGAATGCACTAAATGCCACTGAATCATACACTCTAAAATAGTTGATTGTATGTAAATGTCACCTAATAAGGGGAAGTGGGCTTGGGAGTGGGGGAGAAGCTCAAGGGAGGGAGACATGGAGGGACTGAGGGATGGGAGGGAGGGAAAATCAATCAATCAATCAATGACAGATTTAGAAAGAAAACCATCTGGTTCAAATATTTAAAACCTAAGACAAATTTGAAAAACACCTATTTGTTATCCTTTTAACATCCCTTTTAGTTTATAAAAATTCACTCATAAGAGAATGTTCAGTGTTTAAACAATAAGCAGGTTACTTGTTCTCTGTAAGAGTTAAAAGTGTCAAAAACGAGAAATATAGGGGCTTGTATATCTAGGTGGGATCACTGCAAATCTTTATGGACTAATACATATTTTAATGCTTTATAATGTTCATCAACCAACTTCACAGTTATCCTAAAGAGAGTTATTGTACATTACAAAATTTATTCAATCTTAATGCCTATAAAATGTTCAGTCATTCTTGGAGAAAAGCTGAAAAAAACTACCAAGAAATGTATTTAGAAAGTCCTTCAAAAATATTTTTAAATGCAGATATATATATTTCTATATATGTATACATTGAAAGAAATTTTGGGGAGATTCATTTCCTTATCATTAACAAAGAAAAACAAGAAATTTTTTCCTCTTTCCCTGAAAAAAGTCTTTCGTAACCCAGCCACACACAAATTTCATAACTATACAATGTTATAGGGACAGGCTATTATACCAAAAGAATATTAAACATCAATCCCTGAATCATTAAAGAAATATCTTAATAGTTTTAGTCTCTTTATCTGGTTAGAGCACTGGAAGCTAAGTGGTGTCTGTATAAACCAATCATTTCACCAGCAGTTTTATATTACTTTAAAGCCTCATATAAAAAGCACCTGCCTAAAGTGAGTAATGGAGTTTTATATTCATTGCACTTAGGAACAGTGTATGTAACCTATTCCGTTTTCCTCCCTTGTGGAATATATTTCAGCTTATATTGCACAACACATTACCAATGCATATAAAGACTCTCTGATCAGCCATTTGGACTGCCGTCAGCAACCTGCCTGATTGCCTTATTTTTTTCCCTGCCCCAAATAACATATTCACTATATTTAACAAGTGAAATGAAAAAAAAATTTAAGATAGTGATCTTTCTAAATGAATATAGAAGACATGTATGTGTACTACTTATAGTTGTAACGCAAATGCTAAGACACCAGCCTTGAACAAAATTTATGTAGTTGATAGTTTAAAAGAAAACTAGTTAAACACATCATTCCAGGGGAATAATATAGAACCAATACAGAACACTTTGTGTCTGTTTTCTCTCTTGAGCACCTACAATTAAAAAATTATTATGACTACACTACCAGTAAAAGCCAAGATAATTTCAACCCATTAAAGATCAGGAAGTAGAAAAAACTATTATTAAAATTGGATCAACCTCATATCTGACAGACCACTGAGATATTTTCAAGACACAAATATCACAGGCATTGCCCAAACTCCCTGAAACTGGAATGAAGGCAAATTTTTAAAAGAGTAATGATGATGAAAATATGGTATGCTGTTTTGTAGCTTAGATCTAAACATTAAGTACAAACAATGAGTAATGAAGGTTGACAGTAATTCCAGAAGTGGAAAAAATTAAGGGATTTTCTATAATTATAAAATGATGACTTGGTAATATTCTAAAATACAATAATGTCTATTTTAATAGAAGGAGTTAAAAAAAAAATTGAACATGCACAAAGCAAAAGCTCCACACTGTCCCTTACTGGTACCTTCATGCAATAACCAAAGGCCAATAACTAGAGTCAATTAACGAACATTTACTTACACCCAACTATGCAAAATTAACTATATTAGGGGTTGAGGATTTTAAAGAGCTATAAAATATAGTGCCTGCCCTCAAACAGTTCACTATCTATTAGGCAAGAAATAGAAAGGTAATCAAAAATATCTAGCTAATTCACCAATAGATTGCCTAAAGTACCAACAAACACGAAATATGTGCAAAACTGATGATAATCAGAGCTCATAATCTTTTTTTGTTTTTTTTTTTTTGAGACAGAGTCTTGCTCTGTCGCCCAGGCTGGAGTGCAGTGGTGAGATCTCCACCTCCTAGGTTCGAGTGATTCTCCTGCCTCAGCTTCCTGAGTAGCTAGGATTACAGGCACATGCTACCAGGCCCAGCTAATTTTTGTATTTTTTGTAGAGATGGAGTTTCACTATGTTAGCCAAGGTGGTCTCGAACTCCTGACCTCATAATCCACCCACCTCGGCCTCCCAAAGTGCTGGGATTACAGGCGTGAGCCACCGCATCAGAGCTCATAATCTAAAATGGGTTAGCAAACATTTTTTATAATGGGTTAAATAATAAATATTTTAGGCTTTGCAAGACAGTCTCTGTTGCATTTATTTAACTCTGGTGTTGTAGCACAAAACAGCCATTGATAATAACTAACCAGCCAAATAATGGTGGTTACTGCATTCGAATCAAAAACAGCTGATGGGCTGGATTTGGTCCATGGGTCATACCTTGCCAGTCGCTGTCCTAGAGCACTTGTTCTCAACCATGGGTCCACATTAGATTGACACAAAAAGATTTTATTGAAAGATCAACATCCAGGCCCCATCCTCAGAGATTTCAAAACAACAGGTATGGTGTAGGGCCTGAAGGTCAGCATATATTGGAAGCTCTAACTACTGCTCTAGAGGCAAAGCGATTTTGATATGAGAAATCTAAAGTTAAGCCCTACAGTTAAAACTTGTGTTCTTGAACCCATTGATTTTTGGCCAAAGAATGGAGTGGAACCATGTTGGGCAAGTTTGGAGACCAAAAGGCTTGGTTGAGAAAGCGAGACACAGTCTCAAAAAACAAAACAAAACAAAAAACAGTAAAATATAATTGATTTTTAATGCCAGATTATTCTGTGAGCATAAGGCACCACAGCTAGCTATATTTTGACAAACAGCTGTAATCAAGAACAATTTCCTAATGTTAGAAAAACTGAAATGAGAGACAGTAAAATAATCATACCGCTTTGTCTATACTCAAAAAATAAATCAGGGCTGGGCACAGCGGCTCACACCTGTAATCCCAGAACTTTGGGAGGCTGAGGCGGGTGGATCACATGAGGCCAGGAGTTTGAGGCCAGCCTGGCCAACATGGCAAAACCCTATCTGTACTAAAACAATAGAAATATTAGCCAGACATAGTAGTGAGTGCCTGTAATCCCAGCTACTTGGGATTACTGAGGCTGAGGCAGAGGCCACAGTGAGCCAAGATCGCACCACTGTACTCCAGCCTGGGCGACAGAGCAAGACTCTGTCTTGATAAATAAATAAGAATTATTCTCATATTTAAGGTCAAGGCATTTGACAAGAAAGGAATATTATGACTAAAAGAAATCAGCACAGTGGACTCTAAAAATTACAGAATTATTGACAAGTTCATTCAGATTACTTCTGAGTTCTTAGCGGTTCAAATCATGGTAATAAATGCTTAGGAAGCAGCTAAGAGCAAGACAAAAACATTCCCTTTCCTCAGGATGTTTGGATTGTAGCAGAAAATGCCTAAAGTTTATTGAAGCTTTAAATAAGTACAAGGCACAAGGCACAATACTTCATATGAGTTTTTAATATCACAAAACAACGTAAGTTAATAAACAGTCACTATCACCACTGAAAAACTAAGGATTTGATAGGTTAAGTAACTTGTTCAAAATCACACAGTATTATCAAACTGGAACTTAAATCCAATTTGACACTGAGGACTGTGTTCTTAAACACTATGTTATATAGATCATTATCTATTAAAAACAATTACCGTACTAAATTGATTGTGAAACAAGAGAGAAAGCACAAGAGAGCCAACAATGAGAATAAATCAGTAACATTCACTTACAGTTCTCTATGTCATAGCCATAAGCTCTGGTAGATAACAAAGAAGGACTACTCAATTATTTCTCATGTGTTCCTCCCTACACATACATGCATCCATGCACCACACATGTACACATATTTTAAATATCTAAACTTTGTGTGTGTCTATCTTCAGTCATGAGGTACTCATTTAGCTAATGTAATATAGTCCTTCTTCCTGTTTAGTTTAATGAGTAGGCACTTATATGGACTAATACTGATGAGAAATAACTTTGCTGATTCAGACTCTCATAAGTTTATCATTTTGAGATTTATGGACAAAATGATGAATACTCTTAGTGTTATTATAGAACTATCTTCTAAAATATGACTATTTTACAGATAGATTCAGATATCTTTCACATTCTTATCCGAATAACTCCAAGGCGAAAATGTGAGGATAACTTTTTTAAATGCATAGGTCCTCAGAATATTTTTCTCCATACGAATTTTTGTTCTGTAACCATGGTAGATTTTATGTGCTGAAAAGTGTGTTATATCTAGCATATGCTACTTTTAAAATCTACTTAGTAAAGCTGCAAGAAAAACACTAAATAATATTTATAAAGAAGCAAATTCCAACATCTACAAATTAACAATTAACTCTAAAACCTGCTTATAAAAACTGGACTGTTCAGGGTTCATTGCTTTTTTAATACCAGTAATTCTTAATGCAACTTGAAATATTTATAATCTTGCAGTTTCAAAGAATTATTTTATAACTTGGCTTAATTTGTAAGAAAACAGCTTATATGAATGCCAGTTATACTTCTTTGGAAAGACAAATGTAAACCTATTTAGTGATCTGATTTTCTCTTTCATCTTGTCTCCAGTTTCTGTGTAGATTTATAATGTTCATTGTTTCCAATTTTAACAAATCACCTAATGGCAGAAAGGAAAATATGTTAACCTTAGAATTATTTGCAGTTGGAGAAATCCCTTTTGTCTGGCCCATACAGGGCCTGCAATCTGTTTTAAACACAGATTGTCTGTCTTTCGTCTGACAGCCACCAAGCTGCACAAATTACTTTCTGCCTGTTCACCTGTTTGCAGCTGTGTCTATAAGCTAAAGATTCTGCAGTTGACTTGAGCAACCACTTCAGGATTGATGACATGTGCTGCTGATAAAGTGAGCAATTTGAAGAAATTACTGGCTATAGTTATTGAAAGACATCTGGGCATGAGCTGAGAACTAGAAGCCTTCAATCATATGCTTGCAACCTGCAGTGGCGGCAGCAGCGTTTGAAGTGATATCCTACTAAAGGCAGTTGGCCCTAGCACTAAATAACCAAGCAATGTATGGAACATAATCTCTCAAATAAGTAATAAAAGATTCTTTTAGCTGTAAAAATTTGAGGTTTGGTCCTTTCTTTAAAATATATTTTCAGGAAAAAATGTAAGACATCAGTGAAGCTTTCTTATGTCTATCCTTTTCTGAGTTAACTTTACATGTATATTTCCTATGTAATGAACTTTTTCAAACTGTTACTACTACTGCTTTAAAAAAAAAAGTCAACTATTATTGAACACCTACTACATGCTCCACACCCTGACCACAGAACAGCTTTATGTCCCTTATCTTATTATTAATACTCACATCAATATTAATCAGAATTACTATTCCCTTTCTCTGGTAGAAAAATTAAACTAAACTAAAGCTCCAGGAAACTAGCCTAATAACATACAACTGTGTGTTACAGGGCTAGAATTTTGTCTGTCTCCTGATCAAGAGTTCATTCAGCTATACCATACTGCCTTTCATTTTGGAAATTGAGGTACTTGGTTTCTTCATGCACTTTTTGTCATACAAGTAATTGTATATTTTGTCAGAAACATCTTATCCCTCAGGTCAACCACTGGGAGATGTGGTTTCTAGTCCATCTTCCTGTCTCATTATATAAAACTTATTCCAAATCAAACTTTCCTCATGAATTAAGATGCCGGGATTTAGTCAAAATTTAGACTTTAAGGCTAAGGGACAATGCTAAAAGCTCAGGCCTTTCCCACATTTGCTGAAATTTAATTACAGTAAAAGTTCAAGTGAAATTTTGCTAGATAAAATGGCAAATATACATCCCTTTTATGACAAAAAAAGGCATCATGCCTACCATTGAAGAAAAAGGAATCATGCCTATTAAAACACTATTTAAATTTGTAAAGGCATTACAAACTATTTACAAGTTTGACGCTATCAATAAAAATAATAATTAGGAAAGCATACAAAATGTCAGTAAAATATAGTCAAATAAGGAACTATGATAAGGCAATTCTATAAGTAAAAAGTCAGAACTCAAGTATAACTTACACTAATATCAGAAGAATCAATATATCTAGATATACTTAGGTGAAAGACAAATTCAGTGTGTTTCAGATGCAAAACTGAATACAAGATTACATATGACAACGTATTTTTACATTACCATTAAAATTTTCTAATAAGAAAGTTAACATGATTTTGATAAGCACTTGAACTACTTTGCTCCATTTGCAAATATTTATAAACCTATACATATAAAATGAGACAAAACAATAAAGAGGTTATAAATAAAACAAAAACAAATATAACCATTCTGATAAACAGTTCTTGTTGAGCAATGTCTAAAAATTCTTAATTTATACATATATTTCAAATACAGTAAAAGTCAATATTTTTGAAAATGATTCAACTGAAACATATCCATTAATATTAGAAACCAATTATATATGGGCCTGGCGCGGTGGCTCATGCCTATAATCCCAGCACTTTGGGAGGCCAAGGTGGGGTGGATTACCTGAGGTCAGGAGTTTGAGACCACCCTGGCCAACATGGTGAAACCCTGTCTCTACTAAAAAAGTACAAAAATTAGCTGGCCATGGTGGCGGACGCCTGTAATCTCAGCTACTTGGGAGGCTGAGGCAGGCGAATAGCGTGAACCCGGGAGGCGGAGGTTGCAGTGAGCCGAGACCACGCCATTGCACTCCAGTCTGGGCTGACAATAGCGAGACTCCAACTCCAAAAGAAAAAAAAAGAAACCAATTATATATGGAAAAAAATCACTGCTTCATAAGCAATGATGGTTCTTAGAGAAAATGAATATATCCAGCACTAATTTTAAACAAAAGCTTCCACTCTAATCTATGTTTACACTTAAGTAACAGACATAAAGTATCTCATTTGCAAATATTAATTTGAAGATCAATTTTCTAGTGATCAAATCATTATTCTTGTTTGGGATGGATATAGTCAATAAAATATATTTCTTCATTTAGTTAGAGAAGACATATTAAAAGAAACAAAAAAAATTGCTTCTTTCAAAGGTTCTTTTGAATAACTGGCTTTTCCACTATTTTTATATTGGTTTTAAAATTTCCATAGACTTGGGAAATATTATCCCTGGTATTTATAAACACTAGTATTTCTTTCAGAACAAATTTAAATACATTCTAAAAATGGCAAAAGTGCACCATCCTTTCAACTTGTTAAAATCAAATGTACTTGAAAAATAGAATAGCCAAAGCCTGCAAGTCAAGTAATTATATAAATTTGTCTTTCACATTTCAGTATTCATAAATTGGGATTTCACAAAGACCTGACTGACTCTAGCCACAAAAGAGAATATATATCATTCATAATTATAATAAATCAAAACTTTACTTATCTAATGATATAGTCATAACAACATTATTATACACAGGATAATAGTTAAGAAATACCATCTCTATCACTATCCTCTTTCCTCTCTTTCCTAATCATCTTATGAGTTCATATTTTTAATAGCAGCTTTTATTTTAAAAGACCTAAGTCATGAGAATATTCTTACATACCACTTCATAACTTTGACACAAAGTACATATAAAAAGATTAGACTTTATTTGGTGTAAAATCAGTTGGCAGTTTTACATCTGTGCATGCAACATAAATACACCAGCTGGCATCTCAAGCACACACACATATGGACTTCAAAACAGAAACTTCCTTATTTGCAGCACTGCCAGGGTAATTTTGTATCCTCTGCATACTACAGCTATTTGTCAGGCCCCTGCAGGTGTGCACTGCACATAAACACACAGCTGTAGTCCAGCAAGCCAAGTGTTCCATCAAACACATAAAGGGAGACCTCAGCAGTTGGATTAGTCATCCCTACAACAGGTCCAGAGAGAACAATATGGGTTAGTATTTTTGGAAAAAGCATGGATGGGAAATTTATGATTATGCTAGTCTTACCAAATAACTAGTAGATTGTGTCATTTTAAAAGCAATGCTTACTTACTAAGTTTTTGTTAGAATAGCTGGAGAAAGTGATTTTTTTTAGTTTTAAATATAAATAATAATGTGGCTTATGTACAAATTAGTTTATTAAGCGTAAAATGTAAAAAGAGTTTTCAAACAGTTAATGTTTGGAAATTGTTGTAACTGCATGCTTTGGCTATAATATTTAGAAATCATAATGAGTACATATACTTAAAATATTTACCAGTTCTATGTAACACTTCACTATACTTATAATCCCTTTTATTCATATGTACTTTAGATGAACTTGCCATTTCAAGCTAATTGAGCTCAATATTATGTAGTAGACAACATTTAACTACCTAACATTGCTGCTGTATCAGACTGTAAGGAAATACTATTAAAATATTTAGTTCTCAAGTACATTATTAAATGGCTAGGGAATATATAAAAATGTAAGACATGATCATGATCACTGTACAATCATCTAAAAGCTGCGAACCAAATTAAATGAGGCCTTATTAATATTCTTTAAAATACCGGGTAAGTATTTCAAGCAGTTGATAATTATGGCTGCTTTAACCACATTTCCCCAAAAAATGCCCAGAGTCCACCTGGCAGTTGACAAAACATGAAAGATAACTTAGAAAATGAGCTTGAATGCACTATGCCTAATATACTAAACTTCATTGAATTTTGAGGTCAAAGAGTTAGTAATCAAGAAACAGCAGTCTCTGGCATCAGGGGGTTCACACTTCCTCTTATCTGGAATGCATAAAGGGACTTAGAAGTTACATTAATCTGATACAAATCCTACCCCTCTACATGAAGCCTAACTTTATTAAGTATTATTTTAACTGAGCCACCAAAATACCATCTAAAGTAGGAAATAAAGTAAATGAGGAGGAAAGAGTGAAACCTTTATAATTATTTAATGTCTTTAAATTATTGCATATCTTATTGTTCTGTTTAACTATAAACAGAAAATGCTTGGATTCAACCTGGACACCTTCATTACTGTTGGGTCCCTGAAGTATGATTCATGGCTCCTTAAAGCTTCCTAGTAGCCTTAGATGCTTTAGATTGACTCTGGCTGAACTGATTCTTAACCTCAGAACCTCTCTTTATCTGCAATTCTGTGTCAATTATTTACATCAGTATCCCTAGGCCCAAAATACTGTCATCTAGAAAAAAGTTAAATGCTGAGGATGAGTATTCTTTAAAAACCAAACAGTTTACTAGAAAGATAAAGATATACCTAACTATTACAAATGAGGCATTAGTGGAATACCAGAAACACCAAAGTGAAATGACAGTAATATTGTTGATGTTTCTTTTTGCACAGACTGTAATAAACAAAACCACATGTAACACAGTTTACTCGGCAAAATAGGGTATCCAGATGATAAGAATAAAGTAATTTGACTGATTTTGTCAATTCTAGGTGAAATGTCATGCATTCAATAAGTAACACTTAATTCAATGTACTTAAGATTACTCTAAATTTATGACAGAATTGGATATAACCTGTTGAGAAGAACCTCAGATTTATATAGAATGTGTCAGCCACAACACTCAATGGCCAGGAGAATAAGGGTCAGTCATTAGTATCTGAATTACATAATTGCTGAAATACACATTATTTTCCAATTTGTTATCACATTGGAATGTGATAACACTGGGATGCTCATTAAAGGTCAAATGTAAGGGCCTCACCAACAAAAACAGGACTGGCCTAAGAACCTGCATTTTAGCACAACCCCAAGTGATTCTTACTCAGATGAAATCTTGAGATATTGTCTCATGTAATTCAGGTAAGCCAAATAAATACCTTCCTCTCTCAGTAGATTTTTGGAGAGGGGAAAAAGATGTTTTTCCCTTCCCTTGTAAGATTCTAAATATAAGATTTACCATATAACATATAAATAAATAAGAAATAAATTTATTTTTAGATATATCACTAGAATGATAATCTAATCATTCACTTGATAATAATTATAGGGAAGCAAAATGCCACCGGTTGGCATATTACATGTTTTGCACGTAATGCTATTTATTTTTCAAGACACAGTTTTTCTCTTAGTGCTTAAAAACAATTGTTTTAGCTTTATTATTAATTAAAATAAGATAAACTAGCCAATAACTGTCAGTATTAACATGAAGTATCAATATAAATTTTATTATAGACTAACATCCTTTAACTTATTTTTTATTCTACAAAGTGATGCCAAAATACACTGGAGGAAAAGTTCTTACCAAAATTTATTCTACTTTTATCAGCAACTCGCTCCAGATTAACTTATCCTACACAGCTGAGCTCAAGCATCATCCTTCACCTAAGCTTGCCCCATGGCCATTAGTTTTCCCCTAATCCCCCCAGAGTGGACTAAGAAGTAATATTTAAACATTTAATTGTTTCCTAAATCTGAAAATAGTAAATACTAGAACCAGAATCTACTCATTCAAAACATATTTATTTTGTGCTTATTAACTAAAGACATTGTCTTTTCACACACACACACACACACACACACACACTCCCACAAACTCTTACACTAATTTAGAGAAGTGTACAATTAATATAAGTACTATGACAGTGGAAGTATAGGGCACTTTGAAATTATAAAGGGACCCCTATCCTGGTCTATAGTATACTCAAGGATAAAGAAAAGTAAACTAGATAAGAGGATGAGGGTAGAGTAAATTGAAGTACTCCAGGCAATGGAAAAGCACGACCCACAAACCTAAGGAAGGAACTGGGACTGCCTAGAGGCCTATTACAGAAGCTTACTGGTAGTACAGCCTATAGGAAGTAGGGATGAGAGCAGCAAGACCTGAAATTGGAGAAACGAAGGCCATTAAGAGTTTCAGAAGGAGTTTGCCATTCTTAATTAAAAAAAAAAAAAAATAACCCCAACCTGCACAATGCAGGTCAGGTAACAAACACTTTCTTTTTTTTGTATGAATTTTTTAAAATTTATTTTACTTTATTTCAATAATTTTGGGGGAACAGGTGGTTCGGGTCACATGGATAAGATCTTTAGTGGTGATTTCTCTAATTTTGGGGAACTCATCACTCAAGCAGCATACACCACTATACCCAATGTGTAGTCTTTTATCCCTCACCATCACCTCCTCAATTAATTCTATATCCCTGTGGTATAGCCTATTATCCAAAAACATTCGTGATTTTTTCTGTTTCAGTCATTAATTTTATCAAATGTTTATTTATTCATTTCTTTTTTTCACTGACAATATATTTACATGGCCTGTTTTCCTTTTCACTGAAACATTTTCCTTGCCTCCACTTTACATTAGCCTGGTTGCTTACCCCAACATTTTGACAAAAACCCTCAACTATTACCCTTGCATTGTCAATGTATTGAAAGATAACAGTGATAAAATGTTAAAGAGATATAATCCTCTATTTTTATAGTAGTTTTTGCATTTTTAATCAAGTAATCCAAAAAGTATCTGTAAAAGCAAACACAAATTACTTGGGGGGAAATACCGTCAGGTATCTCATTTACTTCAAAAGTTAAGGTGTTGTATTAGTCCATTTTCGCACTGCTGATAAAGACATACCCGAGACTGAGCAATTTACAGAAAGAGGTTTAATTGGACTTACAGTTCCATGTGGCTGGGGAAGCCTCACAATCATGGGGGAAGGCAAGGAGGAGCAAGTCACATCTTACATGGATGGTGGCAGGTAAAAAATGAGAGAGCTTGTGAAGGGGAACATCTCTTTTTAAAACCATCAGATCTTGTAAGACTTATTCACTATCATGAGAACAGCACAGGAAAGACTTTCCACCAGGTCCCTCCCACGACACGTGGGAATTCAAGATGAGATCTGGGTGGGGACACAGCTAAACCCTATCAGATGTGGTTATAGAACTGGAATTTTTGAAACTACTTTATATCTAAGATAACTACCACAGCATTATCAAATGTAAGAAATCTTAGAACACTATACACATCACGTGAGCAATGCCTCTTTTTTCTCCATTCTCCATTTGCCTTTTTAAAAACATCCAGGTGATTTTATAGGGTGAATGTAATAGGACATGAAGATCACTGCTGTCTGTATTTAGAAATACATCATTCAAATTTATCTGTTCTGTCCTTCAGGAAACATCATTTAAAAGCTACTTGGTAAAAACATTACAGTTTCAAACTTTAAAGTCATTAAGAAGAGAGCTTAGAGATTACATCAAATTAAAATCAACAGGTCAGGCACGGTAGTTCATGCCTGTAATCCTAGCACTTTGGGGGGCCAAAGGAGGTGGATCACTTGAGGCCAGGAGTTCAAGACCAGCCTGGCCAATATGGCCAAACCCTGTCTCTACTAAAAATACAAAAATTAGCCAGGCGTGGTGGCACACACCTGTAATCCCAGCTACTCAGGAGACTGAGTCAGGAGAATTGCTTGAACCTGGGAAGCGGAGGTTGCAGTGAGCTGAGATCACGCCACTGCACTCCAGCCCGGGCAGCAGAGCAAGATTCTGTCTTTAAAAAAAAAAAAAAAATTGACATCAACAAATGAACTAGATGTTACACCTATCATTAAAGCAAAATCCTTGAGAACTGTTTTCCAGACCTTAGATAATGCCTCTACAACACAATTGACCCATGATAGTGGATGAAAAACAGTAGTGCTTTGAAGCATCAGCCAGTAAATGCCACCATGGTATACCATGAGTGAGATGCACAACATATTAAACCACAGTTAATTAAATCAAACCAGTTCTTGCATTGTTAAAATGCATCCTATATTACTTATTCGGATACTACGCAGCTGTTTTTAAACTTTAAGATCTCCACACCCATTTCCAGTAGACACTATTCTATTTTCATTTATTGACAATGAAATAAATAAGTGGTTACCATTGTTTTCTACTGTAGAAGGGAAAAAAGCAAATTTTTGTTTTATGTCTCTATTATCTCTAATTCACAGTAAGTAGTTCTAATAACTATCTCATGAAAGAACTGAGGGAAAACGAAATAACACTGAAAATGTGTTACATGGTAGTACTTGTGTAATAAATTATGTTGAAAAGTACTTCAGTGGATTTAATGTAACGCATCACTTAAGAAGAAAATAATTAGCAATTCCTCTATGTTGAAACACAAAAACTTCTTTAAATTTTATATATAATATGCAGCCTACTAAATTATTAATTAAAATAGAAACTAGCCTCTAAAAAAATGTAGGCTGAAAACACAGGATTTTGCTGTTAAAAATACTTTCTTCTAAACTTACCCAACATTCTGTATAATTTGGGTAAATTAATAAATATGATAGGCACACAGAAAAGGTACAGATTTTACTACTTTCCATATTGTTAAAATATAGCACACTACTAAGCTGCGGCAAAAGCCAAATATCATTGCAGAATGACTTTTTGGAATACAAAGATAAATGTAGAATTTTATTTAAAATAAATTTTCAATATAAATTTCTATTAAGCATGTTAAGAGTTGATTTTTAATACGATAGCATGGTACTCAATTTCTCACCTGCTGTCAGCTGCTACATTATTACTATAGTCTCTACATATTTGTAGTAACAAAGAAGGTGTTCAATTCCAACTGAAATAGATGTGGGAGCAAGACTTTTTTGGAAGCACTGAAGATGCTGATACTTCTAGCAACTAATTATATTTTCTTTCCCCTATACCAACAATTCATTAATTAAAAATCTACACAGAAATGGTTGTAAAGCACTCTTGTAAAATTCTATTATTTTAAGATTACTGAGAAAGTAAGGTGTGTTCTAGATGATCTAATTTTTCTCTAACACTTTCTTCTTTTCATACTCTTCATATTTTTTCATTATTATATTTGAGTCAAGGATTATTTTCTTGGATACTGTTAATCATTTTGTTCCCCTTCCTCAAACATTCTATTTCTCCTTTTAATTCAATCTTATAAATGTGAATAAATCCCAAATAGGGCATTACTTTGGGAGACTTGTTGCAATTAAATAGAAAATGTATATAGTTTAAATGTTTTATTAATGCTTGTACATTAAACAATTTTATAAATTATACAAAGAATGAGGATATAATGCAACCTCCATTAATGTCTTATTTTTATTTAAATGTTTATGAACATTTTGACTTAGAAAAATTAGACTTTCATAAAGTTAATAATGTACTAGGGACTGCGCGAGCGCACTACCCAACTCTCGCCAGCACAAGCTCTGCTCCCAGCCACGCGGCCCCCGAACCCCAGCCCTGCGGCCCCTGAACCCCAACCCCGCGGAAGCCCCTTCCCTACCGGCGTGTAGAGTCGGGGCGGGGCGGCGGCGAGGCCAAGGTAAAGTGGAATTGCATGGGAAAATCATGGAAGTTGATTACTCGGTCTCTAAAAAGCTAAGGAACAGGAAAATTCAGATTTGAAACATACCTCCTCACCTGCAGTGGGCGATGTTGGATGCACCTTTGGCTCAACACGGGATAGTGGAGAATGTGGAACAAGTCAACACAGACACAGAAACTGCTGTTGTCAATGTCACATATGCAACAAGGGAAGAAGCAAAATAGCCATGGAGGAGCTAAGCGGGCATCAGTTTGAGAACTATTCCTTCAAGATTTCCTACATCCTGGATGAAGAGGTGAGCTCCCCCTTTACCCCCTCAGCGAGCCCAGGGTGGGGACCACTCTTCCGGGAGCAAGGTCACGCCCTGGGGGCTCTTCTCAGGCCGGACAGACTGATTTCCCGCTGCGGATCCAACCCAGTTTGTTGGTGCCATGGTCTGAAAGGAGGGCTTGACCATAGTGAACATCACTGAGCAGACCCAGTCCCGGGTAGACATCCATAGAAAAGAGAACTCTGGAGCTGCAGAGAAGCTTGTCACCATCCATGCCACCCCAGAGGGGACTTCTGAAGCATGCCACACGATTCTTGAAAGCATGCAGAAAGAGGCAGATGAGACCAAACTAGCCGAAGAGATTCCTCTGAAAATCGTGGCCCACAATGGCTTGTTTGGAAGACTGATTGGAAAAGAAGGCAGAAATGTGAAGAAAAATGAACATGAAACAGGGACCAAGATAACAATCTCATCCTTGCAGGATTTGAGCATATGCAACCCGGAAAGAACCATCACTGTGAAGGGCACAGTGGAGGCCTATGCCAGTGCTGAGATGGAGATTATGAAGAAGCTGCGTGAGGCCTTTGAAAATGATATGCTGGCTGTTAATACCCACTCCAGATACTTTCTCCAGCCTGTACCCCCATCACCAGTTTGGCCCGTTCCCGCATCAGCATTCTTATCAAGAGCAGGAGATTGTGAATCTCTTCATCCCAACCCAGGCTGTGGGTACCATCATCGGGAAGAAAGGGGCACACATCAAACAGCTGGCAAGACTCGCCAGAGCCTCCATCAAGGCCCAGGGACGGATCTTCGGGAAACTAAAAGAAGAAAACTTCTTTAACCCCAAAGAAGAAGTGAAGCTGGAAGCCCATATCAGAGTGCTCTCTTCCACAGCTGGCCGGGTGATTGGCAAAGGTGGCAAGACTGTGAATGAACTGCATAACTTAACTAGTGCAGAAATCATTGTGCCTCGTGACCAAACGCCCGATGAAAATGAGGAAGTGATCATCAGAATTATCGGGCACTTCTTTGCTAGCCAGACTGCACAGCGCAGTATCAGGGAAACTGTACAAGAGGTGAAGCAGCAGGAGTAGAAATACCCTCAGGGAGTCGCCTCACAGCGCAGCAAGTGAGGCCTCCCACAGGCATCAGCAAAACAACAGATGAATGGAGCCCTTCCAACACCTGACAAAATGAGACCAAACACAGCCAGCCAGATCGGAAGCAAACCAAAGACCATCTGAGGAATGAGAAGTCTGCGGAGGCGGCCAGGGACTCTGCAGAGGCCCTGAGAATCCCAGGGGCCAAGGAGGCGGGGGAAGGTCAGCCAGGTTTGCCAGAACCTCCGGGCCCTGCCTCCTACCTCCCAGGACTTCTGCAGCTTCAGCAATCCACTTCACCATCCACTCAGATCTCTCCTTAACTCCCACAATGCTGTACCTTTTGGTTGAAGTAACATAGGTGAACGTGTTCAAAGCCATGCAAAATGCACACCCTTTTTTGTGGCAAATCTCTGTACATGTGTGCACATATTAGAAGGGGACGATGGTAAGATACGTGGCCTGCGGGTTACGCAGGGTGCCTGCAGCGGTAATATGTTTTAGAAATAACATATCAAATAACTCAACTAATTCCAATTTTTAATCAACTATTAATTTTTTTTTCTTTTTAAAGAGAAAGCAGGCTTTTCTAGACTTTAAAGTCTTTCTTTGGGAGGTTCACGGTGTAGAGAGGAGCTTCGAGGTGACCTACACAAAATTCACCCAGAGGGAAATCTTGTCGGAAGGACACTCACAGCAATTATGGATCATCTGTGTATATCAACAGGAGGGATACCATCTCCTTGAAAAGGAAACTCTGTCACTCCTCATGCCTGTCTAGCTTATACATCCATTTCTCTTTGCTTCATGGGTTTTAAACTGGTTTTTCGCATACTGCTATATAATTCTCTATCTCTCTCTCTGTTTATCTCTCACCTCCCTCCCCTCCCCTACTTCTCCATCTCCATTCTTTTGAATTCCCTCATCCCTCCATCTCAATCCCATATCTACGCAACACCACCCTCGCCCCCGCCCAAGGAAAGCAGTGCTTTGAGTATCCCAACACACAAAAGGAACAAAAGCAAAACACACACGTCAGCCTCAACTTACGCTTGGTTACTCAAAAGAACAAGAGTCAATGGTACTTGTCCTAGCATTTTGGAAGAAGAAAACAGGAACCCACCAAACCAATCAATCAACCAAACAAAGAAAAAATTCCACAATGAAAGAATGTATTTTGTCTTTTTGCATTTTGGTGTATAAGCCATCAATATTCAGCAAAATTATTTCTTTCTTTTTTAAAAAAATGTGAAGGAAAGTAGCAATTTATACAAGGTTGTTGGCCCAGGGCGTTAAATTTACCGATTTTATAAATGAGAAAAACACACAGAAAAAGCTACCTCAGGTGTTTTTTGCCTCAGCACCTTGCTCTTGTGTTTCTCTTAGAGATTTTGTAAAACTGATAGTTGGAGCATTTATTTTCTTAATAAAAATGAGTTGGAAAAAAAATAAGATATCAACAACCAGCCTGGAGAAGGTGAGAGTCCAATTGTGCAACAACTGTTCTGAATTGTCTTCTGCTAGCCAAGAACCTATATGGCCTTCTTTTAGACAAACCTTGAAAACATTTATTAAAAAAGAAAAGATGACAAAGAAAAAGAGAGAGAGAATATTGGAGATGCCGTGAATTTTAATAGGGTATGTGCCATTAGGGCTTCTTGCACTAAAGGATGAACATGTACTGGTTTATGTGAGCAAGCCGTTATACCACCAGACTGCAACACCAGTTTCCTCTACTGCAAACAGTGTTCTGTGACAAAGAAAACAACAACAACAACAAAAGAAATATATCCAGCTAACAAGAAAAAAAAAAAAGTACTAGGTTAGTATTTGTGTTAACTGTCAATCTCCTGACCTAATATTTGAACTTGTGAAATCACGATTTCTATACATGAAACTAACAGCTTCTACAATTATTGACAATTATAGTATTTTACTCTGGTGATAAACACTTATACTTTAACTCATTGACAGAACTTTAACACATAAAGCATATAAGCATATGTTCATTGTCTATTACATTTAGAATGCTTACCTGTAATTAAAAATAAACACTGAAACATTAACAAAAAGTCCAGATGACATGCCTCATTTATCAAAGAAATGTTAGGCTGCTAGATATAATGGTAAGCATTTTCACACACAAATTCAGGAATGCCACAAATGACACTGAAGTGACAATGCTGCTATTCAATTTCCCAAAGGCCAAGGCCAAAGCTGAAACCAGAGTAGATTTCAGATGAATGCCCAACTTGAATCTGCATTTCTACTATCCCTAATAAAGTAATAATCTATTAAAAGTAACAGTAAAACTGTAACAATTTCCATTTATAGAACAGTCATGGTATACCAGACATTCTATATTATTTCACTTACTTCTCACTATACTCTATAAAGCAAGTTCTACCGGTGTTCCCCGTTCTACAGAGGAGGAAACTGATTGTTAAAGAGGTAAAGAGACTTGCCTAAATCATATGGTTAACAAATGGTGTGGCCAAGGTTCAAACTTTGGTACTGAGAAGACATTTCTCAGAACTGGAACCTGGTTTTCATAAACAATTATAAATCTTAAATAAGAATCAACATGAATAAAATAACTTTCAATTAGGCAAGTCAATATTTTGGAGGGGAATGAGATCTAAAATTTCCTATGGGAGGAGGACTTCTGACCTCAAGGAAAATAAAAGCAGTTCTAGAAGGCAGCACTGTGCAGGTCCCTGCTATATGCAGGAAACCTAGGAGCTTTCAATTGTGTCCTGTACTACAACAGAGAGCCATATGGATCGAGTAAGGGACTAAACTTTAACGACTCAAGATATTCACATGAAGAGTTTAAAATGCCTAAATAAAATTCCTACACAAGCATTTTATTTACTTTTTTCAGAGCTATGAATAGGCAAAAAAAACCCCAACATGTATAATAAGTTCTATATACCCAACTAAAAATTAAAATTAATATGGCTCTTACAATTCAGTAATAGTTACTTAAAAGCAAAATAACTGGTTAATGAGTTACTACAGAAACACAGAAAATGGGAAAAATAAACTCTAATAATGGAATTAATGTGTGTTTTCTGCAGATGTTACACAATTACTGGTGATGTGAAAGAATTATCCAAGTGACAACATTGTATAAGTCAGAAGTCAAGATATATTTGCATTATGACTATTGAATGTGGAAACAGGTAAGCAGGAGTAAACTTTCTAAACCATAAGTCAAACTGTATCACTCCTTTGGTTGAAACCCTCCACTGACCTCCCAATGCTATTTGAATAAAATCCAAAATTCTTACTGTGGCTTGCAAGGCTTTAGAGTATGACACCTGCCAAACTCTCTGACCTTGTTTCCCTGTAATCTCTTTTTTTAATCTCAGAATTCTTTAGCCAAAGTGGCCTTCTATCTCTCCTTTAAGCCAAGGTTTTGCCCGTAACGGTCCTTTATATCAGATTTTCTGTTTGCTTAGAAAATTCTTCTTCCATACCTTTTCTCTACATGAGAACAAGGACATGTCTGTTTTGTTCCTATCACCCATACCCAGCCCTAACCCTAGTACATAGTGTCAAACTGTTAACACTCACTGAATCAATCAATCAATCAATCAATCAATCCATGAATAATTAGTATCATCCCAAAGTCCACCCCCACCTTCAACAAAGAACACATTGCCTGGCTACAAGGAGCATGATTAGCTGACAGTCTTCAGCTGTTAGCTTTTATTAAGTTGACTTCAGCTTTTCAGCCAAGGGCATTCTCCTCATGGAGAAGCCCAGAGCCAATGCCTGAATAATGGTGGTAGAAGGACCTAGCCATTTCCACTAATGCAGGAATATTCCAACAACCTTTGTTCCAGAGGTCCCTGCTGGGTTGCCCAGAGACTGCAAAATCAGCTTCACAATGTGATGACTCTTTCCAACCAATCTTGTTCCCGACCCTTTTTTTCACAGGTGTTGCTCTCTAGTACGCAGTTTGCAGTCCTAATTCCATCACAGGGTCAACTTTCTGGAAAACCTAACCAGGCCTGTTTCCATTTCAAAAATCACTCCTTATACCTACAAATAAAATGCCATTTTTAACAGCGCACAGAAGATTCATTTTATGTGAAACATGTGATGATTGAGCTTACTATCACACTCATCCTCCACTAACATTAACACACACACACACAGACACACACACCCTAACCTGAAAATGTCAACTCTTCTCTGAAGCCTTCAAATATAATCATCTGCTGTTTTCTCACGGCTTCCTTTTGAACGTCCAGCAGTACTTACCACACACTATTATAATTACGTGCTTATATATCTGTTTCCCTATTAAAGGAGCTCCCGCAATCTGTACCTTCTTCGCATTAAAAACCCCAGTGCCTCATAATGTACCTGGTACAAGTAGAATGTTCCATCAATTTCTTGATAAAGAAAGGAAACAAACTAAAAGTGAGTTTAAAAAAAAAAACTTTAAAACTATATGGATTACATATATTTTATCTGTGAGATTGGATAACTATGGCCAGCAAATTCAAGCCCCAAACATTCACGTTCTAAAAATAAAATAACTGTATTTTTCTTAGTGAATAAAATTATTTTCATTTTTGAGATACATTCATTAATGTTAAAATTGAAAGCTACTAGGCAACCTGAAGGCCTATTCGTTTTAAATTTTTTAGGACACTTCCTCACAAGTACATATTAGTTACCAAGGAAAAATGAAACACTGGTTTTTACAACTCATTAAATTTCTTTTCAACTTCATATAACCTGTCAGTTCTCAACTGCACTCTCCAGGGACAAAAACCAAGCCAAACATTCCTAGCACATAAGCACAAAATAAAAGTAATCCATGAAAAAAATAAAGTTTCTATAAGAAAAGCATTTCACAAATTACAAAATTTTAATTTTGAGAATTGCTAAGCCATTTTATTTTCTGAGAACAGTTAAGCCATTTTATTTTTTTAAATTCAGTATGTTAAAATGGGCATTACTCCTCCACCTAGTAATCACAGAATAGGTGAACAATTTAGAAATTCAAATATTTGAAAGGAAGGCTAAGCCTCCCATAGGAAATAAAAGTGGAAATGAGTCCAAGAGAGAAAATGGCTTGGTTCCACACCCTTAAAATTGCCTACAGCAATGCATCAAAAAATAAAAATAAGCCCCCAGAGTCTGGGTCAGCAGCATAGTGTTACAACTTAAGCATTGGGTCATCAATGGCAATGGTAGGCTGATTAATGGTTGAGGTAATATATTCACTTACTATAGTGTGGAACTGTATAACACTACCACCAACAGTACAAAGAGTTCTTGTGTGGATATCATGTACAAAGAAATAGTATAACCATCTACTACTTGTATTTTAATATGGATATATGAAACATACCAGAACAGTTTAAGAAGTACACACAAATAAACCATATTATAAATCCTAATCATCATTCAACTTGTTAAAAAAATAAAACTGAACTTCATTCAGCAATCTACTAATTATATTTTCCAAAAAAAAGCACCTCATTTTTGCTGCTCATTATTAAAATCTGATCCTAATTAAAACAACCTTCCTAAAATCTAAAAGATAAAAGCAAAAATGTTAATATGGAAAAAGGCAGTTTTTCAAGTAATTAAGCCATTCCCTAAACTATAAATAACAAAATATTTTACACTTATGGCATTAATAGGTTAAATATAACATTGATATTTCTTCATATTTAACAGGCAGCTCCAATGAGTACAATAAACATGTATGAATTATATTATGTACGTTACTTTTCAGAGTTCTTGACAAATCGATTTTGAAAATAACCAAGGAAAGAAACAGGGAGGGGAAGACTTTTACTATATGTGTTCCCAGTGCCTTGTACAGAGATTAACATACAATAGTGTCTATATATGTTTATAGAATACAAAAATTAATATTAGGTCAAGATTAGGTTTTTCTTAATGATAAAATATTTCTTTTTCTCAGTCATATGTAAGAGCTAAAAAAGTTGGTATCATGAAGGTGGACAGTAGAATGATAGATACCAGAGGCTGGGAAGAGTGTGTGGATGAGTTGCAGGAGATGAAGAGAAATGGGTCAATGAGTACAAACATACAGTTAGACAGAAGGTATAAGTTCTAATGTTGATGGCAGAGTAGGGAGGCTAATAGCAACAATGTATTGTATATTTTGAAGTAACTCAAAGAAAGAAACTGAAATGTTCTCAACATATAGAAATGATAAATACTCAAGGTTATGGATAGTCCAAATATTCTGACCTGATTATTACCCATTTTACGCATGCAACAAAATATCACATATATCACATAAATATGTAAAATATTATGTATCCGTTTTAAAAAATTTCTTTACACAGAGAAAATGTTATCAGCACCAAGAGTCTTGCTTTCTGAAAATTACTATACCTATAACATGTAATTTAGGCAAGATTGATATTAAGAATCATTACCTGAAAGGCAATGCCCAAGAGTCATAAGAAGTGTCCTTAATTTTGACCCAATATTTGTGCTCTCAGAAATTTTTGCAGGAAAATAACTTAAAAATATCAACATGCATGAAGATACAAAATGCTGTATCTAAGAAACAATAAATCACCTAAATTTCAAGTGTTAATGAATTTCTTTAAAAAAGGACGTCAGTGGAATAATATTAAATAATTCAATTTAAAAGTATGTAAGGCATATACTATATAACTGGCACAAGATGTTAGAAAGCACACTCTGGGAACTTAAAAGAAGTACACCTAAAGCAGTCTGAAGGATTTGAAGCTTCAGCTATGTCTTAATGGAAAACAGGTTAAGCAGACAAGAAGAAGAAATGGTTATGAGAGTAGGGAAGATTTTGCAGGAAGATGCAGTAGCATGTGCAACAGCAAGGAGGTATGAGAGACTCTATGTTTTGGCTAGAAATGTACTATAAGTAGTTCAGACCTTCCTGGCTAACACAGTGAAACCCCATCTCTACTAAAAATACAAAAAATTAGCCGGGCATGGTGGCGGGCACCTGTAGTCCCAACTACTTGGGAGGCTGAGGCAGGAGAATGGCTTGAACACAGGAGGCCGAGCTGGCAGTGAGCTGAGATCGCACCACTGCACTCCAGCCTGGGCGACAGAGCGAGACTCTGTCTCAAAAAAAAAGTAAAAAGAAAGAGGCTTGAAGAAGAAAGTTTCCCATGATGAGTCTAAGAGAAGGTCATGAAATGATCATGTACTAACATGGGAAGAAGTTCCAACTTTATCTTGAGGACAAATGAGAAAACACTGAAGGATACAATCAGAATTCCATTTTAGAAAGATCACTGAGACAGCATTGGAGAGAATGAATTGCAAAACAACAAGAGAGAACTTGGAAAGATATTATTACAACAGTACTATTAGAAACAAAAGCATGGTAACACAAAGTAGAGCCCAGGAAGGTTTAGCAGGAAGAAATAACAGAACATGATGACTTACAAGATGCAGACAAGAGAAAATTTAAGTTAAAGAGAATTCCTAGGTGTTTTACATAAAACAAGGGGTGAATTGTGATACCATTAGCTCTGATTAGAAAATAACAGTTAGGCCAAGATGGATGGATCACGAGGTCAGAAGATCAAGACCATCCTGGCTAACACGGTGAAACCCCATCTCTACTAAAAGTACAAAACATTAGCCGGGCGTGGTGGTGGGTGCCTCTAGTCCCAGCTACTCGGGAGGCTGAGGCAGAATGGCGTGAACCCGGGAGGCGAACCTTGCAGTGAGCTGAGATCGCGCCACTGCACTCCAGCCTGGGCGACAGAGGGAAACTCCATCTCAAAAAACAAAAAAAAAAGAAAAGAAAAGAAGAGTTAAATTTCCTTCTGAATATAGTGAGTTTTAGATACCTTGGCATATTCAAATAAATGTCACAGTTTCAGGAAGATGTTCTGGGCTACAGCATTAAATGAAGCAGTTGTCAGTGTATGGGTTGTAGCTGAAGCAACACAGGAGAAAGAGATTACTCAGTGTATTCTCTTAAGATCAACGATAAAAAGACAAAGGAGAAGAGCCCACAAATCAGAAGAGAGTTCTACGTATGTCAAATACAGAGTCAGGAAGTTAGAACTACAAAATATACACCGGACTCAGCATCAAAGCTAACTGGAGAGGCAACATGTACATAATTCTAAGTCATTTCTCTGTGACAGAAAAGAGGAAGATAAAATGAGACCTTGGGAGGAACTTTGAATCTAAGAAAATTTTCTATTTGTATGCTTCCCACAATGAGAGAGACAATCAGAGTGGTACGTGACCACCAAAGAGAAATTTTAAAACATAATGTTATGAAAAGAAGAGCATAACATAAAATGGTAAACATATAATAAATAAAAAACATGTAAAAATGTATATACGAAGACATGAGTTGGAAGGGAATGTGGAGAATTAAAAACAGTCATGCTATACTTGTATCTTTTTACTTTTATGATTTCCTTTAATGTTGTCCTATGCTTTAATTTAAAAGTGAGTAAAAAGAAACCACTCAATACATCTCCTCATCAAATCCCATCAGATTAATATAATTAATTAGCTATAGTCTTATGATTAATAATGTAATGAAAAATAAACCCATTATTCAATCCTAATTTTCTAATAATCATTTCACCTAATCCTAAAATGTGCATTCCTAAAAATTATCTGGTTGTTTCCAAACATCAGAGTACTATAAGATTTCCCATGTCTCACTAAACTTGGAAAATATGAGGTAAATGACATGTTAACTTGAACAATCATAAAAATGCTTAGAAAGTAAAAGGTTCATATAATGAAAAAAACTTAGAAATGTTTCCATATGTTTCTATGAAGTATTCTTTTCCCACTACATGAACACATTCAAGATTTTATTTTTGGCTTTGTTTCAGAAAAAAAACCCATCTGCATAGTACAGCACTTACAAGCACATCTCAGTCATGCAACAGTTATGTCACAGCTCATATATCAAATAAAAATCACATTCAAGCCCGCACAACCTCACAGACCTAAAGTCTTCCTTTCTATTAAGAGTATTCCTGAGAGAGCTCTCAGTGCACCTCACTGCTGATGTCACATGACTTTTGTTAGGATGTTAAATCCTGAAGCTAAAATATCAAACAGTTTGGAATGCAGTTGTGAATGACCTAAAAAACCAACTTTCACTCCTTATAAACTATGAATATTTCCTTTTCACAGAAGCAGGTGCAGAAGTGGTGAAAAAAACTTACTATACTTCGCCATACTTTGTTTTTTTAAATAAAGTATTATTTCATTATGTGAATGACAATAATGTTCCCTTTAATATTTAGAATAATCTTAATACATTCTTTGAATGCATCTCTATTCAATTTTATACACATATGAAAATACGTTCTTTGTAGATTAGAAATATTTCATTATCTAGAGCAGTTTGTACAAACTTCATGTATTTGTATACCAACTTTATTACTACCCTATCCATATATCCTTTGTACTATTATTTATTGAAGAAGCAGCAGTTATTACATAGGGGCTAAGAGGTCAGACACTGTCAGAGTACATGGATTGATATTCCAGCTCTGCCACTTACTAGATTCATAACTAAGGGCAAGAATGTTTACTTCTCTGTTCGCTAATGTCTCGTATTCTCATTTGTACAATGGAAATAATGATAGTACCTACCTCTCTAAACTGCTGTGAGGACTAAATGACACAATAGATAGCAAGTATGTACAAGAGTGTGTCATATATAATAACCACTCAATAATTATTAACAATACTATTAATATTTTTTCTTTAAATTTACTCATTTTACTATATTTAGATTATAATAAATTTATTTTATAAGCAAACTTTTATTCCACTATTATCTTAAGCAGTAATATTTGAAATCATGTGTATAAATATGTGGGATATATTTTTCCTAATACACAGTAAAATAAATAATTTCTAAAATTAAAGTTTCCCACATACTAATTAAAATCGTCTCCTATATCAGGCTGGGTACAGTGGCTCACACCTGTAATCCCAGCACTTTGGGAGGCCAAGACAGGCGGATCACTTGAGGTCAGGAGTTCAACCCCAGCCTGGTGAAACCCCGTCTCTACTGAAAATATAGAAATTAGCTGGGCATGGTGGTGTGCACCTGTAATCCCAGCTACTCAGGAGGCTGAGGCAGGAGAATCACTTGAACCCAGGAGGCGGAGGTTGCTGTAAGCCGAGATCATGCCACTGCACTCAAGCCTGGGCGGCAGAGTAAGACTCTATCTCAAAAATATAAAATAAAATAATCTCCTATATCAAAGGTGATATATACACCAATAATGAGCACTTTATAATATGTAATGGCCATCTTTTGTATTAGACATTAACAACTATTTGCCTCATGAAAAAATTGAGGTATATGTTAACAAAGCACCCATACGGTCCATTCAAAGGAAACATGTTAGAAAACAAATAATACAATGTCATACGATGAATAATTGTCATCCTGTTCGAGTTTTTAAAATCCACTGGTTTTTCTTTTAATCCACCTAAATTCCTTCTAGTTTTAACTCATTCCTTTCTTTTACAGAATTAGAAAACCCTGTTACCCTTCATAAAATCATGAAATAATCCAAGAGAAATTCGATCACTGCTATTACTATAATTAATAACAGTAGCCACCAATTACCAAGCTAGGCACTGTGATTAATGCAATTTATCACAACCAAAACATGAAAAATGTAGTATTAACCATATTTTACAATGAAGAAATTGTAAATTTCAAGAATCTAAGTAAGATGCCTAAGATACTACCAGTTAGTAAATGCCAATATTGGGGGTGAACTGGGAAGGAAGTTACATGGGGCTAGAATTTAAACCATAAGGTCCTGACTATGCTAGTGGATTAGACAGACTAAAATGTGTTGTCTTTCTAAGTATTCATAAGCTAAGCAAATCAGTGTTTCACTGATAAAAACATATTTGGTACTCTTCATTCACAACTACATTTACGGCCTACAGGTCATCCTTCTTAATTGTCCCAGTGATGCCAAATCTTGATTATTTGAGGGGTGAGTCTGAATATTTGAAATAAATAAATACCATTCAGAGCCAAGAGCAGTAGATAAGTAACACTGGATCCCAACAAATCTTTATATTCTAACAAAAGGTATAGTTCTGGATAAATACTGAAAATTGCATTTTGTTTCTATGTCTGCCTCTGAGTCTCTAAAAGAAAAGAAAGTATGTATATGAAGCTGAGGTACTGGCTGGGCATGGCGGTGCACAGCTGTAGTATCAGCTGCTGGGGAGGCTGGGGCAGGAGCATGGCCTGAGCCCAGGAGTTCAAGTTTGCAGTCAGCTATGATGGTTGTGCCCCTGTACTCTAGCTTGGGTGACAGAGTGAGACTCCACTCCTGAATAAATAGCTGAGGTACTGATTTCCTTGTGTGTCTGCAAAATTGGCCACCAAAAAAAATTTCAAAGAAGTTTTAAAACTCTGAGAACACGGTGTGTCCGCGACTGAAAAGTATTAGCTAAAAGAATTTAAAAAAGCAATAGTCATTTAGATGTATGTTTTTTTCTGTGTAACAGAATAAACTTCAAAGATATATTCATAAGAAAATAGTTATTAAAGCCTCTCTCTTTTAAAAAAATTAACATTTCTCTCCTTTTCATTTTTCTTCCTCTTCAAATAGCTTATTGGAAACCTGTTAGGTATTTTTAAATCTTTTCTAATGTCAACAGTACTGCTCAAAATTCTGAAACGAAGTCAGTGTGGCGATTCCTCAGGGATCTAGAACTAGAAATACCATTTGACCCAGCCATCCCATTACTGGGTATATACCCAAATGAGTATAAATCATGCTGCTATAAAGACACATGCACACGTATGTTTATTGCGGCACTATTCACAATAGCAAAGACTTGGAACCAACCCAAATGTCCAACAATGATAGACTGGATTAAGAAAATGTGGCACATATACACCATGGAATACTATGCAGCCATAAAAAATGATGAGTTCATATCCTTTGTAGGGACATGGATGAAATTGGAAACCATCATTCTCAGTAAACTATCGCAAGAACAAAAAACCAAACACCGCATATTCTCACTCATAGGTGGGAATTGAACAATGAGATCACATGGACACAGGAAGGGGAATATCACACTCTGGGGACTGTGGTGGGGTCGGGGGAGGGGGGAGGGATAGCATTGGGAGATATACCTAATGCTAGATGACACATTAGTGGGTGCAGCGCACCAGCATGGCACATGTATACATATGTAACTAACCTGCACAATGTGCACATGTACCCTAAAACTTAGAGTATAATAAAAAAAAAAAAAAAAAAAAGAATAAAACTAAGAAGAATTTCTCAGTTCTTCCTGGTGAATCTTCTGATGTAGAATCAATCCAAACTCATGTTAGCTCTCTCACCAATGTACTAAGTCATGTTCAAAGTACAGATTCATATTCCCTAGGAGTCCAATATAACCCAAAACTCCATAACTTTTCTTGCTTGTGCCAATCAAATCTTTGTTTCTAATTTTATTACCTTTAATCCAAAGTATACTTTAACGTTTTATGCTTCTTCTGTGTCTTAGAGAAAATCACTTCATATGTTTAACAACAACTCTGACAAATTTGGAAATGACATCTAGTTTAATGTGCATACAGTTTTCATTCCTTCTTCCATGACATCAACACAAACAAACAGAAATGGGTCTAGGTGAAATACAAATTAATATGTCTTAAATTAACATGCCAAACCATCAGTAATTATACTTGGCCTAAGAGAGTAATATGTATTTGCTAGGACTCATATTTTAATCAGTGACAGAAAGCCAATTTAAACTAGCCTAAACAAAAGCTGAGATTTATTGGTAAAACCCAGTGAAGATAAGGGAAAGACAAGGCCTCAGAAACTATTGGAAGCAGAGTCTCAAATGACTCCAAAACTCTGTCTCTTTGTCACTTCAGATGACTTTAAGCTCTCTGTAGACCTAATTTCTCATCATGGCAGGAAACAAACAATGACAACTACCAATTCTTACACTTTTTTGTCACTAAAAACAAGCCTCATTTTTCTCTGGTTCCAAGTTCAAAACTCTCAGAAAAAAATTCTGATTTGCCCAACACCAGTTTTATGGACTTTAAACTTATAGAGAGACATTACAACTGGCTCGATCTGAGTAAGGTAGCTGCCCCTGGTCAAATGAAAACAGCATATTCAAGAACATACCAGGCTTGGCACCCAGAAGCTTTTGAATTTACATGAAAAAGTGGCAGCCATCCTGCTATGGTTTGAATGTTTGTCCCCTCCAAAACTCATATTGAAATTTAATTGCCATTGTGACAGTATTGGAAGGTGGGATTTTTAAGAGATGTTTAGGTCATGAGGACTCTGCCCTCATGGATGAACTAAGGCCATTATAGCGAGAGTAGGCTTGTTATCACAGAAGCGGACTAGCCCCCCTCACCAGTGTGCGTGCACACACACTCACTCACTCTCTTTGCCTTTGTGCCATGTGAGGAGGCTGCAAGAAGGCTCTTGCCAGATGCTAGCATCTCAATATTTGACCTCTCAGCCTCCAGAACTATGATCCAATAAATCTCCATTCATTATAAATTATCCTGCCTGTAGTATTCTGTTATAGAAGCACAAAACATAGCAAGACACATCCCTTGGGGAGAAACTTTAACCCTCATTTTGCCACTTGAAGCCAAGCTGCAGGCCTAATGGGGCCTTTGATACATGAAATTCCCCAAAATGTCAGAGTCTGATTCACTGATCATTCAACTAAACTGAAACCCAATGGTATACATCGTGCTACTGCTGCTGTTTTATCTTAGCTCCAGCTATTCAGTGGGCATAACTCAGTAGGCAAAATTCAAGGCCATTCTCATAATTCTGGCAATTATTTCCCTTGAGGAATCTTGTTATAAATGACTGATCGTTATTGCCAATGGCCTACCTGTTTACGCTGCCACTTGGAAAACCAGAGTGGCAGATTTAAAGACTAAAGCTTAGAGGCCACAAACTATAGAAAAAAAATCATTGCTGATCAGATAATCTGGGTCACTCATGCTGATGACCACAGTAGGGGCCCATTCCAGGATGAGGTCAACTGGAATCAAGGTGTTGATCAAACCTGCACCACCCAGATTGTCACAATTGC
This sequence comes from Homo sapiens, assembly GCF_000001405.40. Lineage (NCBI taxonomy): Eukaryota > Metazoa > Chordata > Mammalia > Primates > Hominidae > Homo > Homo sapiens. The sequence continues at coordinate 99,218,954 of NC_000008.11, read as the reverse complement.
TGCCTGGATCCATCACTGTATCACATAGCAACATATTCACCATCATAGACTGGGCAAAAAGCAAACGACTGTTTCTGATGCAGAGATTACCACTGTATGGCAGACTTGTGACCACCAAAACTCAACCAGTTTACATCACAAGAAAGGCCACATTGCATGAGGCATTACCACTCCATCCCTTTCCAGACTACTCTTGTCAAACTTATTTCATTCCCACCCACCTCCCATTCATTCTGATCAGCTGACTCCCTCTGCACCACTGTGGCCATAACAATTAAGCTATTACATATTTTCAGTTTTCAAGACCATGTGCCAGACGACAATGGCACTTTGACAATGCCCTTTTATCATAAAGAGCACACAACAGCTAAACAATCAACAATATTTGATGGATATTCCATGTTCGCTATCTAATCCAGAGGCATCAAATATTATCAAACACCAAAACTGCATCCTTATAAATCAACTGAAACACAAAACTCCACCTCCCTTACCCTCTCTTAGTCTACAGTGCTAAGACTGTAAATAAATGTCAACAAATGCATCTGTCATCACAAAGGAATCATCTCCTTTTGGCTACTACCAGGGTAGTGATCAGAAAAAACAGTGCAGATTATGCAGACCAAGGATCAGCAAACTTCTTCTATAAAGGGCCAGATAGTAAATATTTTAGACTTTGTGTGCTACATATGGACTCACATTTCTTCTTCTTCCTCCTCTTTTTTCAATCCTCTAATAATGTAAATAAACATTCTTAGCTTGTAAGCAATACAAGACCAGGCCACTGCAAGCTGCAGTTTGCCAACTCCTGGGATACACTTATTGTGAACGCTCAGGATTCCACTCTGACCATATTTGGATATAATCAAAATCCAACTTTCCCCTAAAAACAATCTCAAGACAGTCTAACTGGCATACCTTTAAGGGAGCAGCCCAGGAAAAACCTAGGAGATTCTAATTTAATTGTGGTCCAGCACTAGATTCTTTTATTGGATTGATATGTTCATGAGTCAGAAACTGGCAAATGTTTTATGCAAAGGGCCAAAATCTTTGTGAGCCATGAAATCTCTATTGCAAGTACTCAAGTCTGGCATTGTGCAAAAGTCACCATAGATAATAAGTAAACAAACTGGCACAACCAGATATGGCCCAAAGCAACCCTAGTCACTACCAAAACTAGTAGCTTTCTTTTTCCATACTTTTTTTGTTCTAGTGACAGCTCTATTTTTATCCTGGAAGGATTTGCCAAGAAAAGGAATCAACTCATGTGTCTTTTATAATGAGGCTTAGTGAGGTTCATATACGCACGGCTCTTTTGTATTTTGAGATTCAAAACTATATTACCAAAAATGAAATACACAAAAATACCCATATATAATATAGCTGGAAAGCATAAACTAGAAACTACACCTTCTCAGTGTTCTTCAAATAAAAAAATATCTACTGAATGCCTACTATGTGAAAAGTCACATGTAGTAAGTCATATAGCCAGAGCTCTGAAAGTAAATTATCTCTGAATCACATTTAATTCTCTAAATCACATTCTTAGGTACTATCATTATCAGGTAGCGGAATTAAGACTCAAACATGCTGTGTCCTTGACCGTGTTACTGCCTCTGCGCCCCAGTTTCCTCATCTGTTAAAAAGGAATGACAATGGTATCTAACAACAGGGCTATTCTAAGGATTAAATGTGTTAGTATATATGAAGCCCTTAGAACAGTGCCAGGCACACGATAATCACTTATGTGTTAGCAATTATTGTTACTATTATAAATGTTATTAGAGGGAATAAACATGAACATGATCTGTTACAGTTGTTTTGATCATTTACTTACATAATGAAAAAAGAGTAAACAGAAAATGAGTAAACAGAAAATAATGAAAAGAGTAAACAGAAAACACAACATTTTTTGCCCCAAACTAGTACCAGTACAATAGGAAAGAAAAGCTAATGTGCCATTTTTTAGATACTTTCTTCTTGATAATAGCCTAAAGTTTAAATTTGTAGGACCACACACTAAGGTAAAACATCAACGCCTCACTTTCCGAGCAAGTACTGTCTATTAGAAAATGTCACTTAAAATCTTGTACTAACCACATTAAAAAAGTAAAAACAGGTGAAATCAATATTAACATTTTTACTTATTCAATATATCCAAAAACAATTTAATGACTTTAAAATGTAATGAAATTAAGATACTTTACATTCTTTTTTTAAAAGTATTTGAACCCAGTAAGTATTTTACACTTATTTCTCAATTCAGATTAGCCACATGTAAGTATCCAATAGCTACATGTGACTGGTGGCTACGATACTAGATAGGGTAAATTTGAATTATTAAATATATAATTCTCAAAAATGTCATACAAATTTTAATCTCTTTCCCTCCTTTTCCTCTAGCACTCCCCTATTCTCCTCCACCCAAATTTTACATTCATTCATTCATTCATTCATTCATTCATGTGATATGCTAGGATGAGAATATGTTCCTCTAGAAAAGAAAAGACAGTAAACAATTATAATCCAATTGAAAGGTAATACTGGGAGTAGCTAACCTAAGAGACATGGGAGGAGAGGGTAGTGAGGTATCACAGATGAAGTTTAAATTGAGACATGAAAAATAAGTGGTTATAAGCCAAGTAAAAATGGAAAGGACCTAACAGGAAAAGTGAATAACACAGTAAAAGCCCTGCAGCAGAAGAAAGTTTGTTGTATTTAAAGTCCAGAAAAGAGATCGATGTGGCTTAAGCATAGTGAACAAAAGCAATTGTAGCACATGATGTGCCCCATTAGGCATTCAAATTTTTCCCAAGGGAGACTTGAAAAAAATCTTAGCATAATAGGATTAGTAGCTGCCTACCTACTACTCATACCCCTTTCTTAGTTACTAAAAGAACTTCAATTTAATTCAATGTAGGAATGTATCTAGCTAGAAGTACCTCTGTGACTAGAATAAAAAGCAAATAACATTAGAAAACATTATTTTAAGAACACTACAAAAAAGACAATATAGCAAGCCTAAGACTGTTATCCTTTGGAAAGCCTGCTTGGAAAGCTGGACCTTGACTGGTGAAGTCTGGGAAGTTGCCTTCCCCGCATCCTCTAAGATAAGAGTGGTTTGCTATGTGGAGCCTTCTGTACAAAAAGAAAAGCTTATACTGAACATCCGCTTTCCTTCTAGGAGTCCAGGATTTTGGTACTTGCAAGGCAGAGGTTGTTTATATGACCAGCCCCCAACGAAAACCTTGGGCACTGAATGGGCTTCAAACAATGCTCATATTAGTGTATTTTTTTGTTGGTGGAAAAAGGAGTATACTCAATACTCAAGCATACCTGTGCCTTCACAGGAGGCAGGGGGCAAAAGGAATCACATGCATGAGTTTCTCCAGACTCAACCTATGTCTTTTCCTCTTATGACCCAAGTATGTATCCTTACTACATTGCTATAATAAATCTTAGTAATGCGTACAACTACATCTTGAGTCCTGTAAGTCCTTCTAGATGCTCTCTAAAGTAAGGATGGTCTTAAGGACTTTAGACACAGATAAGAATGCATACAGAAATTCTATTTTAACAATTTTTCACACATAACTTAAATCACAGTATTTTCTTAACAATTAATTCCTATAATCTAATTGTAAGTGATTTACTTTGCTCACTAACAGAGACTAATCTCCTAGTTTGTACACCCTATACAACACATGGTGTCAGGCAGGCAAAATAAGAGGTGATCTTTAAGAATTAGTAGAATTTGTAAACTATTTACATTTTGAACATTCACCAAAAAAGCAGACATACAACACTTATCATCTTTAGACATTCTGCAAAGTAAACATTAGTTACTGAGGATACAGCAGGGAAAAAAATCAGACATGCAACCTGCCTTTGAGGAACCTATTTTCTACTTAAAGAAGGCTCCTCTGAGGAACTGACATTTAAGGTGGGCTCCAAAGGATAAGTTGATATAAATAGATTAAATAGAGAGACATGGGCATTGCAGAAATATGGAGTATATTGAAAAAAACTCCAAAATAGAAAGAAGCATAGTTCTTTTGAGAAGCTCAGAGGTTACTGGGGAATAGGTCCATATTTAAGTTTTTATCCTACAATTAATATGAAGTCAGTGAAGGGCTGGTAGTACTTGTCACATCTGAGTTTTTCAAAGCTCACTCTGGTACAAAATAGACAATAGATTGGATGGAAAAAGAAATTATGGAATTGCCTTAGTGTGACAGAAGTAAAGATGGAGAGAAATGAATATGTTGTTAAAGTATTGAGAAAATAAATTGGACAACACCTGGTATTTGGTACTATGGGTACATGATTAAACATAGGTAAAAAGTATCAATTAATATAATCAGTTAAACCTATACACATTGTGGATGAGACACGTTAACAAAATGCTGGTAAAAAAAATGAAGAAAAATTAGCAATAAAGTTTAAATTCCAGGACTTCTTCTGTCAATATTTGACTAAGTAAATTTTAAAATTACATGAAAAATCTGATAAGTATGTTAATTTTTATTAAGTTCTCTACAGATAAAAAGTACAATGTTTGAAATAGGCACCATATGAAAAGTACAAGGCTATAAGCTATACTTTATGCAGTGGATAAATTTTTTCTGGTAAAGGGCAAGATAAATGTTTTCAAATTTGTGGACAATATGTTTGTGGCAACTACTCAACCCTACCATTGTAGGATAAATGTAGTCACAGACAATAATTAAAGGAGTGAGCATGATTGTGTTCCAATAAAATTTTATTTATAAAAGCAAAGAGTGAGCCAGATTATTTGCCAAATCCTGATCTCAAGAATTGGATAGAAGGCAAAAGTTGAGACAAGTGGTCAGGTCTAATACCTGTCCAATAAGAAACAATACAGTAGGTGTCCCAGCAGGCAAATATAATATAATGAATAATAACTTTTTAAAAAATTAAATGGGTAGTAAGCAAGTAGATGTCTCCAAATTGGTCTGGTAATACTTATGGGGGAGTACCACATCCAGAGAGTTGGAATTAAGGAAAAGCCTGCAGAACTTATGGGAGTCTAGAAAGGGAAATTCATGACGGTAGCCTCTGACGGGCTAGGATACCAAACAGGGAATGTGGCCCAGCCAAAAAAAAAAAAAAAGGCATCCAGCAACTGAAATGGCAGTTCAAGATGAAAGCTTAGTCAGCTCAAGTAGGAGCTTTCAATACATAAAGCTAAGCCCACAGTCAAGGCAACACACTGCAAAGTTGAGGACATGCTCCTGAATCACATGAACATTGAATAAATGTGCAAAAGTTATACCAACAGAGGTTCATAGACAGGATTAGTCCTGAACCCTGGGGCATAGCTGAAAATACAGGGGCTCTAGCTACAGAGAAGAGAAAAGTATGTATGGACTATCAAAGCAGGCTCTTAGAGAAATATTTACTTTAAAAGAATTACTACTTCTTATATAAAAGGATCTAAAAAGCAGGTCAAGTCAGATAGGGAAAAAATTATTAGCCATTTTACTGAAAAATTATGTTTTCCAAGTTACAAATAATATTAACCCAATTTTTGTCAGAGGACTATCTATAATTTTTGACATGGAAATCTGGAAAAAATGTTATATTTGATTATTAAAACTAATTATTATATTTATTTTCAATGAATATTTGCAATAAAATTTTTATTAGAATTAGGTAGTAATAACAAATGGAAACTTCTTAAGATGTGTATTAACAATATGAACTATTACAGCACATTAGATTTTGTCAGAAAATCTCAGTACAAAAGTAACTACAATAAAGAGTGATGTGTACAAAAAACACACGCCATATTACCCAGCTAGAATTAAAGAGCTTTGAAAACAGGGTCCAAGTCTAGCACTTAGTAGGTAAGAAATATCTGTCAAACTAAGCTGATATATTAATCACAATGATTTCACAAAGGAGAAAATAATCAAATCTGCTTAAATGAGGGAGAGAAGTATTTGCAGAGGATACTTACTAAGACTAATCCTAAAGAAAGAATAAGATTTTGGGGGTATATGAAAACAGGCATATGAAAGCGTGACTTAGCCTAGAAACTTTATGGGGTTGATATGGTTAAGAACATCAAAAATATAAGAGATGTGAAGGCAAAGGGGAGAGTAGTAGTTCTGAAAATGGAGCTACATACATTGGTAGAAAAGAATCATATCATAAGGACCTTTTGATTTCATGCTCAGAAGTTTGGGTTTTATCCTGACAAACTATATCACTTAAGATTCTTCATGATGGAAATAAAAGTAGGAGCAGCACTAAGGAAGAAGAAGAGAAAAAGACCACCTTAGATCAGCTTAAATCATATGGTAATGCAGAGTTCAGAGATAGATCTGAGATTCACAATGTTATCAGTTCTCTGACTCTATTTCTCTGAGATTTCTCAGCTCTGCCTTCCTCCACCTGTCTTCCTCAGACTTCCCTTCTTTGTGGCTATAATGTAATGTAATGATAACACAATGATTGCAACAGTTGCAGATCTCATAGGCTCACAGCACACTTTCCAAGGAAAAGAGCCTATTTGTCTGATGGTTTCAGAAGGAAGATGATTTCTAATTTGCCCAGCAACACCCTGTGACATCTCATTGGTTTCAATTAGGTTTTTCAACCCCATTGGCCTCAATTAGGTTTCTCAACCAATCAGTATAGAAGGAGAGAGGTGAAGGGAATGTTTCGATTGGCTAAAGCCAGTCACAGCCCGTGCCTGAAATTTAGTCAGTCACTTCCATCAAAATTGCACGACTGGGCCAGGTGCGGTGGCTCATGCCTGTAACCTCAGAACTGTGGGACGCCAAGGCGGGCGGATCAATTGAGGTCAGGAGTTCAAGAGCAGCCTGGCCAACATGGTGAAACCCCGTCTCTACTAAAAATACAAAAATTAGCCGGGCGTGGTGGCAGACGCCTGTAATCCCAGCTACTCAGGAGGCTGAGGCAGGAGAATCGCATGAACCCGGGAGGCAGATGTTGCAGTGAGCCGAGATCACACCACTGTACTCCAGTTTGGGTGACAGAGTAAGACTCTGTCTCAAAAAAAAATTAAAATTAAAAAAATAAAATTGCACAATTGCTTTGATTGGCAAAAGAGTTCTCCAAAAGAAACTCGTGGTACTACTGAAAGAACAAAAGTACTGAACCAACAACATCTATTACAGAAAGCATAAGTAATTTTTTTCTCTCTCTGTCGCCAGGCTGGAGTGCAGTGGCGCGATCTTGGCTCACTGCAACCACCGCCTCCCAGATTCAAGTGATTCTCCTGCCTCAGCCTCCTGATTAGCTGGGACTACAGGCACACACCACCACGTCCAGCTAATTTTTGTATTTTTAGTAGAAACGGGGTTTCCAGTAGTAACAGGCTCTAACAGAACAAAAGTTTTAACTGCCAGCTGAACCACAGCTATACCTAACAACTCTCCTTTCCAAAATCTAGCTTGTCTAAATCTACCAAGAAGGATCCTTGGAAATCCTGACCTGCCAGGGGCCTGGAGCTTCCTAATATAAAAGATGATTGTCTTTCAGGGCAGAGAGCAAACCAAGTCCTCTCCCCTTCCTCCACTTTTGTTGCTGTACTTACTATTACCGGGTGGAAGCCTGGTAGAAGATATGCAAGAAGTCGGCAAGAATTCAGCCAGAGGTGTGTGTGAGTTAAAAGAAGTAAAAGGTAGACAGCTTCAGGCTTGTCCTCAAGTGTAAGTAGAGTGACTGCCAGAAGCCTCCCTTACCTTGTCCTCTCATGGCAAAAGAAAACAAAGATGCCTTTTGCCTACTTCATTCAGCCTCTCATTCCTATAAGAAAATTTCACATTTAGGGACGGCTTCATCTTACAATCATGGTAGTAACAAGGATGAGAGTAAGGGAAAAAAATCCAATGGGCTTGTGGGAAGTGAGGATGTCTGGCTGGCAGGCTCCCAGAACTAAGCACCACCTCCTGCGTCTCAGTCATTTGTCACCTGAGATAGTTCTCACATATATCCTTAATTTCCTAGCCCAAGAACGCCATACCAATAGGAAAGACAGTTAAACATTAAATATTTTTAAGACCTGGCCAGGCACAGTGACTCACACCTTAATACCAGAACTTTGGGAGGCTGAGGCAGGTGGATTGCTTGAGCTCAGGAGTTGGAGACCAGCTTGGGCAACATGGCAAAACTCCATCTCTACAAAAAATTAGCTGGCCATGCTGGTGGGCACTTGTGGTCCCAGCTACTTGGGAGGCTAAGGTAGGAGTATCTTTTGAGCCCAGGAGGCTGAAGTTGCAGTGAGCCAAGATTGCACCACTGCACTCCAGCCTGAGAGATGGAAATAAAACTCTGTCTCAAAAATATATATATATATATTTTTCAAGACCTTATAATGTAAGTTTATTGTTCAACTTCCAGACATTCAGCTTTCAAATATAGTTTCGAGAATGTTCTATGTCTAACACAATGGCACCAAATGTGAGACTATAAATGTATTCACATACAAACACTACAAAAATGACCCGATATCCGATCCAGTGGAATCCAATGGCCATAATAGAAAGATACTGAGGATACTGCAGAGTGCCACAGAAGTACACCCCAAAGGAACATAGCTCAATGGGAGATGTGTTTGAGAATATAGGGGTCAATAAAAGAACTGTATGCCACAAGGATTAGAAATGAGGTGCTGAGAATATCCAGGGTAAAATTAGCTGCTCTGCCTTGGAAATTTCCTTTATAGTGTAGGAAATGCTGATTCCCAGAGCATAATACAGGTAGAAGTAAATAAATAAAATGGGATTCTGGTCCAGCACTCAGCAGCTATCTTCTCCTTATTCACTTAAACCTAGAACCAGCCCTACATAATTTATTACTTGAAATTGTGCTCATCTTCAGAATATATTTAGCACATTCTTAATTATTTAAACTATCATCAAAGAAAAATGAGTAATTATGTATATGGTTATACATTTTTAATTGCTTATTATAAGAACTAATATATAGTGACACATATGGGTATTATTTTTAGACCCACAGAACCTACATCTCTTGTCCTTAAAAAAAAAATTTTGAGTACGAACCAAATATTAACATTTAGTATACATTATAAACTTTAAGTTCTGTAACTGAAGTATTTGAAAACTTTTTAGAATAAACTATTTCAAATGTAATTTCTCTTTGAGACTTCCTTGTATAAAGAATATTTAATATGTGAGCCATTTTGACTATACAATTATGTATTACATGAAATTATAACATAATTTATAAAGGGCCAGGCACAGTGGCTTGGGCCTCCAATCCCGGCACTTCAGGAGGTTGAGGTGGGAGGATCATTTGAGGCCAGGAGTTCAAGATCAACCTGGGCAACATAGCAAGACCCAATCTCTACAAAGTAAAAAAAAAAAAAAAATTGTTATTAAAATAATTCATAATAGTAGTGAAAAAATAAGTCCATCTACTGTAAAGAAGCTATATACTTACCTACTAAAACAGAATAAAAATAATATTTACAGATCTTGGTCTTACCTATATTAAAATCAGTAGGAAATTTTTCAAGGATTCACATTAATAAATCCAACAAAGTCCAATATAAATTATACTCTAACATTCTATTTGCCATAATAAGTAAAAATTTGGAATTGTGTAGTATATTACAGCATTATTTCGGTTTTGTTTTTTGTTTTGTTTTTTTTTTGAGATGGAGCCTCAGTCTGTCACCAGGCTGGATGGAGTGCAGTGGCACTATCTTGGCTCACTGCAACCTCTGCCTCCCGTGTTAAAGTGGTTCTCCTGCCTCAGCCTCCCAAGTAGCTGGGACTACAGGCACATGTCACCACACTCAGCTAATTTTTGTATTTTTAGTAGAGATGGGGTTTTAGCATGTTGGCCAGGATGGTCTCGATCTCTCAACCTTGTGATCTGCCCACCTCGGCCTCCCAAAGTGCTGGGATTACAGGCATGAGCCACCCTGCCCAGTCGCATTATTTCTTAAAAAATAAACACAAGTAGTTCTCTGAAAACTAGAACCCAACTTCTCATTCTGTTATTTTTTACTACTCAGTAGCCTTGTAAAAATATCTTCAACAGCTTTTAAACCTGTAAAATATTGTTCAGATTTTCTACTTCAAAGAATGTACAAGAGATTAATGAAAATATGGACTACAAAGAACTTACAAAATTACTTCACTATTGTCACTTGGCTTTCCTGTGAAAGTAAAGGACTGTTTTAAAATTAAGAATTAGGAAGTCAATCTATGATAATAAGACTTTTATCATGATTTCATTTGTTGCAATGATTTGACCTATATGTTCCATGAATCATTAATTAAAATAAGTATTCACTTTATGCAAAATATTTATATTTCAAATAAATCTCTGTGGTAAAGAGCAAACAAAAATCTAGTAAAATCAACATAGTATTTAATCTTACATATAATATGAAGATGTTTATCATATGAGATATACACTTCATTTAAAAAGGTGACTATAAAAAGATAGAATCAGAAACTTGGGATTAATGGAATTTTGCAACCAAAATTTCATTTTAAATTATGAAATATTACAATTTTCCTCCAAGTAGAATCAATAAAAAAAGGAAATAAAAAGAAAGAAAAGAAGTCTTAATGATATGTGATATGGGTTGGATATTTGTCATCCCCTCAAATCACATGCTGAAATGTAATCCCCAGTGATGGAGATGGGGCCTGGTAGGAGGTGTTTGGGTCATGAGGATGGATCCCTCATGGCTTGGTGCTGCGTGATAGTGAGTTCTCAGAAGATGTTGTTTTAAAGTGCATGACACCTCCTCCCAACTCTCTCTTTTGCTCCAACTCTGGCGATGTGACACGCCAGCTACTGCTTTGCCTTCCAACATGATTTTAAGCAGCCCAAGGCTTCAACAAATAAATTTGCTGTTTTAAGTCACCTAGTTTGTGGTACTTTGTAAACAGCCCTCACAAATAAGAGTCCCTTTCTTCACTGTATGTAATTAACTCTTGTCCATTTTTAAAGCCATACTTGATCTTGTAATAGGTGACACAGAAGATTCTACATTCATTACTAAAATCATGTCTATTTCTTGTTAGCTATCTGCTCCCAGAACTGAACAGATTGCAAACTACATATTTTCAAAATGACTGATAAGTGAATACAACCAGAAGAAATACATTTTAGGTTGTGAACAAATAGAAGACATAAACATGAGCAAAGAATACATAGGCAAATAAACAGCAAAAAAATACATAAGGCAAAAAAAGTATCTTTTCTGCAGAAATCTAACTCATTTATCTATTAATATTTTATTATCAACAGTAATTTATTGACACATTTTTATGATGTTCATAAAAGACTTTCTGTAAGACTGAAAAATCACACTAAATTCATATTGCCTACTTTTCAAATATCCAATAAAATATACTTAAATAATAATTCAAAGAATTGCATTTTTCTCAAATCTACTCTGTACACTTACACTTTATATATTTTCTTTCACTAAAGGACACCTAAAATTCCCATTCCTGTGCCATGAAGTATCATCAGAAAAAAATTTACAAACATTATCAAAATGTCTGAGACAGAATAGAGGAACAAAATTAAGTCAGGCATAACTTAACATTCTAAGTGTGTCTTTAACCCCTTTATTCCTAGTGTTGCATTATTAGAATGCTAAGCTTGTGGGAGTTATTTATATCCTACTGTGCAAAGTCATTGCCAAGATCTGATTTTTCACACACACACACAAAATTGCAACCTCCAGCATAAATGGGTTAAACCTATATTAATTACTCACTTCTTAATAATGACCACATATTCTATAAATGAGCTCTCAATACCTGGACATAAGCTGTAGTAAAATGGAAACTTTAAATTCAATAAATATTCATATTATTAAAAGTGCATATAGGGACACCTTAAAACTCACAAGATTCACAAAAATTAATGTCTTTTTACTCCAATTTAAATATCAAGAGGTCTAATTGGTAGTTCTCAATACAAATCTAACTCAATTCATTTTTTTTTACGCAAGAATAAATGTATAGCCAATGCCTGTATCTGGCAAGAAAATTTTATAACATCTCAAAAATATATATCTTAGAACACATTAGAAGTATTTAGCAGACATGATGGTGTTGGGGGAAGTAGTTTGAAAACAGAGGAATAGAAAAATCATATCAATATACCTCAATCTTTTTCCTAAGTGATTAAAGAACTATTCAACAACTCCAAAATCCTTTTTATATGCACACCTGGGAAGAATACCTCCATAACTTTATTCAGTTACAGTGATGTGGTTTTAGACCAGATGTTTAAATGTTACAGTATGTACATTTTCTTCCCCTCTTCTAAGGCAGAAGTAAAGTAAGAGGAATATTTGACTTCACTCCACAAGAGACCTATTTAATAGTTTGGCAGTTATGTAAGTAAAGGTTGCTTGGCTAAGTCAATGTTGACGACATACAGAACGACATGATCCTAATGAGTTGGAAAATATTGGCTCTCATGAGAATAGACCAGATGCTACTGCGCTGAGAAAGCTACTGTATTATTGAATTTCATTTTTATGAGGTAAAATTTATTATTCAACCATTAAGGTATCCCACATGAAATGTTGCATAAAATACTTTAACAGTTACTTTCTGGAAAGTAGATTTTTATTTTAACATTAAGACATAACTTAAATGAGGGATTCGAATGTCCATTTGATCACCTTTAGCACAGATTTTAAAGTCTGTAAGTTATTTCCCTGCAAATACCAGATTAATGAAACTACACTGTCAACAAAATAATGAACTTCTGAACAAGGAAAAGTGGTAGCAAGTCCTTGTTTTCCAGAGCAAAACCAAAGCCATGTGTGACTTTATATTTAATCTTCTCGCAAAAAGACAGGGTTAGAATTTCTATGATTTAAGAGCCATCAGAAACACGAATAACAAAAATATATATTCAATAACCTGATTAATAATACATATTTAGCTCAAATTTTAATCTCTGCTTTATCCTTTATAATTTATTATTTTAATTAAATTTCCAATATTTGCTATAATTTCATTAATATTTTCTAATGAAGTAACACACTTTACTCTATTTCTGATCTCATTTACCAGAGATAGTTTGGTATTGCAGACATAATGGTAGCAGAAAATTCCAAAGGCCTGGCTTCAAAAAATGACTTAGTCAGTGAATAGCTGCGGGATGATATTTAAGAAAAACACTAAATTGTTCTAAGCATAAATGTTCCCATCTGTAAAAAAGGATATATAACCTGCCAACAACAATATTCCTGGTAAGAAGCCAATGAAATTAATAAATGAGACATATCAATCTAAAATAGGTGAGCCAACTCAGTCTATCCAAGTAACTTTAATGGTATCCAGTCCTTACATTATACAGCTCACTAGATGAAAAATGCTAAGCAGACAGCTGTAAAGTATGTGAAAAGTAAATGAAAGTATAAGTTTCGTGTTTTTATTATTATTATACTTTAAGTTCTGGGATACATGTGTAGAACATGCAGGTTTGTTACAAAGGTATACACGTACCATGGTGGTTCGAGCCACCCATCAACCCGTCATCTACATTAGATATTTCTTCTAATGCTATCCCTCCCCTATCCCCCTACCCCACAACAGGCCCCAGTGTGTGATGTTCCCCTCCCTGTGTCCATGTGTTTCCATTGTTCAGCTCCAACTTATGAGTGAGAACACGTGGTGTTTGGTTTTCTGTTCATGTGTTAGTTTGCTGAGAATGATGGTTTCTAGCTCCATCTATCTCCCTGCAAAAACCATGAACTCATCAATTTTTATGGCTGCATAGTATTCCATGGTGTATATGTGCCACATTTTCTTTATCCAGTCTATCACTGATGGACATTTGGGTTGGTTCCAAGTCTTTGCTATTCCGAATAGTGCTGCAATAAACATAAAAATGCATGTGTCTTTATGTAGAATGATTTATAATCCTTTGGGTATATACCCAGTAATGGGATGGCTGGGTCAAATGGTATTTCTGGTTCTAGATCCTTGAGGAATTGCCACACTATCTTCCACAATGGTTGAACTAATTTAGACTCCCACCAACAGTGTAAAAGCATTTCTATTTCTCCACATCCTCTCCAGCATCTGTTGTTTCCTGACTTTTTAATGATCACCATTCTAACTGGTATAAGATGGTATCTCACTGTGGTTTTTATTTGCATTTGTCTAATGACTAGTGATGATGAGCTTTTTTTCATATGTTTCTTGGCCACATAAATGTCTTCTTTTGAGAAATGTTTGTTCATATCTTTTGCACACTTTTTCATAGGGTTTTTTTTTCTTGTAAATGTGTTTAAGTTCCTTGTAGATTCTGAATATTAGACCTTTGTCAAATAAACAGATTACAAAAATTTTCTCCCATTCTGTAGATTGCCTGTTCACGCTGATGAGAGTTTCTTTGGCTGTGCAGAAGCTCTTTCGTTTGATGAGATTCCATTTGTCAATTTTGGCTTTTGTTGCCATTCCTTTTGGTGTTTAAGTCACAAAGTCTTTGCCTGTGCCTATGTCCTGAATGGTATTGCCTAGGTTTTCTTCTAGGGTTTTTGTGGTTTTAGGTCTTACATTTAAGTCTTTAATCCATCTTGAGTTAATTTTTGTATAAGATGTAAGGAATGGATCCAGTTTCAGTTTTCTGCATAAGGCTAGCCAGTTTTCCCAAAACCATTTATTAAGCAGAGAATCCTTTCCCCATTGCTAGTTTTTGTCGGGTTTGTCAAAGATCAGATGGTTGTAGATGTGTGGTGTTATTTCTGAGGCCTCTGTTCTGTTCCATTGTTCTATATATCTGTTTTGGTACCAATACCATGCTGTTTTGGTTACAGTAACCTTGTAGCATATTTGAAAGTCAGGTACCATGATGCCTCCAGTTTTGGTCCTTTTGTTTAGGATTGTCTTGGCTATACAGGCCCTTTTTTGGTTCTATATGAAATTTAAAGTAGTTTTTGCCAATTCTGTTGAGAAAGTCAATGGTAGCTTGATGGGGATATACTGAATCTATAAATTATTTTGGGCAGTATGGCCATTTTCACGATATTGATTCTTCCTATCCATGAGCATGGAATGTTTTTCCATTTGTATGTGCCCTCTCTTATTTCCCTGAGCAGTGGTTCATAGTTCTCCTTGAAGAGGTCCTTCACATCCCTTGTAAGTTGGATTCCTAGGTATTTTATTCTCTTTGTAAAAATTGTGAATGGGAGTTTGCTCATGATTTGGCTGTTTGTCTATTATTGGTGTATAGGAATGCTTGTGATTTTTCCACATTGATTTTGTATCCTGAGACTTTGCTGAAGTTGCTTATCAGCTTAAGGAGATTTTGGGCTGAGACGATGGGGTTTTCTAAATATACAATCATGTCATCTGCAAAGAGAGACAATCTGACTTCCTCTCTTCCTGTTTGAATACCCTTTATTTCTTATTCTTGCCTGATTATCCTGGCCAGAACTTCCAATACTATGTTGAATAGGAGTGCTAAGAGAGGGCATACTTGTCTTGTGCCAGTTTTCAAAGGGAATGCTTCCAGCTTTTGCCTGTTCAGTATGATACTGGCTGTGAGTTTGCCATAAATAACTCTTATTATTTTGAGATACGTTCCATCAATACCTAGTTTATTGAGAGTTTTTAGATGAAGGGGAGTTGAATTTTATTGAAGGCCTTTTCTGCATCTATTGAGATAATCACGTGGTTTTTGTCAATGGTTCTGTTTATGTGATGGATTATGTTTATTGACTTGCATTATGTTGAGCCAGCCTTACATCCCAGGGATGAAGCCGACTTGATCGTCGTGGATAAGCTTTTTGATGTGCTGCTGGATTCAGTTTGCCAGTATTTTATTGAGGATTTTCACATGGATGTTCATCAGGGATATCAGCCTGAAATTTTCCTTTTTTTTTTTTTTTTGAGACAGTCTCGCTCCGTCGCCCAGGCTGGAGTGCAGTGGCGTGATCTCGGCTCCAAGCTGCAAGCTCCACTGCAAGCTCCACCTCCTGGGTTCGCGCCATTCTCCTGCCTCAGCGTCCAGAGTAACTGGGACTACAGGTGCCCACCACCACGCCCAGTTAATTTTTTGTATTTTTTTTTTAGTAGAGACAGGGTTTCACCGTGTTAGCCAGGATGGTCTCGATCTCCTGACCTCGTGATCCACCTGCCTCAGCCTCCCAAAGTGCTGGGATTACAGGCATGAGCCACCACGCCCATTTTTTTTTGTTGTGTCTCTGCCAGGTTTTGGTATCAGGATGATGCTGGCCTCATAAAATGAGATAGGGAGGAGTCCCTCTTTTTCTGTTGTTTGGAATAGTTTCAGAAGGAATGGTACCAGCTCCTCTTTGTACCTCTGGTAGAATTCAGCTGTGAATCCATCTGGTCCTGGGCTTTTTTTGATTGGTAGGCTGTTAATTACTGCCTTAATTTCAGAAATTGTTATTGGGTCTATTCATGGATTTGACTTCTTTCTGGCTTAGTTTTGTGAGGCTGTGTCCAGGAATTTACCCATTTCTTCTAGATATCCCATTGCATTGTCACATCCATTCACAGGTCTATTGACTCCCTCCCCTTGGGAATCTGTAGAACTGAAAATATTTATTCATCATACATTTCTGTGAGCCTAGTGAGGCCTCTTGTAAATAGCTACATTAACAGGGCACAAATGTACACTTTCTTCACTAAGTTCAAACAACCAGACCTAACCAATGTCTTGAATTTTATTCTTTTCTCATCAATATCTATTCATTATCCTATTTTCTTTCTTGGCTTACTCTTTGAATTTACCTTCACTCTATCATCCTTGCAACCAAAATAACGGATCACCTAGACTACAATTCTGACTGTTGTTATCTCAGTCTCCAAGAACTTTATATCCTAGAACAACTTCCATAGGTAATATCTTTAGATGGATGATTCCAGCAAGGTCTATGTCTAGGACAAGAACAACAGATTAAGCCCACAAACAATAATATATTTGGCATTTGCAAGAACTCTATGAGCAGCTATAAACATATTTTCATTATTTTATAGATGAGAAAATTAACTAAAACTTAATGAAACAAACTGACCTTTATTTAGTCATATATAGTTATTGAGAAAATCTTCACACTCCAATTCAGTGATCTTTCCTAAGTGTCAATAGTTGAAAAGTGAAAATAATGCGCAACAGAAATAGTAAGACATTCACTAAACCAGTATTTATATGTAACATAAAGATTACTATAATTCAATGCACAAAATCAAATCCCTAGCAAGCACTAGCATATAACATTTTCTTTTTTATTTTAATATACTTTTAATTTGATTTTTGCAAGAGCTGAGGAAGGATTCATTATTGTAGCATCATAAAACATAATTCAACATCCACAGATATTCTCTTAAAGCCTCTTAAACTCATTCACAAAATAGAAATTAGTGACTGATTCAACACTCAAAATTTATCTCTTACTTTTGGATATAGCATTTATCAAAGAAAAACTTTTCTTACTAAAAGCACTTTGCAGTTTTGATGCTTGAAGTTAAATTTGTTATTGCTTTTGGTGGCACATTAGTCCAACATTTAGAATGAGAAGACTGAGGCACAAAGTTTCTATTCTAGTCTTTTCAAATTCTTAGTAGTAATCAATGAAGTTGATTTCAAAACTCGCTAATAAATCACAATTTATAATGAAAGAAATGGTAAAACTGGAACTCAATTATATACATGCATTTTATAAGAATATCAGAAATCAGTAACAGTTTAATTCAGGTCAGATACAGTTATTTTGGTGGTAGTAAAAGTGAAACATATACACATTTCTTATTTGCAAACAGGAATGACAGAACAGGCATGGAGAAAACAAAGATAAACAGAGAAAGGAAAGAAAAATAGTCTAAAATTATAGTGTCATAGAAAATGTTGGCCAATGGGAATGAAGCTAAAGAATAAGACCAAGAAGGATTCTGTGATATTAAAAAAAATGAAAAAAATAAAAGGACTAAAAGTAATGATGATGACCAAGAATCAATATCAGTATCAAAGGGATAAACCATTTCTAAATGATAACAAGGTCCAATGTAAAGAAGATGTACTTGAGGGTAATGAAAAAAATTAGACAAAAGGTCACCATCAGAAAAGTAAAAAGACAACCCACAAAATTACAGGAAACATTTGCAAATCATATCTGATAAGAAACTTTTATCTAAAATATATAAAGAAATCTCACAATTTAAAAGAAAAAGAGGCAGATCTTAAAATAAGCAAAGGATTTGAATAATTTCTCCATAGAAGAGATAGAAATAGCTAATAAATACACAAAAAGATACTCAATATCATTAGCCATGAGGGAAATGAAAATGAAAATCATAATGATGCCACTTCACACCTACAATGATGGCTGGAACACAAAAGACAGATAACAATATGAGGAGGATGTGGAGAGATTAGAACCATCACACATTGCCAATGGAAAGTACAATGGTACAGCTGGTTTGGAAAACAGTCTGGCAGCTCCTCAAAAGGTTACAAATAAAATTACCATATGACCCAGCAATTATATTTATAGGTATATATACACAAAAGAAATAAAAGCATACATTCACAAAAAAAAACCTGTACTTGAATATTCAAAGCAACATTATTCACAATATTCAGAAGTAGAAACAATGCAAAGGTCCATCAACTGATGAATGAATTAACAAAATATGGTATATGGATAAAATGGAATACTATTTGGCAATAAAAAGGAATGAGCACCGACATATGCTATAATATGGGCAAACTTTGAAATAGTATGCTAAGTGGAAAAATGCACTAATATGCAGTCACAAAGAACTGCATTTTATGTAATTCATTTATATGAAGCATCCACAATAGGCACATCCATACAGACAAAAAGTAGATTAGTATTTGCCTATTGCTGGGAAAATGGGAGGCTCCAGGAGTGATAGCTAGGGAATGCAAGGATTCATTCAGGGATGCTGGAAACGTTCTAAAATTGATTATGGTAATGGATATACAACTCTGTGAATATATTAAAAGCCACTAAACTGCATACCTGAAAAGGAATAAATAGTGTGGTACAAAAATTTTATATAAATAAAACTGTTTTTAAAAACTTAACAGAAGGAAGGGAAAGGAAAAGAAAGAATAAAATATTTCTGACATGGAAGAGGGGAGAATACCTGAAAAAAAGGTAGGAATGTGTAAGAGAACGTAATTTTTCTGAAGTACAAGTAGACTGTAATTAGCATAGTGTTAAATTAAAGGAAAAAGACTAATGTTAAAATAAAGCTAGTGCTCAAAGAAGAGAGGAAACTGTAGGAGAATGTAATCAAACAGAATTAGGTTCCAGATAGAAGAAAAAGCCATACACAGGAAAAAACTGGATATTGTTGGTAGGTAACTATCAATAATATGAATTAAGACAGCAAGTAGGA
This sequence comes from Homo sapiens, assembly GCF_000001405.40. Classification (NCBI taxonomy): domain Eukaryota; kingdom Metazoa; phylum Chordata; class Mammalia; order Primates; family Hominidae; genus Homo; species Homo sapiens. The sequence continues at coordinate 99,199,545 of NC_000008.11, read as the reverse complement.
GGGTAGGCTAGAGGCATGAGATTATGATGAAAGGTGGTGTACAGTCAAACGTAGACTTTAAAAATTATGGTTCTGGGCCGGGTGTGGTGGCTCATGCCTGTAATCCCAGCACTTTGGGAGGCCGAGGCAGACGGATCACGAGGTCAGGAGATCGAGACCATCCTGGCTAACACGGTGAAACCCCATCTCCACTAAAAATACAAAATCTTAGCCGGGTGTGGTGGCAGGCACCTGTAGTCCCAGCTACTCGGGAGGAAAATGGCATGAACCCAGGAGGCGGAGCTTGCAGTGAGCCGAGATCATGCCACTGCACTCTAGCCTGGGTGACAGAGCGAGACTCCATCTCAAAAAAATATATATAATGATAATAATAATGGTTCTTCTTTCACACATTATCAGAACCTAAGTCTGAGAGATCCAAAAATGTACACAGCTTGTATAATCTCTTTATTAATGTGGGAAATGAAAACTAGTTGTAAAGCAAAGGATCACATACTTACACAAAACATATTAAACAAAGCTTAACAGTGCTGAGTACTATGTAATGAGAGTCCTCAGACGCAAAATAATAAAATGCTAAAACTTTACACCCTAAATACATACACATTTCGTGGATCTTTAGATAGAACTATTTGAAGGCACAATCCTTTAAGCACTCCATAAGAATACAAAGCACAGAATGAGGTTTTGTTCTCGGGGGGAAAAAAGACAAGAAAACTGACCACCTGGAAATCTGGCTTTTTAAAACTGTCTTAGCTGATGGTTTCTCTTTAATCTGTTATAAATTTTATAGGCATTCCATTTGATAAAAATAAAATTATTTGGCAAAGAAATGTCTTAACATCATTCTAATTTCTTCAACTCCTCAATATGCAAAAATTAGTTCCACTAATTTTAGGTTTCTAAATGACAGAACTTGAGGTTACAAATAACAATCTGTTGTCACTTACCTAATCAATTTTTCAATACATATGCCACCATTCTTTTAAACACAGAATATTTTTAGAATAGGAAATTTCAAATAAAATGCTTTTTCATAGCACAGTCCATTTTATAAATTCAGAAAAGTAAAAATGGAATAGGTTTGGCTAGGAAAAAGAAAAATTATAAAAGCAAATAATAATTTCATGAGCTTACTAACACAAATGTTCAGGCTATCTAAGCCAATTAATAAAAATAAAAGTTTAAAATTTAAAAAAAACATTAATATTGTGAGACAATAAACCAAAAAATACTCTGAAGAAAATATCACAGGAAATAGAAATTTAGCAAATAAACAAATAAATGAATTAGACAGTTTCACACAGTGATAAGTGCTAATGCCAAGGAAGATGTTACTGTAGAGTTAACTTATAGATGGGCTGGCATCAAAAAGGTAAGATTTTGAATAGTAAATCCATATAAAATAACGGCCACAAGATTGGCAATAACACAGTCTACTTAAATAATCATCAAATTAAAACGTTTTTTGAAGATAAAATTCATATAACATAACCCTCATTTTTTCAAAGTGTGTAATTAAGTGGATTTTACCATATATATTAGGTTGGTGCAAATGTAATCGTGTTTTTTGCCATTCAAATTAATGGTGATTACCTAACGCAAGGTTGTGAATCCATCACAACTATATAATTACAGAATATTTTCACCACCCCAAAAAGAAATCTTGGGGAAAACCACAAATATGTGAAAATTAAACAACATGTTCCTAAATTACCAACAGGTAAAAGATGAAATCAAAATGTATCTTGAGACAAATGAAAATGGAAACACAAAATACACAACCTATCAAATGCAGCTGAAGTATAAGATTTGGTTTTTTGACAAGATAAACCCTTCAATAGACTAAGAAAAAGGAGCATGCTCAAATAAATAAAATTAAAAATAAAAGTGGAGAGATTACAGCTGATAGAAACAACAGAAATATAGAGACTCATCAGAATCGACTACTGTGAACAATGCTACACCAATGGATTGGATAAGCTAAAAGAAATTAATAAATTCCCAGACACATTTAACCTATCAAGACTCAATCATGAAAGAATGGAAAATACGAGTAGACCAATAATGAGTAAGAAGAGTGAATCAGTAACAAAAAGTCCCCATCAAAGAAAAGTTCTGGACTGGATGAATTCTACCAGAACAACTAATATTGATCACTTCTCAAACTCTTCCAAAAATCTGAAGAGAGAATACTTTCAAACTCATTTTAGAAGGCTAGCATTATCCTCATACCAAAGCCAGACAAGGGCACTACAAGAAAACAAACTTACAGACCAATATCTCTGGTGAACATAGATGTAAAAATTCTCAACAAAATATTAAATGAAATTCAACAACACATTAAAATAATCTTTTGCCATGATACAGTGGTATTTATCCTTGGGATGCAAGGATGGTTCAACAAATACAAGTCAATAAATATGATACACCACATTAACAAAATAAAGGACAAAAGTCATATCATCATCTCAATAGATGCAGAAAAGGCATTTGACAAAATTCAACAGCCTCTCGTGATCAAAACTACTAATAGATTAGGTATAGAAGGAATGTACCTAAACACAATAAAGGACATGCAGAACAAGCCCATGGCTAACATCATATGGAAGAGTGAAATGCTGAAATCTTTAAAGATGAGGGACCTGACAAGAATGTTCATTCTCACTACTTCTTTTCCACACAGTACTGGAAGTCCTATTCAGAAAAACTAAGCAAGAGGAAGAAAGAAAAGGCATTGTAATAGAAAAAAAAGAAGTTAAATTGCCTCTACTTGTTGACAATATGATCTTATACGTAAAAATCCCAGCCAGGCATAGTGGCTCACACGTGTAATCCCAGTATTTTAGGAGGACGAGGTGGGTGAATTACTTGAGGTAAGGAGTTCAAGACCAGCCTGACCAACATGGTGAAACCCCGTCTCTACTAAAATACAAAAAACTTACCCAGGTGTGGTGACGTGCCTATAATCTCAGTTACAAACCCAGGAGGTGGAGGTTGCAGTGAGCCAAGATCACACCACTGCACTCCAGCTTGGGTGACAAATGGAGACTCCAACTCAAAAAAAAAAAAAAAAAACCCCTAAAGACTCCATCCAAAAACTTTTAGAACTGATAAGTGAATTCAGTAAAGGTGTGGGATACAAAATCAACATGTAAAAATCAGTACCATTTTTATGCATTAACATGTCCAAAACTAAAACTATCCAAAAAAAATTTAGGAAAACAATCCCATTTATAACAGCAAAAACAAAAATATGTGGATATAAAGTTAACCAAGGATATGAAAGGTCTGTATACTAAAAAGTATAAAACACTGATAAAAGAAACTAAAAAAAAACACAAATAAATGGAAAGATGTTCTGTGCTAATGAACTTGGAGAATTAATGTTAAAATGTCCATATTACCCAAAGCAATATACAAATTCAATGCGACCCCTATCAAAATTCCAATGTCATTTTTCACAAAAACAGTAAAAAAATCCTTAAATTCATATGGAATAAAAGACCTCAAAGAACAAAAGCAATATTAAACAAAAAAGAATAAAGCTGAAGAAATCACACTATCTGACTTTATACTAACAGGCTATAGCAATCAAAACAGCATGGTACTGGCATGAAGACAGACACATCAACCTACAAAACAAGACAGAATCCAAAATAAACCCACACATTTATGGACAATTGATCTTTGATGAAGATGCCAAGAATATACAATGGGGAAAGAACAGATTCTTCAATAAATGCTGCTGGGAACACTGGATATCTACATGCAGAACAATGAGATTGAATCTTTATCTAACACCATGAGGAAAAACCAATTCAGAAGGGATTAAAGACTTAAATATAAGATCTGAAACGTAAATCTACTAGAAGAAACTTATGGACAAAGCTTCATTGGTCTGGGCATTGACTATAACCCTAAAAGCACAGGAAATGAAAGCAATAACAGAAAAATGGGACTGCATCAAACAAAAACTTCTGCACGGCAAAAGAAACAATTAACAGAATGAAGGAAGAACACAGAAACTGGGAGAAAAATTTACAAACCATCCCTCTGATAAAGAGTTGTTATCCAAAATATCTAAGGAACTCAACTCAATAATAAGAAAACAAATAACTCAATTTTAAAATGGGCACAGGACCTGAACAGACATTTCTCAAAAGATGACAAATGGCCAACGGGTTCCTGAACAATGCAAACGGCCAACATATAAATGGTTCATACAAATGGCCAACAAGTATATGAAAACATACTCAACATCATTAATTACTAGAGAAATGTAAATTAAATTCACAATGAGATATAACCACATACCTGTTAGAATGGCCATTCTCAAAATGATGAAAGATAAGTGTTAGCAAGGATGTGGAGAAAAAGAGAATACCATTGGTGGGAATGAAAATTAATACAACCTTCACGCCTATAATCCCAGCACTTTGGGAGGTTGAGGCAGGCAGATCATGAGGTCAAGAGATAGAGACCATCCTAGTCAACATGGTGAAACTCCGTCTCTACTAAAAATACAAAAAATTAGCTGGGTGTGGTGGTGCACACCTGTAGTCCCAGCTACTCGGGAGGCTGAGGCAGGAGAATTGCTTGTACCTGGGAGGCGGAGGTTGCAGTGAGCCGAGATCGCGCCACTGCACTCCAGCCTGGCAACAGAGCAAGGCTCCATCTCACAAAAAAAAGAAAAAAGAAAATTAATACAACCATTATGGAAAACGGTATTGAAGCTCCTCAAAAATCTAAAAATATAAGCAATCCCACTTCTGGGTATATGTCCAAAGAAAATGAAATCATGTTAGAGAGATATCTGCACAGCCATGTTCACTGTACAATAGCCAAGATATGAAATCAGTATAAGTATCCATCAAGGGATGAATGGATAAAGAAAATATGGCATATATCCGCAATAGATTACTATTCTGCCTTAAATAAAGAAGGAAATTCTGTCGTTTAAGACAACACAGTTGAACCTGGAGGACATTATACTAAGTGAAATAAGCCAGGTACTGCAGGATCTCACTTAAATGTGGTATCTAAAAAAGTCAAACTCATAGAAGTAGAGAGTAGAATGGTAGTTAGAGTAGAACGGTGGTTACCAAACGTAGGCGGAATGGAGTGGGGGTGGGTATGTAACAGGAAGATCCTGTTCAGAGGGTACAAAGTTTCAGTTAGACAGGAGCAGTAAGTTCAATTCAAAAAGAGGATACAAATATGTATGTCTGTGTGTGTTTATATACACACTAAAATTTGCATACTACTTCAGGGGGTTCAGAAAACTCTAAGTCTTTTCATAAGCTCCGAGTGAAGAACCTCTAGCCTACTGCAACATTTATCTTGTTATTCTTTATATAATGCTAAAAGCCAGCACCAAAACTACTACAACTTGAACATCCCTAATCTGAAAACCCAAAATCTGAAATGCTTCAAAATTCAAAACTCTTTGGGCACTGACATGATACAAGTAGAAAATTCCACGCCTGACCTCATGTGATTAAGTCACACAAAATTATTAAAAATATCGTATAAAATTACCTTCAGACTATGTGTATAAGGTGTATATGAAATGTAAATGAATTTCATATTTAGACTTGAGTCACATCTCCAGTATATCTCATTATGTATGTGCAAACATTCCAAATCTGAAAAAAATCTGAAATTTGAATCACTCTGGTACCAAGCACTTTGGATAAGGGATAATCAACCTGTATTTTACATTAGTTAATGGCTAGGCCAAATAAGAAAACTCTAATTATGATGTCAGGTCTGAAATTAAAACCTTCAAAAGCATCATATAAGAACAAAAGTCGCTTTATTTTAACAGATAAATTAAAAATAATGTTACTTTAAGCATAATTACACTTAAATTATAACCTTTAAAAACTACTTTTGTGTTACTGACAAACATAACATTATTATTTTGAACTGAAACAACTTTAAAAAGCTTCTATAATTTTTTGTTTACATGCAAACTGAGTGATAAGATGAAGATATCTCTTATAGTGATATGAAAGCAGAAATTTGTATTTTTAGTAGTTAATTAACTCCTTAAGGGTGCCAGATTAATGCTTTTCACACACACACACAAAAATTGTTTACCAAACTAACCAAATATTATGAGTAAGAATTTATTTCATTTTACCAGTATAATCAAACATACTGTACTTATACTTAATTTGGTTATCATTTCAAACACATACATTGATACCCTCAAAAGTTATCCAAAGGGTAAATTATACAAGAAGCTGGTGAAAAATAATCTTTTGCAATTATGAAACATATGCAGAAATAGGTACGAGGAAATAAAACTGGATGGCTTAACTCATAATCTGGATTTTAAACATAAGCTATAAATATCTACATTCAAAGAAACATATTACAATTTAAGTTGACCATGCTAGACATATGGATTTTCATAATAAAATATTAGTTGCCTCTAACACAAATTTTCCATATAGTTATCAAAAAGACTGTGCTCTTACCTATACTTAGGAAGATTTCATTTATCAAAGCTTCAATCACTGCGGAAGAGCTGACATTTCCAAGATGAGACCAACTTTGATATATTGCTTGCAAGAGAAGTGTCTGTGCTCTTGTAGCTTGAATTGTGAGATTTGGAAGTTCAAATATACCTTCAGTTATAGCAATCTGAGATCTTTTGGTCCTGCACAAGAAAACAGAAAGAATCGCAATACAGTAAATAGCATTTACAGACAACAAAATACTAAATGACTTAGGTTGCAAGGGAAGAAAGGGTATACATCCAAAGTATGTATGCAAACATACTACTTAAACAAAATAGATATGCAATTCTGCTAACTTTAAGTTCCACTATTTCAGAAACTCTGAATAATATAAAAATACAAACTAGAATGATGTCCATACACACATATTCACCTACACATATACTGCTCAAGCAATTACTACATAATCAAGGCAATCATCCTGAGTAAAAATAAAAATAGTGCTTCTTAACACTTAGAAAGGATTTACTAGCAAACCTGCATTGTTCTAGATTTCTTTTATCTGTTAACACGTTGAATCCTTCCATAATAACTCTATGAGGGAGGTACTATCATTATACTAGTTTTTCAAATGGGAAAACCAAGACACACACCGATATATTAAGGTATGAAATGTCATACTACTAAAAAGAGGAAAAATTAGAATTTAAATCCAGGCAACCTGATCCACAGCCCTCTATCCTAATACTTTCTCTCAGAAGTATTTATGAAGTATTTACATTACATGCAGGACTCTACTTGATAGTAACATGGAAAATTATTTTTAAAATTTCTGCCCTGGAATATCTAATTTGTTGATCCCTTATTCATTTGGTTTTGTCTATGAATAAAGTGAATTATGTAATTAAATTTTCTAAATAACAAAGCCTCAAAGTAAGAAAACATTTCAATATGTCTGTGAGCAACAAGTTTATACTGAAGGTTAATAAACATGCAAGATAAAATAGAAGAACAATAAAACAAAAATAGATTAAAAAAAATCAGGATGCTACTATAGTATACTGTATGTAACCTGCTCTTTCCTTAACCCCACAAACCCTCCACCATTTGTCATTTTCCCAACTGTAACCACACATGGAGAGTACAGAACTTCTCTTGTATATCACCCTACCTCATATTCTGGCCGCTGCTATGGAGACCAATTCAATGTACACTTTCATTTGCATTGCCTAAAGCCACCATGCAGCATGAGACACCAGCAAACTACTTTGCAATCATATATGCAGAAGATGGAAATGTAGGAACAAATGCTTCCCTCTCTTCTCCCACTAGCTGACTAGTCTCTGAGGAGTTCCCAGGAAATCGAGGACCAGGAAAGATAAAACACTAAAATAGGCCCAGCGCGGTGGCTCACACCTGTAATCCCAGCACTCTGGGAGGCCGAGGCGGGCGGATCACAAGGTCAGGAGTTCGAGACCAGCCTGACCAACATGGTGAAACCCCGTCTCTAGCAAAAATACAAAAATTAGCTGGGCGTGGTGGCATGTGCCTGTAATCCTAGCTACTCAGGAGCCTGAGGCAGGAGAATTGCTTAAACTCAGGAGGCAGAAATTGCAGTGAGCCGAGATCGCGCTACTGCATTCCAGCCTGGGCGACAGAGACAGACTCCGTCTCAAAAAAAAAAAAAAAAAAAAAAAAAGAGAGAGAGAGACTAAAATAACTGAACAAAGCTTTAATGGGACGTGGGACACTATCAAGCAATTTGAAGAAAACTATAAACCCAAATATCCAAGAAATTCAGCAAACCCCAAGCAGAAGAGAATTAAAAACATACCAAGGCATATTATAATCAAATTGCTGAAAACTAGTGTTAAGGAGAAAAACACATCACATGTAAAGAAACAAAGCTACAAAATGAAAGCAGACTCCTCATCAGAAATCATGCAGAACAGAAGACAACAGAATACCATGACTGAAATGCTGAAAGAAAAAGGAAAACTGTCAGCCTAGAATCCAAAATTCAGGAAAAAAAAAACTTTCAAAAATGTTAGCAAAAGAGCTTTTTTATGACTAAACGCTGGGAAGAATTCCTCACCAGCATATCTGTACTACAAAAAATGTTAAAGAAAATTCTTCGGGCTAAATGAATGTGATACCAGATGGAAATATTTGTGGCTCTACACAAAGAAATGTGAAGAGAATGGGAATGGTAAATATATGGGTGAATTTTTTAAAAAAAAAAGAAGAAGAAAGAAACATTATCTTCTAATAAGATTAAGAATTAACTGTTTAAAGCAAAAATCATAACAACATAGTTCAGAGTTTATGACATATGTAAAAGTAGAATGCACAATGTCAATAGCCAAGGACAGGAAGAGGGAAATGGAGGTTCTTACACAATGTATGACACAGTATAACATTATTTGAAGGTAGCTGTGATAAGTAAAAGATGTAAACTGTAAACCCTAGAACAACTAAAGCCATAAAACTAAAAGGTAAAACTAATAAAGGCAATAGTGTAGACAGAGTGGAATAAGAATGGAATAGAGAGGATGAAACGGAATGAATCTAAATAAAGTTATGAAAAGAAAAAAGAAAACAAACAATAGATGGGACAACTAGAAAACAAACAGCAAGATACTAGAACTAAACCCCAAAATATAGTATTAAGTCTCAAACGTCTAAGCATACCAATTCAAGGAAGAGATTCTTCGATTATATTAAAAAAAAAAAGACCCATATATATCCACTTTAAATAATAAAGTAGATAGGTTAAAAATTAAGGGGATAGGGGCATGAAGGAGTAAACGAACGAGCAAAACAAACACCACATAATTCTAATCAAAAAAGAGTTACACATTAACATTAGACAAAGTAAACTCTGGAACAAAGACTATTACCATGGATATAGAGAGATTTTTTTCATAATGATAACATGGTTAATTAAGTTTGTAGGCACTACACATCTCCGAAATACATACATTTTTTAAAATACAGAACTGAAAACAGGAATAGACAAATCCAAAACCTGAACATTTCAACACTCCTCTCTCAGGAATTGATAAAACAAATAGACCGTAAGTAAAGAATTAAAAACAAAAACAGTACTATCAATCAACTTGGCCTAACTGACATTTGTAGGACACCCCACCCAACAACAGCAGAGTACACATTCACCAAGGCATACTACAAGAACATAAAAGCAAGTCTAAGTAGAATGAAAAAGGCTGAAATCATATACAATATATGTGCTGATCACAATGGATTTAAACTATAAACTAATATCATAAAGTTATGTATAAATCTCCAAATAGCCAGAAGTTCAACAAATAAAATATAACTCAAATTAGGAACGTGGTAGATAAAATCTAGAAATACAAAAATAACAATTTTGAAAAATTATAAAACAATATTAGAAAAGGACACTGATATCAGTAACAGGAAAGGGCAATATAAAATATACATAATCAGTGTTCCTAAAGAAAAGAGGAAAACAAATAGAAAAGAAATAGTATACAGAAATATTTATCAAAAAAAAATCTTGTCTAAAATAAACACCTAAACTACAACGTGCACAATGTGTCACAAACAATACTGATTCTGAATGATCATTATCCTAGTAAAGCCACTGAACTCCAAAAATGATAAGGAAAAAATTCTATGGGCATTCAAATAGATAAAGGAATGTGCAGCTACGAAGAAGTAAAATGAAATTCTCCAGAATTTCCCAGACTTTCTATTATCCTTCCTACCCTGTTTACAACAGCCTAGTATACATAGTCAATTTATGTGCACAATTCATCCTTAAAAGAATATAAGGGAACTTTGGCCGGGCGCGGTGGCTCACGCCTGTAATCCCAGCACTCTGGGAGGCCGAGGCAGGTGGATCACGAGGTCAGGAGATCGAGACCATCCTGGCTAACACGGTGAAACCCCCTCTCTACTAAAAATGCAAAAAATTAGCCGGGCTAACATGATGAAACCCCCTCTCTACTAAAAATACAAAAAATTAGCCGGGCGTGGTGGCAGGTGCCTGTGGTCCCAGTTACTGGGGAGGCTGAGGCAGGAGAATGGTGTGAACCCGGGAGGCGGAGCTTGCAGTGAGCCGAGATCGCTCTCATAATTCATAACTCTCATAATTCAACAAGAACAAGATACACAGCCCAATTTTTAAAGTGAACATAGGACCTGAAAAGACACTTGACAAAGAAGATATACAAATGGCCAATAAGCGCATGAAAAAATGCTCAACATTATTAGACATCAGGGAAATGAAAATCAAAACCACAAGATACCACTTCATACCCATCAGAAGGGATGTAATTTTAAAAAATAAAAATAAGCAGAAAATAACAAGTATGGCCTGAATAGGTAGAAATTGGAACATCACGCACAGAGGTATAGTTACTATGTAAAACACAATTTGGCAATTTGTAAAAAAGATGAACATTGAGTTATCATATGACCCAGCAATTATATTCATAGGTATATACATACCCAAGAGGACTGAAAACATGTTCATACCAAAAAATTGCACAAGAATGTTCATTGCGGCACTATTCTTAGCCAAAAAATGAGAACAACACAAATGTACCCCAACTGATGAATAAACAAAATGTATTCGATCCATACAAAGGAATATTATTCAGTGATAAAAAATTAAATACTGATACATGCTATATAACATGGATGAACCTTTAAAATATTACATTAACTGAAAGAAGTCAGACCAAAAAGTCACATATTATATTATTCTGTTATTATAAAATGTCTAGACTCATAGAGACAGAATTTCTTTTTTGAGGTTTTGAAAATGTTCTGGAATTAGATAGTGGTGATGACTGCACAAAACTGTGAATATAGTAAAAACCACTTAATTGTACACTTTAAAATGATGAAATTTATGTTGTAAATTTTAGCTCAATGAAAACAAACTAGGTCCCTAAAGTATTAGAACTCTGTTCTTAGCAAAACTGATTCAAATACCAATGCCTTCCCTCACAAAAAAAAAAAAAAAAAAAATGTCCAAACAACAAAAACAAAAGCCTAGGGTCACCCCTGCCTCTGTCTGTCTCTGTCTCTGTCTCCGTCACTCTCTCTCTCTCTTTTTAAGACAGGGTCTCACTCTAGCCCTGGTTGGAATGCAGTAGCATGATCACGGTTCACTGCAGCCTCCATCTCCCAGGCTTAAGCAATCCTCCCACCTCAGTCACCCGAGTAACTGGGACAATGGGTGCATACCAGCATGCCCGGCTAATTTTTATTTTTTTATAGAGACAGGATCTCACTTAGTTGCCCAGGCTGGTCTCAAACTCCTGGGCTCAAGCAATCATCCTGCCTCACCCTCCCAAAGTGTTGGGATTACAGGCATGAGTCACTGCACCCGGCCTACCCATCTCTCTTAATTAGTATGTAAGATCAATCAAATACACAGTTGCCCAATAAGAAAGCCACTATCCCATCCAACAACTTTCAAATCCTTAATAGCAACATGTGACACTACCTGTGTCCCTCAATCCACAATTCTGATCATATTTGGCTATAAAAGCCAAAGGATTGGAATGAATGGACCAGAAAATAAATATGCAGTAAATAAAAGATCCCTTATGCCAAACAGGTAAAGTAGTAGAGATCAAAAGAAATAGAAGGATAAACAAATATGACTCAATTCATAAATCTGAATGTAATTATCCTTATTATTTCCTTTCGCTTTTCCAACATTTAGAATATTTTTAAAGACATTTTCTTTTCTTTCTCATTTTCCTTTTTATTCTATAAGCATTTTAAAATAGTTAACTAGGTCTCTCCACTATGTTCTCAAATTTCTGTTCAAATTCCTGAACCGCCCCCCGCCCCTGCACCAAAAAACCCACAACATTTTATTAGTGATAAGTAGTAAAGAACACAGATATTTGGAATATCTCCTATAATACGAAAATGTACAATTAATCTATCTTCAGGCACTCTGTGGCAATTAGGAGGTCCTATCGTGTAGCAAGAGCCATGTTCATATAACTACAGCAGTAAGTATTTGTATGGCAATATTATAGATGGGATTCATTTTTTTTACAAGCAGGTCTTTACTATTTCATAATAAATTCAGCTACCGTATATGGTACCCTTTCAAGCCAGCTTATATCACCTAAAATGTTCCCAAATGGATAACATAGACTTGAATAAAAACTTAAACACATGCAAATTCAGAAAGATTAATATATTGTACATTTTAGTAATGCCCAAGGGTAGGGAAAAATTCTCTCCTTAATTATTTTAATATCAAAGGAGAAGCTTACTTTGTACAAAAGTTAGAATTCAATAATAAACACGCCAATTATACACACAGGATATGTCTTTGTGGTTTATTTTTCAGCTGTAACCCACAACAAATAAAAATACATTCTATTTATACTTCTGTTAGATACTCCAGTAGTATTTAAACTGACATAAATAAATTTAAAATGATTTGGGTATAGATGGTATCTTACACAATTATCTGTTAATGTAACAATACCAATGAAGAGGGGTTTTTCTCTTTTGTTTTTGTCAATTTTGAAATATTTGTAACTGGTTAACAAATGTAGAAAATAACAAATACTCAATGTATCTATTACCAATTCATCAAGACATAACATTATACCATATTCACCTCAAAAAATTTTTTAAAGATCAACAGCTTTTACAACTTTATTTAAACTATTTGGGGGAGTCATTAAAGTGTCAATAAAAATGCACAATAAAAAGTGTATTTTTCCTTGTGATTTAGACTACTACATATTTATTAAACTTTACTTAAAACAAAATAGTTCAATATAAATTCATACCAAAAATTTCTAACTTCTGGACTTACCTAATATTTTGAAATATCACTAAATTTCCATTTTAACAGTTAAGCTGTTGAATATAAAATAATTTCTTTAACACATGCCTATTCCTCATATCCAGAAGTCTTAGTCTGAACATATGTTCATTTTACAGAATAGGTTTAAAAACTATCAATTCAAACATTACTCTCTAGGGAAAAATAAATCCTAGTGTAACTAGTGGGATAAACAACTCATTAAAACTCAACTTGGACAAACTCCAGGATAAATTAAAGGAAATAGAAACAAGTAGGTCTTGACTGTATAGTAGCGAAGACTAAAAATGAATATGGCCTAATTAACAAATACTTTGAAAGACTTTGCTTGTACCATTTGTTGACAAACTATAACAGAGAGCTGATGAAATTTCAGGACCAAATGGGCATTTCTATAAAAAAAAATTCCTTCTTCTAAATTTTAAATAAAAATGATGGAAGTGTGGTTCTTACTACTCGATGCAAAGAAATTAAACAATCCATTCAAGTTCATAGCGATACCATTAAATTTTTGCCATATGTACACTTGAGGAACAGCCATCCATTCTTTTAAAATCAACACACCTCATAGCAATTGAAAGAATATTCTCAGCAACAGCTGGATCTAAAGATTTATATAGAGTCCCAAAATGCAAAGTTTGAACCTACAAACTGGTTCCAAAAATGTATTTTTGTTATTACTCATATCCTGTACAGTAAAATAAGATTAGTTCACTTTTTCCAAAATAAAATGAGTACAGTTCTTTGCTAACTCAACTTAGAAATGAAAACAGTTTAAAAAGCTAAGATGTATATTTCTTTACACAGTGACTACTTAACTTACACATCAATACTCAATGAAAAGAAAAAAAGTTTTTAAAGTTTTAAAAAATTAAATAGATAAAATGAAAAGCTAATACTATTTACTCCCAACTCCACACTCTACAGGTAACAACTTTTTATGAGTTTATCATATATCCCTGCAGACCTCTGTATATTCATTTCATGCACTCAAATATACATTTATAATTTTAATGAGAATATACACATAGGTGTATGTCTACAGCCTACTTGATATGAGTAAACAACATATCTTAGAGATCACTAAGATCTTTACATGAATACAAATCCTTCTACAGTGGTCTTTTTAATGCATACATGATATCACGCTGAATTTTCACATTCGTCAGCAGTGTATCGGAGTATCTTTTTCAACATCCATTAGCTTTTGCCATTTTTTTTCTTTTTTTCAAAGCAGAGTCTCGCTCTGTCCCTGAGGCTGAAGTGCAGTGGCACGATCTCAGCTCACTGCAGCCTCCGCCTCCAGGTTCAAGAGACTCTCGTGCCTCAGCCTCCAGAGTAGCTGGGATTACAGGAGCGTGCCACTGCACCTGGCTAATTTTTGTATTTTTGGTAGAGACGGGGTTTCGCCATGTTGGCCAGGCTGGTCTCAAACTCCTGACCTGAAGTGATCCACCAGCATCTGCCTCCCAAAGTGCTAGGATTACAGGTGTGAGCCACCATGCCTGGCCAGCTTTTGTCATATATTTTTAATTACAATGATTTTAGCATTTGCAAATAAAATACAAATTATATCCTGTTTGTCGAGATATAAAAATATGTTAACATTTTTCAAATTTCTGGAATAGTTTTATTTGAATTAAAATATTAGATGAAAAATAGGAAAATATAAGAAAAGCTGCCTACCACTAAAATAAAAGTGTAATAAATGTCTTATTACCATACATAAAATCCAAAATCTTAAAATGAACTAAGCAAACAAAAATGAATTCTTATAAAACTACCATGAGATACTATTTCAACCCCACTGGAATGGACATAATCAAAAAGACAGACAATAACAAATGTCAGCAGGGCTGTGAAAAAACAAGAACCTCATACATTGTTGGAAGGAATATAAAATGATATCATATTGCAAAACAGATTGCAGTTTCTTAAAAAGTTAAACATAAATTTACTATATAATCCAACCATACCCCTGTAGGTATCTACCCAAGAGAAATGAAACCATTAAGTCCACACAAAGACTACATGTTCATGGCAGCATTATTCATAATAGCCTTAAAAGTGTAAGCAACACAAATGTCTATCAGCTGGTGAATGGATAAATAAAAAGTGGTCTATCCAACCAATTGACTACTATTTAGCAATAAAAAGAAGTGAAGTACTAATACATGTTACAAGGTAGATGAACCCTGAAACAAAAGACCACAACATATTATAGATTCCAGGGACAGAACATGTCTAGAGATATTTTCTATTTCTAGAGATACAGAAAGTAAATCTACAGTTCCTTGAAGTTGGGGTAAGAATTAGGATTAACTGTAACAAAGAGGATCTAATTAGGGTGACATGATTATGTTGATGAATGCTCAACTTGGTAAATTTACTAAAAATCATTGAATTGTATGCTTAAAAACAGATTAATTTTATGGTATGTAAATTATACCTCAATATAGTCATTTTTTAAAAATGAATACTTATAGTTTACTTAAGGATTACCTTTATTACTTCAATACTACATTTATGAAAAAATATATTTATATATTAGTTACTAAGATTTTCCAACACTCTGAAACACTACAATTCAAAAGAAAAAATACCCAATTTAAGTCCACATTTATTAGGCAAGTACTAAGTATTAGATACTATTCGATGCTACACAATAATACAGTTAAAAAGCCACTCTGTGCTTACTGAGAACTTAATATCTAACATACCAAAAGATATTCATTGTTTATCCAAACATCTGCCATGCAGAGACCAAATGCAAACTACTAGGCTGCATATCTCCCCAATTCCATCTGAGCATTTCAATATGTATGTTGAACTTTTTACATATTAATCTCCAGAGTAAAATTTCATGCAAAGAAAAAATTCTTCAAAAAAAAGAAAAACAAACAAAAACCCCATTAACCTATATAAACTTC
This sequence comes from Homo sapiens, assembly GCF_000001405.40. Classification (NCBI taxonomy): domain Eukaryota; kingdom Metazoa; phylum Chordata; class Mammalia; order Primates; family Hominidae; genus Homo; species Homo sapiens. Next base: position 99,183,289 of record NC_000008.11, on the reverse strand, counting down.
AATATACCGTCAATAGAGCAGCAGCGGGGCATAATGTCTCAACCTAGTGTCTAAATTCAACAAAAGTACTGATGTTAAATAAGAAGAAAACGGCAACAATATGAACAAAAAGGTGTAAATGTGACATATCTTTGTATTAAAAACCATGAGTTCATTCTGATACCTCCAATTCAAATACAATACCAAGGTGAATTATAGTCTTCCTCCTCTTTTTTTTCCATGACGGCCTACCATTAAATATAGTCTTCCACAGCCAGGTGCGGTGGCTCACGCCTGCAATCCCAGCACTTTGGGAGGCCGAGGTAGGCGGATCACCTGAGGTCAGGAGTTCAAGTCTGGCCAACATAATGAAACCCGAAACCCAGTCTCTACTAAAAATACAAAAATTAGCCAGACATGGGGGTGGGTTCCTGTAATCCCAGCTACTCAGAAGGCTGAGGCCCGGGAATCTCTTGAACCTGGGAGAAAGAGGTTGCAGTGAGCTGAGACTGCACCACTGCACTACAGCCTGTGTGACAGAGCAAGACTCCGTCTCAAAGAAGAAATAAAACGATAAATAAATATAGACTTTCTCTTTAACATATTTGTAACTCCTTCTCCACAGGTGAAAAACCTGGATACCATTACTCTGAATAAGCCTACTTATTTAGTCAAGCCTAGAATACACAGAAAGTGCTTTAAGAATTGCTTAACTCATATCATTAGTTGCTAACTCATTCCACTGCAAAAAAGCAAACAGATTTCAATTTTGTTTTCAGTCCTTTTTTCTTTAGGTAAAATTTACAAACAGTAAAATATAAAAAGAATTTTATATTCTTTTTATATATTCTAAAAACTGTAGAATTTCATGAATCTTGACAAATACTCATAACTGTGTTATAACCCTCACCCCAAAAAGATACTGAAATCACCATCTCCCCAGAAAATTCCCTGTGTTCTTCCCAATCAATCCTTCCTCCTTCATCCTCCCAAAGGCAATTTAGACTTTTTTCCACTACAGATTAATTTTGCCTGTTCCAGAAATTCATATAAATAGAATCATACCATGTTTCTGTTGTGCCCAGTTCTTTTCACTCAGGAAACACAACTGTATATATCAGTAGTTCATTATTTTTTATTGATGAGTGGTATTTGTTGTTTAAATATACCACAATTTATTTAATCTCCAGGGTTATTTCAGTTTGGGATTATTTTGAATAAAGCTGTTATGATCATTCTCAACGTGGTTTTAATCTGCAATTCCCTTATGTATAGTTGTTGGGTTCTTTTTTATGTGTTTGGTGACCCTTCCTTTGTGAAATGTCTGTTCAAGTCTTTTGCCCATTTTTTAATTGGTTGTATTTTTTCTTATTCAACTGTAGGATATTTTCATATATTCTGTATACAATAATTTTTTCAGATGTTTTGTGCATCTTTTTACTCAGTCTGTTCCTCAGTTTATTTTCTTAACTGCTTTATAGAAGTTTATAAATTTATTAATAGATTATACCTATTATATTAATACATGTGATTAAAAACAAACTTTTCCTTTTTGGCATGTCAAATAAAACTTTATACAATCTTTGAGAGAAAGGTGACCCATCAATTTTATAAATGTATGTTCACTGAAAAAAGTCAGAAAAAAGTAAATATGCAATAGTAATAATCACAGCTAACTTGCATAAAGAACTTGTTATGTGTCAGGCACTATTCAAAGCAGCTCATATTTGTTAACTCATTTAAGCCTCAAAATAACTCGAAGGTAAGAATTAAGAATTGCCCCTTTTACAAATGAGGAAACTCAGACACAAAGACTTTCTCAGCCACAAGGCTAGGAAGTGGCAGAGCCTATATTTAAATGCAAGGAATCCAGTTCTGAGGTCCATGCTCCTAACCACTATAATACATAAACCACACATTACCTACCACTCACATAACACCATCACAAACAGTTTAGCAATAGCCCAGCCTTTTTACCTGTGCAAGCATATTTTTTGTTCAGATTAATAGACTAACTCTGTATCCCTCTGTTCTGTGACCTTTTTTCACTCGATATTTATCATGAGAACATTTCTATACCAATAAACATATACTACAACAAAATTTTAATGGCTATCCTACATATTGCTAACTGGTATGAGTGTAACATAATTTATACAACCTGTTTTTCATTATTTGCTATTTACATTTTTCCATTTTATCATAACTAATTATTGGTCATTCGCTTAATTATATCTAAGGACAAACTCCTAAAAATGGACATGCTGAGTAAAAGATATTCATGCTTACAGATTTTGATGGATATAGTCAAGCTGTACAGCAGAAAAGTTGTAAGGATCTGTCATATTAAATTTCCACCACTGGTGTCACAATCCTTAACATTCTGAATATTATATTCATTTAACAGTACACAAAAAAGATGGTTAATTCTACATTGTTTAAATCTTTACTTCTCTACTATTAAGGCTAAAAATTGTTCAGGTTATACCTACTTACGTTGCTTTTATTTGTGAATAGACCACCTCTCCAATTTAATCTCTTATCTATCTCCCTTTACTATGTTGCAGTCACACTTGACTTCTATCTGTCCTTCATATGAACTATATCTATTTCTACCTTGAGACCTGCACCAGCTATTCCCAACACTTGCAACACAATTTCCCAAAATCTTTGTATGGCTGCCATTGACTGGTCATTTAGGTTGGAGTCAAAAGTCACATCCATGTAAGAGAACTTCCCTGACCATTTTAGACAAATAAACTCCCCAAAACATTCATTTTCTATCCCATTGGCCATAATTTTTCTTATTACTCACCATTATCTGAAATGCATGTATTTGTCTTAATGCAGTGTTGGCTCTACCTCTTCAGAATATTGGCTCCATGAAACAGAGACAAGGTCTATTTTGTTTACCACTGCATTCCCAGCATGTAGAATGATGACTGGAATTATACCATGGACCCAATAAATATTTATAAATGAGTTGCAGCATGAGTTGTAAGTCTCTGGAGGGAATGGCCTATATACTATACTTGCTCGATATGAGCCAAAAAGTGGTGCTAGTATTACGGAATATGGAACAGCTTAAATAATGGTTAACTGATGTGTGGTAGCAAACAAACAAAATACAAAAGAAGTAAGATGCCTTTACATTATCTCATCTTCTAGACAAGTTAATTTAAAACAGACAATTCATCTACTTAAAATAAGAATGTAACTGCTCAGGAAAAAAAGGAGATGAAGTGTGTTTATACAATATATTTTATATATGTAATTAATAACTTTCAAATATTACCTTGAGAACTCTGAATAGGAAAAGTCACTAAAATTTTAGTTTAATTTAAGTAATTAACATCACTGATTTTCACTTTGGCCAAGAGTAAGTTTTGCATGTATAATGTGAGCTAATAGGAGATAGAACTTGATTGTCAAAAAAGTATACAATCTAAAACCTCATAAATCAGAAAACCAAAAAAAAAATTGAAATTGTTAAAGAAACAGCCAGACGCATGCCAATAAATATTTACTCATGTCTACAACAGATGCGAGGTTTTCACGATAAACGTGCCCCACAGAAAAAGAGATGTTTCTTATGGAGCTTAAAATAAAACGAGTGGGAAAGGCTATTAAATAATCACACAAAGCAGTGTAAAATCACTTCTATGAAAAGTACAATGAAAAACAAGAACATTATCTCATATTTTAAAGCATATTTTAGAGGGGAAGTGACCAGGTCAGAAAAAGTATCAACTGGAGTAGCATCTGGAGTCAGTTACAGTTATTTAGGATACAGAATAGTAAAACAATAATAGTGAACAATTTGGTAAAAGGAGAGAAAATTTTTAAAAGCAAGAAGGAGGGGACAGAGAGGAGGACGTTTCAGATGAGTGTAGAAAGCCAAGCAGGGGCCAGACCATAGAGGGCATCAAAGAATATTTTAAAGCTTTTAAACTTTACCATATAAATTGTAAGAAGCAAAGTATTCTAGTAAAGAGGTCATAATTAGATCTTCCAAAAACAAGCCAAACAAACAAACAAACTTGGCTGCAGATGTATGAGTTAGACAGTATTTAAGAACACCTGTCTAAATTCTTAAAGTATCAAGAAAGGAAACACAAAGACCAAGTGGTATTCACACTCCAAGGCCTACAACACAACAGTTTTAACATGATAGGCACCAAAATTTTTTTTTAATGAATAAATGACTCATTAGTCAGTTGAAATCTGAACAATGTTAAGTATTAACAGATTCTTCTAAGAAGCTGGCAGTATTTTTTAAGTTATAAGGCATAATGAAGAATACAAAGTTCTTATCTAGAACCTGCTATTAATAGCTATTAATCAACATGCTATTAATAGTTCCAACATCAATTAATCAAAAGATGTCTAGGGCGGGCGCAGTGGCTCACACCTGTAATCCCTGCACTTTGGGAGGCCGAGGCGGGTGGCTCACTTGAGGTCAGGAGTTCAAGACCAGCCTGGCCAACATGCGGAAACCCCATCTCTACTAAAAATACAAAAATTAGCCAGGTGTCATGGCACACATCTGTAATTACAGCTACTTGGGAGGCTGAGGCAGGAGAATCGCTTGAACCCAGGAGATAGAGGTTGCAGTGAGTCGAGATCGTGCCACTACACTCCAGCCTGGGTGACAGAACAAGACTCTGTCTCAAAATATAGAAAAATAAAATAAAATAAAATAAATAAAAGATGTCCAATGCAAGCGATTTTATCTCTCTAGGTCTACCATATCACCTTCCCTAATCCTCCATTTCCAGATCTATAAAATAGAAATAAGGATACCTAACCTGTTTATTTCAAAGGTTGGTTGTGAGTATCAAAAAACTTCCTGTATGCAGTGAAACTTAGTTAAGTACAAAATGCTATACAAGGGGATTATGATGCTATTATTAGAAATTTTCTTCTGTCACTAACCTAAGCACTATCTGATCTTTTGAATATGGGAACCGCCAATGATTATTTGTTCTTACATTTCAAGGGGAGGGGGGAGGGATAGCATTGGGAGATATACCTAATGCTAGATGACACATTAGTGGGTGCAGCGCACCAGCATGGCACATGTATACATATGTAACTAACCTGCACAATGTGCACATGTACCCTAAAACTTAGAGTATAATAAAAAAAAAATAAAATAAAAAATAAAAAGAAATTAAATCATCAAAACACAGTTAAGAAAAAAATTTAAAGGTAGTCATAAAAAGAAAACCTAGGCTAAATTTAATAATTACTAACCAAGCCATTTCGCTTTAAAAAAAAATACATTAACAACGTAGAGTTCTTTTGAACTCAAAGAATACTACTGACTTTCACTCTCCCTCACAAAAATAATGAAAGAAAGATACATTTTTTAAAATGCTGTCACTAGAATAGAATGTTGTCACAGGATAATATTTTCCCACTGCTGTGCACAGGCAAAGCCAAATACTGAGGAAAAGTCAATATAATTATTCTGACATAGATATAGGTCATGTAGAAATATTCTCCAATAACCAAAAATCAAATTTAAAGGCAATAAGCTAAGAATGAGTTGTAAATGCTCATTTGGACACCACTAAACAAACTATTTTACTAAGTTTAAAACATTAAACTAGGGAATTGGAAATGCATCATATTTGCCTATACAACTTCACCCCAACTGACCATAAAATTCCATGTGGAAAATATCAAATTTTCCAAAATCACAATCAAAGGAAACTTTCTGTTCTCATTGGACCAACACTCTCTTGCTTGTTAACATATGTCAAGTCAAATGCTCTTTGTGCCCTTTCTAAAAAAATTAAAGGGAAAAAATCTAATATAAAGATACATACTATTTACCTATAATTGTGCTTTTTATATCCTTTTAATTTCATACACATAGGCCATGTTTTAAAAACTATAAATGTATGTATTTTTTGACAAGTTATTTATCTAAACACATTATCAAATCACAACCAAAAATATAAGGAAAAACAGAAATTGGCAAGACCATTAACATATACAAAGACTGGTCAGTCTTTCCAAGAAATTTATTTCAAATAATGCAGTGCCCCTATCATAGGATGGTCCATGTCATAAAAAAAAGTCAAAGGCAATCTTGAATAACTGGAACCCTTCTGCCAGACTGTACAATGTCCATTTGTTTTCTGGCACTGCTTCTCCTACTTCTTATCATCTGGCACAGGTCTGTGAGCACTCATCACTTCCTTGCTAATAAATGTCCTTGGTGGCATTTTTTTCCAGAATAGGGCACTTTCATCTGCACTTAAAATCTGTTCAGGTAGATATCCTTTCTCCTCAATAATTTTCTTAATGGCACCTAGGAAACTCATCTGCTGACTAATATGAGTTTCTTGGTAGCAGAAAGTACTTCTCCTGTTCTCTTGAAATTTTTTAAGCCAAACCTCTTTCTAAAATTGTCAAACCATCATCTGCTGGCATTAAATTCTTCACCTTCAGATCCTTCATCTTCTCTTTGCTTTAAGTTGTCACATAATGACTTCACTTTTTCTCAAATCTTATTAGAGTCTCTAGTATTCCTTTCTTATAGCAATCCTGCACCCACATAAAAGCTGCATTTTCAATACAAAATAAAAAGGTATTTCACAAAAAGTGAAAAGTGTTTGTGCTAGCTGGCAAAACTGAAGCAATGGTTTCACAGATTTCCTTTTATTTTTTATTTTTTTACAATAGTCCTTATGCTGAATTTATCTTTCTTGAAAGGGCAGGCAACTGAAGCTGCAGAATTCAATCTGTGGTACATATCAAGCAACTCAACTTTGTCTTATAGCATCATGGCTTTTTTCTGCTTCTTGGAACCACTTCCAGAATCACTCTGTGTGGACCCTGTGGTGTTATTCAAGGTTTACAGGGCTGGGCGCGGTGGCTCATGCCTGTAATCCCAGCACTTTGGGAGGCCAAGGTGGGCAGATCACTTGAGGCCAGGAGTTCAAGACCAGCCTAGCCAACAAGATGAAACCTCGTCCCTACTAAAAATACAAAAATTAGCTGGGTGTGGTGGCACAAGCACCTGTAATCCCAGCTACTCAGGAGGTTGAGGAACGAGAATCACTTCAGCCCAGGAGGCAGAGGCTAGTGAGCCAAGATCATGCCACTGTATTCCAGCCTGGGCAACAGACCAAGACTTCGTCTCAAAAAAAAAAAACAAAAGTTTATAGTATTTTACAGTATTGCACTAAGCCCAATGACAAATATGTGAGAACTGTGACAGATCACTTTCTATTGCAATACACAGTCATACTGTAGAGAGGAACTGCTCAGGGACTGCTCACATGGAGATGCTTACCATCACACAGCATTTTAAGCAGATACAACACAAAAGCTCACCGCAGTAGCAACAAAAGGTGGCTACGAAATTATTATAGTAGTACACCATGTAGTACTACAATTAACTTTATGCAGTTATGATTTAATACTGCATCTTTATGTTTGTTTACATTTCTATCAGCTCTGAATGGTGCCATGTGTGGTCCCTAAGCATTTGTGTGCATAAGTTTTAACAAATTTTACCTTTTTGGTTTTGGGGTTTGAAACAGACAGGGTCTCGCTGTCACTCAGGCTGGAGAGCAGTGGCATGATCATGGCTCACTGCAGCCTCAATCTCCCGAGCGCAAGTGATCCTCCCACCTCAGCCTCCTAAACAGCTGAGACTATAGGCACATGCCACCATGCCTGGTTACCTTTTTATTTTTCTAGAAATGGGGTCTGGAACTCTTGGGCTCAAGGAATCCTCACACCTTGGCCTCCCAAAGCGCTGGAATTAGAGGCGTGAGCCACCATTCCTGGCCAAATTTTAACTTTTTATAATAAATTTTTGTATATTGCATGGTAGTAAATGATAAAATAGACAAAATCCACATAAATTGTATGCATTCATAACATACCTAACTTTTTCTTCATTATTTTGATATTTCTAGGCTAAATGGTTCATCTGCAAATTTTCAAATTGTTACAAATCTCAAAAAAATTTTCCAATATAGTTATTGAAAGAAACTGAACTCACACAGTTCAAGCCCATGTTGTTCAAGCTGTACATGTTAAAATACTTGATGAGAAATCAAGTTTTTAGAAAAGCTTGCATTAAGTCCTGAATCATCAAATGCACCCTCCTACAACATCATTCAACAATAACTGAAGAATGTTTTCAGAGCTGGCAAATAAAAAATATATTTAATTTATCCAATGGGTTTTTTCATTTATCTGCAAGAATCTATATTTCAATTCCTATCACTGTTTGCTCTACTCCTAATTCGATGGTTTTCAGTTCAAACATGAATCATTAAGAAAAAGTAAAAATGCTGCATTCACTGAAACATAAAAAATAATAAATAGAAAAATGTTAAGTAATCCAAAAGTGTTATGCTATCAAGAACTATTTAAACACCTCCTTTCAAGGCTCAGTACAGCAAAAAGGATGATTTTATGATTCAATTTTAAAAGACAATCTACATGGAGCAATTTTTCTCTCCTTAAAATTCCCTTAATTAAGAGAATGTTTATTCTCTATTGCCATGAGGGGAAATAACTTGCCTATTTTGTTTATTGATGCATCTCCAGCCAGGACCCTGCAATATGGTTCCACACAGTGGAAGAAAATACTTGCAAATCATATATCTGATAAGGGATTAATTTACACAACACATAAAGAACTTCTACAACTCAAGGAAAAAAACTAATTAAAAATGAGCAAAGGACTTGAATAGATAGGACATGAAAAGATGGTCAACATTCCTAATCATTAGGAAAATGCAAATTAAAACCACAATGAGATATCACCTCATATTTGTTACGATAGCTATTATCAAAAAACAGAAAATAATAAGTGTTGATGAAAATATGGAGAAATTGGAACCTTTTTCCATCACTGTTGCAGGTGTCAAGTGGTGTGAAAATCAGTATGGCAGCTCTCAAAAACAGAATTACCATATGATACAGCAATTCCACTTCTAGGTATATACTCAAAATAACTGAAAGCAGAGACTCAAACAGATATTTGTACATGCATGTTCACAGCAGCATCATTCACAATAGCTAAAAGGTGAGAGGTATTTGTCAATGGATAAATGGATAAACAAAATGTGGCATATACATAAAATGAATACATAAAATTCAGTCTTACAAACGAATGAATAAGGAAGGAAATTCTGCTACATGCTGCAACACGGATTAATCTTGAAAACATTATGCTAAGTGAAATAAGCCAGACACAAATGACAAATATGGAATGATTCCATTTCAGTGAGGTACCTAGAATAGTCAAATTTATAGAGACAGAAAGTTGAATGGTGGCACTACTGCACAACAATGTGAATGTACTTAATGCTACTGAATTTTACATTTAAAAATAGTTATTTTTTGAAATAGTAATAGCAATTGTTTTAAGCAAAATGGTACAGTTGATCGAGCCTTGAATCAAGAAGGAGAGGATCAAATTGAGGCACTGATATTAATTAACTGTGTGGTCTTAGGCAAGAAATTTGACCTCTCTGGAACTCAGTTTTCCCATCTTTGAAATGAGAAGATTGTAACAGATGTTAATGTTTCTTTTTTGTTCAAAACATTCCATAAAAGCACATCTTAGATGGCAGAACCAAAGCTGAAAAATCAGTCTAACACCTATCAGGTGGAGATAAGAGAATTAACATCCCATTTAAGGCTTAGTAGTTTTAAGGCATTTAGTTAAAGGGAATGTTAATCACAAAACCAGACTGATGAACACAGTTTTGGAAGGAAGATCTATCTCCAGGTTCATTAAAAACACTCAAGTATAGCTTCTTGAGGCCTCGAACTGTGGTATTACGAAGAACAGGGCAGTTGTATAAACATCATTTTAAGCCCTGGAAGGTTACTTATTGTGTTGATAATAAGTATTACTGGCAATTTTTTTTAGACTTGAAGGTCCCAGTATCCATTAAAACTAAAAGAATTTACCCTGGTGTCACTCTGAGCTGGGGCAAATGATGCCTTCAGTTTCACTTCCAGGGAGGCAAAAGGATCAGTATCTGCCTCACCTGCCCTTCACACACCACATCAATACCACCAGCCTACCAGCACCAAGTCGTGTAACTTCTAATTAACACTGAACTCAAAGATTTCACAGAAGCATTTTTCCCCTGCAAATGATCTGTTCAATAACTTTGCTAGTTAAAATCAACAATTGGCACTGTGCTAAGTAAAAAATGGGAACTTAGAAGTCCCTCAACCTTAAAAAGAAATATGTGTTTTCACACATTTCTCTGAGAATGAAAATGCCTCATGATATATATAAGTAATAATTATATCAGAGAAGAAACATTATTCTTAGGCAGAAATCCAAGTATAAACTTCTCATAAAAGCAAACTTTGATTAAATAAAAGAAAGAAATTTAGAGCTGCCCAATAATGGTTGGCCCAGAAAGTAGCTAACATCCTTGAATAAAATGTTCAAGCAGTACACAGATGGCTATAAACCAAAAGTACGTCATAAAGACTCAGTAACTGGGATAATGTCTAAGATTCCACCTAATGTTAATATCCATCATTTTAAGATCAGAATTACAATAATATCTACATACTATTAACTAATACTAGCAGAGTTCAGATTTATTAGCTAGCCTTTCACTCCATGGAAATTTACTTTAACTATAGGCAAAAAGCATACTGGGCCTTCAAAACTGATTAACAGGGCCTTCAAAACTGATTAACAGAAGATTATATATGTCCCCTTCGCTCCTTCAAGTAATAAAACAATCAAAGATGTTCAAATCAGACAATCCTCTACGAAAATCTTGTGAGGCCAGTGTGTGACTTTGGACAACTTATTTAACCTCTCTGAAAATTAGAAAGAGTTTATAAGAGACAATATCATCTTATCTCACAGGACCGTCATGAACTTTAACTAGGTACCTAAGACTGTATAAAACAATATAGTATGCTCTTTCAGATTATATCCATTCCTCAATATCCTGCTTAAAAATTACCCCTCCATGTTTTCCATGACTTTCTAAGCCAATATACTATTTCTATACTCCAAACTTCCAAAATATGTTGCATATATTTCTCTACAAATAGAATCACACATTTGAACCCTCAATTATAGGACAAAGTGAATTTGAGACTATATTTTAGTTAGGCTTTAACAAACATGAACATGAAGAAATGGGACTAATGAATATTTGATTAACTGGTTTAACTATCTTTAAGTGTTCATATTAAAACATTTAGATATCATTGCTCATGGACAAGTCTAAGGTAGAGTAACTGTCCAAATTCTTCGCCCACTGTATGCAGTGATAGATACATGGATATCTGTCTCATCCACTAATGTCCAATTCTAACAGGACCTCATCTCATCAGCTATCTCTGACGTCCCAGGGAAACTGTCTGCTTTCTTTAAACTTATAGGACATACTGCTTAAGCAGTATTTTATTGAATTCAAACTGCACTAAAACCAACCAATATCTCAATTTATTAAGTTTTCTCTTTATTTTCAAGTTACAGTTACTAAAGTTTTTTTTTACATTTATTAAGAAAATTTCAAGAAATATTTCAAATCAATATACTTCTATAAAGCATAGCAAAAATATCACTGAAATAACACAGAAGTAGTCTTAACTACAAAAAAGCAAAACACATCCAAAAAATATTGGCATTCTGTGATCTCATGCTTTCAGTATTTAATTGGAATATTATTTCTAGATGTCTGTAGGCATATTTTAAGTAACATTTGACAGTATTCATAATACCCTCTTTGTATCCTTCAAATAAGTCTTACTTATTTCAATATTGATTTTATATAAAGGCTATAATCATTTTGAAAAATATGGACTTTTTTAAAGAAATTAAGAATTTTCTATAGTAAATTGCACTGTTTGCAATAAAACTATTTTGGTCCTAGAAATGATAAATTAATCAGCACATAACGGAGAAAATAGTTTTCACAAATACCTATTAAAATTGATATCACCATATCAACTGTGACATATCCCAGTTTATTTCTTAATAGATCAGAATATAAAACTTGACTCAAATGCAACATACCATGTATGCTAATAAAAAGTTAAATCTATCTCTATATAACATAATAAATGACATGTGAGAGGTATGGAGGAGTAAGGACAAAATGAAATTTATCACTAGAAATTAAGAATTATCATTTAATAATGGTTTCACTTTATAGAGGAATTGGTACTAAGACTTAACTACGACTTTTAAAAAAATTTTCTGTATCAGCAGGCAAAGTTTCTTGAAAATATGAGCGATTATTTTATAATTTCATTTTAAAAGTTATATATTATTAAAGAAACAAATTTTTAGCAACTGAAGTATTTTAGATAAGAAATTAATGCTAATTTTCTAAAGGTTATGTCATTTTTAGTAAAAAACTAATAGAAAAACTATCCTGCAAAAATAAGCTTACTAATTAGAATGAGAATACAAAAGACATATTCTAAATCACATTTTAAATTGGAAAAATGGTTCACTAAAAATTAATTTCATATATTTAAACATTATTTTATATATTTAAACAATATATTAAAAGCATTCCTTTAAACTAAAAATTTATAACTGGTAACTACTGGCTTTCTTTCTGTAAATCTCTCCGAATTTAAGGAAATGTGACCTCCAAATATAGCATTCAATTCGGAATGAAAATGGTGAGGGCTACAATCAATTTCTTATAAAATATAGCTACTAGACATGTAAATACATTCTAACTCTACATAATGTGTATACTTTTGTCAGTGGGTATGAATATATACGAAATTATTATTTAATAGATAAATACTTTGGTCTTGAATATTAATTTATAACTTTTTAAAATCTTTATACCCACTCTTGAAAAAAAGGCACTTCCTCTTACAGTTCCTATTATAATCTCAAGTAGTATTTTACACACATCCAACATGAATTAACAGTTATTACCCTAATAACAGTTATTGCTATCACAAAAGACATGATGAACTAACAGATTTCAGAAACTTAAAAAAGACTTTTAGTGTCTCAGTAAAAGTACAAGTTTAGATTTTTTTTCTAAAGTTTTGTATAAAACTAGCATGGGCATAAGACAGATACATTTGGGGGTTTTTTCCCTCCTAATAAATGGAAATTAACATAAATCACATTTTAACATGTAAGACTTACCAGCATGTGGGGAGTTTCAGAAGTTTCCCATAAAGAGCAGTGCTGAAAGAGGGAATAACTGGTACAGGTAAGCAGTAAGATCCACTGCAATCCAAAGACGTCAGTCCTGCCTGGAAACCAAATATCTAAAACAAAAAGAAAAGATGCAAGTGTTCACACAGACAAAGTTTTAATAAGCACAGGATGAAATACGTCAGTTTCAACTTGCTTTACAACAGCTGCACACTAAATATGTTCCAAAGTCTTTTTCCACTTCCCAAACGATCAACATTTTCTTCTATACAATTTGACAGTAGGTCAAAATTAAGAAACTTAAATATACAGTATTTATTTCACATCCCTGAAAGATCACTGCTCTTTTGACAAATTTTTTTAAGTTTCACATTTTATTTCTATACATACTCCTCAGGTAGTGTTTTATTATCTGCTAAAATATACATTTTTCCATAAATATAAACCGCTGACTGCATTTTCTACACAGTAAACTACAAATTTTATAAATTAATGTTAATATTTTATGACTAAAATAACATTAACTACAAGAAAAACTGTTTAAAAATGTATTTTGTCTTCACCTTGTATAATGTACATACAAAAAGGATATCGAAAAATATCCTAAAATGTTATTTCTATTTTCTTTTGTGAAAATAATTGTGGGATTGAGGTTTTAAACCCCAGAAAACTTGGTACATGGCATAAATTACTCTTCATATGTACAAGCATGTCTATGCTTAAAGCAAGCAGACCATACTACAAAATTTTATAAGCAATCCCTGAAATTCCTGGATACTATATTTGTCATAATAGAAAGAAACAACATAACATCACGTTACATGAAATACTGTAGAGAACTGATGATATTTCTGCTTCAATTATTTGTAAAACAACAAAAGATAAACACCTCAGAGTGGAAATACACACATGGATACAAAACAAAGAGTTACTGTTTTCCAGTAAATGTAAAAGTAGCTTAATCTCAACATTTATCTTTAGTTACTGTTTTTTATCCCTTGGGTTTATAAAGCACTGACTTCCATATCTCTAGAATTAATATCAACTGTGAAGTTCTATAATAAAATATGTTTAGAATTTCTTCATAACTGATTTCAAAATACTATTTAATGAGCATAAAATAATTATCAATTTCTTTAAAAGTATTAAGCTACTTCCAAATAGTTTCAAAAAGCTATTATACTCCTAACATTCATCAAATCGACAATGTCAAATTATTTCTTATACACTCAGTTTTGAGTGAACAAAACAATGTTTTAGAAATAAAACATTTTTTAAAATTACATTTTCAAGGAAAACTGCATTTCAAAGAACCTACTTATGTAATTACTATCAAGGAAAACAAAAGTGATGCACCCATCAGCACCTATAACCTGCTATTAACCAATAGATAAGAAGTACAGAATTGAGAAAAAGATATCTTTCTAATACTGAAATGATTACTTAAAATCATAACTTAAAATTAAGATATTTCACATTCATTCTTTTTGAAGACCTGTTCTGAGCAATAATGTATGCAAAGTACTGCGTTGGTTTCTGTACAATTTCAGGATTTCTTATTTCCTCATAAAGGCCAAATATTCAAAGGATTCTGGAATTTACAGTTATTATTATAACAATACAAAACATTTTTAAAACAATATCCAACTGCCAAATATTTCGAGTTATGAATAAAGATAATATTTTATCACATCATATTACCTATGCTCAACTAAGAACTCTCTCAAAGCCACTGTCAAATTTTCCATTAAATGCCCCAACAGTATAATCACAGACACTATCTACCAACTGTACTCAGAAGGAAATTGGGTGTAGACGAGATCCCCTGCTGGTTGTCTGCAGAATTGCAAAGGGCTTTGGGGAAACTACATACTATTCTGTCATTTTTTTAAAAGTCTTTATTATACTTTTGTGTTGCCTAGAGATGCTTCTAAGAAAACATTCAACCAGGTGAAAATTACAATAAAACAGGACCTACTGGACAAAGAAGTTACCTTCTAAATATTGCCAAATTATTATGAGTCATATTTTTGCTTCCTCTATTATCCACCAAATCAAAAAGAACTATTTAAAAATAAATTTTTAAACTCTCTCTTTTAAATTACAGCAATCAGATACATAGATTTACAAAACCTATATAAGCTAATAATTTGTCAACATCCCTTGACCAAGACTATAAATACTTAATCTGGAAAAAGCAGAACCAGCAGTGTAAACTGAAGTTGCTTTCATGAAGGATAGCTCACATATTCAAAAACTGGTTTGGTAAATGTTGCAAACTAATAATCTGGAGCAATAAAAATGTATGAAACAGTAAGTATAACTACCAGTAGAAATTTTAGCTAAAGGAAACTGTAAAGTTGAATAAGAGAACTTACACATCTCATTAAATAAAAAGTTAAACATGTATTGCCACCTGTTTTTAAAAATCCCAATTAGTAAATAACAAAAATGAATACATCATCAAGATTTTAACATTTTACAACAAATGTTCTTGAATTAATATCTCAAATAGAAGAAATTGTAATGGATTTAGAAACATTATATGGCAACTTACTTCTGTAAGATTTTGCCAAAAATTATCATAAATTAGAATTTGCTATTTTAAAAAGACAAAAGTATAAAAAGCACATGCTAATTGTAAATGACAATAAAAACATTATAATTATGATATACAATAAATAATTTTTGTTACTGCCATTATAAAACACATGGTAGTTTTATACCATTAAATAAAACACATAATAGTATAAAACACATAATAGTATAATCAGCATCATAAAGATTTGTCCCTTCACTAAAGGAACAAATAAGCATTTCTTTCATTTTAAAAGTTGGTATGTATGCAATAATACACTGAAACACATAAAAACTGAAGAAAGAATAATAATAACTAGGGTTGTACAGCATAATAATGAACACCTTGTGAAGAAAAACTCTTCAGGGGAAAAGAATGAAATCAAAATCAACCAAAGAATTTTAGAGCTCAAACTGCTTAGAGATTATTTAACTCAATCATCTCATTTCACATGCAGGAAAAATGAAGTCCAAAAGGATTAGGGACATCTTTGAAATTATATATTGATGTAACAAGGATATGATACTTCATTTGATGTAGCTCATCTATTAACTCAAAATTTCACCCGATCTTCCTTCCTTCCTCTATTTCCTCCTTCTCTTCACCTAAAAAGGAATGGCTGATTCTCTGTTTATTCTTAAAGAAAAATAAACAATCTTTCTCACAATGGTTTATTGCTGGGCACTGCATTCTTTTCTACGGGTCTATATGTCTGTGTTTACAACAGTACCACACTGTTTTGATTACTATAGCTCTGTAGTAGCTTCTGGAATCAGTAAGAGTAAGTCCTTCAGCTTTGTTCTTTTTCAAGATCTTTTTGGTTATTTGGGGTCCCTTGAGAGTCCATATGAATTTTAGGATGAGTTTTTCTACTTCTGAAAAAAGACATTGGAATTGTAATAGAGTCTGCACTGAAAATGTGTAGAAAGGATAGCATGGACAATATTAAGTCTTCCAATTCAAGAAGATGAGATGCGTTTCCATTTATGTATATCTTCGTTTCTTTCAGCTCTGTTTTGTGGTTCTTATTGCAAAAGTCTTTCACTTCCTTGGTTAAGTTAATTCCTAAACAATAAACCTCTAAGAAAACAGAACAAAAACCAACTACAGCCTACAGGCCAAATCCCACACACTGCTTGTTCCGGGATAGCCTACAAGCAAAGAATAATTTTTACACATAAACATTTATAATCAACATGGTGGGAACAATAAGTTGAAATCCCAATTAGGTGAAATGTTGTCCCTCCAAAAAGAGTTCCATTCTTCTCATTAATAAAACTGTATTACCTGGCCAGGCACGGTGGCTCATGCCTATAATCCCAGCACTTTGGGAGACAGAGGCAGAGGTGGGTGGATCACGAGCTCAGGAGTTCAAGAACAGCCTGGCCAACATAGTGAAGTCCCGTCTCCACTAAAAATACAAAAAATTAGCCAGGAGTGGTGGCACGTGCCTGTAATCCCAGCTACTCAGGAGGCTGAGGCAGGAGAATCACTTGAACCCGGGAGGCGGACGTTGCAGTGAGCCAAGATCGTGCCATTGCACTCCAGCCAGGGCAACAGTGCAAAACTAGATCTCAAAAAAATAAATAAATAAAAGAAAAATAAAACTGTGTATTACCCAAAAACTGTACTCAATTATTACATTTTGAATATTATAAACTCAACATTTGTAAAATTTGTTCTCTCTCTTGTTATTTAAGTTCCTACATAATATCCTCAATTTTGCCACTTGGTCCACAAAGCCTAAAATATATACTGAGCCTGTAGGCAAAATTTTGCTGACCCCTGCTGGAGGGTATACACTGAAAATTGGAACAAATGGGTGGTAAGGTAGATGTGCTTTCAAATGTATTACATGCTGCTACTTCCAAAATAAATATGCCAATTTATGTAACCGTAAAATGTGTATGAAAACATTATTTCCTCCAAATCCCCTGGGATTTTCTTGAGGTAAAAAATTAACAGATCCAAAGAATCCAAAGGGTTTCCATCCTACTCTAACTCCTTGTTCTGTCTGAAGTATGTATTGCAGCTGATCCATATGAATAAGGCCTTAAAGTTATATACTATTCTACAAATTACACAACGCAGTCACATTACCAAATTTTCTACATATGTTTCAAATATCAGATGCCTTGAAACTCTTAGCTACTCAATACCATACATATTCAAACGATGGGTTTGCCAGATACATAAAGAGGAATTGGTAAGCCATAAGCAAGTGTCATCTCTCGGGGAGAGGAGGTTGAAGAGATGTTAGGCAAAGCATACAAAATTTCAATTAGATAGGAGAAATAAATTTAAAAGATCTATTGTACAACATGAAGACTATAGTAAATAACAATGTATTCTATTAAAAAATCAATGACAGCAGATTTAAACAGTTCTCACCACAAAAATGATAGTATGTGACATAATATATGTTAGCTAAATTGAGCTATTTCAAAATGTATACATATTTCAAAACATGTTATAAACAATAATATATACAATTTTGTCAATTACAAATAAAAGGAATCTTTCATCTGCATATTTTCCATACAGATCCATGCCAACTCTCCCAATTGGTAAATTTTATTACATGAAGTGGGAATTATGAATCATTTTCTTACACTGACAAAGCCATCAAAACGGGAAGGAGAGGGGAGAACAGCAGCATAAGCAGCTGGCAGAGGCAGCAGAAAGGAAAGAAAAAGTCGAAGAGAGAAAGAGAAAGTCAAAAAGACAGAGAGAGGAAGAGACAGAGAGACAGAAAATCAAAGAGGGAGTCAGAAACAGAGACAAAGAAAAGGAGTCAGAGAGAAAGAGGGACAGACACAGAAAGTTAAAGAGAGAGTTAAAAAGAGAAGAAGAGACAAAGAAGAAGTCGAAGAGAGAAAGAGAGAGATGGAAGTAGTAAAGAAAAAACAGTGTATCCTATTCCTTTAAAAGCCAGGGTAAATTTCTATCTACCCAGCCAAGGCATATTCTACTTATGTGGGTCTTCAACCCATATTTGCTTCTCAGACAGTTTGCAAGAAATAACGAAATCTATCCTTACTTTACAATCCCAAATAGACTCTTTGGCAGCAGTGACTCTCCAAAACTGCTGAGGCCTAGACCTCCTCACTGCTGAGAAAGGAGGACTCTGCACCTTTTTAGGGGAAGAGTGTTGTTTTTACACTAACCAGTCAGGGATAGTACGAGATGCTGCCCGGCGTTTACAGGAAAAGGCTTCTGAAATCAGACAATGCCTTTCAAATACTTATACCAACCTCTGGAGTTGGGCAACATGGCTTCTCCCCTTTCTAGGTCCTGTGGCAGCCATCTTGCTGTTACTCACCTTTGGGCCCTGTATTTCTAACCTTCTTGTCAATTTTGTTTCCTCTAGAATCGAGACCATCAAGCAACAGATGGTCTTACAAATGGAACCCCAAATGAGTTCAACTAACAACTTCTACCCGGGACCCCTGGACCGACCCACTGGCACTTCCCCTGGCCTGGAGAGTTCCCCTCTGAAGGACACCACAACTGCAGGGCCCCTTCTTCGCCCCTATCCAGCAGGAAGTAGCTAGAGCAGTCAACGGCCAAATTCCCAACAGCAATTGGGGTGTCCTGTTTAGAGGGGGGATTGAGAGGTGACAGCATGCTGGCAGTCCTCAGAGCCCTCGCTTGCTCTCAGCACCTCCCCTGCCTGGGCTCCCACTTTGGTTGCATTTGAGGAGCCCTTCAGCCCCCACTGCACTGTGGGAGCCCCTTTCTGGGCTGGCCAAGGCTGGAGCCCACTCCCTCAGCTTGCAGGGAGGTGTGGAGGGAGAGGCGCGAGCGGGAACCGGGGCTGTGTGCGGCGCTTGCAGGCCAGCTGGAGTTCTGTGTGGACATGGGCTTGGTGGGCTCCGCACTCAGAGCAGCCAGCCAGCCCTGCTGGCCCCGGGCAATGAGGGACTTAGCACCCCGGCCAGTGGCTGCCGAGGGTGTACTGGGTCCCCCAACAGTGCTGGCCCACCGGCGCTGTGCTCGATTTCTCGCCGGGCCTTAGCTGCCTTCCCACGGGGCAGGGCTCGGGACCTGCAGCCTGCCATGCCTGAGCCTCCCACCCACTCCATGGGCTCCTGTGCAGCCCGAGCCTCCCCAACGAGCACCACCCCCTATTCCACGGCGCCCAGTCCCATCGACCACCCAAGGGCTGAGGAATGCGAGTGCACGGTGCAGGACTGGCAGGCAGCTCCACCTGCAGCCCCGGTGCGGGATCCACTAGGTGAAGCCAGCTGGGCTCCTGAGTCTGGTGGGGATGTGGAGAGTCTTTATATCTAGCTCAGGGATTGTAAATACACCAATCAGCACCCTGTGTTTAGCTCAAGGTTTGTGAATGCACCAATCGTCACTCTGTATCTAGCTGCTCTGGTGGGGCCTTGGAGAACCTTTATGTCTAGCTCAGGGATTGTAAATACACCAATCGGCACTCTGTATCTAGCTCAAGGTTTGTAAACACACCAGTCAGCACCCTGTGTTTAGCTCAAGGTTTGTGAATGCACCAATTGACACTCTGTATCTAGCCGCTCTGGTGGGGCCTTGGAGAACCTGTGTGTCCAAACTCTGTATCTAACTAATCTGATGGGGACGTGGAGAACCTTTGTATCTAGCTCAGGGATTGTAAACGCACCAATCAGCGCCCTGACAAAACAGGCCACTCAGCTCTACCAATCAGCAAGATGTGGGTGGGGCCAGATAAAAGAATAAAAGCAGGCTGCCCGAGCCAGCATTGGCAACCCGCTCGGGTTCCCTTCCACACTGTGGAAGCTTTGTTCTTTCGCTCTTTGCAATAAATCTTGCTATTGCTCACTCTTTGGGTCCACGCTGCTTTTATGAGCTGTAACACTCACCGCGAAGATCTGCAGCTTCGCTCCTGAGCCCAGCGAGACCATGAGCCCACCGGGAGGAACGAACAACTCCAGACGCGCTGCCTTAAGAGCTGTAACACTCACTGCAAACGTCTGCAGCTTCATTCCTGAGCCAGCGAGACCACGAACCCACCAGAAGGAAGAAACTCCAAATACATCTGAACATCAGAAGGGACAGACTCCAGACGCGCCACCTTAAGAGCTGTAACACTCACCGCGAGGGTCCGCGGCTTCATTCTTGAAGTCAGTGAGACCAAGAACCCACCAACTCCGGACACAATTTCATCATATAGCCAATACAGCCAAGGTTCAGTATACAAAATTAAAACTCAAGGATTTGTTTAAGTACTTAATTGAAAATTATATATGGACTAAAATGCCAAACACACGAATCCTCTACTGTACTACTGTAATATGATAAAACTAAAACTTTAAAAACTTCCTCAAAGGCTACTAAAATCAACCCAAGTAATATGAACTGCTATAAACTTTATAGCAAACTGGTAAATGGAGTCACATCACAATAGCCGTATAAAAAAAAACTCTCTACCACATCCTGAAAGTATTCAAAAGTCCTATGTCACAGTAGAAGTATGAAAATGAAATGAAATATTCAAGACAAGATTCAAGGCTTTATTTTCAAAAGTATTTAGTATTCTTGGCCGGACGCAGTGGCTCACACCTGTAATCCCAGCACTTTGGGAGGTCGAGGTGGGAGGATCAATTTGAGGCCAAGAGTTCGAGACCAGCCTGGTCAACATGGTGAGACCCTGTCTCTACTAAAAATACAAAAATTAGCTGGGTGTGGTGGTGCACACCTGTAATCCTAGCTACTCGGGAGGCTGAGGCAGGAGAATCGCTTGAACCTGGGAAGTGGAGATTGCAATGAGCCTAGATTGTGCCACTGCACTCCAGCCTGGGTGACAGAATGAGACTCTGTCTCAAAAAAAAAAAAAAAAAAGGATTTAGTACACTTAACACCAGGGAATGGTTTTCCCACGCATATTAATGCTATTCCCACTCTGCCTAACACCTTACTTCCTGAGACATTAAACGTATCCATTATGACTGTATTCAAACAAGCCAAAATATAAAAGAAAACTAGACAGCATGTGTAGCAAAGGCCCTTTTTCCAAAATATAACTATATCGGTAGTACACTGTAAATAACTTTTACATTACACTGGAAATGTGAGTTTTAACATATTGACAAGTAGAAATCGTGAAGAAGTATTCCAATAAATTTTATGTCAGTATGGATGGTGACTATATTGATGACCAATGGTTTTGGTGAACATCCTTCTTGAGTATAGAGACTCACTTCATTTATCTATAAGCTGAATGTCAATGTTTTATGTTGACTGCATGTTAACCAATATTTGCATATATTGGGTTAAATAAAATATATTATTGACATGAAAAAACAAAGCAAATATTCTTAACACTGTAATCTGATATTAAATTTGTACCAATATTTTTTAAAATTGTACACTTCTATGTATTAATTGTGACAATAAATAAAGCTTAAGTATAAAGCATTGAATCTGAAAATTATAGAGTATAAAGCATTGTAAAGTATAAAGTACATTTATAATCTTTATATCTAGGTTTTGAAAATATTTCTGCTACTCTCCATATAACATAAAACATTATGGTAGATCACTAAAATAATGGCCCCAATGAGTCACACTTCCCTGTGTCCACACCCTTTTGCAATGTGATCTGTTGTTCTTCCACCAAAGGAGCCATCCTTGAGAAAAAAGGCTTTGCAAAAACAACCAAGAAAACATGTTCTTCTAGTCTGCAATGGTCTGAAAACAGTCAAATGTTAACATCTTACATTTATATACACCTGCAGGTGATCTAAAACTGGTATCTTGAAATTGGTTTATTTTTGCGTTACAGATATACAAATACTTAAAAACTTTATAACTTCAAATAAACTAATTAGGCCAAGAGCCTATTTGTGGAGTCCTCTAATCTTTTGATACATTACATGAAAATTAGTGCTTTTTTAGTACCTTTTTTTTTTTTTTTTTTTTTTGAGACAGGGTCTCACTCTGTTGCCTAAGCTGGAGTGCAGTGGCGCCATCACAGCTCACTGCAACCTTGACCTCCTGGGCTCAAGCAAATCTCTCACCTCAGCCTCCCAGGTAGCTGGCACGCAACCACAATGCCTGGCTAATTTTTGTATTTTTTGTAGAGATGAGGTTTCACCACTTTGCTCAGGGGGGTCTCGACCTCCTGGGCTCAAGTGATCCACCCACCTCAGACTCTCAAAGTGCTGAGATTACAGGCGTTAGCCACGATACCCAGCCAGTACTGATTCTTAAATTCAACTTTTTATAGTTTTCTTTTGTTCATAAAACAGAAGTTGATTGTGTACACACTATTTCTATTTAAACTATACATCTCTGCTTGCTTAGCTAAAACATGTATTGTTCAACATTTGAGGTTATTGTTTGTATATACCTGCATTGGATGTATTACTTATTTTTTAAAAATTGAAAGAGCTGGGGAAAGCTACCAATAATTCACTTTACATAACCAGATGGACATACCCAGGAGATACTGCAAGTTCCACATCACCACAATACAACAAATATCACAATAATTTTTGGTTTCCCAGTACATATAATAAAAGTTATGTATACACTTATACTGTAGTCTATTAAGTGTGCAATAACATTATGTCAAAAAAAAAAACTTATATACCTTAAATAAAAAGCACTTTATTGGCTGGGCACAGTGGTTCACACCTGTAATCACAGCACTTTGGGAAGCAAGGTAGGCAGATAGCTTGAGCTCAGGAATTCGAGACCAGCCTGGGCAACATGGCAAAACCCCATCTTACCAAAAATACAAAAAATTAGCTGAGCATGGGCATGTGTACCTGTGGTCCCAGTACTTGGGAGACTGAGATGGGAGAATCACTTGAGCCCAGGAGGTGGAGGTTGCAGTGAGCCAAGATCATGCCACTGCACTACGGCCTGGGTGACAGAGTAAGACTCTGCCCTCACCCCTTACAAAAAGTACTTTATTGCTAAAAAATGCTAATGACCATCTCAACCTTCAGCAAGTAATAACCTTTTTGCCTTGATGTTCATGGCTCCTTACTAATCAGGATGGTGGTTGCTAAAAGTGGTGGGGCTAGCTGCAGCAATTTCTAAAAATAAGACAACAATGAAGTTTGCCATATTGATTAACTCTTCCTTTCATGAAAGATTTCTCCACAGCAGGCATTGATGATTGATTTGAGGTTTGATGGCATTTTAACAGTAGTAAAACTTCTATCAAAATTGGAGTCAATCCTCTCAAACCATGCCATTGCTTTATCAACCAAGTTTATAGAACTTTTTAAATTCTCTGTAATCATTTAACAATGTTCCCAGCATCTTCCCCAGGAGTAATTGCCATCTCCAGAAATCACTTTCTTTGCTCATCCATAAGAAGCAACTCCTCCTCCATTCAAGTTTTATCATGAGATTGTAGCAATTCAGTCATATCTTCAGACACCAATTCTAGTTCTCTTGCTATTTCCATCACATCTGCAGTTACTTCCTCCATGGAAGCCTTGAACCCCTCAAAGTAATCCATGAGGACTGAAATCAACTTCTTCCAAACTCTTGTTAATGTAAATAGATTGACCTCCTTCTGTGAATCATAAATATTCTTAATAGCATCTAGATTGATGAATCTTTTCCAAAAGGTTTTCAATTTGCTTTGCCCAGGTCTATCAGAAGAATGGCTATCTATGGTAGCTATAAGCCTTACAAAATATATTTCTTAAATAATAAGACCCCAGAGTCAAAATTACTCTTGATCCACAGGCTGCAGAATGAATGTCATGTTAACAGGCATGAAAACAATGTGCATCTCCCTGTACATCTTCATCACAGGTGTAGGGTGACCAGGAGCATTGTCCGTGAGCGCTAATATTTTGAGAGGAGTCTTTTCTGGGCAGTAGGTCTCCACAGGCTTAAAATGTTTAGTAAACCATGCCATAAACAGATGTACTGTCATTGAGGCTTTGTTGTTCCATTTATAGAGCATGAGCAGTGAAGATTTAGCCTAATTCTTAAAGCACTTTGGATTTTCAGAATGGTAGATGAGCATTATCTTCAACTTAAGAAGTCACCAGGTACATTAGCCCCTAACAAGAGAGTCAGCGTCTTGCCCTGTCGCCCAGGCTGGAGTGCAACAGCCTGATCTTGGCTCATTGCAACCTCTGCCTCCCGGGTTCAGGCGATTCTCCTGCCTCAGCCTCCTGAGTAGCTGAGATTACAGGCACACACCACCACACCCGGCTAATTTTTTTGTATCTTTAGTAGAGATGGGGTTTCACCATGTTGGCCAGGCTGGTCGATCTCCTGACCTTGTGATCCACCCGCCTCAGCCTCCAAAAGAGCTGGGATTACAGGCATGAGCCACCGTGCCCGGCCGCCTTTTGAAGTTTTGAAGCAAGGCATTGACTTCTCCTCCCTAGCTATGTAAGTCCTAGATGGTATCTTCTTCCAAGAGAAGGCTATTTCGTCTACATTGAAAATCTGTTTAGTGTAGCCACCTTCATCAATTAACTGAGCTAGATATGGATAACCTGCTCTAGTTTCTATGTCAGCACTTGCTGTTTCACCTTGCACTTTTATGTTATGGAGATGGCTTCTCTTACACTTCATGAACCAACCTCTGCCAGCTTCTAATTTTTCTTCTGCAGCTTTCTCAAGTCTCTCAGCATTTACAGAATTGAAGAGAGTTAGGGCCTTGCTTTTCATTTAAGGGAATATTGTAGCTGGTTTGATCTGCTATCTGGACCACTCAAACTTTATATCAACAATATGGCTGTTTCACTTTCTTGTCATTCCTGTGTTCACTGGAGTAGCACTTTTAATTTCCTGGAGACTTTTCCTTTGAATTCACAACTTGGCTGTTTTGCAAAAGAGGCCTAGCTTTCTGGCCTCATCTTGGCTTTTGACATGCCTTCTTCATTAAGGTTAATTACTTCTAGCTTTTGATTTAAAGTAGAGTTATGGGACTCTTCCTTTCACTTGAAGATTTACAGGCCATTGTAGGGCTATTAATTGGCCTAACTTCAATATTGTTGTGTCTCAAGGATTAGGATAAGGGAGAGAGAAGGGGGAACTGGTCAGTGGAGGACCCAGAACACACACAACATTTACCAAGTTCACCATCTTAAATAGGTGCACTTCTTGGTGCCCGAAAAACAGTTACAATAGCAACATCAAAGAACAGTGATGACAGATCACAATGCTAAAATAATAATGAAAACTTGTGAAATATTTGGATAATTACCAAAATATGACACAGAGACACGAAGTGAGCAAATACTATTGAAAAAATGGCACCAAAGCCTTGCTTAATGCAAGATTGCCACAAACCTTCAATTTGTTAAAAAAAAAAAACACACACACACATACACACACACAATTACTATGAAGTACAATAAAGTAATGCATGATAAAATGGCATATGCCTGTATTTAAAATAAATTTCCCTTGCATCAATAAATTGACATGAATTAAATAAAGGTGACATAAAAAAGTTTTAGGCCCTCTTTATGCCTCATTATGCCTCACACAAATGCTCCCTTCAAAAAAACATGAGTCTTCAAAGCATCCATATTAAACTAAGTGCTCTTTCACATTGCTTATAAAAATTACCATCAATGATAAATAAAATTATTCAAAAGTTATGATTAACCATTCATTTATAAATATCAAGCTACTAATCTCACATAATTGAAAAATCTTTAAAATAAGTATATTTTTATTACTTACTTTAATTTATTGGAATAAATACATCTTATTTCTTATTTAAATCTTACCTTTTAGAGTACTATTTCTCTGAAATTACAACATCAAGAAAAAAGAAACTTATCTGATGATCCCAAAGCCAAACCCATGCTAACAAACAAGAAAATTCACTTTTCATACCTTAAGATAGCAGTGTACATAACAATAATGAAGCAGGTTATCAGAAGGTTGAGTAAGGCTGCTGACCACATGCACCAACTGTTCAGCATACATTGGCACTGAATGTTCCAGATTAATTTTATCCACCAATATTCGAATGGATGGCAAAGGCCGAAGAGACTGGAAGTTTGTAGTATTCATGAAGTTACTTGAGTTCTAGAAAATAATAGTGTTCGCTTTATATTTTAAAAGTGGAGCAGTGACTGAGTTGCAGTTCCCTCTATGCAAGCTTCAGATCTGCACATTTGCAGTGATATCAAATCAATCTAGAAATGATGCCTTTCTACAGAACTCTCTTGCCATAACCAAATAACAAATGTCTTTCCATGTATTTTAAATATGTCCCAGACTTCAAAGAATGCATATTTTTTGCAAAATTATCATTGCCCTTTCAGCTCAAGCTTTTTTTCTTTTTCAATCAACTGGAATAGTATCACGACATGCCTCAGTATGATGAAGATATTTTATTAAGCTTAATTATTCCAAAATGTTTCCTAGATATCCAAGAGTCAGCATCTTTTATTTTAATCTCTTTTATTCACATTTAGCTGACTAAAGAACTAAATGGACTACACCACACAATGTCAAAAACATTCACAATAAGCAATGTTTGCAGGTAAGAAAAATTCCTTATCTGTATCGTATCTACTAACAATACACATGTTAAGGGCTCATAAAGTCCTAAGAATCTTGAGGACGGCACAGTATTCTCAGTTTTACAGAATCTTTCTGAGCTTTCAAATAAATACAGGTAAGTTTCAAGATGTCCAGCGTATGTACCCTGAGTGGCAAATGATCCCTGTCCTAGAACTCACTCACTCACTCCCTTAAAATGCTCTACCTGTGGTTCTCAATGAGGAATGCCATGACTTCCCATCCAGAAGAATATGACAAAATGCAAGAAGAGCAGTTTCATTGCTTTGTCTGTCTTTCATTGTCACAATAATATTGGCCTTTAGCGGGTATTGGCCAAAGATGGTAAATGCTACATAATAATTCTCCAATCCAAAAAACCAAAAGTGCCATTACTGAGAATCACTGTGCTTAAAACTAAGTCGAAAATACAATGCTGATTTTTTACTCATTACTAATAATTTTAAAACCACCATTTATTTAGGAATTATGTTGCTTTTTTAAGTGACTTTCTTTGGGATTACTAAA
Organism: Homo sapiens; assembly: GCF_000001405.40. Classification (NCBI taxonomy): domain Eukaryota; kingdom Metazoa; phylum Chordata; class Mammalia; order Primates; family Hominidae; genus Homo; species Homo sapiens. Next base: position 99,155,543 of record NC_000008.11, on the reverse strand, counting down.
AAATAACACAGAATAAAGCACACAAATCTGAAGGGTAGAGCTGAATGAATTTTTACATCTGTAACCACCACCCATCTGAAGCACCCTATGAGACTGTCCCATGTCCCTTTCAAGGCAATACTAAATCCTCAACAGACGTAGCCAATCACTTCAATTGCCATAGATTAGTTTTCTCTCTTCTGGAACTTCATATAAATGAAATCATATAGTATATAATTTTTTACTCAATATTACACCTGTGAGAATTATCTGTGTTGTTCTTTCTTTCAGTTCACACTTTTATCATTATGAAGTGGCTTTCTTTATTTCAGTAATATTTCTTAGCTTAAAATCTACTTTATCTCTTAGTAAAATAGCCATGCTATCTTTCTTTTGGTTAGTGTTCAAATGGTATATTTTTTCCATCCTTTTCCTTCAAACCTGTATCCTTACATTTTCCAGTTTCACAATTTAATTTGGTGCTTTTTTTTAATGGATTGAGGTCTCTTTGGAAATCTTCCACCTTTTTGTCTTTTTCCTTAAGCAATTAATCATAAACTCCATGTCTAACAACTCTAATACCTTAATCATCTCTAAGTCTATTTATATTATTGATTTTTTATTATATTTAATTCAATTGCTTCTATTTTTAGTATACCTCATAATTTTGTATCAAGCAGATGACATCATGGGTAAAAAATTATAGAGGCTTTGATAATGCTATCTTCCCCTAAAGTAAGTTAACCATTCTTTGGCAAGCAGACAGAATACAAGTACATCATCATGGTCCTATCCAGGACTGGAATTAGGATTGCTCAGACTAATCTATTTCAATCTGTACTTATTCCTAGGGTGTGGCCCTTATAAGGTCTCAAAGGAAGGCCCCAGGTGCTAATGTGGCAGGGCCTGAACTCTAATTGTAGATACACAGCACCATGCAAATAGTCAAATTTATACTTTGCTTTCTGCTGGGTTTCCTGAAGTCTTGCATTACACATGGGCAGCTTAGGAATTAGCCAACAATCTAAAGGAAATTTTATACAAATTTTTGGGCTGCCTTCTGAGTAAGACCTCCTTGTTAGCATTTTTCCCTTTGACAGGCATACTGGAAGACCAGACATGGCTAACAAAAGAATCTCTAAGCTTGAAGTTATCTCAGTAGAAACTGCCAAAACTGAAAAGCAAACCAAAAAAAAACCCGGAATATTTCAGAACTGTGGAACAACTATAAAAGATGTAACATACATGTAATACGAATTCCACAAGAGAAGAAAAGACAGAAAGAAACAGAAGAAACATCTGAAACAATAATGACTGTGAGTTTCCTCAAATTAATGTCAGACACCAAATTAGAAACCCAGGAAACTCAGAGAACACCAAGCAGGATAAATGCCAAAAAAAAAAACAAAAAAAACCTACATACAGACACATCATTTTCAAATCATAGAAATCAAAGATAAAGTCGCCCAAAAAAATCCACAGAAAAAAATACATGTTACTTATAGAGGAGCAATGATATGAATTATACCTGACCTCCACTCAAAAACAATGTAAGCAAGAAGAGAGTAAAACAAAGTATTTTAAGAGGAAAAAACCCACAAACCTAGAATTCCATACCCCACGAAATTATCCTTCAAAAGGAGAAAAAAAGACTTTCTCAGACAAAAAAAAAAATTCAGAGAATTTGTTTCCAGTATATCTGCCTTACTAGATGTGTTAAATTCTTCAGAGAGAAGAAAAATGATAAAGGTCAGAATTTCACATCTACATAAAAAAAAACAGCATCAGAAAAGGCATAAGGTAAAAAAAGACTTTTAATTTTTGTTATTCTTAATTGATCTAATACATAAATTTTGTCAAAATAATAATAGTAATAAGTAATTACGTATGATTGTGTGTGGCAGGCTTATGAATGCTTATATAAAAATAAAATGAATTACAGCAATGATACAAGAAGCAGGATGGCAGAATTAGTATTTCTTTTATTATAAGAAACTCTGACTACCTGTAAAGTGGTATGGTGTTATTTGAAAGTGGACTTGAATTAGTTGTAAAAATATAATGCAAATTCTAGGACAAACACTAAAAAGAAGTATAACAGGTAGGTTAATAGAGGAGAGAAAATCGAATAATATAAAATGCTCAACTAAAACCACAAAAGGCCAAAAAAGAGCGGGAAAAAAAATCAGGAACAAATAACAAGGGCAAAAAATAGAAAATAGCAAGAAGTATGGTTGATGTTAGTCCAATTATATCAATAATAACTTCATATCAATGGTCTAAATGCATCAATTAAAAGACAGATTGTCAAGGCAGCTGAAGATACAAGACCCAACTATATATTGTCTACAAAAAAACCTACTTTTTAAAAAAATTTTTCTTATGTATTTATTTGAGACAAGGTCTCACTCTGTCACCCAGGCTGGAGTGCAAGTGGTGTGATCATTGCTCACTGCAGCCTCAACCTCCAGGGCTCAGGTGATCCGCTCACCTCAGCCTCCCAAGTAGCTGGAACTACAGGCACACACCAGCATGCCTGGCTAACTTTTGTATTTTTTTGTAGAGACAGGGTTTTACCCAAGCTGGTCTCAAACTCCTGGGCTCAAGTGATCAGTCCACTTCTACCTCCCAAAGCACTGGGATTACAAGCATGAGCCACCACACCCAGCCAAAACTCACTTTAAATATGTAGACACTTGTAGATTAAAAGAAAATAGAGAAATACATACCTTACTAAAACTAATCAAAAGAAAGTAGGAGTGGCTATATTAATTTCAGACAGAAGAAAAATCAGACCAGGGAAAGCTATCAGATATAAAGAAGGGATTACATAATGATAAAGGTGTCAATTCCGTAAAAAGACATAACAGTCCCTAACATGGATGTGCCTAAAGACACAGTGCCAAAAAAATAAAGCAAAATGTGATAAAATTTCAAGGAAAAAATCCAACAAACCCACTGTTTTGGTTGGAGACTTCAATATCCCTCTATCAGATATAATCAGTTCCAGCAGACAGAAAATCAATAAGGACATAATTGAACTTATAATCAACCAGATATAATAGACATCAATGGACTGCTTCATACAGCAACAACAGAGTACACATTCTTCTAAAGCTTACATAGAACATTCACCAACACAGACACATTCTAAGCCACAAAACACACCTAAACAAATTTAAAAGAAATCATACAATGTCTGCTATGAGACCATAATGGAATTAAACTAAAAATCAGTAACATAACTAAAAAATGTCAAAATACTTGGACATTAAATAAAATACTTCTAAAGAACACAAGTCAAAGAAATAAATCTCAAGAGAAATACAAAATACTTTGAATTAAATGAAAACAAAAATCCAACTTATCGAAATTTGTAGCATGCAGTGAAAGCAATGCTTAGAGGTAAGTTTATAGTATTGAGTTCATATATTACAAAAAAGGAAAATCTAAAATCAATCACCTAAGCTTACACTTCAGGAAATTAAATAAATCCAAAATAAGAAGAAAAGAATTAAAATCAAAACAGAAATCAATGAAATTGAAAACAGAAAATCAATAGAGAAAATAAACAAAACCAAAAGCTAGCTCAATAAAAATCAGTAAGCCTCTCTAGCCAGGCTAAGAAAAAGTGTAAGAGAATACAAATTCCTAATGTCAGAAATGAAAGAGGAACATTGTTACAAATCCCAAGGACACTAAAATGATAATTTTTAAAATACTAAAAAAGGCCAGGTGCGGTGGTAGCTCACGCCTATAAACCCAGTACTTCGGGAGGCCAAGGTGGGCAGATCACCTGAGGTCAGAAGTCCAAGACCAGCCTGACTGACATGGAGAAACCCCTTCTCTACTAAAAATACAAAATTAGCCAGGCATGGTGGCACATGCTTGTAATCCCAGATACTCAGGAGGCTGAGGAAGGAGAATCGCTTGAACCCGGGAGGTGGAGGTTGCTGTGAGCCAAGATCATGCCATTGCACTCCAGCCTGGGCAACAAAAGTGAAACTCCATCTCAAAAAAAAAACAAAGAAGTACTATAAACAACTCTATACCTACAAATTTGATAACCTAGATGAAATGGACCAATTCGTAAAGGATACAAGCTGATGACCTTGGGTATAATGATGACCTTCAGATATAACACAAAAGGCACAATCTATAAAACAAAGAATTGATAAGCAGGACTTCACTAAAAATTCAAAATTTCTGCTCTGCAAAATACAGGAAAATTAAAAGACAAGCCACAGATTGGGGGAAAATATTTGCAAAAGACCTATCTGATAAAGGACTGTTACCCAAAATATACAAGGAATCCTTAAAATTCAATATTAAGAAAACAAACAACTCTTAAAAAATGGGCAATAGATCTGAAGAGATACCTCACCAAAGAAGATATACAGATGGCAAATAAGCATATGAAATGATGTTTCCATATGTCATCAAGGAAATAAAAAATCAAAACAATAAGACACCATTACACATGTCTTAGAATGGCAAAGAACCGAAGCACTGACAACATCAAATGTTGGTAGGGATGTGGAGAAACAGGAACTCTTATTCACTGCTGGCAGGGATGCAAAATCATACAGCCACTTTGGAAGACAATTTGGCAGCTTCTTACAAAACTAAACATACTTTTAGCATACAATCCATCAATCACACTCCTTGGTATTTACCCAAAGGAGTTGAAAACATGCCCACACCAAAACGTGCACGTGGATGTATATGCCTGTTTTACTCACAACTCTCAAAACTTGAAAGCAACCAAGATGTCCTTCAGTAGGTGAATGGATAAGTAAATTGTGGTACATCTGTAATGGAATATTAGTAAGTGCAAAGAAGAAATCAGCTATCAAGCCATGAAAAGCCAAAGAGGAAACTTAAATCCATATCACTAAGTAAAAGAAGCCAATGTGAAAAGGCTACATACTATATGATTCCAACTATATGACAGTCTAGAAAAGGCAAAACTGTGAGGACAGTAAAAAGATCAGTGGTTGCCAGTGGTTAGGGAGAGGAAGGGATGAATAGGCAGAGCACAAAGGATTTTTTGGGAATTGAAACTACTCTATGTGATATTGTTATAGCAGATAATTATATATTTTTCAACACTCATAGAACATAAAACACCAAGAGTGAACCCTAATGTAAACTGTGGACTTTGGGTGATACTGATGTGTCAATACAGGTTCATCAATTGTAACAAACATACTACTCTGTTGAGGGATGTTGACAAAGAGGGAAGCTATGTACGTGGGGGGAGTCAGTTTATGAAAAATCTCTGTACCTTTCACTCTGCTTTGTGAATCTAAAACTGCTCTAAAAAATAGTATCTATTTTAAAAATTAGATGATAGCAAAAACAGAGATGACAAAATGCAGACATATTTTAATTGTCTCCAGTGAAATTTTCTCTACATGATCTCTTAATCGTAATACACTACCATACTTAATGATGAGTGGCCAGTAGGGAGCAAAAATAAAGTTAATGCATATAGTTAATTCCCTTACATAACTTCTTTAAAGTTAGGACACTTTTTATTTCTATGATTATCACTGTCAGCGGACACCAACCTTTCTGGCATCGGAGATTAATTTCATTGAAGACAATCTTTCCACAGACAGGAGAAGGGGTATGGTTTCAGAATGAAATTGTTCCACTTCAGGTCATTAGGTATTAGATTCTCATAAGGAGTGCCAACCTAGATCCCTTGCATGCACAGTTCACAATAGAGTTTGTGCTCCTATGAGAATCTAATGCCATCGCTGATCTCACAGGAGGCGGAGCTCAGGTGGTAACGCTCACTCACCTGCCATTCACCTCTTTCTCTGCAACCCAGTTCCTAAAAGGCAACTGACCAGTACTGGTCCGCATCCCAGGAGTTGGGGACCCCTGATCATTATATGAACATCAAAAGAAATATATCAAAAAAAAAAAAAAACACATAGGCCAGGTGTGGTGGCTCACACCTGTAATCCCAGCACTTTGGAAGGCTGAGGCAGGTGGATCACCTGAGGTCAGGAGTTCAAGACCTGCCTGACCAATATGGTGAAATCCTGTCTCTACTAAAAATACAAAAATTAGTCGGGCGTGGTGGCATGCGCCCATAGTCCCAGCTACTCAGAAGCCTGAGACAGGAAAGTTGCATGAACCCAGGAGGCATAGGTTGCAGTGAACTGAGATTTCACCACTGCTCTCTAGCCTAGGCAACAGAGCGAGACTCTGTCTCAAAAAGCAAACAAACGAACAAATAAGGCCTTGTATGTATAAGTCAAACTCAGAAAGCAATACATTGTATATGGACCATAAACAAATATTAAGCATTCTCAACAATTACAGCAGACATCACTCAGTTCCTAATACATGCAAAATAGTTTACATGCATTATTTCAATGAAAATTTAAAATAATCCTAGGAGCTAAGTACTATGGTGGGTCTAGTCTGTACCAGCATCCTGATAATGTTACACAAATCCATGCCATGAAGGCAATACTCAACCACAGCAGACCTTGGTAGAATATCCTGTGATCCTCTAAAAACAAAGGATCATATGTGGTCTTGTGAGGAGCTGCTAAAAGAGCATTTCTCATTCACCTTCCCATCTTGAGAGAGGCGGCCATGAAACATTTTCTCATCAGCATTCCTCATTCAGCTGAGTTATGGGCTTTCCACATATGCGCTAAGCTACACCACTGCTTAGCTGCAGTGTGAAACTGAATTGTTGCCAACAGGGTGCCCCACCATGTACCAATAGAAGTCATTTGGCCCTTTGTTTACAGGTTGTCCTATAGAACAAGGGACAGGGGAGCTGGCACCATTACTGACTTTGCTTCTGCTGTCTATGTAAGTAATAAACTGTCTGAATCTAGGCAGGCTGACAGTTTTACTGGCTAAAACTAAAATAGTCAGGCTGCTTGAAAAAATACAATTGTTTTCTTTTTGAGAAGAGAAAATCAGGGCTTAGAGATATAAAGTAATTGTCTATGGCATTATAGCTGGCATATGGTCTGACTTCTAGGCCCATATTCTTCAACATTTCTTTATACACTCTCAAGATTAAGTTTATTTTATTAAAAATATAAATTTAAAATTACATTTTAAAAATTAACAGTTAATTTTTAGTTCATAGTTACATTGCTTTTACTTCATCATGGATAACTATATAAGCAGATACTTTTATCTTTTTCTTTTTTTTTTTTTTGAGACAGGGTCACACTGTGACACCCAGGCTGAAGTGTAGTGGCGTGATCATAGTTCACTGCAGCCTCAAACTTCTGGGCTCAAGCAATCCTCCCACCTCAGCCTCCTGAAGAGCTGGGAATACAGGCATGTGCCACCGTGCCAAATTTTTTTTAGAGACAAGGTATTGCTGTTGCCTAGGCTGGTCTCAAACTCTTGGCCTCAAGTGTGCATCCTGCCCCAGCCTCCTGAATTGCCAGGATTACACACTCAAGCCACTGTGCCCGGCTGCAGATATTCTTTCAGTAAATGACAAAAAAAAAAAAAAAAATCCATATATGAGGGAAAAAAAATATAGCAAATCACAAAATATACCTTTTCTCCCATAATGACAGGTAGTAAATGGTCCAGCAAGTTGAATTCAGCCATGGAAATTGTGCAGGTACATTTGAGGAGAGTAACACTTGTATGTCGAGTAGGAATATATTCCTCCAGAAGAGCCACCTCTTCAGGATTCAGTATTGTTTCATTTTCATCCTTAATATCTAAAATTAAAATGATAAAAAATTAATAAAGAATATTTTTAAATAATATTCTTAAACAACTGAAAAATGAATTAGTTCTCCAAACTATAAGGTCAAATCCTGTTTTTCTTTTCAACAATGAAGCAGGTATAAAATAATAAGTTACCTTTAACAAATATAAGTTGCACTATTCTCGAATGTAAATGTATCTTTGTTATATAAAAATTTACCAGTTTTTCATTTTAATATATCTTTAAGAAATCCCCAATTTCTTTCTTTAAAAGAGTAACAGCTTTTGGTCAGTAAAATACCATTGAGATAATGTAAAGGCAAGACACAGACTGACAGAAAATATTTGCTACAGATAGATGGGGAGGGGGAAGATCCAGCTCCATGAGGGACTTGTATCCACAGCATATTAAAAACAAAAATTTTAAAAACTCCTAAAAATTGTTAAGAAATAGTCTCACACCTGTAATCCCAGCACTTTGGGAGGCTGAGGCAGGTAGATCATCTGAGGTCAGGAGTTCGAAACCAGCCTGGCCAACATGGTAAAACCCCATCTGTACTAAAAATGCAAAAATTAGCTGGGCATGGTGGCAGGTGCCTGTAATCCCAGCTACTCGGGAGGCTGAAGCAGGAGAATCTCTTGAACCCGGGAGACAGAGGTTGCAGTGAGCCGAGATCACGCCACTGTACTCCAGCCTGGGCAACAAAGCGAGACTACATCTTAAATAAATAAATAAATAAGACTACATACCTTCCTTTATAGTCTTGTTCCCCCTTCCTCCTGATTAAAATTACACACTATAATGGTGACCCAATTCTGACCATGTATATATGGCATATCTCTGGGGTTGGCAGAACAATAAAATAGAAGGAATCTGGGTCTAAGACAACCTCATAAAACAGTTTCCCTGGAATACTGACCAACTTGGACTTTTCCATGAGAAAAATAAATAACACCAATAGATCTATATTAAAAGAGTCAAGTGCCAGCACAGTGGTTCATGCCTATAATCCCAGGACTTTGGGAGGCCAAGGCAGGATTGTTTGAGCCCAGGAGTTCAAGATAAGCCTGGGCAACATAGTAAGACTTCATCTCTACAAAAAAAACAAAGATTAGCTGGGCTTGGTGGTGCACACCTATGGTCCTGGCAACTCAGGAGGCTCAGGCAGGAGACTCACTTGATTTTAGGATATCAAGGCTACAGTGAACCATGATCACACCACTGTATTTCAGCCTAGGTGACAAAGTGAGACCCCATCTCCAAACAAAAACAAAACGAAACAGCCAACCCAATATTCCATTAGAGATATATGTAAATGAAAGTTATAATGAGGTTATTTCTAACCTAAGCAAATGTTCCCTCAAAACCAAAATGAATAACTTCTCCCTCCAATATAAAGGTTTACCATAGAGTTACAGTAATTAAGTCAGCATGGTACTGACAGTGGGAAATACCACAGGTCTACTAACTGAAAACAAACTAGAGGACTCAGAAACAGACCCACACAAATATGCTCAATTGATTTTTTACAAAGGTAAAAAACCAGTTCAATAAAGAAAGGATGGTGCTAGTGCAATTGAAAATTCAAAGACACATAAATAAACCCCTATCTAAACCTCACTCCTTATGTAAAAAATTAATTCAAAATGATGACATACTTGAGTATAAAATGAAAAACATTAAAACTTTCAGATTAACCCAATTAATCTGAGCAAAAGACATATGCAGTTCACTGAAGAAATAAAAATGGCAAATAAGCACATAAAAAGATGTTCAACATCATTAGCCAATAAGGAAACACAACTTTAAAACCACAATGAGATGGCAGATTGCTCATTAAAACTACACATCTATCAGAATGGCTAAAATAAAAAGCAGTGACAAAACAAAATGCTGGGAAGATGTAAAGAAGCTGGATCACACAGTCATCGTTGGATGGTAATGTAAAATGGTATGGCCACTCCTGAAAACAGCTTGGTAGTTTCTTTAAAAAAAATAATAAACATGCAACTACCATATGACCCAGCAATTTATCCTGAAGAAATGTTTACACAAAAACCAGTACACAACTGTTCAGAGCAGCATTATTTGTAATAGCCCAAAACTAGAATAATCCCAAATATTCTTCCATAAGTGAGGGAATTAACAAACTATAGTATATGTATACAATGGAATACTACTCAGCAGGAAAAGAAACAAACTACTGATACATGCAACAACTTGAATGAGTCTCCAGAGAATTATGCTCAGCAAAATAAGTCAACCTCAAAAGCTTACATACTGTATGATTTCACTTATTTAACACTGTTGAAATGACAAAATTTTAGAAATGGAAGACAAAAGTTTCCAGGGGTTATCCCTAGCCCCTGGAAAAGAGGGAGGAGAAAGGAACATGGTAGGGAAGTGGGTGTGGTTGTAAGAGAGCAACATGCCAGATCCTTGTGGTATTGGAACTGTTCATTTTCTTGACCATGGTAGTGAACACACAAACCTACAAAGGTGATGAAATTGTATAGAACTTAATACACATGCACACAAATGAGTGCAAGTAAAACTAGGAAAATCTAAATTTTTTAAAATGAAAACATATGCCAACCATACTATTTACTATTAAAATAATAAGTTAATAACTTCCTATTCAAAACTTACTGATGATTTCCCATCACATTTAGAATAAAATCCAGACTACATGGTCCCTAAAACCCAACAAGGTGATTGATGTCTACCTCTATGACTTACAAACATTTATTGTGCTTCAGCTATTCTAGCCTGTTTGTATCCCTGTATATTGCCAAACTGTTCCTACCTCAAGGCTCTTGCACTTGTCTACATAAAACCCTCTTTTCACAAATACATGCATGATTCACTCCGTTACATCATTCACAAGTTAGCTCACATATAAACTTCAGAGAAAACTTTCCTAAAGTCCCTACTAAAACAGCTCTCCCCTCCTTCTGTTTCTGGCACTCTTGCTCACACTTCCTTTTATTTTTCTTCTCTAGTATTTATCAATGACTGAAATATTTTAACTTGTTTACTATTTGTCTACCCCATGAGGATATAAGCTCCATGAGACCAAAGGCTTTGTATGTCTTGTTTGCTATACTATCCTAGCACATAAAGAATGTCTGGCACAGGGTAGGCATTCAAGTAAGGTATAATAAATGAATGCATGAATGTGTCAAGCACTTACTGTACACTGGGTTAAGTGCTTTTATGTGCACTATCTCATTTAGTGCTCAGAACAATCATTGGAAGTAGGTCCTATCAGTGTATCATTTAAGGTAACAGTAAAGTTGCTGGGACAAAAGTAAAGTAATAGAAATTTCAACAAAAACAGCAGCTTTTTTTTTTTTTTTTTTGAAACAGGGTCTTGTTGTGTTGGCCAGGCTGGAGCACAGTGGCACAATCACAGCTCACTGCAACCTCAACCATTCAGGCTCAAGCAATTCTCCCTGCTCAGCCCGGAGACCACAGCCATGTACCACCACACCCAACTAATTTTTTTTTTTTTAATCTTTTGTAGAGACTGGGTCTTGCCATGTTGCCCAAGTTGGTCTCAAACTCCTGGGCTCAAGCAATCCTCCTGCCTTGGCCTCCCTAACTACTGGGATTACAGGTATGAGTGACCATGCTCAGTCCTTATTTCTTTTTCATGAAACAATCTGAGTCTAAAGGATCCAGGGCGGACATGGTGCCATCACAGTACTGAGGACCTAGGTGCTTTTTATCTTGCTACTCTGTCATCCTCAGCATGCAGCTTTAATCTCAGGATCTGAAATGGCAGGTCCAGCCCATACCATTGTATTTATTTTCCAGCCAGAAGAAAGAAGAGAAGAAAAGAAGGAAGGCATGCTCTTTTCCTTTTAAAGTCATGGCCCAAAACATCACATAAAGTTCTGCTCCCATCCCAGTAGACAGAACCTAGTCATATGACTATCCCTTAAATGTATAGTCTTTACTTCTGTTATAGAAATTTCTATTACTATGAAAAAGGATGGATATTGAGGAGACAATTAGCCATCTCTGTCACAGTAACTAAACGTATTGTAGAGACAGAGAAATGAAACATCAAAGATGTTAATTAAATTTCTTAAGGATACTAAGAAGTGAGGGTCAAATTTTAAACCACAGTCTGACTCCACAGGGTGAGTTCTTCATTATCTTATACTTCCTCATTACACTATTATGCTCTACTCTAGAGTTGCTTTACTGCTTTAAAAAGGAATTCGTATTTTATGAAACTATGACAACTATAGCTATCTACCATGTAGAAAAAATTAGTTGTACAGCAACTTTTTCTAAACCAGCAGTGCCTAAGTTTTCTTCAATGTTAAATTTGTGTGTTTAGAGCCCAATTTTGTATCTGGCTCCTTAGAATCCATTAATGTGAAAAAAAAAAATCATATTCACAAGTATCCACTAGAAAAAGTATCAAAAAGGTATAACAATAAAATACTGACAAATACTGGCAAATAAAGTACTTGTGCAATAATTTTCAAATCTTGATCTCTCCAACTTCTACACACAAGTTTATTCTTTAAATAAACAGCTACATATATCAAAGTCCTTGCAAACAGGCAAATTACACTAAAAACGTAAAGTTAGCAAGACAACACAAATTGGATTATATAATTATTCTCAAAACAAATGGCAAAAGATTCAAAATTAATCCAGAAACAAACCTGATTTTAGCCTGCTATATGGTTCATATTCATGTTCCAAGGCACACACAATCATTTTCAAAATCCTATGCACCGCACTGCTATCCAAACGAAAATCAAGAGGACCTATAACAAGGCTTTTGGTGGACTTCTCCTGAACTGTTCCCAAATCTTCACTTTTCCCTGAAGAAAAGTCTTGTTGATTTGTGGAACCTAAAAGAAGTCAAATTTTATATTTTAAGCATCAATTGGATATACCAAGTAAATATTTTAAAATCGCTCTTCTCTCATTTTTATAGCTTGTAGCTTAATGCCTTAAAACAAATTCCCAATCAGCTGCATACAGAGAGCCCTGCTGATTTGTATTTCTCTGTGCATATAATAAATTACTGATAAAAAGCAATTCATTAAAATTTATTCCTGTTATTTAATATTATAACAAGCAATATAAAATCAAAATTGTCATTCTTAGAAAATTATTCTGCAAAACCTAATTGGCTTATATCTAGTAATTCTATACACAATATGCATTGACTGAGAGGGGGTACTTTGGAGGAAACTCCATTTTACTAATTTATCTTAGTAAATTATCTTAGTCTATTGAAAATTGGGTTATTTAAGTAACATGATCACAGGGTGCCTTGAGAGTTTTATAATGACCATGGAAATGAACAGTAGGTATTACCTGCTTTGAACTTTTTCTAGAATAGATTCATTATAGCGATGTTCCATGGTACAGAATCCTACTTCCTAGACTCCTCATCTCCTCATACACTGTTTTCTAAATAAGATATTGGCCCCAGGTATAGGCATGTGTCATTATCTAATATGTACATCTCTTAAATGAGAGGTTTTTTGTATACATGAATCCATTATTGTGATAAAAATGATTTTTAATTTATAATGCATTTTGTTTATTCAGACAAAAAGAAGAAAGAATTTTCCAGGATTTAATAACCTTAGAAACTAGAAAAGCCTACTTACACAAAACTTTTATATCTATACCTTCTAATACTTTTATACAAAAATATATTTCCATTATTTCATGCAAAGGAGTACAGCTCAATCTTTAGTCTTCATCATATGAACAAAAATGAATTAGATTAATTGATTGATTGATTTTTATTTATTTATTTTTGAGACAGAGTCTCAGTCACCCAGGCTCAAGTGCAGTGGCGTGATCTCGGCTCACTGAAAGCTCCGCCTCCTGGGTTCATGCCATTCTCCTGCCTCAGCCTCCCGAGTAGCTGGTACTACAGGCGCCCACCACCACGCCCGGCTAATTTTGTTTTTTTTTTTTTTTTTTAGTAGAGACAGGGTTTCACCATGTTAGCCAGGATGGTCTCAATCTCCTGCCCTCATGATCCGCCCACCTCGGCCTCCCAAAGTGCTGAGATTACAGGAGTGAGCCACCACGCCTGGCCAAAAATTAATTAGATTTATTACTCACATATTTTTAACCAGACGACTTAGTGCAAAGATTATTTTAAAGTTAACTATATAATACAAGTAAAAATCTATAAGCCCAATGTCACATCAAATAAAACATACAAAATTAATCTTATACATATTTTGTAAGATGTATGATTAATACTGACTCACATTAGGAATTAGGTATAAATAACATACCATTCACATCAAAACCATTACTTTTCATAGCTAAAACCATTACATTTCTAGAATTACATGTAAGACAGAATGAGGTAACTTAAAGATAGAACTTCGGTTACAAATCAAAATACTCAAAAAGCAATAAAAATGCCCTGCTATGCGTCCTTTAGGGGATAATAGACTCCCTAAATGATGTCACTGTATAACAAGACTCTTCTTTTAGACACAAAATTGTCTCTAAAATAATACAGGCCAATGCCCCCCATAATGAAAACTGAATATAATGCAGTTTAAATTTAGATACCATGGCTTGTCTGAAATGTAAAAACACAACTGGCTTTTAGCTATATATTTTCAGCTATTTACTTGTGCCCACCTTTCATGCATCTGGCCACTCCAGCTCCCTGAATGTTTGGCTGCCCTTATTAAGAGTCAAGACTCTTTCTCAATTCTTGCCCTTCAATTCAATAACTTAATTGTTTCAGATTTATCTCCTATTGTATCTCTAAAATTGGTTATCTCTAAAATCTTCCTGTTGTACATTACAATTTCAGCTATCTACTTTAGGGTCCATAACATTTGTAATAACCCCCTTAAACAGAAAAGACTAGAAAGGTAGTCATTACAACATTAACAAATATTTACACAATTATATTAATAATAAATATTTCCATTTAGTTTTTAAAACATCACTTGCTTTCAAGTACCATAAAAAAAAGTAAAATAATTGTCAGAAGATGCTTATCTTGTGGAACACAAGGTTCAAACTTTTACTGGTGTCTGTAAGAAGCTCCTGGGCAAAAGATGTTAATTTTTCCAGAGTTTCAGTTGTAAACAAAAATGACTAAAGTATACTCACAAAGAAGGAGAAGGAGGAGGAGGAGGAGGGTGAGGAAGGGGAGAAGGACGGGGAGGAGGGGGAGGAAGGCAAGGAGGGGGAGGAGGAGGAAGGAGAGGAGGAGAAGAGAAGGGGAGGAGAGGGAGGAAGCAGCAGCAGCAGCAAGAAGAAAGGAGGAGAAGGAGGAGAAGAAGAGAAGCAGCAGCTTATCATCAATACCAAATAGTAGCAGAGGAAACTTAATTTTTATTTATATGCCATAGTATAATGTGGACAAGATACTATTTTATCATTTATTACAAGAAAAATAAATAATAGAAGCTTCCTTTATTACTGTATTTACTTCCTTTTTTTTTTTTTTTTTTTTTTGAGACAGAGCTTCACTCTTATTGCCCAGGCTGCTGGAGTGCAGTGGTATGATCTCAGCTCACTGCAACCTCCACCTTCCGGTTTCAAGTGATTCTCCTGCCTCAGCCTCCCAAGTAGCTGGGATTACAGGCGCCTGCCACCACCCCCGGCTAATTTTTGTATTTTTAGTAGAGAAGGGGTTTCACCATGTTGGCCAGGCTGGTCTCGAACTCCTGACCTCATGGTCTGCCCACCTCAGCCTTCCAAAGTGCTGGGATTACAGGCATGAGCCACCACGCTCAGCCTAGTTTCTTACATTAATTAGAATACTGCCATGAACTTACTTAAAACACACAAAATCAAATCCGCCTTCAAACTATCAGGATTCACTACAAACTCTGTAAAAATATTGGCTCAATACGTGTTTAGATATTTACTTAATAAAATTTAGGGCACTTTTTGATAATGTAGACTATAGAAACAAAAAAAAAGTTGTCACAAAAAAACAAGAGTTTTAGATAAAGCTTTTTTTTTTTAAGTATTTACAAGTATCCTCTTATAGGAACTCATTACTTTTCCTAGCTCATTAATACTTAAAATTCTACAAATTTCTTGTTTCAGGTAAACCAAGAAAGAAAGAAATATCAACAGAGGGCCGGGCGCAGTGGCTCACACCTGTAATCCCAGCACTTTGGGAGGCTGAAGCGGGTGGATCACGAGGTCAGGAGATCGAGACCATCCTGGCTAACATGGTGAAACCCTGTCTCTATTAAAAATACAAAAAGTTAGCCAGGCGTGGTGGCGGGCGCCTGTAGTCCCAGCTACTGGGGAGGCTGAGGCAGGAGAATGGCATGAACCCGGGAGGCGGAGCTTGCAGTGAGTCGAGATTGCAACACTGTACTCCAGCCTGGGCGACAGAGGAAGACTCGGTCTCAAACAAAAAAAAAAAAAAAAAGGAAATATCAACAGAATAGTTATAAATGTAGGCTCTAGAGCTGGATAGGTTGGGTTCAAATCCCACATACTGTGTGTGATCTTGGTTCTTGTTACTTTACCTGTATTGGGTTTGCTGTTTCCTCATCTGTAAAATGGGGATAAACCAAAAGCAAGACAGTGGTTCTCATGAATCTCAAAACAGCAATCTCCTCCAGTAAAGGAGGCAGAGTGTGGTAGAAAAGAAACACATAGGAGGCTTACTGGATGCTAACAATGTCCTATTTCTTGGTGTGCGTGGAGAATACACAGGTGTTCAGTTTTAAATTATTTGCTGTTCTGTACATGTGCAATATTCAATATTTTGTTTTAAAAGTTAAGGACTATAATATCTGTAACACTGTATAGTATTCATGGAAGTGAAAAATATGAAAAACCCAAAAGTTAACAAACTACTGGCTTCTCAGAAGTAATATATAAACAATCTAACAAACATAAATCATGTTTCTATCTTTTAAAAACTGCAGGAGAGGCATATATACAAATAAAGATGTTCTGTGCTAGGTTTCCTTTGCTTAAAAGGTAACTACTACATACTTCACCTCCTCACAAGACATGGAATCCACAGCACATGCATAAGACATTATATTGAACAAGAGGAAACCTACCAGTTTACAAGTGGCAACTACAACACTACAATAATTTGCAATGCTATTAGAACACAAGACTTCTGAGTTGCACTTTCATATATATAACTGGCTAAGGAATATTTACACTTCAATGTCCACAGTTATCTCAAAACTCATCTTTTCCTCCAAAAATTTTCCTCTTATTTAGCTTTCTTAATAGTTATCACTATCCACCAAGTAACTCAAGACCAGAATCTAGTAAACTATTTAAATTTTGTTTTTAAACAAACCAATGTCAGGCCCATGAAAATTAACAGCAGAGAATTAAATCCCTGTGATTGCAGTAGAAACTATAGGACTACAATGAAAGCAGGAAGACCAGTAAGAAAGCTTTAGAACCTGGCTGAGTGCGGTGGCTCACGCCTATAATCCCAGCACTTTGGGAAGCCAAGGTGGATGGATCACTTGAGATTAGGAGTTCAAGTCCAGCCTGGCCAACATGGCCAAACCCCATCTCTACTAAAAATACAAAAATTAGCCAGGCATGGCAGCGCATGCCTGTAGTCCCAGCCACTTAGGAGGCTGAGGCATGAGAATCGCTTGAACCAGGGAGGCAGAAGTTGCAGTGAGCCGAGATCATGACGCTGCACTCTGAGCAACAGAGCAAAACTCTGTCTCAAAAAATATATATATATTAGAATCTAGAGATGATGGTACATATGAACTAAATGCTAGTCCATATGGTAACAGTGATACCACTGTTATCATCTGTGGACCAGATGGCTAGGAGCGAGGGAAAAGGTGTGTCATGATGACTCCCAGGCTTCTGGCTTGAGCAACAAGAAGAGGATAGTACGATTTTCAAAGAAGAGAAGCCTAAAAATAAAGAAGCAGAGGTAGTAAGTGGTCATAGGAATATTTATTAATAACTCAATTTTGGACAAAATCAGTTTTGAGATATCTGAAAGACACAGAGGCAAAAACGTCAAGTATGCATTGGATATTTAATTCTGAATCTTAGAGAACTTTGGACTATAAAATGCAAATTTGAGTATCAACAACATATGGAAAGTACTTAAATCCATGGAAAAGAATGAAATTAACTTGGGAGAAAGTTTAGGGAAAGAAATTAAGGATTGACCAATGAAAACATCAACATTTAGAAACCATTCCAAAAGCAGAAGCCAGAAATTTACTGCTCTTTCCTTCTTTCTTCATCAAAAACAAATTTACTTCAAGATCAACTCTGCGAAGTTTCAATCTCACAAGCAAAAGTTGTCATTTTTTTTTTTTTTTACCCACACTTCTAGTTCTCTATACTACTCTTCTTAACATGCTACGTTATAATCATTTACTTAAATGCCTAGTTCAACACCACCTATTGGCTCTTTGGGAAATGCTTTGGTTTTCATTGCATTCATCTGTACCTAACATATCACCTAATACACTGAAATCATTTTTATAAAACATGAAAAATTCACCAAAAAAAACTGTGAACCTATTTTCGCTAACTTTTCAACATAAAAAAGACTGAAATAGTAAGTACATCATATATTGATATAGAAGTAAAAAAAAAAGTGTTGAAATGTTTTAAACGTCATTTATTTCCAAAAAATAGAAAATAATACAATAATAAGGTACATAATAAAATAATACAATATATACATCTAAAGTCTCTGGAAGATTTTCTATTTTTCTGATTGATACAACACATTCTTTTTAATTAAAAATTAGTATCACCTTCAAAGTGTATTTAGAATAGAAAAGGTTTATTCTTTTTAAAAATTTAATGTAATATAAAATTTGATATATCAGAATCATAATATATGGTACACATGAGAACTAATTCTAACAGGTTATACAAAATGTCTTCAGTCAGCTGTATAAAGAATGGATTTGAAATGACAAGAATCTAAGACAATTCTAACATGATGTTAAAATTAAACCACTCCCCAAAGTACTAGAAGATAAATCTTATGTAGCAGAGTACAACCAGTCAAGGACCAATTGATTCTGAGGAAGGCTTTGTTTCAGTTGTTCAAGAAATGGCACACATAAAGGAAAGAAGCCAATACCTTTGCCACTAGTGTTCTCCATTGTATACAGGTAATCCATATAAAAAGCCCCAAACCGTTGCATTCCAGCTATCTCAGTGTATGTCTCCTGCCAACAAAGCAATGCAAACAGAATAAACATTGTATAAAAGAAACTTTTGAGTTTAAAGCTTGATAGGTTAGACACATATCTTTATATAGAATGTATAACAACACAAAGGATGACCAAAAGAACAGAGGTTATTCCAAGAATTTACTTCTAAGAAAGGTAATATTCCATCTATTACAGACCACACAAAAAAGACATCCATACTTTTATGAGACATTTTGACCACTTTATTAATCATGTCTAGTTAATAAATACCTACAATGGAGGAGATAGTACACTCCTGACCTTTATCACTATCACAAAACTGTCTAATAATGTATACTCTCAAATAGAATTAATCCTTAAATACTTCATATCATGAAACAATTCAAACACTAAAGATATACTGAAATATTCTAAATGTATGTTAATTATGCAAGTCAACATTAAATATTTTAACAATGGAAGTAAATCTTGATAAAAAAAGAGTAAAATGTAAATTATCCTATTGCATTAATCTTCAGGTAATTATCTGAATTTTTAACTGATTTCATAAATGTATTAATATTCCATAAACATATTAATATATTCTTACATTTAAAAAACACTAAGAAGTATAGATAGTAAAAAGGTAAATTCCTCATTTCTTTACATCAATCCCACACATTAAAAGTAACAAAAATTAACAGAGGTAATTCAACATGTTTCCTCCACGATTATTTTTGAAGCAGGGCATAAATAAGCAAAATATGTTTACATATTCAATAAAAGATCTCTGTGCACTCCTCAAACATTTCTACATGTATACTGTATAAATGCATTCTAAATGTTTTAATAAACAATTAGCATTCAGAAGGCATTATTTGAAAAGAAAGCTAGAAATCACAAGTATTCATACAATGTGTCCACCCAAACACAGCCTAGAATTTGGTTCAAATATATATTCTCTAACCTTATGATGAGTTGAATCCAAGATAAATTCTGCGCGAGTACCATTATTTTCTGGGCTTCGGTAATCAAACAATGAATTTGTAAGGTATGTGAAACCTTTCGTACTCAAATTGTCACCACAAATGAAGAAACAGGCTTCCTGAAAACAAATGCAAAATTTATAAATGGGAAGAAAAACCATTAGCCTGTTAAACAAAATAAAACCTTGATTTTATGATGCCCATTTACTAGTCAAAAGAAATCACTAAAACAGAAAGATAAGGAATGCTGCTGCTCCACCTTCATTGACTATTTTGCCAAAGATCATTTTTACAAACCAAAAGGAAACTCCAAATAACTGCCATGAACAAAAAAGAAGAAAGATTCATGAATAAGAAAGTAGTTGGAACTACTGTCCAGGTGTTAGGCGCTACCAACTTTCTAAACTTCCCTGAGATCTATAATTTCTGGCAGGTGAAACACAGGGAGAAATAGTAAAGCTCCTCTCTCAAGCCTGAGATATATATAGTCTAACAGATATTATATGGTTAAACACTTCAGTAAGCACTTAATTATTCCTATATCCTATCCAAAAAAGGATGGAGGAAACGGACTTACAGTTTCACTTCTATTCATATTCTCTTCAAAATCTTTAACACCCATAATTCCTTTAAGGCACATGGCTCTGCAACCAACAAACCCAATCTGGCAATCAAAGAAAGGTTCTCCCATCATAAGGGCCTATAAGACGAAAGGAAACATTAGAACTAAGAATTGAATTTAATAAAAATGTTAGAGGCTTTCCTTGTAGAATCTCTAAATTAGTTAAACATCTTTAGAATTATGTCATTTTTAAATTTATTCTATACTATTTATTTATACTATCCATGAGATAGTAAACTCTATTAAAATAAGAAACAAACATCTTACTTGTATTTTTAAATACACTACATCTGATAAAAACAGGTATTTATAAAATATTAAAGAACAAAATATTTAAAAATACAGGTTCAATATTGAAAGATTACCTCAACTGTAGTTCCTTCTTGTTCCCAACACAATACTTCTTTAGATTTTACTTTCTGTGGACTGTAATAACTACTCTCAACTTGCATTTCTGTGAGCTAAGAAATATAAGAATATTAAGTAAATCAAATTTAGTATTAAAGAGCAATAAATTGTCATTATGATGATTAATTGATTAAAACAAGGCCAATTTTAAGATTCAGGAAATTTAAATATTAAGCAGGAAAGCAGGTGCAACAAAAACAGCTGTAACAGATTATCCATGGTATAAAGGTTGAATATGCTAGTCTCAACGTATATAGAGAATTTAAATACTTTTTAAACTCCTTCTTAATATTGTTTTAAAAAGTGAAAGCTGTGTGCAATAACAGTCCCATACTCACAAAATCATTTATGTATTCTGCCAAAAATTTACATATAGTATAACCTCAGTTCATTTTATATTCAACAAAACATTCAACAACGTGTAGTTTCAGTCATTTCCAAGACTTCTCACTATTTGAAATAAAAAAGAAAGTGGTGATGAAATGCAAAAAGATAAAACAGGCTCTTTCTAGTTCCTATGAAGGAAATAGAATCAAGCATATTTCTTTTCAAAAGATGTTTCCTACTAAATCTCATAGACTCATTCAATCATGCAACAAATACTTATTGAAAGCCAGCTAGATAAGAAGTAGGGGCGAACCTCATTGTATTGCACTCTGCTTTATTTCACTTCGCAGATATTGCACTTTTTACAAATTGGAAGTCTGTAGCAACCCCACATGAATCAAGTCTATCAGCACCATTTTCCCAATAGCACATGCTTACTTTGTGTTTCTGTGTCACATTTTGGTAATTCTCCCAATAGTTCAAAATTTTTCATTATTATTATCTGTTATGGTGATCTGTAATCAGTTATCTTTGATAGTACTATTGGAACTATTTTGGGGCACCATGAACATGCCCATTTAAGACTGAGAACTTAATTGATACATGTGTGTGTTCTGACTGTTCCACTGTCTAGCCACTCCCCTCTCTCCCTTCTCCTTGGGCCTATTTCCTGAGACAGAACAATATTGAAATTAGGCTAATTAGTAATATTACAATGGTCTAAGTATTTAAGTGAAAGGAAGAGTCCCTGTCTCTCACTTTAAATCAAAAGCTAGAAATGATTAAGCTTAGTGAAGAAGGGATGTAAAAGCCAAGACAGGCCAAAACATAGGCATCTTGAGCCAAACAGTTGGCCCAGTCATTAATGCAAAAGAAAAAGTCTTGAAGGAAATTAAAATTGTACACACAAGTGATAAGGAAGTAAAACAGCCTGTTGATATGGAGGAATTTTGAGTGGTCTGGATAGACAATCGAACTAGCCACAACACTCCCTTAAGCCAAGGCTGAATCCAGAGTAAAGCCCTAACCCTTAAATTCTATGTAGGCTAATAGACGTAAGAAAGCTGCAGGAGAAAAGTCCGACAGTAGCAGAGGTCTGTTCATGAGCCTTATGGAACGAAGACGTCTCCATACCATAAAAGCGCAAGGGTTGACGTAGAAGCTGCACGCAGTTACCCAGAAGACCTAGCTAAGATAATTAACGAAAGTGGCTACACTAATCAACAGATTTTCAACACAGACCAAACAGCCTTCTCCTGGAAGAAGATGTCATCTGAGCTAGAGAGGAAAAGTCAGTGCTTGGCTTCAAAGCTTCAAAATACAGGCGGATGCTCTTGTTAGGGGCTAACATATCTGGTAACTTTAAGTTGAAGATAGTGTTCATTTACCATTCTGAAAATCCTAGGGCCCTTAAGAATCATGCTAAATCTACTTTGCTTGTGCTCTATGAATGGAAAAAAAATGACTGAATGACAGTACATCTGTTTATGGCATGGTTTACTAAATACTTTAAGCCTATGGAAACCTACTTCTCAAAAAAAAGGACTCCTCTTAAAATATTACTGCTCACTGACAATGCATCTGGTCACCCTACACCTCTGATGGAGACATACAAGGAGATGAATATTGTTTTTCATGCCTGCTAAAATGACATCCATTCTGCAGCCCATGGATTAGGAGTAATGTTGATGTTCAAGTCTTATTATTTAAGGAATACATTTCGTAAGGCTATAGCCACCATAGATAGTGATTCCTCTGATGGATCTAGGCAAAGTAAATCAAAAACTTTCCTGAAAGGGTTTACTATTCCAGATTCCATTAAGAACATTTGTGATTCATAGAAAGAGGTCAAACTATCCACATTAACAAGAGCTTGAAAGAAGTTGATTTTAACCCTCCTGGATGACTTTGAGGTATTCAAGACTTAGGTGGAGGAAGTAACTACTAAAGAATTAGATTTAGAAGTGGAACCTGAAGAGGACTGGCTTCTTATGGATAAAGAAAGAAAGTGATTTCTGAAGATGGAATCTACTCCTGGTGAAGATGCTGGGAACATTGTTGAAATGACGATGAATTTAGAATGTTCTGTATATTTAGTCGATAAAGCAGCAGTAGTGTTTGAAAAGGACTGACTTCAATTTCGACAGAGGTTCTACTCTGAAGCCGGACACAGTGGCTCACGCCTGTAATGCCAGCACTTTGGGAGGCCAAGTCAGGTGGATCACTTGAGGCCAGGAGTTTGAGACCAGCCTGGCCAAAGTGGTGAAACCCCATCTCTACCAAAAATACAAAAATTAGCCAAGCGTGGTGGTGCATGCCTGCAGTCCCAGCTACTCAGGAGGCAGAGGTGCAAGAATTGCTTGAACCTGGGAGGCGGAGGTTGCAGTGAGCCAAAATCATACCACTACACTCCAGCCTGGGTGACAGAGAGAGGCTCTGTCTCAAAAAAAATAGTCCTACTCTGAGTAAAATTCAGTCAAACAGCATCCCATGCTACAGAGAAATCTTCCATGAAAGGAAGAGTCAATTAACGTGGCACACTTCATTGCTGTCTTATTTTGAGAAATTGCCTCTGCCACTCCAACCTTTAGCAACCACCACCCTGATCAGACAGCAATCATCAATACTGAGTCAAGACCCTCCACCAGCAAAAAGTTATGACTTGCTGAAAGTGTAGATGATTGTTAGCATTTTTTAACAATAAAGTATTTTTAATTAAGGTATATATAGTGGTTTTAGACATACTGTTGGACACTTAACAAACTACAATATTGTGCAAACATAATTTTTTATGCATTAGGCAAAACAAAAAATTTCTGTGACTCGCTTTATTGCTATATTCGCTTTATTGTGGTGGTATGGAACCAAGTCCACAATATCTCTGAGGTACACCTGTACTAATCTAGATATTAACAAAACAAAAAATTCTTAACTCCCCAGATGCTTATAACATATTATTTATATGTTTCAAAAATTACATAAATTATTTTACAAAAGTACTATTCTAAATGCAACATGGTATCCTGGTTTGAATCACGGTACAGAAAAAACATATCATGAAATTCAATTAATGTTCAAAATGTAACAGTAATGCATCAATGAAGCCTTCTTAGTTTTGACAAATATACTGTGATAACATAACAATAAGGGAAACTGGGTAAAGAACATAAAGGAACTCTCTGTACTATCTTTGCAACCTGTCTGTAACTCTAAAATTATTCCAAAAAGAAAAGGTTACTTTTTTAAAAAAGGTATTCAGCATGTGTTTGCCAATTATTTACTTCCCCTCATTCTTACGACATAGATATATTCATCACTTTTAAATGCAAAGTCAAAGCTCACATTTTTAAAAAAACCAATATTTAACTTAGGCCTAATGAAAGTTCTTGAACTAGAAAGTTACAATTTTAAGCACAGTGACTTCTCTATATTGAGTATCAACTAATTATTCTCATTCTTTATAATAAAGCTTTTTATATTTTATATTTTTATGTAATGTAGACTCCTATTTCTTGGATGTTTCTAGTACTGATATATACAATGTAGCTATTTTAAAGCACAATTCTGTAATCTAGAATGATTACTGAAGTAAACTTGAATTTTTTTAAATTGATCCCTCTTCAGCTGTCTACAATTATTATAGAGAAAAAGCAATTAATTGATTAAAAGGACTCATGCGGTGGCTCACGCCTGTAATCCCAGCACTTTGGGAGGCCGAGGTGGGCGGATCACGAGGTCAGGAGATCGAGACCATCCTGGCTAACACGGTGAAACCCTGTCTCTACTAAAAAAAATACAAAAAATTAGCCGGGCATGGTGGCGGGCACCTGTAGTCCCAGCTACTGGGGAGGCTGAGGCAGGAGAATGGCGTGAACCCGGGAGGCAGAGCTTGCAGTGAGCCGAGACTGCGCCACTGCACTCCAGCCTGGGCAACAGTGTGAGACTCTGCCTCAAAAAAAAAAAAAAAAAGGACCCGAACATTACAAGAATAATTTTAAACATTCTTAGAAAAATGCTAGATTTAATTTGGCATGATTTTTGCTGGACTGATATCAACTGCTCAAAATGCTAATGTAGAAACATGATCTTGTTTTCTTAACAAAAATATGAACCAGAAATTAATTCCAAACATTCTTCAAATCTAAGCTGAGCAATGAATTCTAATGCTTTCCTCCTTAATATCAAGGTATTTCCCTAAGAGCAAACTTTAAGAAACATAAATGTTCTAAAATTATAAAAAGATATATTAACTATTGACAAATACTGCCCAAGAAGTCTATAAAAATTTTATACACAAATGACTATTTTGTTTTGTTGTTGTTTGCCTTTGTTTGTGTTTTTGACACAGGGTCTTCCTCTGTCACCCAGGCTGCAGTGCAGTAGCACGATCATGGGTCACTGCAGCCTAAAACCTCCAGGGCTCAAGCAATCCTCCCACTTCAGCTTCCGGAGTAGTTAGGACTACAGGTGCACACTACCACACCTGGCTATTTTTTTTTATAAAGATGGGGTCTCACCATGTTGCCCAGGTTGGATAAATGCCTATTTTGACTGATTCCGTTGAATATAATTCCTCTCAACAATCAAGTTAACAGAAATATATCAGAATAATTTCAAATTTAAAACTAAACAGGAAAAAATCACCAGAAAGGACGGTACTTAACTTGTAATCCTTGACTTCCCTCACAATCTTCCACAAAAATAAGTGCTTTATTCCAATCTAAAACTGACAATATATCTTTTTTTTCTTTTTACAAAATGTCAGACTTTTTTTTTTTTTTTTTTTTTAAGGAGACACAGTCTTGCTTGGTCACCCAGGCTAGAGTACAGTGGTGAAAACATGGCTCATTGCAGCTCAAACTCCAGGACTCAAGCAATACTCCCACTTCAGCCTCCTAAATTGCTAGGATTACAGGCAAGCGCCACCATGCCCTGCTAATTTATTTATTTATTTTTTGTACAGACAGGGTCTCACTATGTTGCCCAGGCTATATGTCAGGACTTTTGATATTAAAAAAACTGACAACATATCCAACAATATTTATCAACAGTTGCCTTTTTATTATATTTTTTAATATCTTATTTTATTATATTTTAATTTTGAAGATGAATCCTTATCCCTTTAATCAATGCTAAATCAGTGAATTTCAATCACAAAAATAATTTTTTTCAGTAGAACTGAGAATAATGATGTTAAAATAGTACAGCTAATATATGCATTATAATTTTTGCCCAAACTTTAAAAAATTAAATCAATCAAGCTATGACACAAACTTTAGTTGAAATTTATTCTCTATATTTTTCAACTTTTGTCATATTAGAAAACATTGAATTATCTTAAGTAGAAAAGTCTTTAATATTTATTTGTAAATTTTTTTTTTTAGTAAAGACAGGGTTTCACCATATTGGCCAGGCTGGTCTTGAACTCCTGACCTCATGATCCGCCCGCCTCAGCCTCCCAAAGTGCTGGGATTACAGGCGTGAGCCACTGAGTCCAGCTATCTTAAAGTATTTTATAACTTGCCATCTGTTGTAGTTATAAATTGTGTAGCTTTAGTACTAATACAAAGAAAATCTATGCTAAATTTAAAACCATGGGAACAGAAACTTTTTTTTTTTCCACTGCTGCAACCCCACAATGTAACAAGTTGCCTGGAATAATACCTATACCACTATTTCAAAAGTTTAGCTCATTTCACATGGGTTTATCTCCTTTACAAAAATGCAGACATGAAATAATAAACCCACAAAAAATGAAATTGGAGAGGAAACAAAACCTGAAAAATGAGTCCATAAATTTTTGTAAACTGAAAAGCAGATGAAAAGGTGGGCAGATGTATGGATAATGGATGGATGCACATACTTATTCAAAAAATAAATATTTGTAGAAAACATACCAGGCAATTTCTAAGTGCTGAAGAAACAACAAATTTTTTTTTTTTTTTTTTTTTTTTTTTTTTTTTTT
Organism: Homo sapiens; assembly: GCF_000001405.40. Taxonomy (NCBI): domain Eukaryota; kingdom Metazoa; phylum Chordata; class Mammalia; order Primates; family Hominidae; genus Homo; species Homo sapiens. The sequence goes on along the minus strand of NC_000008.11, from coordinate 99,128,392 downwards.
TTTTTTGGGACAGTATCTTGCTCTGTCACCCAGGCTGGAGTGCAATGGCACGATATTGGCTCACTGCAACCTCCACCTCCCAGGTTCAAGCAATTCTCCTGCTTCAGCCTCCCAAGTAGCTGGGATTACAGGCGCCTGCCACCACACCAGGCTAATTTCTCTATTTTTAGTAAAGACGGGGTTTCCATGTTGGCCAGGCTGGTCTCGAACTCCTGACCTCATGATCCGCCCACCTCAGCCTCCCAAAGTGCTGGGATTACAGGTGTGAGCCATCATGCCCAGCCCAACAAACCTTTTAAAATTACCACTTAATGAGCTTTAGTGTAATATCAAAAGGAATATCCATAATTTTTCAAAAGGCTATTAAAATACCCCTTCCTTTCCAAATAAATATCTATGTGAGGCTAGATGTTCTTCATATACATTAATTAAAACATGTCCTAACAGACTGAATACTGAAGCAGACACAAAAATTCAGCTATCTTCTACTAAGCCAGACATTCAAGATACTTACAAAAATAAAACCAATGCATGTCCCTTCTTACCTTTTAAAATACAGTAATTTTACTTTTATTATAAAATGATATTCACATCAACATATAATAAATTCATTTTAAAATAAATTAATATATACATATTCTTAAGATTTGTTTTAACTTCTAATACAATAAATATGAGTAGATGTAATCTGAATAAACAAAACTCCTCAGAGTTCTCAATAATTTTTAAGAATGCAAAGGTTTCCTGGAGCCTTGAGATCAAAAAGTTTGAAAACTACTGGTCTATAAGTTGCAATAAAGCTGATGAGAAATGACTGCATCCTAGAGGTACAGCTGACAGAACATGCTGACTGATTAGATGTGGTGGGAGAAGAAAAGATACTGATAAATGTTAAGCCTGAGCAAATTAGTAGATAATGTTGCAATTTAATGAAAGGTAAAATAGTGGGGGTGGGGGTGCACAACTGCAAAGAAAAATCAAGAGTTCTGTTTGTATGTGTTAAGTATCAATCAGATATGAAAGTGGAAATATAAAATTGGCAGTTGAATTCTAGAGCTCAGGGAAAAGTGAAAAGTGGAGACACAAATTTGGTAGTCTATCAGCATCTATATCATGATGGAGTTATATCACCTTGGGAGTTTGTAGATAGAAAAGAAGAGAGGGTCAAAGACCAAGCCCTATATGCCAACATTTAAAGGTCATACAGAAGAGGAGAAGCACCAAAAACGACTACAAAAAAGTCCCTGGTAACCCAGATATAATTTTCTTTTCTTTCTTTTTTTTTTTTCTTTTTTTTGAGACAAGGTCTCGCTCTGTCACCCAGGCTGCAGTGGCAGTGGCATGATCTCAGCTCAATTCAACCTCCACCCCTCCAGCTCAAGCAATCCTCCCACCTCAACCTGCTAAGTATCTGGTACTACAGGCACACGCCATCCTGCTTAGCTAATTTTTGTATTTTTCTGTAGAGACAGAGTTTCACCATATTTGCATGGCTGGTCTGGAATTCCTGGGCTCAAGTGATCCGCCTGCTTTGGCCTCCTAAAGTGCTGGGATTATAGGCATGAGCCACTGTGCCCAGCGATAACATTTTTAAAGAAAAAGAAGCATATCCCAAAGAAACTCTTCCACATATATATGTCAGAAGATCTGTACCAGAACATTTACATCAGCATTGTTCAAAATATAGCAAAATATATGGAACAGACTGTAAGACCCATTATCCCTCTTTCTTAGACTCATAAATCAATCCCACATCATTCTACTAGTTGTCTGAAGATTTAATTTTGGATTCAGTCCCACACTACCACTGTCATAATCCTTGGTGATTTCAATATCCAGAGAGATGATCATTCCAAAAGTCTGATTTCTCAGTTTTTTGACCACCTCTTCTGCATTGATCTTGTCCTCCAGATTATTTTCACCATCACCCTAACTAAAGCAGCAGAATATGACCAGAAAAATACATACAACCACAATGACTGGTATATCTTCAAATTCATGATCACTTTTGTGTAGTAGGTCCTTAGTGTCCCTAGTGAACATACATATTCAAAGGCCATTACTCCTCATCCTCCCCAAGATGACAATTTTATACCTTCTTCCCTTTCCTCAAAGCTTCTCCTCCTTCCCCATGCTTACTCTGAGTTAAGAGAACTATTTAAAGAAAAAAATAATCCAAAGAGAACTTTCAAAAACCGCTATCACCTTTTCTACCAAACCACTTATGTGGGTGCAAGATCACATTGCTTTCTTTCCTGCTATCATGAATTAATGACCTATTGTCCCATTAGAGATCATCAGACTTTCCATCTCTACAAGAGGTGCCAAGCCCTCTTATCCACTCAAGAATATTACTCCAGCCAATTCTCCCCCTCTTGCCTATATCGATTTTTTCCTCTCTATTAGATCACTCATATCACCAAACAAACATGCTGTAATTACCTGCATCTTTAAAAAAAAAAAAGTCTTTAGCTCCACAACCCCAACCAGCTATTTCCCCATTTCTGTGCTCTTTATAACAAAACTGTCTTGAAAGAGTTTTCTGTACTCTTCAACAATTACTCAACTACCATTTGCATTTTTATCTGTCCTTTTGCATAAAATATACATAATATAATTTATAGTTTTAACCACTTGTCAATATACAATTCAGTGGCATTTAGTACAAAATATTACATAATTATCCCCACTATATTTTTGCAGAGCTTTTACATCATACTAGGCAGAAACTCTGAACCTATTAAGCACTAACTCAACTCCCCTGTATCCTACAGCCTCTAGCATGTCTATTCTACTCCTGTTTCTGTGATTTTGCATATTCTAAATACCTCATCTGTGATGGTTAATACTGACTGTCAACTTGATTGGACTGAAGGCTGCAAAGTATTGTTCTTGGGTGTGTCTATGAGGGTGCTGCCGAAGGAGTTTAACAATTGAGTCAGTGAACTGGGAGATGCAGACCCATCCTCAATCTGGGTGGGCACCATCTAATCAGCTGCTAGCACAGCTAGGATAAAGCAGGCAGAAGAATGTGGAAGGACTAGACTTGCTGAGTCTTCCGGCCTTCATCTTTCGCCTGTGCTGGATGCTTCCTGCCCTTGAACATCAGACTCCAAGTTCTTCAGCTTTTAGACTTTGGGACTTACACCTGTGGTTTGCCAGGGGCTCTCAGGCCTTTGGCCCACACTGAAAGCTGCACCGTCAGCTTCCCTGCTTTTGAGGTTTTGGGACTCCGACTGATCCATCACTGGCTTACTTGCTCCTCAACTTGCAGACGGCCTATCATGGGACTTTACCTTGTGATCGTGTGAGTCAACTCTCCTTAATAAACTCCCTTTCATACATACATATAGCCTATTAGTTCTGTCCCTCTAGAGAACATCATCTAAGTGGAATCATAAAATATTTGTCCTTTTGTGTCTGGCTTATTTCATTCAGCATAGAGATTTCCAGGTTCATTCATGTTTAGCATGCATCAGAACTTCATTCCTTTTTTTTTTTTTTTTTTTTGAGACGGAGTCTTGCTCTTGTTGCCCAGGCTGGAGTGCAATGGCGTGATCTCAGCTCACTGCAACCTCCGCCTCCCAGGTTCAAGCGAGTCTCCTGCCTCAGCCTCCCGAGTAGCTGGGATTACAGGTACCCACCACCACACCCAGCTTTTTGTATTTTTAGTAGAGACAGGGTTTCAACATGTTGGCCAGGCTGGTCTCAAACTCCTGACCTTGTGATCCACCCACCTCAGCCTCCCAAAGTGCTGGGATTATACGCATGAGCCACCACACCTGGCCAAAATTTCATTTTTTTATGGCTGAATATTATTCCACTGTATGTATATACCACAATTTGTTTATTCATTCATCCACTGATGAACATATGGATTGTTTCCATTTTGGGAGATCACTGAATAGTGCTACTGTGAACATTTATGTTCACCAATTTGTTTGAATACCAGTTTTTTATTCTTTTGAGTACATACCTAGAAATAAAATAGCTAGATTATATGGTAATTCTACGTTTAATTTTTTGTGGAACCACCAAACTATATTCCACAGCAGACGCACTATTTTACATTTCTACCAGTCTTCCCATTTGCTTTTAATCAACTCCAGCAAAGATTCTAACAGTGTCATATCACTGCTCTGCTCAAAATCACCAGTAATTTCCACATTGTCAAATCCAAGGATCCATTCTTACAAATAATCTATTCCCTCCTCTTTAAAACCTTTATGGTACTTACCTTCCAGTCTCTTGGTTTTCTGCCTACAATATTGATCACTTATTCTCAGCTTCCCTTGCTATTTCTTCCTCATCTTTCCAATTTCTTATCATCACAGTGCCTCAGAGCTTGGCTCTAGAACCTCTTTTTTCTATTCTACACTAATTTCAGTCTTAATATGATCATGACTATCAAATATATGCACCTAGGCAAACTTCTAATCTGAATTCTAGATCCATATATCCAACTCTCCACTAAGTTACTCTACTTAAATATACAGCAGGCATCTTAAACCTATCCAAAACTAAATTCCTCATCTTCATCTCAAATCTAGTCTTCTCCCAATCCCAGTCATCTCAAAATGTCACAGCTCAACTCTTCTAGTTGTTTAAGAGCCATCCTTGGATCATCTTTTTTTTTTCATTCATGTCTCATAATAAAATCTATCAGGAAATTCTGCCTATTTGACCTTCAAAACACATCCAAAACACAATCACTTTTCATCACCTCCACTTGCTATCACCCTAGTCCAAGTCATTACCATCTCTTGCTTGAAAATTGCATTCCTATCTATTTCTTTTCCTTACTTTTGCTTTCAACACAGCAGCCACAGTGATCCAGATTAAAATATAACCCAGATCATATAATTCTTCTAAAAACTGGCCAAATATTGTTTATCTCACTCAGAATAAAAGACAAAGTCCTAAAAATGATCTACACAGTTTACAACTTGTGAACCACTCCAAACCTCATCACCCCTCTTATCTTTCATACCACATTCATTCATGATATCTCATGACACTACTGCCCCACTGGCTTCCTTGCTGTTTCTTGAACTCTGGTGCCTTTACATTTGTTATTACTGGAATGTTCATTCTCAAATATCAATAAGGCTTCCTCTTTCACAGGTCTTTGCTTTAATATTCCCTTCATAATAAGGCCTTCCCTGATCATCCCATTTTAAACTGCATAATATCCCCTCTGGTGAAAGCACTCACTATTCCTCTTCCCACTTGATTTTTCTTTCTTTCTTTTTTTTTTTTTTTTTTTTTTTGGAGACAGAGTTTCGCTCTTGTTGCCCAGGCTGGAGTGCAATGGCACAATCTCAGCTCACCACAACCTCCACCTCCCGGGTTCAAGCAATTCTCCTGCCTTAGCCTCCCGAGTAGCTGGGATTACAGGCATGCGTCACCACGCCCAGCTAATTGGGTAATTTTTTTTTTTTTAGTAGAGATGGGGTTTCTCCATATTGGTCAGGCTGGTCTCGAATTCCAGATCTCAGGTGATCTGGCCGCCTCGGCCTCCCAAAATGCTGGGATTACAGGCGTGAGCCACCACGTCTGGCCCCCACTTGATTTTTCTACCTAACCTTTATATTCAATGAACACAATATATATGTTATTTGTTTATAATATCAATTTAAGCTTGAAAAAGCAGGAATTTATATCTGTTCACTCTGGTATCTCTGGAGACAAAACAATGCTTAGACACAGCTGGCATTGAAAATATTTGTTGAATGAATTAAGATATTATTCAGGAATATTACATGTATGGTAATAGCATTATAAAAGTCCAGGAAACAAATAACTCAAAAATTAAGTTTGGGTTATATGTGAGAGGAAGAGAAGGTAAAATATGATCAAAGAAGAACACATGGGGGATCAAAGCTACTAGGAATTTTATATTTATTTTGGCTGAAGTGCAGGGGTACTGGGATTACAGATGTGAGCCACCATGCCTGGCATAATTTTATATTTCTTCAAGTAAAGGGGTATTTACTTTATTATTCTTTAACCTAGACATACACATATTTGTATATATCATATATATTTTTGTATAGATAAGAACAGGTATTTTACATGCATTATGTTAATGGAGGAAGTCGTCAAGTTATGTTAAATACTGCTGGAAAAATAGCTAGAAGAGGACCTAGTTAACAATTTTGTCTTGAAAAGCGAAAGAGATGAGGAAAGAGATAATTATATGTAAACAATCCTTTAAAAAAAAATTTGTTATGAGGCTGGGCGTGATAGCTAACACCTGTAATCCTAGCACATTGGGAGGCCAAAGGGGGAAAAACGCTTGAGCCTAGGAGCGAGACCAGCCTGGGCAACATGGCAAAACCCCAACTCTACAAAATATTAAAAAAAAAAAAAAATTAGCTGGGCACAGTGGCACGTGCCTGTAGTCCCAGCTGCTCGGGAGGCTGAAGTGAGAGGATGTCTTGAGCCCGGGAGGCAGAGGTTGCACTGAGCTGTGATTGCACCACTGCACTCCAGCCTAGGCAACAGAGTCAGACCCTGTCTCAAAAAAAAAAAAAAAAAAAAAAAGAGAGAGAGAGATTGTTATGATTGTTACGAAGGAGAGCACAGAAAGGAAACCGTACCTGACAGGTAAAAGAATTCACGGGAAAATTTTTGCTGTTCCTTTCTTTTTTAATGACAATATTAAGGCATGTTTGTACACCAACTGAATGATTCAATAGGGCAAAAAACTATCCATGAAGCTAATAAAAAAGAAATGTGGAGAATGCCCTAAGAAGACAGGAAGGGATCAGAATTCAAAGATTTCAAGTGGAGGAGCCATGTAATTTTATGAAGTAAGAACTGTTAGACTCTATCTCACATCTACTGAATGCAAAGCAAACTTGAATAAAGCTAGAATTGTACTAACAATCCAAATTTAAGCATTAAAGTTGATAGAGATATAAACAGCAAGAGAAAAGACCTACTTTGAAAGTCACCGTTGCCTTTGTGCAATAAAATCCTATAGAAACAATAGGATCCTTCAAAGTCTGTGCTTTTTGTTGATGCATGGTTGATGCAGGATCGTTCCCAACAAAGTCTTCCTCGCCATCGTCATAACTCACAATTGCAGGCACAAAGGACCAGGCCCATGACACCCATCCCTGTGGCTGCTCCTCATCTTGCTGTGAATATAACTCTTGACCTTTATGCTGAGCAGGATATTGCATATCTATTCTTGTTTCATCTTCAGAACCTATCAATTAAAATTAAGTCATTTTAAATAAGTCAAAAGGATTTAACTAAGAGAATAGAAATAGACATCCTTTAAAATTTTTCCTCCCATATCCTTCTAATATAAGGTATAAACAAATGATACAGTGATTATTACTATTTGAAACCAATAATTTAGCATTATGACTCTCAACTTTCTGTATGTTGTACCGTATCTTTCTCCTTTAGTAGGTTATGGTTAATGTGATGTGGAAAGTAGTTTATCAACTGCACATAACTTTTAACTGTATTTGATAAAGACAAATAATAAATTAATTCTTTAACATCGCTCATGAATGTTTTAAACCAACAACAAAAAACCTACCTCTCAAAAATAAGGCTGATATATTGAAAAACTGACTTTTCTCAGAAACATAATACCACAAAGACCCAAGAAACATTCTTCATTTCCTGATCAGCACCCATGGAGGAAAAAAAAAATGGCAAGTGCTTCTAGGCAAAATGCTCCCCTGCCCAAACAAGAATTATCCCAAAAATGAAAGCAAATATTAGAATAAAACAACTTTTATATGTAGTTAAGAAAAATAATAATGTTGGGGCCTCTTTCTTACTAGCAAGTAAGATATGTTATACCTTTCCTGTTGTACAGCTGAAAAAATTATAGCCAAGAAATTTTATTTGGTTACAAACTGGCAGACCAAAGATTTAGATTCCAACTACTCTTTAATTTATGCCACCTTTGTAAAGACAAACTCCATCAAAGTCCTTTAATATAATTATAGCAATATAAACAAAAGAGGCATCATGAAATTTAGAAAAAAAAATTACTTTTTAAAAATTTCATAGGGGCCAGGAGCAGTGACTCACACCTGTAATCCCAGCACTTTGGGAGGCCAAGGTGGGCAGATCACCTGAGCTCAGGAGTTCGAGACCAGCCTGAGCAACATGATGAAACCCTGTCCCTACTAAAAATACAAAAAAACTGTCCGGGTGTAAAATTCATAGGGGCCAGGATCGGTGACTTAAACCTGTAATCCCAGCACTTTGGGAGGCCAAGGTGGGCAGATTACCTAAGCTCAGGAGTTCGAGACCAGCCTGGGCAACATGGTGAAACCCTGTCCCTACTAAAAATACAAAAAAATTGTCTGGGTGTGGTGGTGTGCACCCATTATGGTCCCAGCAACTTGGCAGGCTGAGGTGGGAGAATCACTTGAATCCAGGAGGCAGGCGTTGCAGTGAGCCATGTTTCATACCACTGCACTGCAGCCTGGGTGACAGAGCAAGACCCTGGACCCTGTCTAAAAACAAAAAACAAACAAAAAAAAAACACCATGGAAAAATTAGTCTCCAGCATATTCACTCATATCTACTCTCCATTGATAAATCTATAAATACACATACTCCTTTAAATCTTTAAATAACATCCTTACAGGTTTTCTTACTCAAAAAGCTTTATAACTTTTTAAACTCTTATGACAGGAGACTCTTGGAACATTCTACATTTATAGGTTATGAATGTTTACCTTCTTTCACCTGAGAAGGAAAAGGCTTAATAAGAATTAACTAGAGTAACTAAAATAACAGTACCAAGACACTTAAGCCATTGTAGTTCAGAATAAGTTTTATATAAGGTGCAAACCCTGTTGGGCCCACTGGCTCATTCCTATAATCCCAGCACTTTGGGAGCCCGAGATGGGAGAATCACATGAAGCCAGGAGTTCAAGAACAGCCTACTGCAACAAAGTGAGACCCCCACCTCAACCAAAAACAAAACAAAACAAAATTTATCAGCCACACTCAGTGTCGTGCACCTGTAGTCCCACCCAGCCACTCGGGAGGCTGAGGCTGGAGGATTGCTTGAGCCCAGGAGTTCAAGGCTGCAGTGAGCTATGATCATGCCATCATACTCCAGCCTAGGCAACAGAGTGAGACTATGTCAATAAATAAATAATAAATACATAAAGTAAAATAAAATTTTTAAAAGACACAAAAAAGCTTTAAATGGACAAATATTTAACACATACTTCACAAAGGCAGATAAAGGCCGATAATCACATTAAAAATTCAAAATAATTAGCCATCAAAAAATGCAAATTAAAAAACCATGAGATACCACAACACACTCATCCCAATGGCAAAAAAGTGAAAAAATACACCATTGAATGTTAGCAAGGATGTAGGCCAACTGCAACTCTCACACATTGTTGATAGGAATATAAAATGGTACAACCACATTGAAAAAAGTTATGGAAGTTTCTTTGAAAACTAAACATATAATTCCACTCTTAAGTATTTACCCAAGAGAAAGAATAGCACATGTCTACGTGAAATTTGTACAAAAATATCTATGAAAGCTTTATTTATAATAGCCAAAAACGAAAAACAGCCCAAGTGTCCATCAAACAGTGAATGGTAAAATAAACTATAGTATATTCACATGGTATATTCATACAGTGTATGTAGCAATGAAAAGGAAAGAACGACTGCTACATGCAACAACATAGATAAATACCAAACACACTATGCTTAATGAAAGAAGCCTTTTATACATATTGAGTGTTTCCATTTATATGAAATTCTAGAATCAGCAAAACTAAATCTACAGTTTTAAGGAACTTCAGAACAGTGTTTTCTCGCGGGGAGGCAGGCAGGTGAAAGGGGAATGACTAGAAAGGGGCATAAGAAACTATCTCAGATGTTAATGACCTATATCTTGATGAGTGTTTTGCATCACACAGGTGTATGTATTTCTCAAACTCATTGAATTTTACTTTGGAGATTTAACCTCCAAAAAAAATAAAAAGACCCACCACTTAGTAGAAACTCTAGATAACAACAGGCAGCTGAGGGTTAGGGGTGAAGTGTAGCAATGTATGTAACTTAATTTGAAAGGCATCAAAAACAATTGTATTGATAAATAGGGAAAGGGATGTTAGATGAACCAATATGTGATGAAGCAATTGTAACAGAATATCAATAGAAGACTCCAGATGATAAGTCTGTGAGTGTTCACCTTATAATAACTCTTACAGCTTTTCCATATATTTGAAATTTGTCAAGTTGGAAAAAAATAAATCAAGTATCTTCTACATGTTATGTTTGTTCCAGGTATAAGACACTGTTTCTGTCTCAGCAATGCATTGTCTAACAAAAATTTACCCTCTAGTGTGAAATAAAGGTATGTTTTATATCTACATACTCTGATTAATGTTGTTCTCTATGCTTTATTTTAAGGTAGTAAGATTTTTTTAATGAGATAAAGTTTAAATAGCATAAAATTCAACATTTAAAGGTGTACAATTCAGTGGGATTTTTTTAATAGTCACAAGTTTTGCTCCTATCACCACTATCTAATTTTAGAACATTTTCATCATTCCAAAAAGAAACCTATTTATTTGCAGTCATTCTCTCCTCCCCGCAACTCCTGGTTACTAATCTACTTCCTGCCTCTACAGAACTGCCTATTATGAACATTTCTAATGGAATCATATCATATGTATTATCTTTTGACTGGCTGCTTTCACTTAAGATAATGCTTTCAAGGTTCATCCATGCTGTAGCCTATATCAGTATTTCATTTTTTTGTACAGCTAAATAATACTCCAATGTATGAATATGCCATAATTTGATAATCCATTCATCAGTTGACAGACATTTCAATTGTGTCCAGTTTTTGGCTACTATGAATATGTTACCATGAACATTTCATATATAAGTTTTTACATGGACATATGTTATCAGTTCTCTTGATATACACGTAGGAATGGAATTGCTGGGTCAACATGGTAACTCTATGTTTCACGTTTTGAAGAACTGCCATATTGTTTTCCAAAGCAACTATACCATTTTACACTCCCAACAACTTATATGAGTTCCAGTTTCTCCACATCCTCACCAATACCTGTTATTTTGTATTTTTTTTTATTATAGTCATCTAGTACCTGTGAAGTGGTATCTCACTGAGGTTTTGATTTGCTTGTTTGCTATTTGTTTACCTTCTTTGGAGAAATGTCTCTTTGCCCATTTTTAATTGGGTTATTTGCCCCTAAGTTTTAAATGCCCTTCTCTTAGGGCTTTATCTATGGAAATTAATCACCTGAAAACTTTCTGAGTCTCAGGCCCAATACCAAGTTGAAATCAGTCATCCTTTCATCTTTCTACATCAGATCATTCATGATATTTATCAAACTTTCTGCCATTCTACCATTCATCATACTTAACTAACTACTGACATGTCTATCTGTCCCATTTTATCTTAAAATTCTAAGGGAAAGAAATACATCAAAATGATTTCTGTATTTTCCCACATTACATATCCTTCAATGAAGTATACATTTCATTAATTAACAGCACTAAAATAACTCAATTCAACTTAAGTGAACTTTTGCAGAAAAATTACCAATACTATTATTTACTAGGAAATCTTGAGGTATACTACTTCAACTTTTATCAAATGTATATCCTGGGTCAGGCATGGTGGCTCATGCCTGTAATCCCAGCACTTTGTGATGCTGAGGCGGGCAGATAGCTTATGCCTAGGAGTTTGAGACCAGCCTGGGCAACATAGCAAAACCCTGTCTCTACAAAAAATGCAAAAATTACCCAGGCATGGTGGCATGTACCTGTAGCCCTAACTATTTGGAAGGCTGGGGTAGAAGGATCACCTGAGCCTGGGAGGTCGCGGCTGCAGTGACCCATGATCATGCCACTGCACTCCAGCCTGGGTGACAGAGCAAAACCCTCATTCATAAATAAATAAGTAGTACATTCTGAACACTTATATCTATTATAAATATAGAAGTTATTTTTAGCATATAGGAGAAAATCAGAATGTTATCCAGCATGTAGATAAAATTAAAGTAGTGTAGGCTGGGCACAGTGGCTCATGCCTGTAATCCCAGCACTTTGGGAGGCTGAGGCGGGCAGATCACAAGGTCAGGAGTTTGAGACCAGCCTGGCCAACATGGTGAAAACCCATCTCTACTAAAAAAAAAAAATACAAAATTACACAGGCGTGGTGATGCATGTCTGTAATCCCAGCTACTTGGGAGGCTGAGGCAAGAGAACTGCCTGAACCTGAGAGGCAGAGGTTGCAGTGAGCCATGATTGCACCACAGCACTCCAGCCCAGGCAACAGAGCTAGTCTCCATCTCAAAACAAAACAAACAAAAAAATTAAAATAGTGTAAAACAACCAAAAAACAATCAGCCCATCTCATTAGAATACTGTAAAACTCAAGCTAATACATTTTTTAAAGTTTCCCAATGGTAAAACGTAAGAATAGTCTTAAAATAAAGTTTTTGTTTAATAAAGTTTTACATTACCTGTAATGTTTCCTAGCATATCTTTATTATGACAAGTAAGGTCCTCTATTTCGCCTTCTTTAAAATTGCCTATTTCTCCATAGTAAAGAGCAATTCCAAGTTGCATTATACGAATAAACATAGGCAGTTGTTGATCTGTGATAGAAAGTTTCAAACTTTCCACTAAAGTATGAATCTGCATTTTGAAAAAGACATAACACCAACAAACGCATGTTTAAAAAGAGTATTTTTTACATAAAGAAATGTTTTAAAGTCTTTAAATGGCATAACATAAAAGAAATGCTCCAAACATTTTAATACTTAAATCAAAACAATACTTACTCTAAGATCTTAGGAATTAAGTAAATTTTGCTATGATGATCAATACACGTTAGATAGAAACGATATTAAACCAAATGATGTACATACAAATGGAATTAATAGTGAGAAGGTATAATCACACTAGATTTCCAGATTACTATTCCAGAAACAAAGTTAGTTATATAACCAAATAGCTACTCTATAACATTAAGAGAATAACAGTATTATCCTCAAAAAACAGAACAATCTGTCAAAACCAAGAATAATAAAAATTTTATGTCATTTTAGTGAAACTCTAATCATTCTTTCCAGGTTTATTAACCATAAAGAATACATATACATCCTAAAACCATATGTTAACTGGGGAAAAGACTAGTATTACAACTATGAAAGTATGTAAATAATAAAAATTTTTGTCAAATATGGAAAAACAAGTGAAATATATGTTGAAAAAAGTTTTTCAGACAAATTTTAAGTAAGATTTAAATAACAAAAGTTTTCCAAATTGTAGATAAGATTTAAATGACATAAAACTTATTCAACTGATAAAATGAAACCATTATAACAAAGAAATAAGATTAACTACTAGCAAATAGGATATACAGCAATCAAAGCTCTCCTTAAAGAAAGAGACATCAGTGGAATATAAACACAACTTCAGTGTAATGGTTTCCTGCTGTTATCTAAACACGGAGTAAAACCAATTATGCCATAAAGTCAAGTCTCTTAGAAGGTTTATTTTGACTAATGTATTTCAGTGTCTATGAAAGATGAAGTAATAGTAATGGTAATCATCGTATTTTTAGGGTGCAAAGCACATAAAAAAATGTATGTGAAGGGGGAGAAAACTATATGGGGGGACTGTGAAATACCATATTTCAAATATGAGCACAAGCTTTTAAAAACTGACCTAATAATCATACACTGAATAAACAATGAAGAGGTAAGAAAGCGGGGAATGAGTGTGGGAGGTGAGCAGGAAAGGAGTATGCATGTCTGCTAAGGTTTCCTTAATTTGAAATTCCTCTGTCACATTCTTTTAAATCTTGTATTGCACCAATAGCACTGGTAATAAGCAGTCAGCAAAACCAATAACAAAGAATCTGTCATAAGTATCTTTTTAAAAGCTCCTTAAAATGAGTAAGATTAATACTCAGTAGAAAAATGGATAAAGAACCTGAACTGATAATACAAAGAACAAATGACCAGTGAATGTGTTTTCAAAAATCTAACTTCACTAATAAACGGCAATTAAATTACATATCATTTGTTGTTCAACAAGTTGGCAATTTTTAAAATATGATCATATTTAAGGATAATAAGAGTATGACATAGGCACTCCCCTTAATGTTCATGTGAGTATAACCTGGTTAAATCTTTCTGGAAACAATCTGGCAATACAGATCACAGGTCTTAAAAAAAAAAAAAAGATATTTGCAATTATACAAATCTTTCCTAAGGAATTACTCAGGAAATGTGGTCAAAGTTCTATGCACAGAATTTCACTGCTCTGAGAAACTGCAAAGTAAATTTCTAAAAACAGGAGAAATGTTAAATAAATTACGTACCCATAGGATCTGTATCTCATAAACATCATAATCACCAGAACGTATGTATCTCACACAAAAAAAATGGAAAATTATAAAAAGCCAACCCAACATATAAATACATTCAAAATAAACATACATGAAAGATTTGAAAAGAAATAGAGGGGCCAGGCGCAGTGACTCATGCCTGTAATCCCAGCACTTTGGGAGGCTGAGCCAGGCGGATCATGAGGTCAGGAGTTTGAGACCAGCCTGGCCAAAAGGGCAAAACCCTGTCTCTACTAAAAATACAAAAATTAGCCAGGCCTGGTGGCCGGCGCCTGTAATCCCAGCTACTCGGGAAGCTGAGGCAGGAGAATCACTTGAACCCGGGAGGCAGAGGTTGCAGTGAGCCGAGATCATGCCATTGCACTCCAGCCTGGTCAACAAGAGCAAGACTCCGTCTCAAAAAAAAAGAAGAAAAGAAATATAGTATCTGGAACATTTTGAGAAACCTCTGTGAAGTAATTAATGAGGTCGACCATATCTGTTTAATACATATTCCCTAGGATTAGGACTTGGAAGAATGATGGGTCTAACCCAAAATGGCAAATCTTAACATTACAATAGTATTAACAAAAAACTCAGGCAGGCATGGTGGCTCATGCCAGGAATCCCAGCACTTTGGGAGGCCTAGACAAGAGAATTACTTGAAGCTAGGAGGTTCAGTATCAGCCTGGGCTGCACAGTGAGACTCCGTCTCTACAAAAAAACAATTTAAAATGAGCCAGGGATGGAGACATGCGCCTGTAGTCCTAGCTACTTAAGAGCCTGAGACAGAAGGATCGCTTGACCCCAGGAGTTCAAGGTTACAGTGAAGTATGATTGTGCCACTGCACTCCAGCCTGGGTGACAGGGAGCCTCGAAGGTAAAGAAAAAAGGAGAAAGAAAAAAGGAGAGAAAGCGGAGGAGAGGGGAGGGAAACAGAGGGGAGGGGAAGGGTGGGGAGAGGGAGAGGAGGGGAGAAAAAAGAAAGAGAGAAAAGAAAAGAAGAAAGAAATAAAACCTCCAAAATTGATTTCAGTTGAGTATAACACATTGATATCACATATTTGGCAACTATTATACAAGTTTATTTATGATAAGGGACTTTTTCAGTGAAATGTAATGACTAATCAGTTTTGAGAACACAAACTTACTTATATGCCAACACTAAGTTTTTCCTCATCTATTTTTACCTTCCTCTAATATAACCACATCCTAGAATAGACCATTACATTTGCACTAATGATCAAAAAGAGTATTTTATATAGTAAGCTTCCATATATCCATTACTTGCTTTCAATGTATCTTCAATTTACCTTCACATTCCCCAAATTTACTAGAAAACCCAAGGCTATAGAAAATAAGCGTATTTCCCTGAGACAGAGCCATCACTATTACTGAGTTAATTCTTTTCCATGTTTATCTTTGCCAAAGAAGCTAATTCAAATATAGAAGGAAAAAGTAACAGAATATAAACAAACCAATATGCATTATACACCGTGTGGAAAAAAGTAAAACACAGGTGACTAAGCACTACCAAGAAAAAAACATGTAGATTTTACATATTAAGTACAGTAAGGCTACGTAAAATAGAAAATACTATATTTTTAATAAAATATAAGGTAACAAAAACAAAACTAATTTTTATACAGCCATACTCAAACAGGAACAGTAGTTAATACCAGTGTTCAGACACCTAAGTCCAGCCCTTCCATCTACAGAACTTTGACAGTCAGAGGCAAGTAGTTCAACAATAAACATTTACTCCACATTAAAACCTACTTAATGGGATCAGAAGTCACTGAATTCTTTTTCCAAGATACAATGATAGGCAGACAAACAATGTTCAGAAAACTGTTAAATAAGACAACAATATTTATGCTTAGATACTAATCACATACATTGAAAACATACACTACATTGGACAGAAAATTTTCACATGTATCAAAAGACATGTCCTGTTCTCACTTAGAAGTGGAAGCTAAATCTTGGGTACACATGGACATAAAGATGGGAACAACAGACAGTGTGGATTCTAAAAGGAGGGAAGGAGGGAGAGGAAAAAAGGGCTGAAAAACTTCCTTTTGGGTACTATGTTCACTATCTGGATGATGGTATCAGTGGGAGCCCAAACCTAAGCATCACACAATATACCCTTGTAACAAATCCCTTAATCTTAAATGAAAATGCAGATAAAAAATAAAAAGACATGTCCTGAATAACTCCCTAAGATTTTAATTACATTTTAAAAATCATAAATCAAAAGCTAAAACTTCTTGAACCAATAAACTATTAGGTTAGTATATCAAGCTTTACGAAGTCACCTAGTAAAGAGAAGAAAAAGTATAGATAGCAGATCATGCTGAACAGATTATAAGAACTGAAATACAGAATACTGATATGCAGTCCACTGTGGGTATAAATATACCTTTTAATATTATTTCCTCTATCTACTTGAAGAGAGAAACACTAATAAACAGCTGGAAAAACTAAAAAAAAACAATTACAGAAAAAAGTTGTCTCTAAACTCTAGTAGAATACGTTATACAGAAATGTATAAATACAACATAAAAATCATAAACATAAATAAAATTTTTATAAAAACAAATGGCATACATATTTACAAGGTTAATTTCTTCATTTGTTAATAATGATTAGCATCCACAAGAGTCAATAAACAAAATAAAGACATGCAACTTAACTGCAAAAAAAAGAGATACCTACTTTAATAACAGATGGCATCTTGGAATTTAGGTTTTCATATGTAAAATGAAGACGAGTTCTGAAGGAACATTTGTATAATAAAGGATCCTGGTAAAATTCTATTTTACCACTGGCATTCCGTTTATCAAGACAAACTGTACAGTCAGAAAAATTGATAACCTTTCTCAGCACCAAATCAGTTGCTAAAAAGAAAAAAAAACATTTTAAGTAAAAAGGAAAATTAGCAGGGGAAAGGCAACTATTATTTATTAGTATAAATAGTAATAAAATTAATAATAACAGAAAATAAGATTCATGGAGCATTTAATACATAATGCCAGACCATATGCAATGAACTTTTCATTTTATTATACAATTTAAATCTTCCAACAACTTTATGAAATAGGCACAATTCTCCCCATTTTATATATGAAGAATCAGAGACCTAATTAGTTTGCCCCAATCTGCATGGCACATTAACTACAAATTTTTTTTAATTATGAAAAATTTCACTACAGTTCTCTTACACAATGAGATAACAATAAAATTCTTAAGAATCCACATTAAAGATAATTTTTTGAAGAAGTCATTCATTTAACATTCATTTTATATTAAAAAAAACTCACTGCTACTCTAAACTTGCACTATCCAATATGGTAGCCACCAGCCATATGTGGCTATTTAAATTAATTAAAATTATATAAAAATAAAAATTAAGGTCCTTGGTTGCACTAGCTATATTTCAAGTGCTCAACAGCCACATGTGGCTAGTGGCTACCATATTGGAGAGAGAAGATATAAAACACTTGTATTATCACAGAAAGGTCTAGTGGACACCACCACATTAATTAATAAAGAAATCACCAATAACACTCTAGAGTATATTTTCAAAGGAATAAAAATAAAACAATTGATGGTAAAGTATAAAAGTATGAAATGAAGCCTTTAGCAAATCAATATTTCTTATTTCTTAACTGATAAGCAATTCCTAGGTAAATATCAGGCCCAAATCTACTTGCCCAGTGATTTTAAGTTAGCCATGGGAATTTAAAAAACAATAAAATGTGTTTTAGTTCAGGTTATAACACTATTTCTGAGTATATCCTGGCAACTTCTAATTAATTCAACATTTTATTTTATAAGTTTTTAAAAAGTAGAAATTAAAGAAGATGTGTCTAAACAGTATTATTTGCAGATAAATTTCAAAGTTGTCTGTTAGTTGAAAAAGACATATGACTACCATATTTCAAATTTACATATTATATGAATAATGATTTAGTTACTAATATTATATATGTACACAAATTAAGAAATTACAATAGTAGGACCAGAAATGAGAAAAAAAAAGATATCCTGTAGATGTTTCCTTCCCTCTCTTTATGATAACAATTATCATTTTCTGAGTATTTGCTATTACTCAGATACTACACTAAGTCTTTTACATCTCTTATCTGACAATATTTACACGGTCCTGTTAAAAAATGTGAAAACTGAGGCACAGTGGTAATAGTCTGTCTATTGTTATACAGTTTATAAAGATCAGAGCTGTAATTCAAACTCTGGCAACCTTACTGCAGAGTGCATGTTCTTATCTACTTTGCTATAAGAATGTAAGCTATTCAGGCCAGGCATGGTGGTTCATGCCTATAATCCCAGCACTTTGGGAGGCCTAGGCGGATTGCTTGAGGCCAGGAGTTCAAAACCAGCCTGGGCAAAGTGGTGAAACACCATCTCTACTACAAATACAACAATTAGCTGGGTGTGGTGGCAAATGCAGAAAATCACAGCTACTCAGGTGACTGAGGCACAAGAATGGCTTGAACCCAGGGGTGGAGCTTGCAGTGAGCCAAGATCACACCACTGCACTCCAGCCTGAACAACAGAGTTAAGACTCTCTCTTAAAAAAAAAAAAGAAAGAAAGAAAAAGTGAAGTATTCAAATTTCAAGGATACCCTAGACCCTAGACAATTATTATTCAGTGAAAGAGGACATTACTGTTTTAAAGGTATTTTTTCTTAAACACAAAATATAACAGCAACTATATTTCAAAAACTTAGAAAATGAATTCTAGTTTCTGGTACTTACTTTAGAAATGTGCTACAATTTAATCAGTAAAATATTATTCATCACTGAAATTAGGGCTCTACAACTATATACACCAATATATAGAAATATTAAAAGCATAGTATTGATTGAAAACAACAAACCCAAAATACAACATATAAGAATACTATTTTTAAAAAGAGGTTAGGAAGCTTATTCAAAGAAATAGAGAAAACTTCCAAAACCTGGAAAAAGCAATCAAAGAAAAGCCTAAGACCTTTGGATTCACTGTCATATTCTACCAAACATTTAAAGAACTAATACCAATATTCACAAACTGTTCCAAAAAATTGAAGTGGAGGGAATTCTTCCAAAATCATTTCCATACTATCCAAAGCAATCTACGAAATCAATGCAATCCCTATCAAAATACCAATGACATTTTTTCACAGACATAAGAAAAAACAATCCTAAAATTTTTATGGAACCACAAAGACCCTAAATACTCAAAGCAACCCCAAGCAAAAAGAACACAGCTAGAGGCATCATACTCCCTGACTTTAAAATATACTAAAAGCAATAATAACCAAAACAGTACGGTACTGGCATAAAAAAAGACACATAGCCCAATGGAATAAAATCAAAAACCCAGAAATGAATCCATGCATTTACAGCCAACTGATTTTCTATATAGGGGCCAAGAAAACACACTGAGGAAAAGAACAGTCTCTTCAATAAATGGTGCTGGGAAAACTGGATATCTATATGCAGAAGAACAAACCTAGACCCTTATCTCTCACTATTTAAAAAAATCAACTCGAGATAGATTAAAGACTTAAATGTAAGACCTGACATTGGTCTAGGCAAAGAATTTATGACTAAGACCTCAAAAGCATAGGCAACACGCTTATGAATATAAATCTTTCTACCATAAAGACACGCACATGTGTATGTTCATTGCAGCACTATACACAATAGCAAAGACATGGAATCAACCTAGATGCCCAACAACAGTGAAGTAGATAAAGAAAATACAAGACGTATCCACCATCGAATACTACATAGCCATAAAAAAGGATGAAATCATGTCCTTTGCAGCAATATGGATAGAGCTGGAGGGCATTATCCTAGGCAAATTATGCAGGAACAGAAAACCAAACACTGCATGTTCTCAATTATAAGTGGGAGCTAAGCACTGAGTATACATGGACACAAAGAAGGCAACAATAAATACCAAGGCCTACTTGAGGGTGGAGGGTGGGAGCAAGGTAAGAATCAAAAGACTAACCATTAGGTACTATGCTCATTACTTGAGTGACAGAATAATCTGTACACCAAATGCATGCAACATGCAATTTACCCAAGTAACAGACCTGCACATGTACCCTCTCAACCTAAAATACAACTTGGAAAGGAATAAAAAGAAATATTAATTCTCACAGATAGTATGGATGGTAATAAATTGATTTAATCATTTTAGAGAACAATTCAGCAATATAAAACATAACTGAATGTTTACATATGCAGTTATTCTTTTCCTGATCATAATTTACAGAATTCAAACACGTAACAAGGAAACATAAAAAAGGATGTACATTCCAGCACTATGGGCAATGTCAATATTTTAGAACAACTTGAATGTCAACCACATGGGAGATGATAGGATTCTGCCTCTAATAGTAGAAAAGATTAGATATTCTGAAGACCTTTATACTGAAATAAAAGTCTTGGAAATTATAAAAAAAAAATACGTAAGGGGAAGGAATGAGTTAAAGGAGAAGGAATAGATAGATGGCCCAATTATTTTATTTTTTAATCCATTATGGCAAGTATTTAGTGCAATCTGATTTGGTGTTAATTGAACATCTTATGTTTATTGGTCTTTGGGGTATACTCTTTTTTACGTGTTTGTTCAAGTCTCTTGTCCATTTTTCTACTGAGTTGTCTATTCTTTTCTTATTGATTTATAGAAGTTATATATTGTGGATATAAGTATGTTGCAAATTTTAAGTATCAAGAATATACACTTCCATCTGTGGCTTGCCTTTTTACCCTCACAAAGATATTACAATTCTTATTTTAACTGCAATATTTTAATACAGCCTCGTGCATTACTTGTTAGTAAAAAAATGGCATTACTATTATGAAAAAACTATTTGTCAGTATCTCTGAAGCTTAACATAGGCCTACACTATGACCCAGTAATTTCACTCCTAGGCATATACCCAACAGAAATGTATGTATATGTCCACCAAAGGACATGTATGAAAATGTTCGCTATAGCATTATTCATTATAGCCAAAACTGGACATAATTAAATCTATATCAATGGTACACTGAGCAAAAAAATGTTTTATTCACAACACAGACCAGACCTGCAAACTCGCCATCCCACATATATCCAGGAAAGACCAGTGCAGGCAGAACCCCAACCCTTGCTCACCTGATTGTGCAGGGAGAGGGAATAGATATATACACGCAGAACTGAACTATTGTTACAGACGAAAACCTGAATAAATTTCATTTACATAATATTGAGCAAAATAATCTAGGCCCAAAATACATATGGTTCCATTCATACAAAAATTTAAAAAGAGTCCAAACCCTACTATGGTGTCAGATGTCAGTAAAGTGGTTGCTTTGGGGAAAGAAGGGGCAGTAGTAAGTGAGTATATGTACAACAAGCACTTCTGGGTGCTGATATTGTTCAATTTCTTGAGCTTGGTGGTGGTTACAAGAGTATGTTCATTTTGTGGTATGTCGTTTAGCTATATGGGTTTTTTGTTTGTTTGTTTGTTTTGGGTTTTTTTTTTTTTTTTTTTTGAGGTGGAGTCTCACTCTATCGCCAAGGCTAGAGTGCAGTGGCACAATTTCGACTCACTGCAGCCTCCGCCTCCTGGGTTCAAGTGATTCTCCTGCCTCAGCCTCCCAAGTAGCTAGGATTACAGGCACCTGCCACCGTGCCCAGCTAATTTTTTTTGTATTTTTAGTAGAGATGGTGTTTCACCATGTTGGCCAGGCTGGTCTCAAACTCCTGACCTCAGGGGATCCGCCCGCCTCAGCCTCCCAAAATGCTGGGATTACAGGCGTGAGCCACCACACCCGGCCAGCTATGTGTTTTTGCTTAATGCTCTTTCTTTCTTGCATGTTATGCTTCAATTAAAAAAAATTATTTAAAAAAAAACTAATAAAAGGGAAAATAATAGTTTCTTCCTCAGAGAGTTAAAGGGTTAAACAAGATAATTAATATAAAATATGTAACACTAGCCCTGGTACTAAATAAACAGAAGATACTATTTTCACTGTCTTTATCACCACCATCATCATGAGCTTTCATATGGTATATTTGCTTCTGAAGAGTACACTGGCAAGTTAGAAGCAGTCATTTTATAAATGACTCACCCAAGTTTGCACTGTAAATTAGCAGTGGAGAGAAGATTCAAACTAAGATCTTCCAACTCCTGATCCAGAATTCTAATTCACTATAAATAATTTCCCAAAGTAAAACTGGCATTGCTTCTATACTAAATTAAATTTCTATACCATACTAAATTGCTTCTATACTAAAATTAAATTTCTGGGTGGGCACAGTGGCTCATGCCTGTAATCCCAGCATTCTAGGAAGCTGAGGCAGGCAGATCACTTGAGGTCAGGAATTCAAGACCAGACTGGCCAACATGGTGAAACCCCGTCTCTACCAAAAATATAAAAATTAGCCAGGCATGCTGGCAGGCGCCTAGAGTCCCAGCTACTTGGGAGGCTGAGGCAGGAGAATCGCTTGAACCCGGGAGGCAGAAGTTGCAGTGAGCCAAGATTGCGTCACTGCACTTCAGCCTGGGTGACAGAGCGAGACTCTGTCTCAAAAAAATTAATTAATTAATTAAAATAAAATTTCTTCACCACAAATGTCAACTCATTAATACAATCCTACATTGTCCAGTTCTATTTGTTTTCTATTTTCCATAGCTGCTTCTTCCAGCCTTTTAATCAAATATTTCTTTCCACAGAAGATGCAAAGGAGGCATTAACGATATATAAGAAATGATGCTTGGGCCTTACCTACACTTTTATGCTCACAACAAAGTTGTAAAATCAGGACTACTCTCCTTTTGTTAAATGTGAAGACTAAAGCTTAGAAAACACATAATAATAAAACTCTATTCCAGTTCTGCTACTTCCTAGTTGTATGCCTTAATCAGGCAAGTTAAATACTCTTGAGACTCAATTTCACTTTGCTTTAACCCTTTAACTGGGATTTATGATGAATAAAGGAATATATGACTAAACATTAAAAAGAGATAAAAACAGGCTTCAGGATAATCAAGAAATTCCAGGGCTATCATGGTGGCTCACACCTGTAATCCCAACACTTTGGGAGGCCAAGGTGGGTGGATCACTTAAGCCAAGGAGTTTGAGACCAGCCTGGGCAACAGGGCAAAACCCCATCTCTACAAAAAAATACAAAAATTAGCCAGGCATGGTAGTGCACGCCTGTGGTCCCAGCTACTTGGGAGGCTAAGATGGGAGGATCACCTGAGCCCAGGAAGTCGAGGCTGCAGTGAGCCAAGGTAGCACCACTGCACTCCAGCCTGGGCAACAGAATGAGACCCTTTCTCAAAAAGGAAAGGGGGAAGAGGGAAAGGGGCAGGGGAGAAGCAAGGAAAGGGAAGGGAGGATGAAAGGGAGAGGGGAGGGGGGACGGTGGGGAGAGGGGAGGAAAAGAAGGAAGAAATTCCAAATGTGCTTTGGAACACACAAGCCTAAAACATAAATCAATCAGATATATTGCCTTGCCTTCACCAAGCTTTGTAAATGAAACATGATGCCTTTCACCTTTCAAAAACATAAACAATTCAAACTAAATATCATTTAACTTTTATTGCTACAACCCATGGCACTATAAAATATAGTCATGCACTGCATAACAATACCTAAGTCAACAACAGACTATATATCTATGATGGCTGTCCCATAAGATTATAATACTATATTTTTACTATACCTTTTCTGTTTTTAGATACACAAATACCACTGTGTTACAACTATCTACAATACTCAGCACAGTAACATGCTGTACAGGTTTGCAGCCTAGGAGCAATAATAGCCAATACCATATACCTGAGGTTGTGTACTGGCTATACCATCTAGGTTTGTGTAAGTACACTCTATGATGTTTGCATAACAACAAAATCGCCTAAGATGCATTTCTCAGAATATGTCCCTGTTGTTAAGCAATGCATGACTGTATTATACATCACATTTGAAACAAGCATGTGGCAAGTAAGAAAGAATGAAAATTAAAAGTATTAAAAAACAAGTATAGGCCAGGTATGGTGGCTCATTCCTGTAATCTCAGCACTTTGAGGGGCCAAGGCAGGCAAATCGCTAGAGCTCAGGAGTTCAAGACCAACCTGGGCAATGTGGCAAAACCTTGTCTCTACAAAAAAACACAAAAATTTGGCCAGGCGCAGTGGCTCACATCTGTAATCCCAGCACTTTGGAAGGCGGAGGCGGGTGGATCACAAGGTCAAAAGATGGAGACCATCCTGGCTAACATGGTGAAACCCCATCTCTACTAAAAATACAAAAAATTAGCCGGGCATGGTGGCAGGTGCCTGTAGTCCCAGCTACTCGGGAGGCTGAGGCAGAAGAATGGTGTGAACCCGGGGAGGTGGAACTTGCAGTGAGCCGAGATTGAGCCACTGCACTCCAGCCTGGGCGACAGAGCAAGACTCCATCTCAAAAAAAAAAAAAAAAAAAAAAAGCCGGGCATAGCAGCATGTGCCTGTAGTCTCAGCTACTCAAGAGTCTGAGGTGAGAGGATTGTTTGAGCCCGGGAGGCAGAGGTTGCAGTGAGCTGAGATCACACCACTGCACTCCAGCCTGGGCAACAGAGCCAGACCCTGTCTCAAAAACAAACAAACAAAAACCACAAGTATAGATTTCTGAATTTGGAGTGTCTACTAACCTCCTGTAATTATATGCAACATTTTGTATATGTGCATTTTTTTCCCACACTGGAGGCATGAAGATTTGATAACATTTACCAGCAACTCAGTTGGCCCAAAGAAGGGTTAAGAGTTAAGGTAATTGTTTCAATTATGGAAAAATATACGGTATTCTCCATATTTACTCACCAGAAATATCCATGAATGCACGATCCCATAATTCACCTACTGTATAACATTCTGCAGAAGTGATATTGACGGAAAGGACGATATCATCTTCAACATATTTTAGTATGAGATTATTTATCACAATGTTTACATTATTTACAACTCGTCTAATCAGACTCTGCACATAACCTATAAAATAGAAAAAAAGAATTTAATTAGCCACAAATCTCTCAGTAAATAATTATTTCTTAAAGTGTTATTGAACTTAATGTATGAGAAAGGTGGTTATTATTTAGCATATTTCCCAAAGAGAAACTGAAGTTCAGATAGGTTAAAAGGCTTGCCAAAGTGACACAGGTAATAAGTAGCAGATCGACCCCAACAAACGTCATTATCAAGAAGTTCTATAGTGAAGTATTCATATACTAAGAGAAACCACAAAGACCATATATATTTTTGATAACATAATATTAGATCCCATACAATGATTATCCTATTCTACAAGTACTTTGTTTGATTTTTGCTTATTGTATTATATAAACATTTTCCAAAATGAAGCAATGTTACTATATGCTGATTATACAGTATATTAGAAGATGGTCTTCTTTAAGCTTAAGCCTCTTTTTAAACCAGCTACCTTCATCTCTTCCTAGTTTAGCCATAAAAATATTTAAAAGTTATGCCTCGGATAGAAGAAACATGACCATCATAATGGATTCAACTCTACTCACTTACTAATATTTAATGTTAAAATAGAGTAGAGGGGAAAATATGAATGAAGAAGAAAATGTAGACAGGAAGAGTTAAAGAAATATTTTTAAAATACTACCATGAAGAAGACAGAAAAATGAAAAAACAAAAGTATGGAAGGAAGGAGAATGTATAAAAGTAGAATAAGAACACAGGGAAATAGGAAAAAGAAACAGAAATACAGGTTAACTCCAAACACTAAAAGTAATTAATGAACATTCTATTTCTCCATGGCTTGCTTAGAATCTCCAAAATTTTTCTTTTAATTTCATGCTACTGAGGAATACTCCATAATCTCACTTATGTTTCTCATGTAAGTGTGTACATGGATACATTATTGAGTAATTTAGTTAAAAATATAAATAACACTTTATAAAAAGCATTTTAAAAGCCAGGAGAAAAAAAAATTAATCTTTTCCACTGTAAAAAGCTAACTAAAAGGTAATGCATTTCCACTATTAAAGAAAACTATTTAAAAGGTAATTAAAATTTTAGCTATTTCATGAAATAACCATATGGTTGTATTCTTTAACCCAGAATTTTACTGGACAAAACATAATCAACTTCTGTCAGCATCTGACATTGTTAACACCTACACTAAAGCCTGCTGAGAGAAGACTTACTTAAATCTATTCAACCATAACGTGTGCAAAACCCAACTCCTTCATTCATTCCCAATGATGCAAATAGGAAAGAAATGTAATACAACTTAGATTCGAGGTTTTCTCCTATATAGAAACTATTAGCAGCTTTTAGAGTGCCAATTATCACATGCTATAAAATTAACATTCAAAATATTAATAGATTTAAAGTAACAATTACTCTTCCATGAGTAGATGCTAAAATAATTCTTAATAAATGAGACCTCCAAAAGAAATTGTAAGTATCAACATTTTAACCTTAGAATGTACATAACCCCATATTATTACTACTCAATGCAGATTTTAAAAACAAAAATGGGGCCAAGCACGGTGGCTCACGCCTGTAATCCCAGCACTTTGGGAGGCCAAGGCAGGCAGATCACAAGGTCAAAAGATGGAGACCATCCTGGCTGACACGGTGAAACCCTGTCTCTACTAAAAATACAAAAAAATTAGCCGGGCGTGGTGGCAGGCACCTGTAGTCCCAGCTACTCAGGAGGCTGAAGCAGGAGGATGGTGTGAACCCAGGAGGCGGAGCTTGCAGTGAGCCGGGATCGTGCCACTGCACTCCAGCCTGGGCGACAGAGCAAGACTCCATCTAAAAAATAAATAAATAAAAATGTTTCCAAGAAGTCAAGTGAGCATGACTAATATTGGTTTCCCTATTTCTCAAAAACCTGTCATGAACAGGGAACTTTTTTTTTTTTTGAGACTAGTCTCTCTCTATCGTCCAGGCTAGAGTGCAATGGCATGATCTCAACTCACGACAACCTCCGCCTCCCGGGTTCAAGTGATTCTCCTGCCTCAACCTCCTGAGTAGCTAGGATTACAGGCACGTGCCACCACGTCAGGCTAATTTTTGTATTTTTTTTAGTAGAGATGGGGTTTCACCATGTTGGTCAGGCTGGTCTCGAACTCCTGACCTCGTGATCCGCCCTCCTTGGCCTCCCAAAGTACTGGGATTACAGGCATGAGCCACCATGCCTGGCCAATACAGTACTCTTAAAAACCACGTAAGCATTCATGAGTTTTTATTATCTTTAAAACAGTATCAAAAATAGCATAGAAGTATAATGCAAAGTAATAGAAACAAAACACAATATGTATTTTAACTGATAGAACACTACTGATGGATTGTTCATCTTTTTAAAAATATTTTCTGGCTGGGCATGGTGGCTTACACCTATAATCCCAGCACTTTGGGAGGCCGAAGCAGACAGATCATTTGAGCTCAGGGGTTCGAGATCAGCCTGGGCAACATGGTAAAACCCCGTCTCTACAAAAATACAAAAATTAACTGGGTGTCGTGGCATGTGCCTTTAGTCCCAGCTACTCAGGAGGCTAAGGCAAGAGAATCGCTTGAGCACCAGAGGCGGAGGTTGCAGTGAGCCAAAGTTGCACCATCACACTCCAGCCTGGGTGACAGGAGTGAAACCGTGTCTCAAAATATATATATTTTTTTTTCTTTCCATTTTGTATTATAAAACTGACATACAAATTGAGATGAATAAGCCACTTCACCAAAGTAAAAGAATCAAATATCGAAAGAACTACTTCTGTAGAAGACTATCACTGTTTCCTTACTAAAAATGCAATGTCAAAATAAGTAACAGAAACTTATCAGTGGAATAAATGACAAACCGTCTCTATAATCCCTCACAGTAACTTAGTTCTAAGCAAGGTACAAGATAGTGTCAAGTAGATCTAATAGCTCTCATCACTCCATACTTAGAGACTCCCTGGGAGTATATTTGTTCATCATCCGGGTCTACTCCACACGCATCTGAAAATAGAAAGTCACACTAAGGATGAGAACCTACAAGATGTAATATTAGATGGCTCTAAAACAGCCTGCTACTAGTCAACCTTTCTCCAGAAATTCTTATTATCTACCTCTCCCCATACCTCATATAACCCCTTCTTCCAAACATACATCTATATCCACAGGCCCAGATGAAAACACTAATTTTCACTAACTTTACTCGTGTTCTTCCTCCTTTTTACAATACTTTTTGTCCATTCGCACTTCTTGTTCAGGTGCAGTATAATTTTCCTCTGCCTTATATTGTCTTCTCCAATGTCCTCCATCCTACACCTCAACATTAAAGAGAAATGTCTCTACCACTTTTCTTGGGCTTATGTTACTATTAGTCATTTTTTATGTATATGTATGCTTATCTTCTCTGATAAACTGTGAAGTCCTAGAGAAAAAAGACTGTATCTTATTTATTTCTCTGATAGTCTTAAATGGCATGTATCAAAAAATTTTGGTTACAAAGAGACACCATCTGCAATTGATTCATCTTGATGTGGTCACTGGGAAGCCAAGCTGCTCATAATCAGAAATGCCACGGTTGATGACTTGGTTACAGTACATAAAAACATCGTAGTCAAGTTTTTGGTGTAAAATTTATTTGAGCATTATGTAGCATCAGATAGGAAATTTATGCTCAAATGGTTAAAGGGAAAATAAGTTCTTTAGAATGTTCTTGTCTTTTATGAAATGCTGAAATTGTTTCAAAATAAAAACTTTGTTAAAAGGGCAAGAATAAAAAATCTTTACTGTCAATGTTATAGACAGGCCCAATAAAATATGAATTAAAAACATCAGATTTAATAACTAGATAATAATTTTGGGCAATTACTGTAGGAGCTAAAAAAACCGATGTGAGTTGGTGATACTATATTATTTAAGATGGTCACAGAAGTTCTAGACAATGAAATAAAGGGAAAAAAGAGAAATTAGTGTATAAGTATTGCAAAGGAGGGAAAAAAGTCATTTCACAAAGATGACAGTACTTTTTATATAGAAACTCCAAAAGAAGCGACTAAAAAATACTGAATACTGGTCAGCTAACAAAATATAAAAATTAGCTTTCCTAACAAAAAAGTATAAAAAGAAAATGGTAAAGATGGAAATCCCAATTAGCAATAAAATGTATGATAGCATTTTCCACCTATAAAAGTTTTAAGAGATTTTTTTAATAATAAAAAACAGCATTACACTAAAAATGTGATTGGAATAAAGTATTGTTACAAACTTTCCACAGAGTAATTTAGCCATTTTATGCCAAAAACCTTAAAAGTGCTCACAAATTTTGACTCTATAAATTGGAAAGGAGTTTTCCTAAAGATATAAGCAGAGGTGTATGCAAAGACTTACCTACATATGTTTGCTAAAGCATTTTACAAAACTAAAAATAACAAATAACCTAAATATCAAACCAAAAAAAGGACTGGTTAAATAAACTGTAGAAGAGTTATACAACAGGATTGTATGCCACTGATTGAAATAACAACGTAAAAAATGTGAATGGCCTGGAAACATGTTTTTGGCATAACATTAAATGAAAAATTTAGGTTATAACAAATTGTTTTTGTGTGCATATGTGTGAGTGTGTGTGTGTAAAGGAAGAAAAGACTCTCTAAAAGGTTGTACACCACAATGTTAACCGGTTTCAGTTCTGGATAAGATAAAGTAAACACTCCACCCTGTCTTTCCCAGTGACTGAAGCCATAAAACCTGGAGAGAATGTATGGAGCAGCTACTTCAGGGCTCTTAAAAAGTAAATAGTAGGCATGAGATGGGAAACAGGAACAAAAAACAGAGTGAACAAAGAAAAACAACAAATGAAATGGCAGAAGTAAATACAACCACATCAATAATTATAATCTAATTTAATCACATTGTGGTCAGAGAGAAAGATACATGATAGTGATGCTTTGAAATTTCTCAAGACTTCCTTTTCAACCAAGTCTTTGTTAATATCTGTAGATACTCAATGTGTGCATCAAAAGAAATGTATACTGTCTTATGTGCCTAGTGCAGAGTTTACATGTATCTACTAAAACAAAATTTTGATATCCAGTGAACTAATCTGGAGATTTTTTTTCCCTGCTTGATTTATGACATTTCAAAGTCACATTGTTAGGTCCATACAAAGTCAATGTGTATCTTCTGGAGAACTATATATTTTATTATAATTTAGTATCTTTATTACCTATCTCCATTAATGTTTTTTGTCTTTAGTTTTCTTATTTTTGCCTCATTTTTATATGAAAGATACAGATTTATTTTTGGCTACTATTTGTCTCTTATATTATCTCCCATACTTTCATTTTTGATCTGTCTTGCCTCTGTTTCATGTGTGTGTTCAGAAGCCACACACACCTGGACATGACAACTCCCTCCTTTTAGTGCCCAAAAGATATTACTTGTGGTTCATTAGAGCTCATCTTCCTTTGGCTTTGTACTGTGATTGATAGTTTAAAAGGCTCCTATCCTAAACAGTTAACTCTTTGAGGGCAAAAATAGCCCTCAATGAGCTGCTCTAGCATATTATTCAAATAGTGATACACATTTAGGGAAATAAACAGCCTGTCTCCACTAAACAATAATTTGAAATTCAGTCAAATTAAAATGAAATAAAGGCTCTCTAATGATCACGTTTTCTGTAATAAAATATAAACATCAGCTATCTTGAAGGTTATTAACAAAATAATACTTTGAAGCATAATCCATTTAAGAATGGATTGATACATTAATAAGAAAGAACACCTGTATGGCAGAGAAGCTAGCTATCCATCAATAATTTGTGCTCCCACTTCAGGAATGTGGAATTGCTACTGAGATTTAACTTCTAAGTCATAAGTAATATCCCTGCAAATAGTTCTCCTCAATGAAATTTGATCAGAGGAATATGTATCACTTCCAGCCTGGGGATATTAAGAAGCAGATAGGTCTTCTCCAGACTCTTTCCTCTTGAAAAGGCTGAAAGCAGCAGAATCCAAAGTCTGGCCTAAAAGATACCAGAGTCTCAAGATAAAAGTACCTTGGGCTTGGTACAGTGGTTTACACCTGTAATCCCAGGACCCAATTTGTTCTGAAGTCATGTAGCAAGTACATATGCACATATAGCTTAAAAGTTTTATGATACTAAAAATATATATTCTACAAAGTACTAAAACAATGATCAATTTTTTTTTTTTTTTTTTGAGACAGAGTATCACTCTGTCACCCAGGCTGGAATGCAGTAGCATGATCTTGGCTCACTGTAACCCCCACCTCCCAGGTTCAAGTGATTCTCCTGCCTCAGCCTCCCGAGTAGCTGAGATTACAGGTGCACACCACCACACCCGGCTAATTTTTGTATTTTTAGCAGAGACATGGCTTCACCATGTTGGCCAGGCTGGTCTCAAACTCCTGACCTCAAGTAATCCACCCGCCTCAGCCCCCCAAAGCACTGGGATTACAGGCATGAGCCACCATGCCCGGCCAAAAATTGAAATTTGGTTTTATTGATCCCATTAGAAGTTACCTGGTGGTAAGTCAGGATCTGTAGGAGCAGCCTGCTGCATTCTCCGCGGTTTGATTGATGATTTTGTGCTCTCAGCAGTACTACGGTTGGTAGAATTAGAACCACAGCTTTCATGGTCATCCTATTTTTATTTTAAAGAAAGAAAAAGAAAACCATCGATCATACTCAAGAATTAAGAAAAAAAATTTTTTAATATATGCAGTTTATGGTAGCTACAGGAGATAAGATCAACATAATTTTATTTTTTAGCTCTAAAAACTACATAACCAATTTTCATAATTTGCATTCTCAAACAGCATTTAAAAAATATTAATAACTCATAGTTTAAAACTATAAATTCTTCTTTCTTTAGCTGATATCAAAACAAACTACTTGACAATCTCCAAAGAATTCTTATTTATGGCTCTAGCAAAAGAAAAAATGACTTAATGAAAGCCTTTAAACAACATCCATCTCTATGTAAGTGCAAAATAAATAAAAAGGTTCTTAATTTTTCCCCATTTGTTGTTTATATGTTAAAACACTATTTTCAATCCAAGCTATCTTGGTCATCTTTAATGATTAATCTTAATAATCCTTATAATCCTCTCCTAAACAATGTATACTAAACAATGTATACTAAATTATCATTCATGTTAGGTATAAGTTTTAACTGGGTTTCAATATGAGTAACAGAAACAAATAAATTATACATATTTTTGAAATTTATCCCTGTATTTATAACTGCAAATGAGTACTTTTTTCCTGTCCTGATTCAACATGTATATAATACTCTTACATGCCAAATTGCTGGATTTACAAGGATAAATTAGATATATTTATCTTTGTATCCTGTCCTTAGGGACTTCAGAATCTATCGAACACATGTATAACTAATTCTACAAAAGCAATACTTTTTGTTTGTTTGTTTGTTTTTAAGTAATAAGGAGTATAAAAAGAGTCATTCTGTTTGGAAGAACTAGAAAGATCAGGCCATTCAAAATCAAATGTAGAAATGTTTTAGGTTTAGACTGGGGCTAAATGAGGGGTGGTGGGAGGAACCATAAGCAAAAGCAAAACAGTATCAACGTATGTAGCACGTACAAAGAATGATGATTAGTCAAATAAGGCCAGAGTATACAGTGTCTAAGATGGAAGAAGTTAAAGGCACAGACCTTTCAATAAAAATGGGGTAATGTTAACAACTATAGAGATATTCTTAGTCCTCATTCTAGTTGACCTGTTTCAGGATTTGGTAATTAGGAGGAGGCTGCCACTAACCTATTAGAAAGGTGATTTAGCAGTTCCCACAGAGGGAGAGAAGTGGGAGCAGTAAATGAGTAGCTCAGAGTGAATGAGAAGTTACCATGGAGTCAATTAAAATAAATTGCTCTTTCACGAAGATAGGCATTACGAAGAGAAAATAGGTAGAGTAGTAACATGAGGGAAGATCAGCTGGCAACTAACTTCTTGTTCCTTTTTTAAGGATAAAAGAATACATTTTTGCTTGAAGTAAAGATGCACATGTGGAGTGAGAGATCAAAGATACCAACACAAAGGGTAGCTGAGAGTGCATTGCGCACCATGAATTCATTAATCAATAATAACACTATTTTATAATACTTACAAGAATGGTATTAAATTTAGTTTTTCTACTTTATATATTTGAAGGGAAAATTTCAAGAGCATATAAAAGAATAATCATCACTAGTTTACCAAACTAACAGGGTACTAGAGGCAAATAAGAACGACAATAAGACCTCTTTAAGAAAACTTTTATTCACTATCACACTAAGAGAAATATACAATAAAAGGTGTTTTACAAAACAGCATGGCTTCAGATGGTAGTGATACGTTAGAAAAAAATTTGTTTGAAACTTCATACAAGCAAAAAGACTTGCAACCATAAACAACACTGAAAATTTTCTCATGAACTTATGTTCATTTTAAGTTAATGAAAAACAAACATCACAGGTTTCATTCCACAAAATAACTTCACTATTCAATATTCATAAAGACATCTTCTGTTATTTGGGGGATGTTACAGTCTTAAATACTAAAAGACTACTACTGTGAATAAAGCCTCACTGTAATTACTTTTAGTTCAACTTAAATCCTTAAAAATGTCCATAGTCATACACTTCTGCACAACATTAACATTAAAAGCACATTATTAATTTTTGAAACATATGGTTGTCTCAGAAGCCCAGAAGTAAAACATGTTCATTAAAAAGATGTGAAAAAGTTCCAAGTGAACTGCCAAAACTAGCATAATTATGAAAATATTTAACACTGAAACCATCTGAAATCACATACTGTATATAGATTATGGTGATGTCATAATAAACATTCCAGCCAAAATGCACTAAAACTACTGCAGTCCAATAAATCTGGCATATGTGAGATGACAAACATTTTAAAGCAAAAGAAAGAACAAGTTATTTTTACTCTATTTTTTAAAAATTATTAGCAGCAAAATGGGATTAAATGAAAACGATGAGTTTTCAAATTTTTGTTAAAAAAAAGTGAGTAAAGGTCTATTCAGAGATTCGACTTCTTCCTGGTTTAGTCTTGGGAGAGTGTCTGTGTCGAGGAATTTATCCATTTCTTCTAGATTTTCTAGTTTATTTGTGTAGAGGTGTTTGTAGTATTCTCTCAACCCAAATGTCCAACAATGATAGACTGGATTAAGAAAATGTGGCACATATACACCATGGAATACTATGCAGCCATAAAAAACGATGAGTTCATGTCCTTTGTAGGGACATGGATGAAATTGGAAATCATCATTCTCAGTAAACTATCACAAGACCAGAAAACCAAACACCGCATATTCTCACTCATAGGTGGGAATTGAACAATGAGAACACATGGACACAGGAAGGGGAACATCGCACTCTGGGGACTGTTGTGAGGTGGGGGGAGGGGGGAGGTATAGCACTGGGAAATATACCTAATGCTAGATGACAAGTTAGTGGGTGCAGCGCACCAGCATGGCACATGTATACATATGTAACTAAACTGCACATTGTGCACATGTACCCTAAAACTTAAAGTATAATAATAATAAATAAATAAAAAAAATTTAAAAAAAAAAATTTCCAAATTTGAGGTGCTTTGAATAGCATAGACTCCCAGAGTATGCAGTGTAAAGAACTCTAAGTGAGATATGTTTGTCCACTTTTGTATTTAACTCTTCATAACTTTCACATTTCTTAATGAGGCTGTTCTTTTTCAAGTGCTGTTCTTTCCAGTAACCAAATCCTCTTTGGGGTTTTCCTGTTGTCTTAATTAAAGATACTGTATTTGATTGATTTAATTATCTCTCTACATCATAAAATTTATAATATTATTTGTATAGACATCTTTAGGAGTCATTCAGTGTAATTTTAAAAATAAGTGCTTGACATATTTAATTTGTGGTGCCATTGATTTTACCAATATAAAATATACCAAAGTATACAAAATGTATATAATACATAGCAATTAAATAATGATAGCACTGAAAAAAAAAAAGTGAGTAAAGCTTCCCTGCAAACTACATGTATTTATTATTCAAAAGAAAAACAAACTAAATAACTTTATTTGCCTAAACAAAATTTATTTTAAAAACTTGAAATTTTGGTGTGCTTAAAAAATGAGCATTAATCATGGTACTCATAGGAATATATACTATAAACCAAACATTACCAAACATGTAAACACTTCTTTCTTAATTATGGTTAGGAAACTTTGACAATGTATATACTATAATTAGAAATTAATCCTTTCAATGATTTGAACTTGCTTTCATTTCAATTACATTTTAGTTGTATCAAATAAAAGTGAGTTTCCATTCAAATCATGCCCCAATCAAATTAAATAAATAAAAATAAAGCAAAATAAGAATAATTATAATATTTACTATTAAGACTGAAATTACTTCCATTAGTTTTGAATTCATCATCTGCTTTTAACCAGTAGGCATCACTGTGGACCATTACACAGTTTTCGTTCATTGAAAGCCCTTAATTACTAATAAAAGAAACTCTGTTCTCAAAAATACCAGCTAAAATATTTTAAGATAATCTTTAACACCAAAAGCATTACAGTCATATCTTATTTAGGTTGCAATTTTCCAAAATGTCTGGTAAGTATATTTCATGGCCAAAGAATGTTTTCTCTTGGGGACCACATAGCTATTTCTGAAAATACTGCCATTTGCTCCTCATGAAACAAGCAAGAATGTCATTTCCTTACAAAAGTTCCTAACAGAGGAAAAATGTGTGGCAAACACTGCACGTAAACAGATCCATTACTTTCATACTGACAGATCATGAGTTCATGTTACTCACTTTTCTCCCTGTCCCTCACAGGGTTTGTCAACTAAAACTAGAAAACCATCAACTCCCAGATTCACAATAGTGTGAATAACATTTAGAATAAAACTGAAAACAAGTGACTACATCATTGAAGTCCTTGTCTAAAACTACAGAGCAAGAGGTTAAGATGCAGGAAAGAGCTGAAGAAGGAGAAAGTGGACAGTGAAACTAAGAGGTGATGTACTTTATGCTCTTCAACCCTGTGGCACCAAACTTCGCAAGCAGAAAAGAACTAAGACTCACCTGTCAGCTCTGGTCACCAAAGGGGCTTAGAAATGAACTGCTACAAGGCTTTTAGGAACATTCACCTCTATCCTCTCCAGTAGCAAGTACAATGACAACAGCCAGATGCAATAAAGAATCTCTGAGAGTAATACTGCACACTTCAAAGACAGAAAGCTAAATAAAGTCATTTACTCAGAGGTACACTTGGAGAGCACAAGAGAGAGCCAGGGAAAACACATTCACTAACTTTCATGGTAAAAATAGAAATCTGACTCAACTCTACCTTAACAGCAATATTTAAAACCTTAACTTTAGTCATAAAAAATATATATATCAAGCATGCTTAAATAAAGAGGAATATATAGCACCAATCTCTTCACACATCAACTTTAGTCCACAAGGGAGGCTGTTTCCATCTTCTATCAAGGGTGGAAAAAAGGGGTTATGACAGGCTGGAAAAAGGAAAAAGAAATGACCCTCCCTTGTATTCTTTTCATTTGATCATCTCAAAGGAAGATATAACTAACCTTAATGACCAAAAGCTGAACATTCATTGGGCCACATTTTAACAATAAAAGAGATCACCATATTCACTGTGAACACTTCTATGTGCTTTTCTAATCTCTGCTCTTCTAATCTCTGAGACCCATGCTACTCAGTAAAAGGACCAGAGTCATTTTCCCAGATGACTCAACCATTAGCCATCTCTCCTCTGCCTTCTTTTCACCCACATAGCCCCCGACCCATGATACTGCCCCAGCCACAGAATAATCAAACTATTAAACTATGCCAGAACATATATCAGAGAAATTGCAAAACATGTTATGAAAAATTTGTTCTTTATTGCTACCTATGACATTCCTTTCCTTCATATTGGTGGGTATGTGGGTGTGTATCCGATTGCCACCTCCCTCTCCCACTTTTTTTAAACCACAGAATTGAAACTGTGAGATCCACTCTAAGATTTAGAAGGTGAAATAGGCAGAAATTCAGGGAGGAAGAAAAAAAAAGTAAATACAGAACTACTCTGGTCTAAACCACATTCTACCATCTAATTTTTACCAAATTCACTGGGGGGAACTGGGTTATTGAACAGATTAATTTAACTGCACTTTGTTTTCTTGTATATAACTTCCCTCAGCAAAAGATGTCTGAGCAAAGAAAAGTATGTGTTAGGCACCTTCAGGAAAAAAAAATTTAAAAAAAGTAGTAAAATTGATACCTTTATCTAAGTATTTTACCTATTTACTCAAATAACAAAACCTATGTAAACACTAAAAAGTTAGTAATTTAAGAGTTAATCAGGCCAGGCATGGTGGCTCACACCTATAATCCCAGCACTTTGGGAAGCAGGTGGATTGCCTGAGGTTAGGAGTTCGAGACCAGTGTGGCCAACATGGTGTAACCCTGTCCCTTCTAAAACTTCAAAAAAATTAGCTGGGCGTGGTGCTTTGCACCTGTAATCCCAGCTACTCAGGAGGCTGAGGCAGGGGAATCACTTGAACCAGGGAAGTAGAGGTTGCAGTGAGCCAAGATCGCACCACTGCACTCCTGCCTGGGTGACAGAGAGAGACTCTGTGTGAAAAAAAAAAAAAAAAAAGTTTATGATTATACATGTCACAAAGAAATAGCAGTTACTAGGCAGCAAGTATTTCAAGGATAAGAAAAGTAGAGCTTCTCTTAAGAAAAGTGGAGAGTAGGCATAAACTAAAAATAAAATCCTTAGCCCCCAAAACTATCTGAATGGACCCCTCCGCTCAAGCCATAGGCATTCCAAACTTAACCTGAAAAACTACTTCAGGCTATGATGGGAGTGGGAGGTCAGACATGCCTCATTATACCCGCCTCTCCTTGAAATTCAGGCACAACTGACCAGTATTAACATTAAAACAGAAATCTTAAGACTTTTTGTAGCAATAAGACACCAAATTCTACCCTGACTCTAGTATTGCATCACATGACAGATCACAGGCCCTGAAAGAAATCAAAGTATAACCCTTATACATATTTTGAAATGGCCCTATAAAGCTGTCTCTTGTGGGGAAAATCTATATTCTGTAGAGAATCCCTTTCCCTTTCCTGGTGGTCTTTTCTCTGATACAGGAGAGAATTAACTAAGAGTCTGGCACCTTTTTAAGTGTGATTAAGAAACATTTACAATCTATTCTTTCTGAAGCCTGCTACCTGGAAACTTCATCTGCATAATAAGAACTTTGTTCTCCACAATCCCTTATCTGAACTCAGACACTCCCTTCTATGGATTCCAGGTCTTTAGATAAATTCTTTCAACCAACTGCAAATCTTTGATTCCACCTATTACTTGGAAGCCCCTTCCTCCTAACGTTGTCCTGCTTTTCCAGACCAAACCAATGTACATTTGATATATATTGATTGATGTCTTATGTCTCCATAAAATGCACAAAACCAAGGTGTAGCCTGACCACCTTGGGCACACGTCATCAGGACGTCCTGAGGCTTGTCCTTAACCTTGGCAAAATAAACTTCTAAATTGAGACTTGTCTCAAATGCTTTTTGGTTTACAAACAGAAGGAAGGAAGGCAGGGATGGATGAAAAAGAGACAAACAGAAAAAACATTGTAACACTTTCAATATGTCACATACTGCTAAAGACATTATGTTCATATCTCAATCCTCCTAATCGACTCTATGAATGCAAGAATATCCTCATTTTATAGATGAAGAAACGAAGGCATAAAGAGATTAAATGCTTCAAAATCACACAGCTATTAAATGCCCAATACTAACCACTTTGCCCTACTGCCTCCCTATGAGAAAAAGGGAACTGAAAAATATAATACTAAATTAACAACCTATCCTTTCCTAACCTATCCAACCTAACCTTTCCTTATCCTGAGAAAAGAAAAATCAGAGTGAGATTGAGTAGTCAGGAAAACATCACAAAGAACAAGAGATTTGAAAAGACTGTACCTGCAGGAATGAAAAAGGAAAAGTTGAACAAGGCAAGGTAACATGCCTTACTGAAATGATAATGGATAGCCCAATTTAGGTTAAATAGAGAGCAGTGAAATATCAAGCTGTAAAAAGAAACTAGGGCAAATGGCAGAGGGCCTATTAGTCCAAGAAATTTAAACTTTATTCTATATATTAAACAAGCCAATTAAACTTATGAATGGGAGAATAAAAAGATGAAGTATTTCATTTAGGAAGAAGACTCTTCTGAGTATTTGGCCAAGAGCAAAAGCAGAAACATTAGCAATAGATTATTATAAAAGTTTAGAAATTAAATAATGAGGGAAGTAGCACTGAGAAAAAATTTTTTTATGTGAGCACCTCAAATTGAACACGTCTAAAACAAAACTCATAACTCTGCAACTGATTCAGCTCCTTTTTCCCCTTCTCCCATTGTTTCCCCCAAAATCCTCTGTCCTTTATTCCCTAATTCAGTTAATGACACTATTATCTTCTCAGTCTCCTAAGAAAGAAGAATATAATCTAACTTTTATGTCTGCTCTAACATTGCAAAATGATGCTAATGAGATCTGCAAATTTCAGAACAGAAAAACAGATGCCTGACCATGAGTCATATAAGACAACACTAATCTCTAAGCTCTACACTACCCAGGAAATTACCAATTGATTTTTTTTTTAAGATCTGATATTTAAGGTTAAATGGTAAATTCAATTTTTTTTTTTTTTTTTTTTGAGACAGGGTCTCACTCTGTCACTCAGTCTGGAGTACAGTGGCGCAATCTCGGCTCACTGCAACCTCTGCCTCGGGGGTTCAAGCAATTCTCCTGCCTCAACCTCCCGAGTAGCTGGGATTACACGTGCATGCCACCACGCCCAGCTAATTTTTGTATTTTCAGTAGAGATGGGGTTTCACCATATTGGCCAGGCTGGTCTCGAACTCCTGACCTTAACTGATCTACCTGCTTCGGCCTCCCAAAGTGCTGGGTTTACCGACATGAGCCACTGCGCCCAGCCTAATAAATTCAATTTTTGATAGGTGGTATTTCTAGTAAAGGCATGACATACAATTATATATGTGCACAGGAAAGCTGAATGTGTACTAGAAGAGACTGAAAGAGATCAGTTATATAAAGACTTAGGACTCATTTAAAATACAAGTTATACTTGAAACAGGGCTTTGTAGCATATTCCTATAATCCCAGCTACTCAGGAGGCTGAGGGTGGAGAACTGCTTGAACCAAAGAATTGGCAGCCAGGCTGGGCTACATAAACAGACCCAGTCTATAAAAAAAAAAAAAAACAAAAAAACAGTGGGTGGAGCCAAGATGGCTGAATAGGAACAACGCCAGTCTACAGCTCCCAACATGAGCGATGCAGAAGACAGGTGATTTCTGCATTTCCAACTGAGGTACCGGGTTCATCTCACTGGGGAGTGTCAGAAAGTAGATGCAGGACAGTGGGTGCAGCGTACCAAGCGTGGGCCGAAGCAGGGTGAGGCACTGCCTCACCCTGGAAGTGCAAGGGGTCAGGGAATTCCCTTTCCTAGTCAAAGAAAGGGGTGACAGACGGCACCTGGAAAATCAGGTCACTCCCACCCTAATACTGTGCTTTTCCAACGGTCTTAGCAAACGGCACACCAGGAGATTAAATCCCGCACATGGCTGGGTGGGTCCTACGCCCACAGAGCCTCGCTGATTGCTAGCACAGCAGTCTGAGATCAAACTGCAAGGGGGCAGCGAGGCTGGGGGAGGGGGCGCCCGCCATTGCTGAGGCATGAGTAGGTAAACAAAGCGGCCTGGAAGCTCAAACTGGGTGGAGCCCACCACAGCTCAAGGAGGCCTGCCTGCCTCTGTAGACTCCACCTCTGCGGGCAGGGCATAGCCAAACAAAGGTAGCAGAATCCTCTGCAGACTTAAATGTCCCTGTCTGACAGCTTTGAAGAGAGTAGTGGTTCTCCCAGCACACAGCTGCAGATCTGAGAACCGACAGACTGCCTCCTCAAGTGGATCCCTGACCCCCGAGTAGCCTAACTGGGAGGCACCCCCCAGCAGGGGCAGACTGACACCTCACACAGCCCGGTACTCCTCTGAGACAAAGCTTCCAGAGGAACAATCAGGCAGCAACATTTGCTGTTCACCAATATCCACTGTTCTGCAGCCTCCGCTGCTGATACCCAGGCAAACAGGGTCTGGAGTGGACCTCCAGCAAACCAACAGACCTGCAGCTGAGGGTCCTGACTGTTAGAAGGAAAACTAACAAACAGAAAGAACATCCACACCAAAACCCCATCTGTACATCACCATCATCAAAGACCAAAGGTAGATAAAACCACAAAGATGGGGATAAAACACAACAGAAAAACTGGAAACTCTAAAAATCAGAGCACCTCTCCTCCTCCAAAGGAACGCAGCTCCTCACCAGCAATGGAACAAAGCTGGACGGACAATGACTTTGACGATTTGAGAGAA
Source organism: Homo sapiens (assembly GCF_000001405.40). NCBI lineage: Eukaryota > Metazoa > Chordata > Mammalia > Primates > Hominidae > Homo > Homo sapiens. The sequence goes on along the minus strand of NC_000008.11, from coordinate 99,086,447 downwards.
GAAGGCTTCAGACGATCAAACTACTCTGAGCTAAAGGAGGAAGTTCGAACCAATGGCACAGAAGTTACAAACCTTGAAAAAAAATTAGACGAATGACTAACTAGAATAATCAATGCAAAGAAGTCCTTAAAGGATCTGATGGAGCTGAAAACCAAGGCACAAGAACTACATCATGAATGCACAAGCCTCAGTAGCCGATTCAATCAATTGGAAGAAAGGGTATCAGTGATGGGAGATCAAATGAATGAAATGAAGCCAGAAGAGAAGTTTAGAGAAAAAAGAATAAAAAGAAATGAACAAAGCCTCCAAGAAATATGGGACTATGTGAAAAAACCAAATCTATGTCTCACTGGTGTATCTGAAAGTGACAGGGAGAATGGAAACAAGTTGGAAAACACTCTGCAGGATATTATACAGGAGAACTTCCCCAATCTAGCAAGGCAGGCCAACATTCAAATTCAGGAAATACAGAAAACGCAACAAAGATACTCCTCGAGAAGAGCAACATAATTGTTGCTCCAAGACACATAATTGTCACATTCACCAAAGTTGAAATGAAGGAAAAAATGTTAAGGGCAGCCAGAAAGAAAGGTCGGGTTACCCACAAAGTGAAGCCCATCAGACTAACAGCTGATCTCTCGGCAGAAATCAACAAGCCAGAAGAAAGTGGGGCCAATATTCAACGTTCTTAAAGAAAATAATTTTCAACCCAGAATTTCATATCCAGCCAAATTAAGCTTGACAAGTGAAGGAGAATAAAATCCTTTACAGACAAGCAAATGCTGAGAGATTTTGTCACCACCAGGCCTGCCCTAAAAGAGCTCCTGAAGGAAGCACTAAACATGGAAAGGAAAAACCAGTACTACACACTGCAAAAACATGCCAGACTGTAAACACCATCGATGCTAGGAAGAAAATCCATCAACTAACAAAATAATCAGCTAACATCATACTGACAGGATCAAATTCACACATAACAATATTAACCTTAAATGTAAATGGGCTAAATGCTCCACTTAAAAGACACAGACTGGCAAATCGGATAAAGAGTCAAGAACCATTAAGTGTGCTGTATTCAGGAAACCCATCTCATGTGCAGAGACACACATAGGCTCAAAATAAAGGGATGGAGGAAGATCTACCAAGCAAATGGAAAACAAAAAAAGGCAGGGGTTGCAATCCTAGTCTCTGATAAAACAGACCTTAAACCAACAAAGATCAAAAGAGACAAAGAAGGCCATTACATAATGGTAAAGGGATCAATTCAACGACAAGAGCTAACTATCCTAAATATATATGCACCCAATAAAGGAGCACCCAGATTCATAAAGCAAGTCCTTAGAGACCTACAAAGAGACTTAGACTCCCATACAATAATAATGGGAGATGTTAACACCCCACTGTCAACATCACACAGATCAACGAGACAGAAATTAACAAGGATATCCAGGAATTGAACTCAACTCTGCACCAAGCAGACCTAATAGACATCTACAGAACTCTCCACCCCAAATCAACAGAATATACATTCTTCTCAGCACCACGCCGCACTTATTCCAAAATTGATCACATAGTCGGAAGTAAAGCACTCCTCAGCAAATGTAAAAGAACAGTAATTATAACAAACTGTCTCTCAGACCACAGTGCAGTCAAACTAGAACTCAGGATTCAGAAACTCACTCAAAGCCACTCAACTACATGGAAACTGAACAACCTGCTCCTGAATGACTACTGGCTACATAACAAAATGAAGGCAGAAATAAAGATGTTCTTTGAAACCAATGAGAACAAAGACACAACATACCAGAATCTCTGGGACACATTCAAAGCAGTGTGTAGAGGGAAAATTATAGCGCTAAATGCCCACAAGAGAAAGCAGGAAAGATCTAAAATTGACACCCTAACATCACAATTAAAAGAACTAGAGAAGCAAGAGCAAACACATTCAAAAGCTAGCAGAAGGCAAGAAATAACTAAAATCAGAGCAGAACTGAAGGAAACAGAGACACAAAAAACCCTTCAAAAAATTAAAGAATCCAGGAGCTGGTGTTTTGAAAAGATCAACAAAATTGATAGACTGCTAGCAAGAGTAATAAAGAAGAAAAGAGAGAAGAATCAAATAGACGCAATAAAATATGATAAAGGGGATATCACCACCAATCCCACAGAAATACAAACTATCATCAGAGAATACTACAAACACCTCTGCGCAAATAAACTAGAAAATCTAGAAGAAATGGATAAATTCCTCGACACACCCTCCCAAGACTAACCCAGGAAGAAGTTGAATCTCTGAATAGACCAATAACAGGCTCTGAAATTGAGGCAATAATTAATAGCTTACCAACCAAAAAAAGTCCAGGACCAGATGGATTCACGGCCGAATTCTACCAGAGGTACAAGGAGGAGTTGGTACCATTCCTTCTGAAACTATTCCAATCAATAGAAAAAGAGGGAACCCTCCCTAACTCATTTTATGAGGCCAGCATCATCCTGATACCAAAGTCTGGCAGAGACACAATACAAAAAGACAATTTTAGACCAATATCCCTGATGAACATCTATGCAAAAATCCTCAATAAAATACTGGCAAACCGAATCCAGCAGCACATCAAAAAGCTTATCCACCAAGATGAAGTTGGCTTCATCCCTGGGATGCAAGGCTGGTTCAACATACGCAAATCAATAAACGTAATCCATCACGTAAACAGAACCAACGACAAAAACCATATGATTATCTCAATAGATGCAGAAAAGGCCTTTGACAAAATTCAACAACGCTTCATGCTAAAAACTCTCAATAAATTATGTATCGATGGGACATATCTCAAAATAATAAGAGCTATCTATGACAAACCCACAGCCAACATCATATTGAATGGGCAAAAACTGGAAGCATTCCCTTTGAAAACTGGCACAAGACAGGGATGCCCTCTCTCACCACTCCTATTCAACATAGTGTTGGAAGTTCTGGCCAGGGCAATCAGGCAGGAGAAGGAAATAAAGGGTATTCAATTAGGAAAAGGGGAAGTCAAATTGTCCCTGTTTGCAGATGACATGATTGTATATCTAGAAAACCCCATCGTCTCACCCAAAATCTCCTTAAGCTGATAGGCAACTTCAGCAAAGTCTCAGGATACAAAATCAATGTGCAAAAATCACAAGCATTCCTATACACCAATAACAAACAGAGAGCCAAATCATGAGTGAACTCCCATTCACAATTGCTTCAAAGGAATAAAATACCTAGGAATCCAACTTACAAGGGATGTGAAGGAGCTCTTCAAGGAGAACTACAAACCACTGCTCAGTGAAATAAAAGAGGATACAAACAAATGGAAGAACATTCCATGCTCATGGGTAGGAAGAATCAATATCATGAAAATGGCCATACTGCCCAAGGTAATTTATAGATTCAATGCCATTCCCATCAAGCTACTGATGACTTTCTTCACAGAATTGGAAAAAACTACTTTAAAGTTCATATGGAACCAAAAAAGAGCCCGCATTGCCAAGTCAATCCTAAGCAAAAAGAACAAAGCTGGAGGCATCAGGCTACCTGACTTCAAAGTATACTACAAGGCTACAGTAAGCAAAACAGCATGGTACTGGTACCAAAACAGAGATGTAGATCAATGGAACAGAACAGAGCCCTCAGAAATAATGCCACATATCTACAATCATCTGATCTTTGACAAACCTGACAAAAACAAGAAATGGGGAAACGATTCCCTATTTAATAAATGGTGCTGAGAAAACTGGCTAGCCATATGTAGAAAGCTGAAACTGGATCCCTTCCTTACACCTTATACAAAAATTAATTCAAGATGATTAAAGACTTAAATGTTAGACCTAAAACCATAAAAACCCTAGAAGAAAACCTAGGCAATACCATTCAGGACACAGGCATGGGCAAGGACTTCACGTCTAAAACACCAAAAGCAATGGCAACAAAAGCCAAAATGGACAAATGGGATGTAATTAAACTAAAGAGCTTCTGCACAGCAAAAGAAACCACCATCAGAGTGAACAGGCATCCTACAGAATGGGAGAAAATTTTTGCAATTTACTCATCGGACAAAGGGCTAATATCCAGAATCTACAATGAACTCAGACAAATTTACAAGAAAATAACAAACAACTCCATCAAAAAGTGGGCAAAGGATATGAACAGACACTTATCAAAAGAAGACATTTATGCAGCCAAAAGACACATGAAAACATACTCATCATCACTGGCCATCAGAGAAATGCAAATCAAAACCACAATGAGATACCATCTCATACCAGTTAGAATGGCACTCATTAAAAAGTCAGGAAACAACAGGTGCTGGAGAGGATGTGGAGAAACAGGAACACTTTTACACTGTTGGTGGGACTATAAACTAGTTCAACCACTGTAGAAGTCAGTGTGGCGATTCCTCAGGGATCTAGAACTAGAAATACCATTTGACCCAGCCATCCCATTACTGGGTATATACTCAAAGGATTATAAATCATGCTGCTATAAAGACACATGCCCATGTATGTTTATTGAGGCACTATTCACAACAGCAAAGACTTGGAACCAACCCAAATGTCCAACAATTATAGACTGGATTAAGAAAATGTGGCACATATACACGATGGAATACTATGCAGCCATAAAAAATGATGAGTTAATGTCCTTTGTAGGGACATGGATGAAGTTGGAAACCATCATACTCAGCAAACTATCGCAAGGACAAAAAACCAAACACTGCATGTTCTCACTCATAGGTGGGAATTGAACAATGAGAACACATGGACATACGACGCGGAACATCACACACCGGGGCCTGTTGTGGGGTGGGGGCCTGTTGTGGGGTGGGGGCCTGTTGTGGGGTTGGGGGAGGGGGGAGGGATAGCATTTGGAGATATACCTAATGTTAAATGACGAGTTAATGGGTGCAGCACACCAACATGGCACATGTATACATATGTAACAAACCTGCACGTTGTGCACGTGTACCCTAAAACTTAAAGTATAATAAAAAAAGTAATCTTTGAAGCTTTTAGATTTCCAATAAAAAGAAAAAAGGATTTATACTTCTGATAAAGGCTGACTAGATAAAAACATTGAGGATGGGGGAGGACAAGAAATACTAGCAATAACATAAAAAAGAGAAAAATTTTAACCAGACTCAAAGCATTTAGTCAGATTGAGAAAGACAGGTGGCCATGCAAAAGATGTAAAACCTGGCAGAGGCAGATGAAGAATAAAGAGAACTGAAAATTGTCATGTAAGGATGGGAGACTGTTACCAAGCTCAACGCTTAAAACCAGTAACAGAGTGAATCCCCAATTTTGAAGGAGGCAGAAAAAACTTACTGCCAACCACTGCCTAGAATTTAACATGAAGTTATGTATAAAGGGTGTCAGAAGTAAACAAACCTCATGAAAAACGAAATAAGCAATGCTTTGCTATCACCCAATACAGCAATGCAAGAGCCTTGAACTGTCAAGGTAAAACTGGATTCTAGACCATAGACCAGAGGAAGTAACTATAACACTAACAATGAGCAGAGGAAGGGCTTGAGTAAGACAAGAAGAAGATGGTGAAATAGAGAGATAATGACCTTTCTGTTAAAAATAACCTTACAAACCACCATTCTAAAGCACACGAAGAAATCTAATGCTAAGACAGCTAAGGAAATCAACAAAATTAAGTCACAATAAAATTAATCTTCTAGAACAGCCTTAAACAATCTTACAACAATTGTGTTTAGGATTCTCAGAGATACTTGAATAATATCTATGCAAACAAACACAAAATATAAAGTAAGTGGGGAAATTACCTCCACCCCACATTATGATTTATTTTAGAACCATAATAATTTAAACAAGCCAATGGAACAGAGGAGAGCCCAGAAACAGATCGTGATATATATGGATACATGGAATATGACACAGGTAGCATTATAAATCAGAGGGGAAGAGAAACAATTCAAATGGTACAGGAAGAACCAGTTAGACATATAAAGTGCCATACCTTACACTATACAGGAAAACAAACCCCACTGATTAAAAGATATAAATTAAAAAATAAAGGTTTAAAATTACTACAAGAAACCATAGGAAATTTTATTATGACCACAGGTCAGTTGAAAATTTCACATGAAACAAAAAAGCAAAAAATACAAAAGCAAGAAAAATACAAAAACCAGAAAAACCCAACTTCATTAAGACAAAAATAAGCTATTCTACACAAAAGACACACTAAAGAAAGTTAAAGGAAAATCCAAAGAGTGACAGAATATATTTGCAATACACCTAACATGCAACAAAATTAAGTATTCTGAATAATGACCCCTGCAGTAAGAAAAAGACAAAATAAAAGAAACATTAATGTTATATATAATTTATATGATATAGATAATATACAATATAATACACAAGTATATATTTACACATTATTAATTATAATATGATACATTATTAAGAAAACTAAAAAAACTTGAACAGGCAATTTTTTTAAAATGAAAACTACTTTTTTTTTTTTTTGAGATGGAGTTTCGCTCTTGTTGCCCAGGATGGAGCACAGGGGCGCCATCTCGGCTCACCACAACCTCCACCTCCCGGGTTCAAGCGATTCTCCTGCCTCAGCCTCCCGGAAAACCACTTTTTATGATAAAAATGTAAGTAAAAATGATGATGAGCTAACATTTCAAAACCACTCAACTGGCAAAATTCAAGTATGAAACTATCAAGTATTGATTTCACTATAGACAAACAGAAATTCTCTTACAGTGTAACCTAAAAAAACAATTTTATATTAAGGGGAAAATCAATGTACATAAACTTCAACTCAACAATCCACTTTAGAACTCTAAAATCTATACACAAGGAGAAATAAAAAAAATTCATAGTAGGATCATTATTTAATATTCATTAAACACTATACTATACAGCAGTTAACATTTATAAACTAGAGTAAAATATCAACATGGATAGCATGCCAACCAGGGCCTAGGTATCAACCTGCTCTGTCCACATCCACCACAACCACATTCAATTTTGGGGAGGTGGGAGTAAGGACAGGACTAGCCCACCCAAACTGCCACCACAGCCACAGGTGTCATCTGGAGGCCTGGGAATTGATCTGCCCCAACCTGCTGTCATTGATAATCAGACACACCATGATGGGGGCCTGACAACAAGACCACCCCACCTGCCACCACCACTTGCACACACCATCCAGGAATCAAAGGACAGGCACACCCAACCCACCGCTACTGCCATCAAAACACACCATCTGGGGCCTGGGGATCAACCCATCCAACCTGTGGGGACAGACCAGCCGTGCCCACCAACATTGCCTACGCCCATTCTCCAGAGCCCTGGAGACTGACTCACCACATCTGGCACCTGATATCTGGGAGCCTGGAGATTGATCCTACCGGCCTGCCACTGCCAGAACCCATACACACCTTCCAGCAGCCTGAGGATGAATCTGCCCAGACAGCCACCTTTACCATGTGCACTATCTGCGGGCCTAGACAGACACCCACCATGGCCACTGCTGGCACCAGCATGCATCTCCCAGGGGCCTATATACCAACTTGCTCAGTTTGCCACTATCACCAGCACTCACCTATGCATACCACCTAGGGGACTGGGGACCGGCACACCCAGCCCAACACCACTGCTGGCCTGCCACTGGAGACCCAATGGTTGGCCTGCCACCGCTATTGCTACCACCAATGCCATCACACTACCCAAGACTCTGAGGACCCACCAGACTCACCATACCACTTCTACCTCTGGCACCCAGAAAAGCTGCCTGGACAACCAAAGTTTGGCCCATCTAGACCCATCACCACAATCACCTGCATATGCCACACAGGGCACCAAGGACTGTCATGCGCAGCCCATCACTGCCACCAGTGGTGCCTGAGAACTAGTCTGCCTGTCTTCCTCCTCCCAAGAAAAAGCCACACCAAAGCCTTTACCTAAGAACCACAGCCTAAGCCACTGGGGAAATCACAGACAAGACTAATCCTGATTCCAGCCAAAGAAATCATGCAGACTATACTACTTCACCCACCAAGAATCAAAGACAAAGCACCCTACAAAAGCAACATAATAGATGCATCTATAAGAAAAAAAGTCTTTCCCAACAAAAGACAATCCGCAAAACTAGAAGAAGTGAACGGTACACTAGATGCACAAATATCAACATAAAGACACAAGAAACATAAAAAAGCAAGGAAACATGACACCTCCAAAGCAACACACTAATTCTCTAGTAACAGATCCAAAGAAAAAGGAAAAAGAATTTGAAATGATAACGAAGAGCCTCAGTGAGAAACAGGAGAAAACACATAAATAATACAAGGTTATAAAAAAAAATTCATGAATCAGAAATTCAAAAGAGATAGATGTCATTAAAAAAACAACCAAACAAAATCCCATAACTGAAAAACTCAATGAATAAAATAAAAAATACAACTGAGCACTTCAACAATAGATCAAGCAACAGAAAGAATTTCTAAACTTGAAGACAAGTCTTTTAAGATAACTTTTTTCTTTTTTAAATATCTAACTAGATTTTAGAAAATTCAGAAAATTTTAGAAAATCCAGAAGGAAATGAGATGGGTAAAGGCATAGAAAACCTAATTAATGAAATAATAGCTAAAAACTTCCAACTCCTGCAAGAGCCATACAAATTTCAATACAGGAAGCTCAAGAACCCCAAACGGATTCTACCAGAAAAAGTCCTCCAAGGTACATTATACTCAAGCTATCAAAATCAACGACACAGAGAGAATTCTAAAAATAGCGAGAGAAAAGTGTCAACACACATATAAAGAAATCCCCACTAGACTAAAATCACAATTCTAAGCAGAAACCTTAAGACCAGGAGAGAATGAGATAATATATTCAAAATATTAAAAGAAAAAAACTGCCCACCAAGAAAACTATTTCCAGCAAAGTGCTATTCAAAAATGAAAGAGCAGGCCAGGCACGGGGACCCAAGCTTGTAATCTCAGCACTTTGGGAGGCCGAGGCAGGCAGATCACATGAAGTCGGGAGTTCGAGACCAGCCTGACCAACAGGGAGAAAACCTGTCTCTACTAAAAGTACAAAAAGCCAGGTGTGGTGGCACGTTCCTGTAATCCCAGTTACTCGGGAGGCTGAGGCAAGAGAATCACTTGAACCTGGGAGGCGGAGGTTGCAGTGAGCTGAGATCGCGCCATTGCACTCCAACCTGGGCAACCAGCGTGAAACTCCTTTTAAAAAAAAAAATGAAAGAACAGTAACATCTTTCTAAGAGAAGGAAAAACTGAGGGAATTCATTACCACTAAACCACCCTAAAAGAAAAGCTTAGGGGAGTCCTACATCTAGAAGTGAAAGAATAATATCCACCATCATGAAAACACATGAAAGTATAAAACTCACTGGTAGAGCAGATACACAAAAGAGAAAGAGAAAGGAACCAAACATTACAAATACAGAAAAACACGAAACCACAAAAATAAACAATGAAAAAGGAACAAAGGATATATAAAACAACCAGAAAACAATAAAATGACAGAAATAAGTCCTCACCTATAAATAATAACCTTGAATGTAAATAGATTAAATTCCCCTGATAAAAGATATAGACTGGCTTAATGAATTTTTAAAAAGAAAAAGACCAAACTGTATGCTGCCTATAAATAACTCACTTTAACTGTAAATACACATAGACTAGAAGTACAGGAATGGAAAAAGATATTGCATATAAACAAAAAACAAAAGCAAACAGAAGTAGCTACACCTAGATGAGATAAAACAGACTTTAAATGAAAAACTGTAAAAAAAAAAAAAAAGACAAAGTCATTAATTATAAAAGGATCAATTCAGCAAGAAGATATAACAATTCTAAATATATATGCACCTAATACCAGAATGCTCAGATATACAAAGCAGATATTATTAGATCTAAAGGGAGAGATAGCTCCAATACAATAATAGTGGGGCATTTGAATACCCCACTCTCAGCATGGGACATATCATCCACATGGAAAATCAACCAAAAAAATCAGATGTAAACTGCACTATAAGCCAAACAGACTTAACAGATATTTACAGAACATTTCATCCAACAGCTGTAAAATACACATTCGACTCATCAGCACATAAAACATTCTCCAGTGTAAATCATATATTAGGCCACAAAGTAAGTCTCAGCAAATTTTTAAAAATCAAAATCATGTCAAATATGTTCTCAGACCACAAGAATAAAACTGGAAATCAGTAACAAGAGGAACATTGGAAACTGTACAAATAGAGACAAATCAAACAACATGCTCCTGAATGATCAATGACTCCATTAATAAAGTAATTTAAAACATTAAAAAATTTCATTAAACAAAAATAGAAATACAACATACGAAAACTCATGAGATACAAGAAAAGCGATACTAAGAGGAAAGTTTATAGCAATAAATGCCTACAACAAAAAAGTAGAAAGATTTCAAAAAAACCACCTAATGATGACTCTCAAGAAACCAGAAGAGGAAAAACCAACACAAAGCTAGCACAAGGAAACAATAAAGATCAGAGCAGAAATAACTAGAGACTAAACAATATACATGATCAATGAAACAAAAAGTTAGCTTTTTGAAAAGATAAAATCAACAAACTTTTAGCTAGACTAACCATGTTAAAAGGAGCAAAGACCCAAATGAACAAAATCACAAACAAAATGGCGACATTACAACTGATACTACAAAATGACAAAGGGTCACTAGAGACTATAATAAACAACCGTATACTAACAAACTTAAAAACCTAAAGGAAATGAAATTCCTGAACACATACAACCTATTAAGACTGAACCAGAAAGAAACAGAAAACCTGAACAGACCAATTGATATAGCTTGGGAATTTGGCCCCTCAATGTAACCCCCAGTGTTGGAGGTGAGGCCTGGTGAGAGGTGACTGGATCATGGGGAAAAACTGCCCATTAATGGTTTGGAACTGTACCCTTGGAATTATCCTTACAATAGTGAGTTCTTGCAAGATCTGAGTTTTTAAAAGTGTGTGGTACCTCCCCAGCACTCTCTCTTGCTCCTGCTCTCACCATGTGACATGCCTGTTCCTGCTTCACCTTCTGCTATGAGTAAAAGCTCCCTGAGACCTCCCCAGAAGCTAGGCAGATGCCGGCTACATGACTATACAGCCTGCAGAACTGTGAGCAAATTAAATCTCTTTTCATTATAAATTACCTAGTCTCAGGTATTCCTTTATAACATCGCAAGAATAGTATAGCACATCAATAATGTGTAACAAGATTCAATGAGTAGTAAAAACTCTCCCTAAAAAGAAAAGCCCAGGATGAAATGGCTTTACTGCTAAATTTATCAAGCTTACAAGGAAGAACCAATTCTTAAACTATTCCAAAAAAATGATGAGAAGGGAAGCTTACTAACTCGTTCTACAAGGCCAGGATTACTCTAACACCAAAAACAGACAAGGACACAACAACAATTAAAAAACTGCAGGCCAGGAGTGGTGGCTCACACCTATAATCCCAGCACTTTGGGAAGCAGAGGCAGGCTGATCATTTGAGGTCAGGAGTTCGAGACCAGCCTGACCAACATGGTGAAACCCTGTTTCTACCAAAAAATACAAAAATTAGCCAGGTGTGGTGGCACACACCTGTAGTCCCAGCTACTCAGGAGATTGAGGCAGGAGAATTGTGTGAACCTGGGAGGCAGATGTTGCAGTGAGCTGAGATTGCACCACTGCACTCCAGCCTGAGCAACAAGATTGTCTCAAAAACAAACAAACAATAACAACAAAATACCTGCAAGCCATTATCCATGATGAACATAGATTTAAAATTCTCAACAAAATACAAACCAACTGAACCCAACAACAAATAAGCATCATAATATACTATAATCAGGTAGAATTTTTTTTTTTTTTTGAGACGGAGTCTCACTGTCTCACCCAGGCTGGAGTGCAGTGGTGCGATCTCGGCTCACTGCAAGCTCTGCCTCCCGGTTTCACGCCATTCTCCTAATCAGGTAGGATTTACTTAAGGGATGAAAGGACGATTCAACATACACAAATCAATAAACGTGATACAACACATTAACAGAATCAAGACAAAAACCATATGATCATCTAATTGGTGCTAAAAATGCATTTGATAAAATCCAACATACCTTCATGATAAAACCTCCCAACATATTAGGGATAGAAGGAACACACCTCAACATAATAAAGGCCATATATGACAAACCCACAGCTACTATCATACTGAAATGAGAAAAACTGAAAGGCTTTCAAGGATGCCCATTTTCACCATTCTTACTCAACACAGTACAGAAGGTCCCAGCCAGAGCTATCAGGCAAAATAAAGACAGCTGGGCATGGTGGTTCACACCTGTAATCCCAGTACTTTGGGAGGCCAAGGTGGGAGGACTTGAGCCCAGTAGTTTGAGGCCAGCCTGGGCAATATAGGGAGACTCTATCTCTACAAAAAATAAAAAAATTAGCCAGGCCTGGTGGCACACACCTGTGGTCCCAGCTACTTGGGAGCCTCAGAACGGAGGATCACTTGAGTCAGGGAGGTTGAGGCTGCAGTGGGCCCTGATCGCACCACTGCACTCCAGCATGGGGAAACAGAGTGAAACTTTATGACCAAAAAAAAAGAAGAAAGAAAGAAACAAAAAATAAAAGAAAGAAAAGAAAGTCCTGGGTTTCCACACCAAAAAAAAAAAAAAAAAAAAGGAAAGAAAATCCAAATGGAAAGGAGGAAGTTAAACTGCTCTGCTTTGCAGACAACATGATCTTATATACAGAAAAACCTAGACTGCCAGAAAGCTCTTAAATCTGATAAATTCAGTGCAGGATACAAAATCAACATAGAAAAATCAGCAGTATCTCCACACACCAAAAATGGTCAGAAAAAGAACTCAAGAAAGCAATGCCATTTACAATAGCTACAAAAAAATTAAATATCTAAGAATAAATTTAACAGAAAAGGTAAAAAATAACTCTACAATAAAAACTACGAAACACTCATTAAAGAAACAGAAAAGGATACAAATGAAAAGACATCCTATGTTCATAGATTAGAGGAATTAATATTGTTAAAAATGGCCATACTGCCCAAAGCAATCTACAGGTTCAATGCAATCCCTATTGAAATACCAGTGACATTCTTCATTGAAATAGAAAAGACAGCCCTAAAATTAATCTGGAACTACAAAAGACTCTGAATAGCCAAAGCACTGGGTGAGACCCAGTGCTGTGCTAGCATCAGGTGTGACCCAGAGCATTCCCAGCTGTGATGGCCACAGGGAGAGGCTCCTCCTGCTTGACAGAAGGAGAGGAAGGGTAAAGAGGACTTTGTCTTGCTGCCTGGGTACCCTGAGCAAAAAGAACAAACCTACAGGCATCACACTGTCTTTGAAATATACTACAAAGCTATCATTACCAAAATAGCACAATATTGGTATAAAAACAGACATACAGGCCAATGAAACAGAAAAGAGAACCCAGAAATAAATCCATGTATTTACAGCCACCTGATTTTTGACAAAGGAACCAAGAACACACACTGGGGAAAGGACATCTTCTAAAATAAATGGTGCAGTGAAACTGAATATCCACATGCACAACAATGAAACTGGAACCCTATCTCCCAACTCATACAAAAATCAACTCAAAATGGATTAAAGACTTAACCTTAAGACCTGAAACTATAAAACTATTAAAACTAAAAGAAAACAGGAGAAACACCTCAGAACACTCATCTAGGCAAAGATTTTACGGTTATGACCTCAAAACCCCAAACAATAAAAACAGAAATACACGAATGGTATTATGTTAAACCACCCAGCCAGGGGAGTGCCTATACCACCTCGGCCCCGCACCCCTGGCTCCACCTGCCAAACAAGCTCCCAGGAGACATTCCTGCCTTAAGCTTGAGGAGTGGGAGAGGAGAGGGAAAACTAAAGAGCTCTTTGTCATGCAACTTGGATGCCCTCAACCACAGTAGCATAGGGCATCAGGAAGAGTTCGAGGCCTCCATTCCAGGCCCTAGCTGCCAGATAACATTGCTAGACCATCCTGGGCCAGAAGAAAACCCACTACCTTTAAGGGAAGGAACCAGTCTTGGCAGGATTCATAACGCGCTGACTAAGGAGCCCTTGGGCAGTGGATAAACACCAGCAGTAATCAGGTAGTACTCACCGTGGGTCTAGGGGTGAGACCCAGTGCTGTGCTGGCATCAGGTGTGACCCAGCGTATTCCCAGCTGTGGTGGCCACAAGGAGAGGCTCCTCCTGCTTGATGGAAGGAGAGGAAGGATAAAGGGGACTTTGTCTTGCTGCCTGGGTACACCAGCTCAACCACAAAATCGCAGAGCACCAAGAAGGCTGCTAGGGTCCCCAGTTCCAGACCCTGGCTTCTGGATGGCATTTCTGGGTCTGTCCTGGGCCAGAGGGGAGCCCACTGCCCTAAAGGGACAGACCCAGGCCTGGAAGCAATCACCACAAGCTGACTGACAAACCTTTGGCCCCTGAATGAACATCACTGGTAGCCATGCAGTATTCACTGCAGACCTGGGGTGATGATGGCCACAATGAGAGTCTCCTGCTTCTGAAAAGGAGAGGAAACAGTGGGAAGAACTTTGTCTTGTGGCTTGGGTGCCAGCTCAGCTGCAGTAGAACAGAACACCAAGCAGATTTCTAAGATTCCCAGACTCTAGGCTCTGGCTCCTAGATGACATTTCTAGACCCACCCTGGGCTACAGGAGAACTTGCCACTCTGAAGGGAAAGACACAAGCATGGCTGGATTTTCCACTTGCTGCCAAAAGAGCCTGTGCCTTAAATGAACAACAACAGTAGCCACACAGTGGTCACTGTAGGCCTTAGACAAGACCCAGTGATATGCTGGCTTCAGGTCTGACCCAACGAGTCATAGTGGTGGTGGCCACATGGATGCTTGTGTCACCTTTTTCCCCGCCTGAAGCAGTTCAGCATGGAGCTCAGTAATCCAGGGTATTCTCTGCCTGGTAATCCAGGAAATTCTCTTGGACCTTACTGAAGACCACAAAGGCAATACTTCTGCAAGTCTATAAGAGTCACAGCATTACTAGGCTTCAGGTGCCCCCAGTGCGATACAGCTGCAGCAACCAAAGACTTAGATCACAACACTCACTTCCCTTTAGACACTTGGAAAGTCTTCCCAAGAAGGACGGATACAAACAAGCCCAGACTGTGAAAACTACAATAAACACCTAACTCTTCAATGCCCAAAAACCAACAAACATCCACAGGCATCAAGGCCATACAGCAAAACATGACCTCACCAAACAAACCAAATGAAGCACCAATGACCAATCCTGAAGAGACAGAGATATGAGACCTTTCAGACAGAGAACCTAAAATACTTATTTTTAAGCTCAACGAACTTCAAGATAACAGAGAGAAGGAAGTCAGAATCCTATCAGATAAATTTAACAAAGATTAAAATAATTTTTGGAAATCAAGCAGAAATTCTGGAGCTGAAAAATTCAATTGACATACTGAAGAATGCATCAGAACCTCTCAATGGCAAAATTAATCAAGCAGAAGAAAGAATTAGTGAGACTGAAAACAGGCTATTTGAAAATACATACAGGAGACAAAAGAAAAAAGAATAATGGAAGACTGAAGCACAGCCACAAGATCTCGAAATAATACTCAATGACGTAACAGTTTGAACAATAAATACAGTATGCAGAATGAGAAAACTAAGAAATAAAATTCGAGAAAAGAAGGTAATGTAGACAGTGGAGAGGAAACCTATAGATAATATATGTCTCTGAAGGGGAGTATCAGAAAAACAAAAAACAAAGAGAAAAAAATTAACTTTTACTACTTATTTACTTCTGTACCATTTGAATTATTTTGCAACAAGCATTACTTTCATGGCAGCCATAAGCAGTCAAATACTTAATCTCAAGCAGTTGTAGTTAATTTCAATAAGTATGAAATTGGAACTGTTCTAGAAAACTCAGGATATAATTCCCAAAGTATGTACTATAATACAAAGAAAGAATTAAAGTTTTCACAGAAAAATTTCATGCATCCATTCCAAAACACTTCAAAATATTTAACTGACTGGATAGAAAATTTCTTAGTACTTTAGGATGTTAATAACCTACTAACAGGATATAACAGATCACATATTTTAAGATAATCGAAGAACTAAAAAAAATTTCATGGGGCCAGGTGCTTTGGCTGACGTCTGTAATCCCAGCACTTTGGGAGGCTAAGGCAGGAGGACTGCTTAAGCCCAGGATTTCAAGACAAGCCTAGGGAACCCAATGAGAATTAGTCTCTACCAAAAAATTAAAAATTAAAAAAATCAGCTGGGCATGGTGGTGCATGTCTATAGCCCTAGCTACTTGGGATGCCGTGGCGGGGGGAATCACTTGAGCCCAGCAGTTTGAGGCTGCAGAGATCTGTGACTGTGCCACCACACTCCTGCCTGAGTGGACAGAGCAAGATCTTGTCTAAAATTGTTTTTAAAAACTTTAAAACTTTTTTCAAAAATTTAATTAAAACAATTAAAAATTCATGGAAAAAGGAGCAAGAGAATTTTTTTCAAATGTATTTAGAATTTTTAAAAGTAAACTATATGCGCTCTAAAGTTTTCTGCCAATACTCTTCCAATTTCCTTCTCAAGTTCAACACACTGAATATAACAACCTCTCTTAGGCCATTCTGAATATAATTTCCAAGAATCATAACCCTGAATGGTAATGATAATTTACTCAGTAATAGTAGATCATGCTGTCATTCTCAGATCAACCTACTGTGAAATCTAGACATGTAAATATCTGTGTATACAGATGCATACATACACAAATTATTAGAAAATGTATGTGCACATATATATACACACACCCTAATAACTTATTAGATAACTACATACTCTAATAATTGACAAACGTCATTATTAACTTGTTCTTTTGTCTCTCAATCACAAAATGACTCCTTTTCTTTTGAGACATGCTCTTGTTCTGTCACCCAGGCTGGCAGTGGTGTGATCACAGCTCACAGCAGTATCAACCTTCCTGGCTCAATCCATCTGCCTGCCTCAGCCTTCAGAGTAGCTAGGACTAAAGGCTTGTGCCACCAAGTCCAGCTAATTTTTGTACTGTTTTGTAGAGATGGGGTTTGACCATGTTGCCCCAGCAGGTTTCTAACTCCTGGGCTCAGGCAATCCGCCCACCTCAGGCTCCCAATGTGCAGGGATTACAGGAGTGAGCCACCATACCCAGCCTGACTCCATTTATTTAAGGGCTCAAATTATGTAGGTATTATGTTATCAAATTTTAGCAATTACCAACATGCAAATTCCTATAACAATCTAGAAAAATATATATAATTTTTAAATTATTTTATGCTTTTACTTTTAATAGAATTAAATGTCACTTTTAAATGATCATATACTTTAAAATAAGAGTAGGCAAACTTTCTGTAAAGGGCCAGACAATAAATATTTTAGGCTTGCAAGCCATTTAGGCTTTATCAAAATAATATGGTTTGGCTCTGTGTACCAACCCAAATTTCATCTAGAATTGTAGTTCCCACAAATCAAATGAGGGACCTGGTGGGAGGTGACTGGATCACAGGGATGGTTTCCCCCATGCTGTTCTCGTGATAGTGAGTGAGTTCTCATGAGATTTAATGGCCTTTAAAGTGTGGCATTCCCCCCACCCCTGCTGCCACCTAAGATGTGCCCTGCTTTCCCTTCGCCTTCTGCCATAATTGTAAGTTTTCTGAGGCCTCCCCAGCAATGCAGAACTGTGAGTCAATTAAACCTTTTCTTTATAAATTACCCAGTCTGAGGTAGTTCTCTATAGCAGTGTGAAAACGGCCTAATATGTGCAACTTCTCAATTCTGCCATTGGAGCATGAAAGCAACCAAACACAATATTTATACAAGTAAGAGTGGATGTGTTCCAAAAAACTTGTATTTACAAAAACAGGCAGTGAGCCCATGGGGCATAGTTTGATTACCCCTACTCTAAATCATCTGTCTTTATTAAAAATTTACAGAATAAACTACACAACTTATAAATGCTTTGTAACCTAGTGATTTCATTATAAAAGGCAAAAAGTTCAGACCACAAATATGTCTGAATTATAAGAAAATCTATAAAACAGCTAGGGAAGAAAAAAGCACAAAATTTATGCTTGGCAAAAGTACTGGAAAGAAGACAAGGTATTTCTTCTGTTATTCCTTAACAGTTCTAATGAAAGACTAAAGGGTTAAGAAAAGAAAGGAAAGGAAAGGAAGTATCTGTAAGAAAATGGGCTGAAGAAGATAAAGAGGCTCAAGGGAGAAGAAAAATACAAATATTTCGGAAAATAAATAATACACGTAAGAGCTACATAATATAAAATAGCATATTCCAAACATATGCAAAAGTAAAAGGCGAAATCTAGCCAACATGATAAATATCTAAAAGTGTCATGGGAAAACAATGGGAGCATGGGAGGAAAAAACAGGAAATATCTTATAATCACATATAATTCCAAAACAACGAACTCCGAGAGTATTCAATGTATAAGAAGAAAAGAATGCATTTCAGATAAATTTGCGGTAAAGCACAAAAGAATTTTCTCAGTAATACTTTTGATGCCAACTGAGATTTTAAAGACTTTAAGGAATTGAAGTAAAGGTTAAAAGGGTTAAATTATACATTATACTATTAGCAAGCATAATATTTATAGATTCTTGTTGCTGTTGTGTCCAAGGCATTCCAAAATTTATGGATTTCTTAAGTTATACTTTAAGTTCTAGGGTACATGTGCACAACGTGCAGTTTTGTTACGTAGGTATACATGTGCCATGTTGTTTTGCTGCACCCATTAACTGATCATTTACATTAGGTATTTCTCCTAATGCTATCCCTCCCCCTGCCCCCCACATCATGATAGGACCCAGGGTGTGATGTTCCCCGCCCTGTGTCCAAGTGTTCTCATTGTTCAGTTCCCACCTATGAGTGAGATCATGCGGTGTTTGGTTTTCTATCCTTGTGACGGTTTGCTCAGAATGATTGTTTCCAGCTGCATCCATGTCCCTACAAAGGACATGAACTCATCCTTTTTTATGGCTGCATAGTATTCCATGGTGTATATGTGCCACATTTTCTTAATCCAGTCTATCATTGACAGACATTTGGGTTGGCTCCAAGTCTTTACTATTGTGAATAGTGCCCCAATAAACATACCTGTGCATGTGTCTTTATAGCAGCATGATTTATATTCTTTTGGGTATATACCTAGTAACGGGATGGCTGGGTCAAATGGTATTTCCAGTTCTAGATCCTTCATGAATAGCCACACTGTCTTCCACAATGGTTGAACTAATTTACACTCCCACCAACACTGTAAAAGCGTTCCTATTTCTACACATCCTCTCCAGCATCTGTTGTTTCCTGACTTTCTAATGATTGCCATTCTAACTGGTGTGAGATGGTATCTCACTGTGGTTTTCATTTGAATTTCTCTGATGACCAGTAATGATGAGCATTTTGTCATGTGTCTGTTGGCTGCATAGATGTCTTCTTTTGAGAAGTGTCTGTCCTTTGCCCACTTTTTGATGGGATTGTTTTTTTCTTGTAAATTTGTTTAAGTTCTTTGCAGATTCTGGATACTAGACCTTTGTCAGATGGGTAGATTGCAAAAATTTTCTCCTATTCTGTAGGTTGCCTGTTCACTCTGATGGTAGTTTCTTTTGCTGTGCAGAAGCTCTTTAGTTTAATTAGATCCCATTTCTCTATTTTGGCCTTTGTTGCCATTACTTTTGGTGTTTTAGACATGAAGTCCTTGCCCATGCCTATGTCCTGAATGGTATTGCCTAGGTTTTCTTCTAGGGTTTTTGTGGTTTTAGGTCTAACATTAAAGTCTTTAATCCATCTTGAATTAATTTTTGTATAAGGTGTAAGGAAGGGATCCAGTTTCAGCTTTCTACATATGGCTAGCCAGTTTTCCCACCACCATTTATTAAATAGGGAATCCTTTCCCCATTGCTTGTTTTTCTCAGGTTTGTCAAAGATCAGATGGTTGTAGATGTGTGGTGTTATTTCTGAGGCCTCCATTCTGTTCCATTGGTCTATATATCTGTTTTGGTACCAGTACCATGCTGTTTTGGTTACTGTAGCCTTGTAGGATAGTTGGAAGTCAGGTAGCGTGATACCTCCAGCTTTGTTCTTTTGGCTTAGGATTGTATTGCCTATGCAGGCTCTTTTTTGGTTCCATATGAACTTTAAAGTAGTTTTTTCCAATTCTGTGAAGAAAGTCATTGGTAGCTTCATGGGGATGGCATTGAATCTATAAATTACCTTGAGCAGTATGGCCATTTTCACGATATTGATTCTTCCTATCCATGAGCATGGAATGTTCTTCCATTTGTTTGTGTCCTCTTTTATTTCATTGAGCAGTGGTTTGTAGTTCTCCTTGAAGAGGTCCTTCACATCCCTTGTAAGTTGGATTCCTAGGTATTTATTCTCTTTGAAGCAATTGTGAATGGGAGTTCACTCATGATTTGGCTCTCTGTCTGTTATTAGTGTATAGGAATGCTTGTGATTTTTGCACATTGATTTTGTATCCTGAGACTTTGCTGAAGTTGCTTATCAGCTTAAGGAGATTTTGGGCTGAGACAATGGGGTTTTCTAAATATACAATCATGTCATCTGCAAACAGGGACAATTTGACTTCCTCTTTTCCTAACTGAATACAACTTCCTTTCTTTCTCTTGCCTGATTGCTCTGGCCAGAACTTCCAACACTATGTTGCACAATAGTGGTGAGAGAGGGCATCCCTGTGTTGTGCCGGTTTTCAAAGGGAATGCTTCCAGTTTTTGCCCATTCAGTATGATATTGGCTGTGGGTTTGTCATAAATAGCTCTTGAGATACGTTCCATCAATACCTAGTTTATTGAGAGTTTTTAGTATGAAGCGCTGTTAAATTTTGTCGAAGGCCTTTTCTGCATCCATTGAGACGATCATGTGGCTTTTGTCTTTAGTTCTGTTTATGTGATGGATTATGTTTATTGATTTACGTATGCTGAACCAGCCTTGCATGCCAGGGATGAAGCCGACTTGATCGTGGTGGATAAGCTTTTTGATGTGCTGCTGGATTTGGTTTGCCAGTATTTTACTGAGGATTTTCGCATCAATGTTCATTCAGGGATATCAACCTGAAATTCTCTTTTTTTGTTGTGTTGATACAGTTTCTTCCTAGCATTCATGGTCTTTACAATTTGGCATGTTTTTGCAGTGGCTGGTACCGGTTGTTCCTTTCCATGTTTATTGCTTCCTTCAGGAGCTCTTTTAGGGCAGGCCTGGTGGTGACAAAATCTCTCAGCATTTGCTTGTCTGTAAAGTATTTTATTTCTCCTTCACTTATCAAGCTTAGTTTGGCTGGATATGAAATTCTGGGTTGAAAATTCTTTTCTTTAAGAATGTTGAATATTGGCCCCCACTCTCTTCTGGCTTGTAGAGTTTCTGCTGAGAGATCAGCTGTTAGTCTGATGGGCTTCACTTTGTGGGTAACCCGACCTTTCTCTCTGGCTGCCCTTAACATTTTTTCCTTCATTTCAACCTTGGTGAATCTGACAATTATGTGTCTTGGAGTTGCTCTTCTCGAAGAGTATCTTTGTGGTGTTCTCTATATTTCCTGAATTTGAATGTTGGCCTGCCTTGCTAGGTTGGGGAAGTTCTCTTGTATAATAACCTGCATAGTGTTTTCCAACTTGGTTCCATTCTCCCCATCACTTTCAGGTACACTAATCAAAAGCAGATTTGGTTTTTTCACATAGTCCCATATTTCATGAAGGCTTTGTTCATTTCTTTTTACTCTTGTTTCTCTAAACTTCTCTTCTCATTTTATTTCATTAATTCGATCTTCAATCACTGCTACCCTTTCTTCAACTTGATCGAATCAGCTATTGAAGCTTGTGCATATTTCACATAGTTCTCATGCCATGGTTTTGAGCTCCATCAGGTCATTTAAGGTCTTCTCTATACTGTTTATTCTAGTTAGCCATTCGTCTAATCTTTTTTCAAGGTTTTTAGCTTCCTTGCAATGGATTCGACCATCCTCCTTTAGCTCAGAGAATTTTGTTATTACCCACCTTCTGAAGCCTTATTCTGTCAGCTCCTCAAAGTCATTCCCCATCCAGCTTTGTTCTGTTGCTGGCGAGGAGCTACGATCCTTTGGGGGAGAAGAGGCACTCTGGTTTTTAGAATTTTCAGCTTTCTGCTCTGGTTTCTCCCCATCTTTGTGGTTTTATCTACCTTTGGTCTTTGATGTTGGTGACCTACAGATGGGGTTTTGGTGTGGATGTCCTTTTTGTTGATGTTGATGCTATGCCTTTCTGTTTGTTAGTTTTCCTTCTTTTTCCTTCTAACAGTCTGGTCCCTCAGCTGCAAGTCTGTTGGAGTTTGCTGGAGGTTCACTCCAGACCCTGTTCACCTGGGTATCACCAGCGAAGGGCTGCAGAACAGAAAATATTGCTCAACAGTAAATATTGCTGCCTGATCCTTCCTCTGGAAGCTCCGTCCCAGAGGGGCACCTGCCTGTATGAGGTGTCAGTTGGCCCCTACTGGGAGGTGTCTCCCAGTTAGGCTACACAGGGGTCAGGGACCCACTTGAGGAGGCAGTCTGTCTGTTCTCTGAGCTCAAACACCATGCTGGGAAAACCACTCCTCTCTTCAGAGCTGTCAGACAGAGACGTTTAAGTCTGAAGAAGTTTCTGCTGCCTTTTGTTCAGCTATGCCCTGTCCCCAGAGGTGGAGTCTATGAGGCAGCAGGCCTTGCTGAGCTGTGGTTGGCTCCACCCAGTTCAAGCTTCCCTGGCTGCTTTGTTTACCTACTCAAGCCTCAGCAATGGCAGACACCCCTCCCCCTGCCAGGCTGCTGCCTTGCAGGTCGATCTCAGACTGCTGCACTAGCAGTGAGCAAGGCTCTGTGGGCATGGGACCCACCAAGCCAGGCATGGGATATAATCTCCTGGTATGCCGTTTGCTAAGACTATTGGAAAAGTACAGTATTTGGGCAGGAGTGTCCTGTTTTTCCAGGTACCGTCTGTCACAGCTTCCCTTGTCTAGGAAAGGGAAATCCCCCGACCCCTTGCACTTCCCGGGTGAGGCGACGCCCCGCCCTGCTTCGGCTTGCCCTCTGTGGGCTGCACCCACTGTCCAACCAGTCCCAATGAGAGGAACCAGGTACCTCAGTTGGAAATGCAGAAATCACCCGTCTTCTGTGTCAATCACGCTGGGAGCTGCAGACTGGAGCTGTTCCTACTGGGCCATCTTGGAAGAGTCAATTTATGGATTGTTAAGTGTTCAGATTACAATAATTCATTTCACTATTGCTATAAAAGAGACTCTGGCTCCTAAAAAAATGCATCCTGCTTTAAAAATAAGTAAATAAAGGAAAAAAGGCCATAATGTTTACTATATTCATTTTTAAAATAATTAAGAAATACTTTATTTTGTAGTTGCAATCCTCTAACATCTATTCTATACTTGAGTGCCCATCTATATCCACAGATACTTTCAGTAATGGTTAAGAAAATATCTGAATACCTTAAACTATTATAAGAGAATAATGTATTCTTATGTATTAAGGAATTAAAAATTAAACACATAGGCCAGGCGTGGTGGCTTACACCTATAATCCCAGCACTTTGGGATCCACAAGGCGGGTGGATCATCTGAGGTCGAAAGTTCGAGACCAGCCTGACCAACATGGAGACACCCCATCTCTACTAAAAATACAAAATTAGCCAGGCGTGGTGGCGCATGCCTGTAATCCCAGCTACTCGGGAGGCTGAGGCAGAAGAATCGCTTGAACCTGGGAGGCGGAGGTTGCAGTGAGCCGAGATGACGCCCATGCACTCCAGCCTGGGCAACAAAAGCGAAACTCTGCCTCAAAAAAAATAAACATATAATAAAGTTATTTTTCAGGGCCCATGCTCTTCAACAGTTGAAAGGTTGTCTTATTTGAATAAAAGAAAAGAATAATGATAATTTATTGTGTTTTGTAAAGGCATATCTAATCTCTTATTGGTTTTGACGCACATGAAAATTCTCTGTATGAACTGCTACATAAACAGAACCCTAAATAAGAACAGTTTTCCCTTTTGTAGCATTGGCATTTGTATTATAAATGTTAGACTAATCTTATTTACAGGAAATGGCATGTCCTATCTTCCCTATAAAACGCATAGGGAATCAGAAGCAAATAATGGTTTTACTAAATAAGATACTGAAGTTGAGAATCGATCTAACTTCGGGGGAATATGTGGATTTAGACAAGTTGAAGGAAGCAAAAACATATCCCAGGAGGGCTGAACAGTATACTGTTGAGACATGAGCTTCGACTTAAGGAAGTATTTAACAACTAAGGTGAAACATCATAGGCACCTTTGTGTACACAGAAGCACAAAATAACAACGAACACCAAACAAGATTCACTCCTTAAAATCCAGTGTGGGTAAACACAACAAACACTCTTGTTTTAATTTCTTAAAAATTATTCAAAGCAGTAATAGTTATTATTATTGACCATTGTGAGTGTGTAACATACAGAAGTAAGAGTTATGACAACATTAGCACAAATCATGACAGGACATGAAGAGGAGCATACTGTCATAAACATTCTAGGTAAGGGATAATACTTACGTTACTTATAAAGTGGTATTTTATAATATTATTTCAAAGTAGACATTGATAAGTTAAACATGCATACTGTCAACCCTAGAGCAATTACTAAAAAATAAAGTATGGTTAATTAATAATGAAGAGAAAATAGAATGCTAAAATATACTCAATCCCAAAGAAGGCAGGAAAAGAAAAAAAGGAACAAAAATCAGATGGGACCAGTAAAATATGAAGACATTAAACTTAAACCTAACCACATTTAGAACTAAATAAAAGTAAACACTCCAATGAATAGTCAGGAATTGTCAGACTAGTAAGACCCCACTATAATCTGTCCATAGAAAACTCAGGTCAGATAGAAAAACTAAAGTCTCAGTACAGTTTCTAAATACCAGACATCTCAAGTTTCAAAAAATAGTCATGGCAAAATGAACAAGTTCAAAAAAAAAAAAAAAAAAGAAAATTAGCAGCATCTAATCATCAAAACAAAATCAGAGAACTGTTGCATTTTATAGATTCAAAAGGAACCTCCAGAGCATATGAATCAAATAGAAATCAAAAACATGCCAAAAAAATGGAAGCTGCAATCTGTGTTCCTTATGTCTTTAATGCCAGATAACACATTGAGATGGCATAAAACTGAAGGGAAAAAGAAAACCTGCAACCACCATCAACTTCAAAGTTTCAAACTAAGGTTCTTTCAGTTTGCAGCATTTAGACATAAATTATAGTGTCAAAAGCACTGAACACTACAATTAAGGTTATATTTGCACTTCTGTTACAACCCCATATTTTCACTCATTCATAACATTCTTAGAAAGTCCCTGATGAAACTAAAGCCTTCCTTGTCTTGATCTAAATGTTTTCTTCTTACTTAAAATAGTTGACAGACTAAAAATAAAATATACCTTTTTCAGCTCAAAAAGAAAAAAAAATCTTCCCAATTGTGAAACAAATACAGAATTCCAAAAAGTTTCACTTATGGCAAACAAGAACTAAAACATCCTCAATAAGTTAAAAAAAAGTATTATTGAACTAAAAAATCCACTTTATGCCAAGTTTCATTTTCATATGCCATAAATTTCAGGATTATACATCATATAATAAAAGATTATATTATTTAAATCAATTTTTTTTTTTGTTTTTGAGATGAAGTCGCGCTCTATCACCCAAGCTGGAGTGCAGTAGTGTGATCTCGGCTCACTGCAAAATCCGCCTCCTAGGTTCAAGTGATTCCCCCACCTCAGCCTCCTGAGTGGCTGGGATTACAGGTGCCTGCCACCACACCCGGCTAATTTTTGTATTTTTAGTAGAGATGGGGTTTTGCCATGTTGACCAGGCTGGTCTCGAACTCCTAACCTCAAGTGATCCACCTGCCTCAGCCTCCCAAAGTGCTGGAATTACATGGGTGAACCACCACGCCTAGCCCAATTTATGTATTTTTAAAGAATCAAACATTTATAACACACTATATCTCCCAAATAGCTAACTAAAAAGAATCCTCTATTACTTCTAGGATCTAGACACAAGCTGAAGTTCAAGAAACCATGATTTCTTGTGTTCCCAAACTCTCAGGGAACACAATACAATTTGAAAAAAATTTACCTACACTGTCATCCATCTACAAGTATCAGTGTGTGGTTTGTAGTTTTTTTACTTCTTTTTCAATAATGTTCTCAAATGACCCCAATTATTTCACCTCAAAAAGAAGCTAAACCTTGGCCTGCAGAGTGGCTCACGCCTATAATCCCAGCACTTTGGGAGGCCGAGGTGGGCGGATCACCTGAGGTCAGGAGTTCAAGACCATCCTGGCCAATGTGCTGAAACCCCGTCTCTACGAAAAAAAATACAAAAATTAGCTGGGCATAATGGCGCACACCTGTAATCTCAGCTACTTGGGAGGCTGAGGCAGGAGAATTGCTTGAACCTGGGAGGTGGAGGTTGTGGTGAGCCAAGATCACACCACTGCACTGCAGCCTGGGTGACAGAGCAAAACCCTGTCTCAAAAAAAAAAAAAAAAAAAAGCAGAAGCTAAACCTAAAACAAAAGTTTAGTATCCAATGATTCTAAGATTACAAACAATACTTCATGTTAAAATTAAAATCATAAACCACTCATGATAGATAGTCATACTTCAGTATCTGTAGGAGATTGTTTCTAGGACCCCTGTGGATGCTCAAATACCTTACAGTCAGCCTTCTGCATCCATGGGCTTCACATCCGTGGTACAGAGGGCAGACTGTATCAATTGATACAGTCTTCTTAAAACTCCAAAAAGAGGCTGGGTATGGTGGCTCATGCCTGTAATCCCAGCAGTTTGGGAGGCCAAGGTGGGAAAATAGCTAAGAGCTCAGGAGTTTGAGACCAGCCTGGCCAACATGGCGAAACCCCGTCTCTACCAAAAATACAAAAATTAGGGCAAAACCCCATCACTACAAAAAATACAAAAATTAGCCGGGCATTGGTGGCTTCCGCCTGTAGTACCAGCTACTTGGGACACTAAGGCTGGAGAATCACTTGAACCCAGGAAGCAGAAGTTGCAATGAGCCAAGATCAAGCCACTGCACTCCAGGCTGGGCAACAGAGTGAGACCTTCTCTCAAAAAGACATAAACTCCAAAAGAAGAGAAAGTTTTTGTCTGTATCACTAACTACTATATCCATAGCATTCAGTACAGTGTTATAAAACTCAGTAAGCATGTGTTGAATAAAGAACTTTTCAACTTTTCCTTCAAAGAAAGGAAATAAGTACTAAAATGGTAATTTTCTATGTGGTTTACACACAATGTACTATGCCTACTTTCTGTATTATCCTTCAGTGAGATCTAATTACTAGTAATGTTAGCATATGATGAGCTAGACAGACAAGTCTGAAAAGAATCTAAATCAACAGCACCAAAATCCACACCAATCATCCTAAAGTAAAATTCCATAAGTCATCCCAGAACTTCCTCTGTATATCCTCCTTCACAACCTATCACCACCTCTCCAATGCCACAGACAATGACTTAGTTCCATCTGGGCTCCATAACTTTTCTTCTAAAATATGGCAAAAAGAATCTAACTAATTCTCTGAAATTATTTCCTCCAATCCCTTCCCCTCCACTGTGAAAAAAGTCAACTTCCAAAATTATAAATTCAGTCAAGTTGCTTGCCAATTTAAAATAATTCAATTTTGATTGCTATGTATTAATATGCATGAGACCAGCAATCCTGATATATTTTAATCTCAGGACCTCTTAATGTGTTAAAAATTACTGAGAATCACATATTTACCATAGTAGAAATACAAAAGAAAAAAATTCTAATATATATGTTTATATATTTTATGACTTATTTTTAAATAAATCCATTATTTGTTAATTATAATTATATTATGGATAATTTAAAATAAATGATAGATTTTAGGGTTTTCATATTTTATGAAAAATAGCTATATTTTCTAAAACAAAAATAAAAAAAGGGGGCATTATATTTTTTTTTAAATCTGACTTAAGAGAAGACAGCTACATTCTCATATTTGCTTCTGCCGTCAGTCTGTTCCAGTGCCATACATAACCTCTGGAAAATTCCACACTACATTCATGAGAAAATGAGGGTGAAAAAAGTAAATCATGAATCATGTCTTAGTATTAGAAAAATAATGTTGATTTTGTATATAAAAAGAAAAAACTTGGGAACACCTGGAGGTCTTCAGATCACACTTCGAAAACAACTAGATTACAAAAAATTTCAGTCTCTTTCTTATGAGTTGCACATAAGTTTATGATCTGAGAAAATCACTGAACTAGAAAAGAAGTTTTGAGGAAATGACCCACATTTAAGAATATCATGTCTAGAGACAGTGTGAAAAATGATTCGAAGTACCAATGAAAGCTAATAGATACACTCAAGAGATAGGAAAGCAGTAGAAAACAGACTGATGAATAATTGATATAAGGGATGGGTAAAGTTAAGGACGACCTCAGGGTTCCTGGTTTGGATTGAAAGCACACAGTGGAATTGTTCACTGACACAGAAAATACATAAAGAGGAAAGGATTTGAGGTTTAAGATGATTTCAGTTTGGAACATTCTATGGGACATATAGGTGAAGGCCCATTTAGCTCTTATGCTGGAGTTCAGGAAAAAAAAGACTGACCCCTAAAATAGCATTTTGTGAGTAAAAAATATATAATGATAACTAAATCCATTGGGAATAAAATTATCCAAGGAGAGTGAGCACTAAAATAACGAAAACCTACAAAACTCCTATTTAAATGTGGGATAGGTAGCAGAAAAGTAACAACAGGAGCCAGAGACAGGGTGCCAAAGATGTAGGGAAAGAATCAGAGGAGCCAAGAAAGTGAAGTTTTTGGAAAGAGATGACAAGTATTAAATGGCAAAGGTAAATGAGAATCAAAAAATAAATGAAAAGAATACACTGGATTTTTTAAGCTTGATGTTACTAATGAGCTCTGCCAAAGTGCTTACAACGGCATCATGGAGGCAGAATCCATGAGGTATAAATATTAACTTATAAGTTTAAAAAGGGTAGAAAGGCATACAGACTGGAAACAAAAAAAAAAATACTTTTTGTGGGTGATATTATTGTCTATGTAGGTGGTATTATTATTTATGGAGGAAATCTAAAGGAATCCACCCAAAAAACTCCTAAAATTAAACAGTTAAGCAAGGTCACAGGACACAAGATCAATGCAGAAAAATAAATTGCATTTCTATAACTTAACAATGAACAATCAAAATAAAAAATTAAACATATGATAATATTAAAAATGCCCCAAAGGAAATAAAATATTTAGGTATAAATCTAACAAAACATATATAGGACTTACATGCTGAAAAAAGAAAATGCTGATGAAAGAAATACAAAGGAATCTAAATAATTAGAGAAGCGTACTGTGTAGATGGATTGTAAGACTCAACACAGTAAAAATATTCCTGTGAAATTCATCTACATGTTTAAGGCCAACCAGCACAAAGATAGAGCATTAAACAACCAAAACTAAGGATGACCCTCACAGAGTCCATTTCACCCCCTGCCACCTCCACTGGATGGAGGAATGAGGATGAGGAATAGAAGGAAACTTCTATGAAAAACACACACCTAACATCATATCCAATAGTTAAAGGCTGAAAGCATTCCGTCAAAGATAAATAACAAGACAAGGATGCCCATTTTCACCACTGCTATTAAACACTGTACTAGAAGTCCTAGACAAAGAAATTTGACAAGGAAGAAAAGGCATCCAAATTGGAGACAGAAAAGTAAAACTATCTCTATATATTTTCAGATAACATGACTCTATATATAGAAAATCCCACAGAATCCACCAAAAACTACTACAGCTAACAAACGAATCTGGCAAATGTGCAGGATAAAAGATCAACCCACAGGCTGGGCATGATGGCTCACGCCTGCAATCCCAGCATTTTTGGAGGCTGAGGCAGGCAGATCGCTTGAGCCCAGGAGTTCAAGACGAGCCTGGGCAACATGATGAAAACCCATGTCTACAAAAACACACAAAAAAAATTAGCCGGGCATAGTGGCGCACACCTGTAGTCCCTGCTACTTGGGAGGCTGGGGTGGGAGGATCACTTAAGCCTGGGAGATGGAGGTTCCAGTGAGCTGAGATCACACCACTGCACTCCACCCTCAGCAACAGAGCAAAATCCTGTCTCAAAAAAAACAAACAAACAAAAAAGATCAACTCACAGCTAAGCATGGTGGCTCATACCCGTAATCCCAGCACCTTGGGAGGACAAGGTGGGAAGATCACTTGAGCCCAGAAGTTCGAGATCAGCCTGATCAACATACCAAGACCCTCTCTCTAAAAAAAAAAAAAAAAAAAAAAATTAATTAGCCAGGCACTGTGGCATGTGCCCGTGGTCCCAGCTACTAGGGAAGATGAGGTGGGAGCATTGCTTGAGCCCAGGTGGTCAAGGCTGCAGTGAGCCATGATCACATCACTGCACTGCAGCTTGGGTGACAAAGTAAGACCTCATCTCAAAAATAAATAAATAAAAGATCAACTCACCAAAATTGGTGGTGTATCTGTACACTAGCAACAAATGATCCAAAATGGAAATTAAGAAAACAATTCTACATACAATAGCACCCAAAATAATAATATACCTAGGAATAAATTCAACTAAGAAGGTGAAAGACACAATGAAAATTATAATACACTGCTGACACAATTAAAGATTACTTAAATAAATAGAAAGGCATCCCATGTTCATGGATCACTATACTTAACATCGTTAAGATGCTAATACTACCAAGCAATTGACAGATTCAGTACAATCCCTATTATAATTCCAATGGCCTTTTGAACCAAACTGAAAAAGCTAATCTTCAAATTCATATACAACTGCAAAGAGCCAAAACAATTTTGAAAAAGAAATATAAAATAGGGCCAGGCATGGTGGCTCACGCCTGTAATCACAGCACTTTGGGAGGCTGAGGCAGGCAGATTGCTTTAAGCTCAGGAATTCGAGATCAGCCTAGGCGACATGGCACAACCTTGTCTCTACCAAAAATACAAAAGTTAGACAAACATGCTGGCTCATGTTTATAGTCCCAGCTACTCAGGAAGTTAAGGCTGGAGAATCACTTAAGCACGAAAGCAGAGGTTATATAGCGAGCTGAGATCATGCCACTGCATGCCAGCCTGTGGAACAGAGTGAGACCCTGTAACAAAAAAAAAAACAAAAAAAAAACAGAAATACAAAATAGGAAGCTTATTTATTTCAAAACTTACTACAAAGCACAATAATCAAAATAGTGTTGTTCAGGCTTAAGAACACACACACAAACCAATGGAATAAAATGCTGAGTCCAGAAATAAACCCTATGGCCAGCATAGGCCTATAGGGTTTATTTTCAACAAGAGTGACAAGACCATTCAGTGGGCAAAGAAAAGACTCTTCAACAAATAGTGCTTGGACCACCAAATAACCATAGAATGAAGTTGAACCCATATACAACATATCATATATAAAATTAATCATTCCATATACAAAATTTAATTCAATATGGATCAACAACCTAAATATAAGAGCTAAAACTTTAAAACTCTTAGAAGAAAACATAGGGGGAAATCTTCAAGACCTTAGATAAAGCAATGAACTCTTAGATATAACACCGAAAGCACTAGCAATAAAAGTTAAAAATAGGCAAATTGGACTTTATCCAAATTAAATACGTTGTGCATCAAAATACATTCTCAAGAATGTGACAACACAACCTACAGAATGGATGAAAATATTTGAAAATCATAATCTGCTAAGGACCTACTCTACTACCTTGAATACAAAAGGAACTCTTAAAACTCAAACAAAAAGACAAACAATTGAATTTTAAAATGGTCAAAGATTGCAAACCCATTAAGATAGACACTATCCAAAGAACAGAAAATAAGTGTCGGTGAAGATGTGGCAAAACTGAAACCTTTGTACACTGGTGGTGAGAATACAATGGTACAGCCACTGTAGAAAACAGTATGGAAATTCCTGAAAAAAGTGAACACAGAATTACTATATGATCCAGCAATTCTACTTCTCAGTATATATGCAAAAGAACTGAAAGCAGGGTCTCAAAGAGAGATTTGCACACCCATGTTCATTGTAGCATTATACTCAATAACCAAAAGATGAAAGCAACCCAAGTGTCCATCGGTGAATGAATAAACCAAATGGGGTAAATACACACAAAAAAATATTATTCAGCCCTAGAAAAAAGGAAACCCTGGGCTGGGCGTGGTGGCTCACGCCCGTAATCCCAGCACTTTGGGAGGCCGAGGCAGGAGGATCACCTGAGGCCAGGAGTTTGAGATCAGCCTGGCCAACAGGGTGAAACCCAGTCTCTACTAAAAAATATAAAAATTAGCCGGGGGTGGTGGTAGTCGCCTGTAATCCCAGCTACTCAGGAGGCTGAGGCAGGAGAATCACTTGAACCCAGGAGGGAGAGGTTGAAGTGAACTGGAACTGTACCGCTGCACTCCAGCCTGGGTGGCCAAGTGAGATTCTGTATCAAAACCAAAAAAAAAAGAGTTGTAAGCAAGAAAAAAAAAAAAAAAGGAAAAAAAAAGGAACCTTGTCATATGCCACAACATGGATGAACCTTGAGGACACTGTGCTAAGTGAAATAAGCCAGACACAAAATGACAAAAACTGTATGATTCCACTTACTTGAGGTACTTAGAATACTCAAAATCATAGAAACAGAAAGTATAATAGAATGATGGCTGCATAGTATTCCATGCAGCCATAAAAAATGATGAGTTCATGTCCTTTGTAGGGGCCTGGATGAACCAGGAAACCATCATTCTCAGCAAACTATCGCAAGGACAAAAAACCAAAAAAACCGCATGTTCTCACTCATAGGTGGGAATTGAACAATGAGAACACATGGACACAGGAAGGGGAACATCACACAATGGGGACTGTTGTGGGGTGCGGGGAGCGGGGAGGGATAGCATTAGGAGATATACCTAATGCTTAATGACGAGTTAATGGGTGCAGCACACAAACATGGCACATGTATACATATGTAACAAACCTGCATGTTGTGCACATGTACCCTAAAACTTAAAGTATACTAAAAATAAAAAATAAATAAATAATTAAATAATTAAAAAATTAAAGAACTAGAGAAGCAAGAGCAAACACATTCAAAAGCTAGCAGAAGGCAAGAAATAACTAAGATCAGAGCACAACTGAAGGAAATAAGAGACACAAAAAACCCTTCAAAAAATCAATGAATCCAGCAGCTGGTGTTTTGAAAAGATCAACAAAATTGATAGACCGCTAGCAAGAGTAATAAAGAAGAAAAGAGAGAAGAATCAAATAGACGCAATAAAATATGATAAAGGGGATATCACCACCAATCCCACAGAAATACAAACTACCATCAGAGAATACTACAAACATCTCTATGCAAATAAACTAGAAAATCTAGAAGAAATGGATAAATTCTTCGACACATACACCCTCCCAAGACTAATCCAGGAAGAAGTTGAATCTCTGAATAGACCAATAACAGGCTCTGAAATTGAGGCAATAATTAATAGCTTACCAACCAAAAAAAGTCCAGGACCAGATGGATTCACGGCCGAATTCTACCAGAGGTACAAGGAGGAGTTGGTACCATTCCTTCCAAAATTATTTCAATCAATAGAAAAAGAGGGAACCCTCCCTAACTCATTTTATGAGGCCAGCATCATCCTGATACCAAAGTCTGGCAGAGACACAATACAAAAAGACAATTTTAGACCAATATCCCTGATGAACATCTATGCAAAAATCCTCAATAAAATACTGGCAAACCGAATCCAGCAGCACATCAAAAAGCTTATCCACCAAGATGAAGTTGGCTTCATCCCTGGGATGCAAGGCTGGTTCAACATACGCAAATCAATAAACGTAATCCATCACGTAAACAGAACCAACGACAAAAACCATATGATTATCTCAATAGATGCAGAAAAGGCCTTTGACAAAATTCAACAACGCTTCATGCTAAAAACTCTCAATAAATTATGTATCGATGGGACATATCTCAAAATAATAAGAGCTATCTATGACAAACCCACAGCCAACATCATATTGAATGGGCAAAAACTGGAAGCATTCCCTTTGAAAACTGGCACAAGACAGGGATGCCCTCTCTCACCACTCCTATTCAACATAGTGTTGGAAGTTCTGGCCAGGGCAATCAGGCAGGAGAAGGAAATAAAGGGTATTCAATTAGGAAAAGAGGAAGTCAAATTGTCCCTGTTTGTGGATGACATGATTGTATATCGAGAAAACCCCATCATCTCATCCCAAAATCTCCTTAAGCTGATAGGCGACTTCAGCAAAGTCTCAGGATACAAAATCAATGTGCAAAAATCACAAGCATT
The DNA here is from genome assembly GCF_000001405.40 of Homo sapiens. NCBI lineage: Eukaryota > Metazoa > Chordata > Mammalia > Primates > Hominidae > Homo > Homo sapiens. The sequence goes on along the minus strand of NC_000008.11, from coordinate 99,051,851 downwards.
CTTATACACCAGTAACAGACAAACAGAAAGACAAATAATGAGTGAACTCCCATTCACAATTGCTTCAAAGAGAATGAAATACCTAGGAATCCAACTTACAAGGGATGTGAAGGACCTCTTCAAGGAGAACTATAAACCACTGCTCAATGAAATAAAAGAGGATACAAACAAATGGAAGAACATTGCATGCTCATGGGTAGGAAGAACCAATATCGTGAAAATGGCCATATTGCCCAAGGTAATTTATAGATTCAATGCCATTCCCATCAAGCTACTGATGACTTTCTTCACAGAATTGGAAAAAACTACTTTAAAGTTCATATGGAACCAAAAAAGAGCCTGCACTGCCAAGTCAATCCTAAGCCAAAAGAACAAAGCTGGAGGCATCATGCTACCTGACTTCAAACTATACTACAAGGCTACAGTAACCAAAACAGCATGGTACTGGTACCAAAACAGAGATACAGACCAATGGAACAGAACAGAGCCCTCAGAAATAATGCCGCATATCTACAATCATCTGACCTTTGACAGACCTGACAAAAACCAGAAATGGGGAAACGATTCCCTATTTAATAAATGGTGCTGGGAAAACTGGCTAGCCATATGTAGAAAGCTGAAACTGGATCCCTTCCTTACACCTTATACAAAAATTAATTCAAGATGATTAAAGACTTAAATGTTAGACCTAAAACCATAAAAACCCTAGAAGAAAACCTAGGCAATACCATTCAGGACATAGGCATGGGCACGGACTTCATGTCTAAAACACCAAAAGCAATGGCAACAAAAGCCAAAATGGACAAATGGGATCTAATTAAACTAAAGAGCTTCTGCACAGCAAAAGAAACTACCATCAGAGTGAACAGACAACCTACAGAATGGGAAAAAAATTTTGCAATCTACTCATCTGACAAAGGGCTAATATCCAGAATCTACAATGAACTCAAACAAATATACAAGAAAAAAACAACCCCATCAAAAAGTGGGCAAAGCATATGAACAGACACTTCTCAAAAGAAGACATTAATGCAGCCAAAAGACACATGAAAACTTGCTCATCATCACTGGCCATCAGAGAAATGCAAATCAAAACCACAGTGAGATACCATCTCACACCAGTTAGAATGGCACTCATTAAAAAGTCAGGAAACAACAGGTGCTGGAGAGGATGTGGAGAAACAGGAACACTTTTACACTGTTGGTGGGACTGTAAACTAGTTCAACCACTGTAGAAGTCAGTGTGGCGATTCCTCAGGGATCTAGAACTAGAAATACCATTTGACCCAGCCATCCATTACTTGGTATATGCCCAAAGTATTATAAATCATGCTGCTATAAAGACACATGCACACGTATGTTTATTGAGGCACTATTCACAATATCAAAGACTTGGAACCAACCCACATGTCCAACAATGATAGACTGGATTAAGAAAATGTGGCACATATACACGATTGAATACTATGCTCCCATAAAAAAGGATGAGTTCATGTCCTTTGTAGGGACATGGATGAAGCTGGAAACCATCATTCTCAGCAAACTATCTCAAGGACAAAAAACCAAACACTGCATGTTCTCACTTATAGGTGGGAATTGAACAATGAGCACACATAGACACAGGAAGGGGAACATCACACAGCAGGGCCTGTTGTGTGGTGGGGGGAGGGGGGAGCGATAGCATTAGGAGATATACCTAATGTTAAATTACGAGTTAATGGGTGCAGCACACCAACATGGCCCGTGTATACATACGTAACTAACCTGCACGTTGTGCACGTGTACCCTAAAACTCAAAGTATAATTTAAAAAAGATAAATAAAAAAATAAAAATACAAAAGTTAAAAAAAAATAAAAGAAGGAAAGGCAAAATGCTCCAGAAAGTCTCAGCAACAGAATCAAACAAGCAGAAGAAAGAACTTCAGAGCTCAAAGACAAGGTGTTCAAATTAACCCAATCCAACAAAGACAAAGGAAAAAGAATAAGAAAATATGAACAAAGCCTCCAAGAAGTCTGGGATTATGTTAAATGACCAAACCTAAGAATAATTGGCATTCCTGAGGAAGAAGAGAAATCTAAAAGTTGGAAAACATGTTAGGGGGAATAATCAAGGAAAACTTGCCCAGCCTGGCTAGAAACCTAGACATCCAAAGACAAGAAGCTCAAAGAACACCTGTGAAATTCATCACAAAAAGATCATCGCCTAGGCACACTGTCATCAGGTTATCTACAGTTAAGACAAAGAAAAGAATCTTAAGAGCTGTGAGGCAAAAGCACAAGGTAACCTATTAAAGAAAAAAAAAAAACCTATTGAATTAACAGCTGATTTCTCAGCAGAAACCCTACAAGCTAGAAGGGATTGGGGCCCTATCTTCAGCCTCCTTAAACAAAGCAATTATCTGCCAAGAATTTTGTATCCAGCAAAACTAAGCTTCATAAATGAAGGAAAGATAGAGTCTTTTTCAGACAAATAAATACTGAGATAATTTGCCACTACCAAGCCAGCACTACAAGAACTGCTAAAAGGGGAGCTGACTCTTGAAACAAATCCTGGAAACATATCAAAACAGAGCCTCTTTAAAGCATAAATCTCACAGGACCTATAAAACAAAAATACAATTTGAAAAAAAAAAAGGTATACAGGCAACAAATAGCACTATAAATGGAATGGTATCTCACATCTCAATACTAATGTTGAATGTAAATGGCCTAAAAGCACCACTTAAAAGATAAAGAATTGCAGAATGGATAGAATTCACCAACCATCAGCTGCCTTCAAGAGACTCACCTACCACATAAGGACTCACATAAACTTAAGGTAAAGGGGTGGAAAGACATTCTATGCAAATGTACACCAAAAGCAAAAGGCAGTATCTATCCTTATATCAGACAAAATAAACTTTGAAGCAACAGCAGTTAAAAAAGACAAAGAGGGACATTATATAATGATAAAAGGCTATGTCCAACAGTAAAATATCAGAATCCTAAATACATATGCACTTAACACTGGAGCTCCCAAATTTTCTTTTTTTTTTTTGAGACAGAGTTTTGCTCTGTCACCCAACCTGGAGTGCAGTGGCTTGATCTTGGCTCACAGCAACCTCCGCCTCCCAGGTTCAACTGATTCTCCTGCCTCAGCCCCCTGAGTGGCTGGGATTACAGGCGCTCGCTACCACACCCAGCTAATTTTTGTATTTTTAGCAGAGAAGGGGTTTCACCATGTTGGCCAGGCTGGTCTCAAACTCCCGACCACTGGTAATCCGCCCGTCTCGGCCTCCCAAAGTGCTGGGATTACAGGCATGAGCAACCTCACCCAGCCTAGAGCTCCCAAATTTATAAAACAATTACTACCAGATCTAAGAAACAAGATAGACAGCAACACAATAACAGTGGGGGACTTCAATACTCCACTGACAGCACTAGACAGGTTATCACGACAGAAAGTCAACAAAGAAACAATGGATTTAAACTATACCCTGGAGCAAATGGACTTAACAGATATTTACAGAACATTCTATCCAACAACTGCAGAATATTCATTCTATTCCTCAGTGCATGAAACTTTCTCCAAGATAGTCCATATGAGAGGCCACAGAACAAGCCTCAATAAATTTAAGAAAATTGAAATTATATCAAGCACTCTCTCAGACCACAGTGGAATAAAACTGGAAATCAACTCCAAAAGGAACCTTCAAAACCATGCAAATACATGCAAATTAAGTAAACTGTTTCTGAGTGATCATTGGGTCAACAATAATATCAATATGGAAATTAAAAATTTCTTCGAACTGAATGACAATTGTGACACGACCTATCAAAACCTCTGGGATACAGCTCAGGTGGTGCTAAGAGGAAAGTTCATAGAGCAGAGCACAGTGGCTCACACCTGTAATCCCAGCACTTTGGGATGCCAAGGTGGGTGGATACACTGAGGTCAGGAGTTCAAGACCAGCCTGGCAAAAATGATGAAACCACGTCTCTACTAAAAATACAAAAATTAGTCATGCATGGTGGCAGGTGCCTGTAGTCCCAGCTACTTGGGAGGGTGAGGCACAAAAACTGCTTGAACCCCACAGGAGCAGGTTGCAGTGAGCCAAGATCGCACCACTGCACTCCAACCTGGGTGACAAAGCAAGACTTCATCTCAAAAATAAAAAAAAGAAAAGGAAAGAAAGAAAGTTCATAGCCCTAAATGCCTACCTCAAAAAGTCTGAAAGAACACAACCAGATGATCTAAAGTCACACCTCAAGGAGCTAGAGAACGAGAACAAACCAAACCCAAAGCCAGCAGAAGAAAGGAAATAACCAAGATCAGTGCAGAAATAAATTAAACTGAAACAAAAAACAATACAAAAGATAAATGAAACAAAAAGCTGGTTCTTTAAAAAGGTAGGTAAAACAGATAGACCATTAGCAACATTAACCAAAAAAGAAGAGAGAAAATCCAAATAAGCTCAATTAGAAACGAAACGGGAAATATTACAACGGACAAGACAGAAATACAAAGGATCATTGAAAGCTACTGTGAACACCTTTACATGCACAAACTAGAAAACCTAGAGGAGATGGATAAATCCCTGAAAAGATAAAACCTTCCTAGCTTAAATCAGGAAGAATTTGATACCCTGGACAGACCAGTAACAAGCAGCAAGACTGAAATAGTAATAAAAAAAATTACCAACAAAAAAAAGTCCAGGACCATATGCATTCACAGCTAAATTCTACCAGACATTCAAAGGGGGATTGGTACCAATCCTATTGACAGTATTCCACATGATAGAGAAAGAGGGAATCCTCCCTAAATCATTCTATGAAACCGATATCACCCTAATACCAAAACCAGGAAAGGACATAACAAAAAAGAAAACTACATGCCAATATCCCTGATGAACATAGATGCTAAAATCCTTAACAAAATACTAGCTAACTGAATCCAACAATATATCAAAAAGATAATCCACCCATGATCAAGTGGGTTTCATACCAGAGATGCAGGGATGGTTTAACACACACGAGTCAATAAATGTGCTAAACCACATAAACAGAATTTAAACAAAAATTAGACACAGAAAAAGCATTCAAAAAAAATATGGCATCCTTTTATGATTAAAACTCTCAGGAAAATTGGCATACAAGTAACATACCTCAATGTAATAAATGCCATCTATGACAAACCCACAGCCAACGTAATACTAAATGGGGAAAAGTTGAAAGCATTCTTTTAGGGAAGACAAGACAAGGAGGCCCACTCTTACCACTCCTCTTAAACAGTACTGGAAGTCCTACCCAGAGCAATCAGATAAGAGAAAGAAATAAAGGGCATCCAAATCGGCCAAGAGGAAGTCAAACTGTCACTGTTTGTTGATGATATCATTGTTTACCTAGAAAACCCTATCAAGACTCCTCCAAAAACCTCCTAGAACTGATAAAAAAAAAAATTCAACAAAGTTTATGGATACAAAATTAATGTACACAAATCAGTAGCTCTTCTATATACCAACAGCAACCAAGCTGAGAATCAAATCAAGAACTCAACCCCTTTTACATTAGCTGCAAAAATAAAATAAAATACTTAGGAATATACCTAACCAAGGAGGTGAAAGACCTCTACAAGGAAAACTACAAACACTGCTGGAAGAAATCATAGATGACACAAATGGAAACACATCTCATGCTCATGGATGGGTAGAATCAATATTGTGAAAATGACCATACTGCCAAAAGCAATCTACAAATTCAATACAATTCCCATAAAAATGCCACCATCATCCTTCACAGAACTAGAAAAAAATCCTAAAATTCGTAGGAAACCAAAAAATGAGTCTGCCTAGCCAAAGCAAGACTAAGCAAAAAGAAAAAATCTGGAGGTATCACATTACCTGATTTCAAGCAATATGATAAGGCCATAGTCACCAAAACAGCATGGTACTGGTATAAAAATAGGCACATAGACCAATGAAACAGAATAGAGAACCCAGAAATAAGCCCAAATACTTACAGCCAACTGATCTTTGACAAAGCAAACAAACACATAAAGTGGGGAAAGGACACCCTATCCAACAAATGGTGCTGGGATAATTGGCAAGCCACATGTAGGAGAATGAAACTGGATCCTTATCTCTCACCTTATACAAAAATCAACTCAAGATGGATCAAGGACTTAAATCTAAGACCTGAAACTATAAAAATTCTAGAAGATAACACCAGAAAAGCCCTCTAGACATTGGCTTAGGCGAGGATTTTATGACCAAGACCCCAAAAGCAAATGCAATAAAAACAAATAGCTGGGACTTAATTAAACTAAAGAGCTTTTGCACGGCAAAAGGAACAGTCAGCAGAGTAAACAGACAATCCACAGAGTCGGAGAAAATCTTCACAATCTATACATCTGACAACGGACTAATATCCAGAATCTACAACGAACACAAGCAAATTAGCAAGAAAAAAAAAACAATCCCATCAGAAAGTGGGCTAAGGACATGAACAGACAATTCTCAGAAGAAGATACACAAATGGCCAACAAACATATGAAAAAATGTTCACATCACTAATAATCAGGGAAACGCAAATCAAAACTACAATGTGATACCAACTTACTCCTGCAAGAATAGCCATAATCAAAACATCAAAAAATAATAGATATTGGCATGGCTCCAGTAAACCAGGAACACTTCTACACTGCTGGTGGGAATGTAAACTAGTACAACCACTATAGAAAATGGTGTGGAGATTCCTTAAAGAACTAAACAGAACTACCGTTTGATCCAGCAATCCCACTACTGGGTATCTACGCAGTGGAAAAGAAGTCATTATACAAAAAAGATACTTGCACACATGGGTTTAAAGCACACACATGTTTATAGCAAAACAATTCACAATTGCAAAAATGTGGAACCAACCTAAATGCCTGTCAATCGACGAGCGGATAAAGAAACCGTGGGGGCGGGGGGTGGTGTGTGTGTGTGTGTGTGTGTGTGTGTGTGTGTGTGTGTGTGTGTATAAAATGGAATACTACTCAGCAATAAAAAAGAATGAATTAATGGCATTTGTAGTGACCTGGAGGAGATTGGAGACTATCATTCTAAGTGAAGTAACTCAGGAATAGAAAACCAAATATCATATGTCCTCACTGATATGTGGAAGCTAAGCTATGAGGATGCAAAGGAATAAGAATGACACAATGGACTTTGGGGACTTGGGGGAAAGAGGTAAGGGATAAAAGACACAAATTCGGTACAGCGTATACTGCTTGTGTGATGGGAGCACCAAAATCTAACGAATTACCACTAGAGAATTTACTCATGTAACCAAACACCACCTGTTCCCCAATAACCTATAGAAATAAAAAAATTTAAAAGATAAATAAACAAAAATAAAATGGTTGATTGTATGTTATGTGAATTTCGTTTCAATTAAAAAAACACACACACACACACAAACATTGACTTATTTTAAAAAAGAAAAAAAGAGGCCGGGCGCGGTGGCTCAAGCCTGTAATCTCAGCACTTTCGGAGGCTGAGGTGGGCGGATCACAAGGTCAGGAGATAGAGACCATCCTGGCTAACATGGTGAAACCCCGTCTCTACTAAAAATACAAAAAATTAGCTGGTTGAGGTGGTGGGCGCCTGTAGCCCCAGCTACCCCAGAGGCTGAGGCAGGAGAATGGCGTGAACCCGGGAGGCAGAGCTTGCAGTGAGCCGAGATCGCGCCCCTGCACTCCAGCCTGGGCAACAGAGCAGACTCCGTCTCAAAAAAAAAAAAAAAAAAGAAAGAAAGAAAAAAAAAAAGAAATGATGTGGTTATAAAGAAAAGAAAAGAAGCTAGAGAGGGAAACATGGTTGCAGGAAAGTATTTCCCCAAAATGTAGCAGAGAAATAAGCACTTTAAATGATAGCAAAGTGCCAATAAATCAAATGAGAGATTGAAGTGAAGGAATACTGTTAAAGTGAGATACTTAAGATACAGAGACAGGATCCACAATAAAGAGAATGCTTCAAGGAACAGCAAACTCCACAACATAACCATAAAGGGATTGGCTGAAATGGAACAGAAATAAGGATGACAGAGTTAAAAATCAAGGAATTGTGTTGCTAGAGAGTTATGTAAGAATCCATATGGACACTGAAATGACCCAAGATGGATGAACTTCAATTGGAAAAAAAAAAGTCTGTGAACCAGGTAACAAAATTTTCAGTCACAGTGGGGGAGGGACCACAAAATCAATGGATGATAGCTATCAGAGGACCACAAATGATTATATAGTCAGGTCACATGAGCTTCAAAAAAATAAGAGATATTTGTGAGTGTGTGTAGAAGAGTAATGGTCTAGAGTCAGTCCAATTAGAAGGCCATTTATTATAACATTCAAGCAATGACCTCACCAATAACAGTGACGATAAACACAGACTTCAGCCAAGCTAAGAGAGAGGTGATACCTCTCTTGTAGGCCTCCTAATCTCAAATTCTAACTAATTGATTTTTAAAATCAATTAATAGAGACTGATTATTAATAGTCTACCAAAACAACTGTACTAATTCATAATAATCCACACTTAAAATTCCAATGATCACATGTAAAATTTCTACAAGTAAATCCATCAAATCCCTGATGGTAAACAGAGCACATTGATGGCCAGATCAAATGACCATCCAGTAAATAAAAAATCCTATCTAAATGTAAACAAAATTAAAAAAAACAAAAAACAAAAAAAAACTTCGTCCTGTGAAAGTATGGAAATTCTCTAGATCCCAGAAAAGTTCTGCTAGATAGAGCAGATAGGTGCTGGTGTCCAATCAAAGAAAGCTTTATTTCCCTGCTCTACAGTGGAAAAAATAATTCTGAAGCCCTTCATCAGAATTAGACATTCAAATCAAAACAGCTGCCTCAGATCTTTAAGTCTAATTACACTGACACAGACTTTGTAGAAAAACAAAAATAAAGTACAAGATGAAACTATAAAAAGAGTTGACATAAAATGCCACAGTCAAGAGTAATAACATATCACTTTTTGATCAGGTCACCTAAATCTATGGGCTGTCAGGACCAAAATTTTTTTCTTATTAATACTGGAAATCAGTGGCTCTTGATTGTAATTCCAGCAATTTGGGAGGCCAAGGCAGGAGGGTCACTTGAGGCCAGGAGTTCGAGACCAGCCTGGGCAACACAGCAAGACGCAGTATCAAAAACAGAAACAAAACAAACAAAAAGTGGCTTACTGGTATCTGACTTAAAATGTTTAAGAAAGGAATCCGTGCTTATGGGAAACAGAAAACTATCTCTGAATTTAAAATACTACATATACAAATATTTTCACTTTCTTGTTTAAAATCTAGCTAAACCTGTAGGTACATGAGATAAAAGGATAAAATCACCTTAGGTTTTCAAACAGAATATTTTTGTAATCTTAAAGAGCCATATCAACAATTAGAAGGTTATGACAGTAAAGAAATAAAATTAAACTTGCAAAAATGATTTTAAAGAAAATTAAGCTAAAAAGGAGAAAGGTGGTAAAAGGTTAATGACAGTAAAGAAATAAAATGAAACTTGCAAAAATGATTTTAAAAGAAGTTAAGCTAAAAAGGAGAAAGATGGTAAGAATATATACATAAAAATAAGTTTAATCTGGAGTGAAACTACAAGTATTTCTCCTATTAGAAGATAATCTCAGATTTTTAGGTTCAAAAGATGATTTTCAAATTTTTTTTTTTTTTGAGATGGAGTTTCACTCTTGTTGCCCAGGCTGGAGTGCAATGGCGCGGCCTCTGCACACCACAACCTCCGCCTCCTGGGTTCAAGCAATTCTCCTGCCTCAGCCTCCCACTTTTCAAATTTTTTAAGAAAAATAAGTATTACTTCTATAAACAGCCTTACAAATAGTTACATTTATTAGATGAAAAGATTTAACATTTATGTTCCAGGTGGTACAAAAACCAGAATAGGTGGTTTAGAAACAGATTTATTACTCTCTTTAGGTTGAAGAAGTTTTTTTTTTTTTTTTGGAGACAGAGTCTCGCTCTGTCGCCCAGGCTGGAGTGCAGTGGCACAATCTCGGATCACTGCAAACTCCACCTCGCGGGTTCATGCCATTCTCCTGCCTCAGCCTCCCGAGTAGCTGGGACTACAGGCGCCGGCCACCACGCCCAGCTAATTTTTTGTATTTTTAGTAAGGACGGGTTTTCACCCTGTTAGCCAGGGTGGTCTCTATCTCCTGACCTCGTGATCCACCCGCCTCGGCCTCCCAAAGTGCTGGGATTACAGGCGTGAGCCACCATGCCCAGCCAAGACTTAATTCAATGATCAAAGAAAGCACATCAATCATATAATTTTTTAAATTGTATAGCAAGTCTTGTCCTGTTTTACAGATGAGGCCCCTAGAGGCTGAACAAAAAAGAATATGAAAAAGGAGAGGAGCACATAGTTAAATGGAAGTTACTGATAATGTTTTAGCTCTTGAGTTATGTTAACAAGTATTTATTAGATTAGCATGGACATGATGTGTCATGAATCAAAAACTGTGTATCTGAAATCAAAAACAGGATAAACAGTTTACAAGTAGTAACTCTGCAAGATTTAAAAGTGAGGGCAATGACTGACATAGATACATCTCTCAGAGTGAATAGGAAATCATTAACAACTATTTCATGAGTGAAGTTTCAATATATTTTTTAAAATTCAGAGTAAACATCAAGATGGACTTTATTTTACCTAACACAACAATTCGGTCACCCTGTCATCCTAAAAATCTCTATAAGTAAAACTGATTGTAAGGATATGTTAAGGCAGTATATTAAAACCATGACCACTAGAATCACAATCATTATGAATCTCTTTTTCTAAGTGTCTTTTGCTGAGATTATATAAATATTTTAGCAATGCTTTTCAGTGCAGTACAGAGTAGACAACCAACAAATGTTGGTAGAATTAAATTGACCTTCACAAACAAGACATGCCTTCTTATCAAGGCATTTAACAAAATCTTATTTTTGGAATGATCTTATCTGATTTAAGCCTCATATTCCTACCTTTTAATCATACTTCAATACATTCCTATGCATAATAGTTTTTTTTAACAGATTCATATCTTTGAGTACCTGTAACTCTAAAAGGCCCCTTCACTGAACCTACCATTCCAACCACAATTTTATTTAGAAAATACGTCTTTTCTTCGTGGTGATTCTACAATGTAATAACTTGAAATACTTTGAATATAAACTAATTCAGTTTTACTAGTACCTGCTTAATTACATACTATACTAATCAAAGCTTAAAACAGGAAAATAAACTATTTTAAAATCTGTTTCATCTACAATGTTTTTACGCAAAATTTAATTCCAATCACTAGCATAAACCCAAGCATTACTCTCCAGAGGTGTACACTGCTAAATAATTTGTCCAAATGTCAACTGCAATTTTCAAAAATCCTTTCTAACCCAAAATTTTAAACATCTGTAAAAAATACTTGTTTTGAGAGTGGTTTACATTCATGACATTTAACCTTTTGCTGTACAAACCACAAAATTCAAGTCCCAAATACCATGCAAGCAGGAAATCTGATCATTCCTGCAGTAGCCATCTGCATAGTCCAATATCAAGTATTAGTTCTAGGTTGCACTAAGTCATGTGTTACAAGTCTTTTTCTGCAGCCTCTATAATTAGTTGTAATTTGCCTCTGTTAAAACATGTTTCTTAAGGGACATCTGGCCTTGAAACTTCTACCTTCTCAATGAAAAAAGTACTTAAGTGTCTGGATTTTTTTTTTCTCTTTTAATATGGAACACTGCATGGGTGGTATAACCAAGTCCAGACTTTGAAAAAAAATAAATTCCAAGAAAAGATAATAATTAAGAACCACTTAACATTTAAGTATTACCAACTATAAATGGAAAGTAAAACTTTGTTGTAATGTAACTATCCACAGATTTCTAAATTAATCTCTCAAATATTAGAAGTTCACAAAGTAACTTTTCATTTTCATGAGAATATAACATTGGTCTATTAACTTCTAGAAACTATATTAAGTTAAATTGGATAATACGTGTTTGGAATCAAAGATTTCATAAATGGAAAAAAGATCTGAGTCCACTGGGTTGATATGGCACTCAAAGCATCCACTTAAAATAGGAAATAATTTTAACAGTTCATACATAACCCTAACTTCACAAAGATTAAAGTTACATTTAGAATACGTTAAACTTACAGATTCATATGAAGTCATTTTAATAATACTTATCAATTTACTTGATTATAGCCAATCTTCCTTAAAACTAAAAGTTAAATATTAAGTGGGTGCTAAAAAAAAAAAAAAACCTAATAAAAATGAATGACAGACACACTACTCTTCTGCAAGGTGAAAGTGGAAACATTCTCCACAATAAGCTATGGTCCTGACCTATTTTGCTTTCCTAGATTGGAAAATTTTTGGTAGAAACTCTTTAAAACCAATATTACATCTGCAAAAAAACACTAGCAAGAAATGTAAGATGGGTCAGAGAAGAAATAAATAAATCTGAAAAAAGAAAAAATCAGTTTCTTATACCAAAACTTCAAAAACAATTATAAAATTTGGTGTAAATATATTTTCATCTTCCCAAAAAATAACCTGAGAAATTCCCTTCAGATTTAGAAAAATTATGTAAAGAAAAAATACATACAGGTCCTTTGCAAAAATCTAAAAATGTTAATGTAAAAATCGGACACAATTAGGCTGCACTTTCATTGTAGATGTAAGTAATAAGCAATCTGCATGGTCCCTAGTAGAGCTATGACAAAGTAAAATCTGTATGAAAACAACCTTTACATACTTTATTCAAATTTAAAAATGACTTTGCAAATAGTCATGTCACTTAAACAGGCATATACAAATTAAAGGCCAGGCACAGTGGCTCATGCCTATAATCCCAGTACTTTGGGAGGCCAAGGTGGGCAGATCACGAGGTCAAGAGATCAAGACCATCCTGGCCAACATAGTGAAACCCCTTCTCTACTAAAAATATAAAAATTAGCTGGGCGTGGTGGCGCACACCTGTAGTCCCAGCTACTCAGGAGGCTGAGGCAGGAAAATCACTTGAACCCAGGAGGAGGAGGTTGCAGTGAGCCGAGATCGCACCACTGCACTCCAGCCTGGCAACAGAGCAAGACTCTATCTCAAAAAAAAAAAAAAAAAAAAAAAAAAGTATATAAGCTAAGATATGTTTATGTAACAGTTGGCATATTTGAAAAGGTAAAGAAATGTCAAATACTACTAAAATTAGTTAACATAAACAACTTGGTTCAATAATTTCTTACCTGTATCCCATCCTTAAGTTTCAAAATGCATTCCATAGTATTGATGGTAATTACCACTGGTTCTGAACCCAGTTTTGTCCATGGTACATGAATCCTCAATTCATGAATATGTCCACTTAAAAAAGTGAATGGTAATTTCAGTTCCTTAAAACACAAAACATTACATAAAAATTAGTAAGTGCTTAATATTTTTTATTATAATATGCAAATTTCTTTTTTAAAAAATAAAATTTCCAACACAAGAATATTCAGAGACTTATTGTTTAGTGCTTAATATTTTTCATTCTAATATACAAATTCCTTTCTTAAAAGAGAAATAAAATGTCCAACACAAAAATATTTTCAGAATTACTGTTTATCAAAAAGTAGCATCAAATACCTTGTTAGGCCATAGTTAATGATAAATAACAATAATTTATGGTACAAGTTACATTTAATAAGTTCCTTAAGCACTCTAGGCCTGTCTCCTACTTTGCTGAATGGAAATAATATATAATACTCAGTACATGATGAAGGCTGATATATGATAGTGCAACAGTATATAGCAGCAGTACTTCAAATAACTGAAATGATGTAATTTTTTAAGTCTCCATCTAAAAATATGTCTTCAAAATATATTTTAAACTAATAGAACAGTATTCTAAGTCAAGTTGAAAGGGGAGCTCAATTGGAGATTTGAAAATAACCTGACAAAATGAAAACTGATCAACTTAAAAAAAAAAAAAAAAAGTATTCCACTTCACCTAATGTAAAATTGAACTGGATACTACTTGGTCATAAATTTTAAATGTTTTCTGACTGCTTTTCATTATCATTAGATAAAAGGTTAGGCATGAAAAATGTCACCAAAATTGCTTTATGCTCATTTGTCTCACTTCTAGATATAATTTGTTTACAAATCAACAAAGGAGGAAGAAAAAAATGTATTTCTATCACATTTTTAGTTATTGTAACTCTATTTGTGAAAGTTAATAAAAATATTAAGCTTATTCATTCACATTTTAGTCTACCTAGTTGGTTCAGCAACACAGTAACAATATGCCTAAATACAGACAGTATAGCAAAGTGATTAAGACCAATAACTCTGCAGCCAGCAGACAGTTTATTGTATCTGTGCCTCAGTTTCATTATCTGTAAAATTTGTATAAAAAGACTACATTTTGAATATTATATTAATCTATATAAAGCTTAGAATACTACCTTCCTCACAGAGAAATCATTATAAAGGTGCTTATTATTATTATTATTATTACAAAAGTGTGGGCCTAATTTGTTTCTTCAACCAGAGGGTTTTTTTTTAAAGGTCAGCTATTAAGTCTATTGTTAGTACTCTATGCTAATGGAATGTTACAATTTTTAGATATTTGTCATTATCACAGTATTTTTAAAATGCATTAATTTCTTCAAGCATTGTTCAGCTAGCACAAGATTATATATTGATCAGTGCCTGTAACAAAAGCAATAAGCACTGAGTATGTACCAGGCGCTATTCTAAGCACCTTACTCGTATACAATCATTTACTCCTCCTAAGAATCACAAAATGTAAATAGCATTATCCCCATTTTACAATGAAGAATCTGAGACATGAAGGGTCAGGAATCTTCCCAAAACGAGTCATCTAGGAGAGCCTGGACTCAAAATTAAGAAATATTATTCCACAGCCATGGCAATTAACCACTATAATACTGCCTCTATACTTCCATTATCAGCACTGAAAATGTTTCCACTGGCTATTTATCTATCTAACTGGACAATGAGCACATTACAATTCCACCTCTACCACCCTACGCCTTGTGTAACAATGATATATTTGCAAAATGGCTACCAAAGTTGCAGTCTAAGGGCATAAATCAGATTGTCTCAGAGTTCTCAGAGTACAAATGTTTAAAGACACCTGAATCAAACTCAAGAACTTAGTATCATCAGAATGCTACTAACCAAACAGTAACACAAGAGGTGGCTTTCTGGATTAGAACATGGAATTTTGAGCCATATGATCTGACTATAAGCAAGATAGTTTCAATTTCAAAATCACAGAGGAAGGAAAAATAAACAACATACATATATAGTAAAAGGTGAAACACAAATGATGATTGTTATAACAAATGGATCTTCCTTAAGATAACCAAAAAAGGAATTTTCTTTTCATTCTTTTCCCTTCTTGAAATATATGTCTACAACTTAAAAATACTTTATTTATGTATAACTTTTAGTTAATACATCATGTAAAATGCATCCCTAAAATCAGAACATCTATGATAATGCAAAGGATATTAGTAGCAAAGAATTTCAGAACAGAGTTGAATATATCTCAAAAATCTAATTCTAGGTAAGGTATTATAAAATAACAGAGAAAAGGGATACTTTTAAAATGAACATAACAGGCAACAAAAGCAAAAATAGAAAAATGAGACATCAAATTTTAAAACTTCTGCACAACAAAGGAAAAAGAGTAAAAAAGACAACCTATGAAATGGACAAAAATATTTGCAAACCATCTATCTGATAAGGTACTAATATCTAGAATATATAAACAAGTCCTATGACTAATCAACAACAAAATAACAATAATTCTATTTTAAAATGGACAAAGGAATTGAAGCCATGTCCACAAAAAAGATATACAAATGGCCAATAAGTATATGAAAAGAAGCTCAGCATAACTACTCATTAGGGAAATACAAATAAAAAAACCACAATGAGATATCTCTCAGCCATAACAATGGCCATTATCAAAAACATAGTAAGTGTTGAGAAAATGGAATACTTATACACTCTTAGTGGAAACATAAAATGGTACAACTGCTACAGAACATAATATGGAGGTTCCTCAACAAATCAAAAACAGAATTACAATGATCCAGAAACCCCAATTCTGGGTATATACCCAAAATAATTTAAAAGAAAATCTTAAGGAGATATTCACACACCCATGTTCAAAGCAGCATTAATCACAATAGCTGTAAAGTAAAAGCAACTCTAATACTCATTTTAGGATGAATGGATAAGCAAAATGTAATACACACATACAATGGGATATTATTCAGCCTTAAAAAAATAAGCCAATCCCATAATATACCACAACATGGATGAAACATGAGGACATTATGGTAAATAAAATAAGCCAGTTACGAAAAGATAAATACTGTATGATTCCACATATATAAGGTATCTAACATTGTCAGACTCTTAGAAAGTAGACTGGTGGTTGTCAAGGGCTGGGGCAGGGGAAAGGTAAAAAGGGAGTCATTGGTTCAATAGATAGAGAGTTTCAGTTTTACAAGACAAAAAAGTTCTGAAGATCTGCTACACAAGGATGTGCATATAATTAATAGTAATATAGTATACACTTAAAAGTGCTTAAGATGGTCATTTCTCTTTAAGAAACAAGGTCTAACTCTGTCACCCAGGCTGGAGTGCAGTGGCACAATCAGCTCACTGAAACCTCAAACTCCTGGGCTCTCCCACCTCAGCATGCCAAGTAGCTAGGATTATATGCACGTCACCACGCCCAACCAATTTTTTTAATTTTTGGCACAGATGAGTCTCACTATGTTGCCCAGTCTTGTCTTCAACTCCTGGGCTTCAAGCTAGCCTCCCATCTCAGCCTCTCAAAGTGCTGGGATTGCAGGCACGAGCTACCATGCCCAGTCTCAATGACAAATTTTATGTCACATGTTTGTTACTACAGGAACACACACACACGCGCGCGCATGCGACAAGACTTCAAGAGTGCTGAATGAGGAGCTCGGCAAATCCTCTCCCCAAAAAGCAATGACAAAACAGGACAAAGTTGTCAAAAACAACAGACAGCTCAGCAGCAATAAGAGTAAGGCTAGCATAGGGTCACAATACAATTTGGGTCAGGCAACAAAACAGCAAACCAGCCCAAAAATTAACAGAGAAATCTGGAAAATGATATAGCCCAACAGGGTCTTGCCAGGGTCTCACATATATATTACTGGTAGTCTAGAAAGTTGTATGCATGTGCAAGATAGTACTTACTCAGAAGACTGTATATCTGTTGTTCCACCAGATACACAGATATAATCCCCTAAGCAACCACAAAGAGAGGGCAGTAACTAGCAAGCTACTCATTTCGAGTTAACCATGAGGCCTCATGAACATAGAGAATTTAAAAAAAAAAAAAACAGACTTATAATCTCCTGACTTTGAAAGTATTACCCAATAAATGTATATATCCCATGCCAAAGAGTAAATACCTAACTAGCTCAAAGGTTTAAACAACCTCCAAACAATCACTGGCTGATGACTAAGTTATAGTAACCCAGCGAAATTCCTAGAATGCCAGGCTTAAAAATAGAAAAGAGAATTTGTTTTAATGAGCAGAGAAATCAGAAGGCACACGAAACAGACATCACAAAATTAGTCGAGGCAAGTCAATAAACAAATAATCCTGAAACAACAACCATCTCCTGGGGGAGAAGAAATCAAAATCCAAAGCTGCTGCAATATATTACACAAAATGTCCAATTTACAACAAACAACTATGACACATGCAAAGTGTACAGAAATAAAAATAGTCAATAGAAACAAACTATCTGTGAAGGAGATCAAATACAGGACTTGGTACACAAAGACTTCAAAACATCAATTCCAAATATGTTCAAAGAAATAAGGGAAACCATATACAAATAATTTTTTTTTTTGAGATGGAGTCTCACCCTGTCACCCAGGCTGGAGTGCAATGGCATGATCTTGGCTCACTGCAACCTCTGCCTCCCGGGTTCAAATGATTTTCCTGCCTCAGCCTCCCGAATAGCTGAGATTACAGGCACCCACCACCACACCCAGCTAATTTTTGTATTTTTAGTAGAGATGCGGTTTCACCATGATGGTCAGGCTGGTCTTGAACTCCTGACCTCAAGTGATCCACCCACCTCAGCCTCCCAAAGTGCTGGGATTACAGACAGGTGTGAGCCACCGCACCCAGCCTCATATTCAAATAATTAAAGAAACATATGACAACAGTGATTCATCAATTAGAAAATGTCAATAAAAACAAATTACAAAAAAAATGAAAATTTTGGAGTTGAAAGTACAATCAACAAAATAAAAAATTCACTAGAAGGGCTCAGCAGCAGATTTGAATTGGCAAAAGAATCAGTGAATTCAAATCCAAATATATCATAGTCAAACTGCAGAAAGCCAGGGACAAAAAATATATAGATATTGAGAGCAGAAAGACAAAAATAATTTTTCAGGTACAAGGAAACTTTTAGTAGATTAACACCTAATTTCTCCAAGAATTCTATATCCAGCAAAATTATCCTTCAATAATGCAAGCAAATTAAAATATACTCAAATAAAGAATAAGATAATTGATTCCTAGCAGAATATTAAAGGAAGTTCATTAGGCTGAAAGGAAGTAGCAACAGCTACTTCACACAACAAATTCACACAACAAAACGATACAGGTAATTATGTTGGTGACTAGTAAAGGACAGTATAAATGCTTTTTTCTCCTTTGTTCTTCTGGTTTAAAAGGAAATTGCATAAAACAATAATGATAAAATTGTATAGTTGAACTTTTAACAAGATGCAATATATGTGACAATAACAGCACAAGCAGCAGAAGAAAATGGAGCTATAGTAGAGAAATGTTCTCTATTTTAATGGAATAAAGTTATCAATAATCTCAACTAGTTTGCAGTAAATCAGATGCATATTATAATCCCCCAAGCAATCACAAAGAAAATAATTCGGGCCAGGCGCAGTGGCTCACACCTGTAATCTCAGCACTTTGGGAGGCTGAGGCAGGTGGATCACGAGGTCAGGAGATCGAGACCATCCTGGCTAACATCGTAAAACCCTGTCTCCACTAAAAATACAAAAAAAAAAAACAAAAATAGCCCGACATGGTGGTGAGCACCTATAGTTCCAGCTACTCGGGAGGCTGAGGCAGGAGAATGGCGTGAACCCGGGAGGCGGAGCTTACAGTGAGTTGAGATCGCGCCACTGCACTCCAGCCTGGGTAACAGAGCGAGACTCTGTCTCAAAAAAAAAAAAAAAGAAAAGAAAGAAAGAAAGTAATTCAAAAGCAATTTGAAAATCAATAAAGGAATTAAAATAGAACATCAAAAATATCAATTTATTACAAAAGAAATTAATAAATATCAGAGGAACAAAAAAGACATGAGGCACACAGAAAATAATAGCAAAATGATAAATGTAAATCCAATCATATGAATAAAAATTAGAAGTGAACAGATTAAAAACTTCAATCAAAATGGTACCCAATGTTCATCTCCTCCACAAAGAAAAACCAAAACAACAAATAGAGCAGTTTGAGTTTAGTGTCTATGGGAGAACAATGGAACTCATCAGGAAGTAATGAAGATCTTCTGAGGTACAGAAACTCCACATGTCAGCATAAAGGGGAAAGGAGAGCACCTGGCCAAGATCAGCCTGGAGCCAGAAGGGACTCCCTATTGACGAGAAAAGTTAAGCAAGACATCCTCAGCAGTCCCCATGACCACTGTGGATACTTGCAATCCAAGCTACAGGGCAGTTCCACAGTCCTCACAAGCCCTGAGTCCAGTATAGGGAGCTACCTGAGGTCCATAAGGCTGGATTGCTCCAAAGAGAGAATTCGCATTTGATCCACTGAATTCCTCAGGATCCAAGTTGCTGCAGTACTATATCATTTGGAGAATGAAGCAACTGCTGGAGTGCATTCTGCCTTGGGGCTCAATAGCCCTGGCATCTCTACATCCCTTGGACACTGTAATCAGAAAATGGCAGCTGAGAAATAGCAGCCATTTCTCAGGGACTAAGGACCAGCCTGCCTAGCATTCCTCACCCCAAGCAAAGCCACACCACTGCCTCCACAAACACCCACAATCTAGCCCACTGAGGCACTCACAGAAAATGCTGATATTGATGACGGGTGAAGAAATCACATAGAAATTACACTACTGCACCCAATGAGGAAAAAAGCCTAAACACCCTACTCAACCAGTACTGTAAGTCAAATCTACAGGAAAAAGTTTTTTCCTACGAAAACTACTTCATAAAATTGGAAGAGGTGGTTGTTCCTCTAGATAAACAGATATCAAGCTAGGGACACAAGAAACACGAAAAGGCATGGAAACATGACACCTCAAAGGAATACAGTAATTCTCTAATAACATACCCCAAGGAAGACAAACCTATAAAATACCTGAAAAGAATTCACAGTAATTTCTTAAGGAAACTCAGTGAAATACAAAAGAATACAGATAGTTAATTCAACAAAATCAGAAAAACAATTCATGATCTGAATGAGAAATTCAACGAACAGATATATGCCATAAAAAAGAACCAAACAGAAATCTTGGCATTGAAGAAGTCAGTGAATAAAATTAAAAAATACAATTGAAAGCTTCGGCAATACACTAGATCAAGCAGAAGAATTTGTGAACTTGAACATAAGTCTTTTGAAATACAGGAAATCTTCACCTGACATCATCAGTGGGTTCTTGGAAACTGTGATTTAAATGAAACAACATGTAACAAAACTAATTTTACCTAGGCTAACTGATATAAACAAAAGTTCCTACAGCCTACGTCTAGTCACAAAAACATCACCAATATTGTAAAGAGTCAAACCACTTCTAATATCAAATACTGAAATAGATGTAGGTTATATGTACATTTAAGAAAGATTAATGAAATTATTAAATTAGTATCAAATTAGTACACTACTAAATTAATAAAATTAAGATTAATAAATATTTACCAAATTTATGAATTGGCGAATGACAGAAGTCACAATGGTTATGAATGAAATCATGAAATAAATGTTTGCAAAGTGAAAACGAGCATCCTCTAATGCCACACAGTTAAAAAAACAATGAATATGGTGAGATCACTGAGTGCTTTCTGAACGCATAATATATTGTGCATTTGTATGATTATCATATACTTTACGCATTTTTATTTTATAGTAACGTGATCATTCATTTTCCAACCTGCTTATTCCAGTTCAGTGTCACAGGTGGCTGAAGCCTATCCAGACACTCAGGGTAAAAAGTGGAAACCAGTTCTGGACAGGACACCATTACATCATGGTACACACACACACACACACACACACACACACTCACTCACTCATACTGGGACAATTTAGACATACCAGTTAACCAAACATTCACATCTTTGGGAAGCAGAAGGAAACCAGAGTATCCGGAGAAAACCCATGCAGACATGGGGAGAACAAGCAAACTCCATAAAGACAGAGGTCCTAACCAGAAATCATTTTTGTCTCAGCAACATTATAACTAAACAACGCTGAACATTATTTTGAGGTCCTGCTGTACCCAGGTTAGCCGAAAAAAAAAAACAAAAAAAACAGATAATTAAAAAGAATGAGAAGAACGCCTACAGGGCCTATGGGATACTATTAAGTAAAAAAAAAAAAAAAAAAAAGCATGTATTTTTGGAGATCCAGAAGAAGAGAACAGACAAAGCATATAAAACCTATTTAAATAAATAATTGCTGAAAACATCTCAAGTCACGGAAGAAATATAAACATCCAGGTCCAGGAAGCTCAAAGTTTCCCAAATAGACTCAACCCAAAAAGGTCCTCTCAGGATACATTATAGTCAAACTGAGAAAAGATGAACATTATAGTGAAACTGTCAAAATTCAAACACAAAGAGAATTTTAAAAATAGGAAAAGTGTGAAGTAACATACCAGGGACTCTCCATAAAACTAACAGCCCTCTCCCTCTCCCTCTCCCTCTCCCTCTCCGTCTCCCTCTCCCTCTCCCTCTCCCTCTTTCCACGGTCTCCTTCCACGGTCTCCCTCTGATGCCGAGCCAAAGCTGGACTGTACTGCTGCCATCTCGGCTCACTGCAAAATCCCTGCCTGATTCTCCTGCCTCAGCCTGCCGAGTGCCTGCGATTGCAGGCGCGCGCCGCCACACCTGACTGGTTTTCGTTTTTTTTTTTGGTGGAGACAGGGTTTTGCTGTGTTGGCCGGGCTGGTCTCCAGCTCCTAACCGCGAGTGATCCACCAGCCTCGGCCTCCCAAGGTGCCGGGATTGCAGACGGAGTCTCGTTCACTCAGTGCTCAATGGTGCCCAGGCTGGAGTGCAGTGGCGTGATCTCGGCTCGCTACAACCACCTCCCAGCCGCCTGCCTTGGCCTCCCAAAGAGCCGAGATTGCAGCCTCTGCCCGGCCGCCACCCCGTCTGGGAAGTGAGGAGCGTCTCTGCCTGGCCGCCCATCGTCTGGGATGTGAGGAGCCCTCTGCCTGGCTGCCCAGTCTGGAAAGTGAGGAGCGTCTCTGCCCGGCCGCCATCCCATCTAGGAAGCGAGGAGCGCCTCTTCCCCGCCGCCATCCCATCTAGGAAGTGAGGAGCGTTTCTGCCCGGCCGCCCATCGTCTGAGATGTGGGGAGCACCTCTGCCCCGCCGCCCTGTCTGGGATGTGAGGAGCGCCTCTGCCCGGCCGCAACCCTGTCTGGGAGGTGAGGAGCGTCTCTGCCCGGCCGCCCCGTCTGAGAAGTGAGGAAACCCTCTGCCTGGCAACCACCCCGTCTGAGAAGTGAGGAGCCCCTCCGCCCGGCAGCCGCCCCGTCTGAGAAGTGAGGAGCCCCTCCGTCCGGCAGCCACCCCGTCTGGGAAGTGAGGAGCGTCTCCGCCCGGCAGCCACCCCGTCCGGGAGGGAGGTGGGGGGGGTCAGCCCCCATAAGCGCTAACTTAAGGGGTCAGCCCCCCGCCCGGCCAGCCGCCCCATCTGGGAGGTGAGGGGCTCCTCTGCCCGGCCGCCCCTACTGGGAAGTGAGGAGCCCCTCTGCCCGGCCAGTTGCCCCGTCCAGGAGGGAGGTGGGGGGGTCAGCCCCCCACCCGGCCAGCCGCCCCGTCCGGGAGGGAGGTGGGGGGGTCAGCCCCCCACCTGGCCAGCCACCCCGTCCGGGAGGGAGGTGGGGGGGGTCAGCCCCCCGCCCGGCCAGCTGCCCCGTCCGGGAGGGGGGAGGGGGGTCAGCCCCCTGCCCGGCCAGCCGCCCCGTCCGGGAGGGAGGTGGGGGGGGGGGTCAGCCCCCCGCCCGGCCAGCCGCCCCATCCAGGAGGTGAGGGGCTCCTCTGCCCAGCCGCCCCTACTGGGAAGTGAGGAGCCCCTCTGCCCCGCCAGCCGCCCCGTCCGGGAGGGAGGTGGGGGGGGTCAGCCCCCCGCCCGGCCAGCCGCCCCATCCGGGAGGGAGGTGGGGGGGTCAGCCCCCTGCCCGGCCAGCCGCCCCGTCCGGGAGGTGAGGGGCACCTCTGCCCGGCTGCCCCTACTGGGAAGTGAGGAGCCCCTCTGCCCGGCCACGACCCCGTCTGGGAGGTGTGCCCAGCGGCTCATTGGGGATGGGTCATGATGACAATGGCGGTTTTGTGGAATAGAAAGGCGGGAAGGGTGGGGAAAAGATTGAGAAATCGGATGGTTGCCGGGTCTGTGTGGAGAGAAGTAGACATGGGAGACTTTTCATTTTGTTCTGTACTAAGAAAAATTCTTCTGCCTTGGGATCCTGTTGATCTGTGATCTTACCCCCAACCCTGTGCTCTCTGAAACATGTGCTGTGTCCACTCAGGGTTAAATGGATTAAGGGCGGTGCAAGATGTGCTTTGTTAAGAGTCATCACCACTCCCTAATCTTAAGTACCCAGGGACACAAACACTGCGGAAGGCCGCAGGGTCCTCTGCCTAGGAAAACCAGAGACCTTTGTTCACTTGTTTATCTGCTGACCTTCCCTCCACTATTGTCCTATGACCCTGCCAAATCCCCCTCTGCGAGAAACACCCAAGAATGATCAATAAAAATAAAAATAAAAAATAAAAAAATAAAAAAATAAAAAAAACTAACAGCAGATTTCTCAGCAGAAACATAGGCCAAGAGACAATGGGATGCCATATTCAAAATGATGAAAGAAAACAAACTGTGAGCCAAGATTACCATATCTAGTAAAACTACCCTTCAGAAATGAAGGAAAACTAAAATCTCCCAGAGAAGCAAAAAATGAGGTAATTTATCACCACTAGACTAGATGTAGAAGAAATGATTAAGGGAATCCTAGAACTGAAAGCGAACAGACTATAACTACCATCATGAAAACATGAAGAAGTGTCAATCTCACTGATGAAGCAGATTCACAAATGAGAAAGAGAAGTAAAACTTATCACCACAGAAACCACCAAACTGCAAAGATAAACAATAGGAAAGTAAGGAAGGAAGAATGGATATATATTTAAAAAAAAAAAGGCAATTAGCAAAATGACAACAGAAATTCCTCACCTATCAATAATAACCTTGAATGTAAACAAATAAAAACCCCAAATTAAAAACTATAATCCTCAATTAAAAGCTATAAACTGGATGAATGGATTACCAAAACCAAGACCTGGCTGGCCACAGTGGCTCACACATGTACTCCCAGCATTTTGGGAGGCCGAGGCAGGTAGATCACCTGAGATCAGGAGTTTTAAGACCAGCCTGGCCAACGTGGTGAAACCCCATCTCCATAAAAATACAAAAATTAGCTGGGCATGATGTTGGGTGCCTGTAATCCCAGCAATTTAGGAGGCTGAGGCGGGAGAATCACTTGAACCTGGGAGGCAGAGTTTGCAGTGAGCCAAGATTGCACCGCTGCACTCCAGCCTGGGTGACAGAGTGAGACTCCGTCTCGGAGCGGGGGAAAAAAAAAATAAATAAAACAAGACCCAACTATATGCTGCCTATAAGAAACTCACTTCTGTAAACATACACATAAACTTAAAATGAAAAAATGAAAAAAGTTCCACCAAAAATGAATAGGAGTAGTTATCCTTATATCAGAAAAAATACACTTTAAGTCACAAACTATATAAGGAGACAAAGAAGGTCATCATATAATAATAATGAAGTCAATTTGGCAAGCATCTATAACAACTATAAATATATACACACTCACTACTAGAACACTCAGATAGATAAAGCAAATATTATTAGATCTAAAGAGAGAGATAGACTCCATTACAATAATAGTTGGGGACTTGAACACCCCACTCATAGCATTGAACAGATCGCTGGCAGAAAATCAGCCAAAAATATCAAATTTCAATTGCACTTTAGACCAAATAGACCTAACAGATATTTACAGAACAACAGCTGCGGGATACATTCTTGCCATTAGCACACAAAAAAATTCTCCAAAAATTTTAAAAGTCCAAGTCATATCAAGTTTCTTTTCTAACCACAATAGAATAAAACTAAAAATCAGTAACAAGTACACTTTGGAAACTGTACAAATACACGAAAATTAAACAGCATGTTCTTGAACAACCAATGGATCAATAAAAAATTAAACAAGAAATTTTAAAATTTCTTGAAACAAATGAAAATAGAAATACAACATAGCAAATCCTACGGAATATAGCAAAAACAGTACAAACAGTTTTTAGCATTAAACAGTTGTATCAAGAAGTTGAAAGATTTCAAATAAACAACCTAACAATGCATGTCAAGGACCTAGAAAAGCAAGAACAAAACAAACACAAAATTAGTAGAAGGAAAGATATTATGAGGATCAGAACAAAATAAATGAAATAGAGACCAAACAATACAAAGGATCAACAAAATGAAAAGCTGGTTTTTTGAAAAGATAAACAAAATCAGCAAACTATTACACAGACTAAGAAAAAAAGAGACCAAACCACAGAAATACAAAGGATCGTTAGTGACCATTATGAACAAGTATTCACCAATAAATTAGTATACCTAGAGAACACAAATAAATTCCCGGACACATATAATCTACCAAAATTGAACCAAGAAGAAACAGAAAACCTGAACAGTCCAATACCGAGTAATGAGATTGAATCAGTAATAAAATCACTCAACAAAGAAAAGCCTGGGACTGAATGGCTTCACTACTGAATTCCACTAAACTTTTGAAAAAGAATACCAATTCTTCTCAAACTATTCCAAAAAACTGAAGGATAGAAAATCCTTCCTAACTCATTCTACAAGGCCAGTATTACCCTAATAACAAAACCAAACAAGGAAACAACAGAAAAAGAAAACAAGACAATATGCCTGATGAACATAGATGCAAAATCCTCAACAAAATACTAGCAAACCAAATCTAATAGCACAGCAAAATGATTATACACCATAATTAAATGGGATTTATCCCAGGAATGCAAGAATGGGCCAAAAAGCTTTTCCTCTAAGAACTGGAAAAAGACAAAATGCCCATTTTCACCACCCTTATTCAACATAGTACTGAAGTCCCAGCCAGAGTAATTAAGCAAGGGAAAAAAATTTTTTGAAACAGGGATCAAAATTGGAAAAGAAAAAGTCAAACTGTCCCTATTTGCAGAAGACAAGATCTCATATGCAGAAATACCTAAAGACTCTATCAAAAAAACTCTTAGAACTGATAAATTCAGTAAAGTTGCAGGATACAAAATCTACAAAAATCAGTAGTGTTTCCATACAACGATAACAAACTAGCTGAAAAAGAAATCAAGAAAGTGATCCCATTTCGAATAGCTACAAAAAATAAAATACCTTAGAATAAATTTAATCAAGGAGGTAAAAGATCTCTACAAAAAAAAATGACAGGACACTGGTGAAAGAAATTGAGGAAGACACAAAGAAATTAGAAAGACATCTCATGTTCATGAATTGGAAAAACTGTTGTTAAAATGACCCAAAAAGATCTACAGATTCAATGCAATTCCTATTAAATTATCAATGCTATTCTTTACAGATACATAACAAGCAAAGATAAAATTTGTATTTGGCTACTAGACTCTGAATAACCAAAGCAATTCTGAGCAAAAGAACAAATCTGCAAGCATCACAATTTCTGACTTCAAAATAAACTACAAAGCTATAGTAATCAAAACAGCATGGTACTTGCATAAGAACAGACATACAGACCAGGAGAACAGAACAACAAAACCAAAAACAAACCCACATATTTATGGCCAATGGATTTTTAACAAAGGCATGAAGAACACACATTAGGGAAAGGACAGTCTCTCCAATCAATGGTGCCATGAAAACTGGATATCCATAAGCAAAAGAGTGACACTAGATCCCGATCTCTCACCATATACAAAAATCAACTCAAGATGGACTAAAGACTTAAATGTAATTCCTGGAACTATGGAACTACTAGAAGAAAACATAAGAGAAAATGCTTTGGGACTTTGGTCTAGACAAATATTTTATTGTATTTTATAAGAGGTTAATATCCATAATACACAAGGAACTCAAACAACTCAATAGCACACATGTGCGCATGCACACACAAACACGCTCTCACACACACGCACAAAGAGACTCCAATTTTAAAATAGGCAATTGCTCTGAGTAGACATTTCTCAAAAGGCGACACATAAATGGCCAACAGGTATATGAAAAATGTTCAACATCACTAATCACAGGGAAAATGGAAATAAAAACCACAATAAGGTATCATATCAGTTAGAATAGCTATTACCCAAACAAACAAACAAACAAACAAAATACTGCTGAGGATATAAAGAAAAGAGAACACTTACACACTTTTGGTGGGAACATATATTAGTACAGCCATTATAAAAAACACCACAAAAGTTCCTTAAAAAGCTGAAAATAGAACTAGATATAATCCAGCAATCCCACTACTGGGTGTACATACAAATAAAATTAGTATGACAGAGATATCTTGTACCTCCATGTTTATTGCAGCTCTATATACAATACAAGGATATGGAATCAACCTAACTATCCATCTACAAAGGAATGATGGATAAAGAAAATGTGGTATAAGCTGGGTGCAGTGGCTCACACCTGTAATCCCAGCACTTTGGGAGGCCAAGGCAGGCGGATCACGAGGTCAGGCATTCGAGACCAGCCTGGCCAATATGGTGAAACCCTGTCTCTACTAAAAATACAAAAATTAGCCAGGTGTGGTGGCGTGCACCTGTAGTCCCAGCTACTTGGGAGGCTGAGGCAGAAGAATCGCTTGAACCCAGGAGGCAGAGGTTGCAGTGAGCCAAGATTGCGCCACTGCACTCCAGCCTGAGCAACAGAGAAGACTCCATCTCAAAAAAAAAAAAGAAAAGAAAGAAAGAAAAGAAAATGTGGTGTGTACACACAACGGAATACTATTATGCCAGAAAAAAAATCTTGTCTTTTGCAGCAACATGAATGGAAATGAAGGTCATTATGTTATGTGAAATAAGTCAAGCACAGAAAGACAAATATTGCATATTCTCATACATAGGGCTGAAAAAGTTGATATCATAGAAGTAGAGAGTATAACAGTGGTTACTAGATACTAGGAAGGTAAAGAAAAAATGGGGACTAGGAAGATGTTTATTAACAGATACAAAATTACAGCTGGACCACAGGCTGGGAAGGGTAGAAGGGGTGGGAGGGGCAAGCAGGAGAGATGGTTAATGGTGGCATATGTATGTGGTCCTAGCTACTTGGGAGGCTGAGGCAAGAGAATCACCTGAGCCCATGTGGTCGAAGCTGCAGTGAGCAATGATCAACACTGCACTCTAGCCTGGGCAACAGGGCAACGCCTTGTCCAAAAGAAAAAAAAAAAGAAAAGAAAAGAGAGAGATCTCAAATCAATAACCTAAAATGTCCACCTTGAGAGTAGAAAAACAAAATCAAACCCAACCCAAAACAAGGAAAAAGAGGGACCACAATACCAAAAAGAAAAAAAAGAGGGACACTTTTCAGAATGATTTTTTTCAAGTATATTAAACAATGAGATTCATGATACTAAATTTGTATACACTTAATAACATAACTTTAAGATATATAAAGTGAAAACTAACAAAACTAAAAATGAGAAATACACAAATTCACAATCTCCATATCTCCAGACATACCTCATCATCTAGTAACTGACAGAATAAGCAAACAATGAAAATCCATATGGATTTACAAGATTTGAAGAACTCTAATGACCAATTTCTGGTAAGTGATATTTACAGAATGCTACAGCAACAAGTGCAGAATACACACTTTTTATCAATTGCACATGAAACACTTACAAAAACAGACTATATATTTATACATTTTAATAAATTAAAATCATACAGACAATGTGCTGCTGACCACAGTGGAATTAAATTAGAAATCAGTAACAGAAAGATAATTAATAAATTCCTAAATGTTTGGAAATTAAGCAATATACTTCTAAGTAAGCCAAATAATAACCCAATAATTAAAGAAATCAAAATGGAAATTATAAAATTTTTTTAACTTAATGAAAAGACAACATGAAATCCCACATGACAGTGCTAAATATATGGTTAGAGAAAAAAATTATAGCATTATATATATATATTTGAGTAGAAAAAGACTGAAAAAAAGCAATGACTTAAGTTTCCAACTCAGGAAACTAGAAAAAAGAAAAGTAAACCAAATCCAAAAAAAGTGAAAGAAATTATAAAAATAAGAACAAAAATAAATGACAAAGAAAGCACAAGTACAATTCAAAAAAGAATCAACAAAAAGAAAAATTAGTTCTTTGAAAATATTAATAAAATTAATAAGACCCTAGCAATATCGATGAAAAAAATACAAATTACGAGCATCAGACATGAAAAGAAGATATCACAGCAGATCCTATAGATACATTTTTGTAAATCAGGCAGCTTTATAATAAACACCAGCCTGGGCATAAGGGGCTCACGCCTGTAATCCCAACACTTTGGGAGGCTGAGGTTGGAAGATCATTTGAGCCCAGGAGTTTGAGACTGGCCTGGGAAACATCGTGAGACCTCGTCTCTACAAAAAGTATAAAAATTATTCGGGCATGGTGGCACTGGCACTCAGAGGGGGCAGAGGTGGGAAGATAGCTTGAGCCTGGGAGGTCAAGACTGCAGTGAGCTATGATCATGCCACTGCACTCCAGCCTGTGCAACAGAGTGAGACTTTGTTTTTTTGTGTTTTTGTTTTTTTTTTGAGATGGAGTCTTGCTTTGTTGCCCAGGCTGGAGTGCAGTGGCATGATCTCGGCACACTGCAACCTCCGCCTCCTGGGTTCAAGCAATTCTCCTGCCTCAGCCTCCTGAGTAGCTGGGATTACAGGCGCCCGCCACCACACCCAGCTAATTTTTGTATTTTTAGTAGAGACAGGGTTTCACCAGTTTGGTCAGGCTGGTCTCGAACTCCTGACATCGTGATCCACCCGCCTCGGCCTCCCAAAGTGCCGGGATTACAGGCATGAGCCACCGTGCCCAGCCACAGTGAGACTTTGGCTCAAAAAATTAAAAAGTAAACAACAAAAAAACCAACTTTATTCCTTACATATAACGATTTAGAGCAGGACAGCAAACTTTTTCAGTACAGAGGGAGACAGTAAATACTTTAGGCTTTTGCAAGCCACTCAATCTCTGTCCTAGCTACTTAATCCTTCTGTTTTAGGGCGAAAGCAGCCATAGACAATAAACAAAATGAATAGCTATGTTTCAATAAAACTGTATTTACAAAAGCAGGCCCAGGACACAGTTTGCTGATCCCTAATTTTCAAGAAATAGGGAAATTCCTTGAAAGATACAACTCACCAAAACTGACAACACCAGAAATAAAAGTCTAAATGATCCTATATGTCTTAAATTAAATCAGCAGTTTATAACTTTACATCATTACCCAGATGACTTCATGTTTAATTCTTCCTAACACTTAAAAAACTGAGAAGTTGGTGATCTCACACTTCCTGATTCTGAAACTCACTACGATGCTACAATAATCCAAACAGTGTGATAGTATCATAAAGGCAGACATATTACTCAATGGAATAGGATTGAGAGCCCAGAAATAAACTCTCACATCTATGGTCAAATGATTTTTGACAAAGGAACCAAGACCATTCAATGTGAAAGTACAGATGTCAACAAATGGTGTTAGGAAAACTGAATATCCACATTTTAAAAAAAGAGAGAAAGGTTGCAACACTACCTTATACTATGTAAGAACAAAAAAATTAGAAGAAAACATAGGAGAAAACCTTCATGACATTAGATTTGACAATGATTTCTTGGATATGACAGCAAAAATCCAGACAATGAATGAGAGAAATAGCTAAGTTGGACTTCATCAAAATTAAAAACTTTGGTGCATCAAAGGACACTATTATAGAGTAAGATGCCACTGACAGCATGTGAGAAAATATCTGCAAATCATGTATCTGCTAAGGGATTGATATCCACAATACATAAAGAACTCCTATAACTCAACAACAACAAAAAACAAAGAACCCGATTCAAAATTGGGCAAAGGACTCAAATAGGCATTTCTCCAAAGAAGACAAACATAGCTAATAAGTACATGAGAAGAGGCTCAACATCACTAATCATTTGAGAAATGCAAATTAAAACCACATTGAGATATCATTTCATACCCATTAGGATAGCTATATTTAAAAAAAAAAAACACGTAAAACAACAAGTGTTAGTGACGATACGGAGCACTTCGAACCTTTGCACATTGCTGGTAGGAATGTAAAACAATGCAATCATTGTGGAAAACAGTATGGTGATTCCTCAAAAAATTAAACACAGAATTATCACGTGATCTAGCAATTCCACTTCTGGGTATATACCCAAATAAATTAAAAGCACAGTCTCAGGTATATTTGTACACCTACCTTCATATCAGCATTATAGCCAAAAGATGAAAGCAACCCAACTATCCATCAACGAATAAATGAATGAACAAAATGTGGCATGTACATATAATAGATTATTTAGACATAAAAACAAAGGACATAGTGGCATATGCTACAACATAGATAAGCTTTTTGAGACATTGTGCTAAGTGAAATATGCCAATAACGAAAGAACAAACACTGAATGATTCCACTTATATGAAGTACTTAAAATAGTCAAATTCATACAGTCATAAAGTAGAATGGTGGTTGCCAAGGGGCTGGGAACAGGGGAAAATAGGGAGTTGGTGTCTAATGGATACAGAATTTCAGTTTGGGAAGACGAAAATATTCTAGAGATGAGTAGTAGTGATGGTTGCACAACAATGTAAACATACGTAATACCACAGAATCGTACATTTAAAAATGATTAAAATGGGCCAGGCACGATGGCTCATGCTTGTAAGCCCAGCACTTTGGGAGGCCAAGGTGGGTGAGGTCAGGAGTTTGAGATCAGCCTGGCCAACATGGTGAAACCCAATCGCTACTAAAAATACAGAAAAATTAGCCGGGTGTTGTCGTGGGCACCTGTAATGCCAGCTGCTTGAGAGGCTGAGGCAGGAAAATCATTTGAACCCAGGAAGTAGAGGTTGCAGTGAGCCAAGATCGCACCACTGCACTCCAGCCTGGGCAACAAGAGTGAAACTCTATCTCAAAAAAAAAAAAAAAAAAATGTTTAAGATGATAAATGTTGTATTATACATATTCTATCACAATTTTAAAAAAACCACTAACATTGATCTTACATAAACTGTTAGAGATTATAAAAAGAGGGAATACCTCACAAATAAATCAATAAGGCCAATATATATATATGACATTCAAAACCAGGTAATCACATTACGAGAAAGGAAAATCATAGGCTAGTATCACTTATAAGCAAAGACACAACAAAATCAATCAAAATTTAACAAATTGAATCCAACAATATGTAAAAAAGATAATATATAATCAGGTTTATTCCAGGAATGCAAGGTTTAGATTTGAAAACAATGTAATTTACCACATTAACAAAATAAAAGAGAAAAATCATATATCAACTCATTAAGTGTAATATTTGATCAAATTCAGCATTCATTTATGATTTTTTAAAACTCATTGGAAAATCATTAATAGAAAAGAATCTCAACTCAGTAAAGGTTATTTATAGCTAACAACATACTTAATAGTAAAACATTGAATACTTTCCCACTGAAATTAGAAACAAAAAAGGATGTCTATTCTCATGACCTCTACTCCACATTATATAAAAGGTCCTAGCCCACTGCAATAATGAAATGAAATGAAATAAAAGATACAAGTATTGGATAGAAAGATGTAAAACTGTCATTATTTGCAGGTGACATGATTGAACATGGACAATCCAAAAGAACCTACCAAAAACTGTTAGACAAGTTGGGCCACTGGATAGGTCGACATACTAAAATTGATTTTATTTCCTGTACTGGTAACAAATTATTTAAAAATAGAGGTTTTTTTGTGTTTGCTTTTTGAGACAGAGTCTCACTCTGTCGCCCAGGCTGGAGTCCAGTGGCACAATCTCAGCTTACTGCAACCTCCACCTTCCCAGTTCAAGTGATTCTTGTGCCCCAGCGTCCCAAGTAGCTGGGATTACAGGCGTGAGCCACCACACCTGGCTAATTTTTGTATTTTTAGTAGAGACGAGGTTTTGCCATATTGGCTAGGCTGATCTCGAACTCCTGACCTCAAGTGATCCACCCACCTTGGCCTCCCAAAGTGCTGTGACTGATTACAGGCAAGAGCCACCACACCTAACCAGAAAATAGAGGTTTTTAAAATGCTACTTAAACATCCATAAAAAGAGGTAAAATTTAATGAAATACATGCAAAATTTCTCTAAAAAGTTCAAAACATTGCTGAGAGAAATTAAAGGCCTAAAAATATGAAAAGCAATGCTCTGTACATGAATTGAAAAACTCAAAACTATGTCAGCTCAATGTTAATATGTTAATTCATCCAAAATTGATCGATAGATTCAATGTAATCTCAGCAAAAAACACTAACAGCTTTCCTTTTTAGAAATTAATTCTAAAAGTTATAAGTTGAAATTAAAATGTATATGATAGGCTGGGCGTGGTGGCTCATGCCTGTAATCCAGCACTTTGGGAGGCCAAGGCGGGTGGATCACCTGAGCTCAGGAGTTCGAGACCAGCCTGGCCAACATGGTGAAACCCCGTCTCTACTAAAAATACAAAAGTTAGCCAGGCGTGGTGGTGCACACCTGTAATCCCAGCTACTACGGAGGCTGCAGCAGGAGAATTGCTCCACAGGGAGGTGGAGGTTGCAGTGAGCCGAGATCACACTACTGCACTCCAGCCTGGGCTACAGAGCAAGACTCTGTCTCAAAAAATAAAAATAAAAAAATAAAATGTATATGGAAATACAAAGGACCTAAAATAGTTATGACAATCTTGAAGGAGAAAAGAACAAAGTTGTACTAATTACACTGAGATACCAACCAAGTCTTATTATAAAAGCTACAGTAACCATATGGAGTGACACAAGAATAGACAAATAGACCACTCAATAGAATAAAGAGTTCAGAAACAAATCCACACACATATGGCAACCTGATTTACAGCAAAGGCTTACTGTAATTGAGTAGGGAAAGAAGAGTTCAACAAATGGTATAGATCAACTGACTATCAATGGAAAAAAATTAACCTTAACCTCTATTACTCATATGCAGAAAAAAAATTTGAGATGAATCATGGAATTCAATAAAGCTCCTAAAAGAAATATAAAAGAATATTTTCACGATGTTGGTGTAAGCTAAGATTTCTTAAACAAGACTAGAAAAACCCTAACCACAAGGGAAAAGATTGATAAATTGGACCTCAGTAAGATTATTAACTTTTATTCATCAAGACACCTTTATGAGTAAAGAGACAAGCCACAAACTGAGAGTAAATACTGCAAAACATCTATCTGGCAAAGGACTCATTTCCAAAATATATAAAGAATTCCTGGCCGGGCGCAGTGGCTCATGCCTGTAACCCATCACTTTGGGAGGCCGAGACAGGAGGATCACAAGGTCAGGGAATCGAGACCATCCTGGCTAACATGGTGAAACCCTGTCTCCATTAAAAATACAAAAAATTAGCCGGGCATGGTGGCGGGCGCCTGCAGTCCAGTTACTCGGGAGGCTGAGGCAGGAGAATGGTGTGAACCTGGGAGGTGAAGCTTGCAGTGAGCCGAGATCGCACCACTGCACTCCAGCCTGGGCAACAGAGCGAGACTCCGTCTCAAAAAAAAAAAAAAAAAAAAAAAGAATTCCTATATATCAATAAGACAGAAAACTCAATTTTTAAAAAAGGAAAAAAGACTTAGACTTCACAAAAAAAAAAAAAGATAGCTAAATGGCCAATAAGAATATAAAAACATAATTAGTCATTAGGAAAATACAAGTTAAAATTACAATGAGGTTATCACTACACACCCACTAGAAAGGCTAACATTAAAATAACAAACATAACAAGTAGTAGCAAAAATGTGAAATACCTGGAATGCTTATAAGTTGTTGGTAAGACTGGAATTGATATAACCACTTTGGAAGACTATTTGGCAATATAAAATGAAAACACAGGCTAAACACAGGCCTACCTTCTAGGTATACACCTAAGAGAAATTAATACTTACGTTACCAAGATAGATGTACTGGAATGTTTATGGAAGCTTTCTTCACCAGCCAAAAATATTAAAAACCCAAGTGTCCATCAACAGGAGAATGAGTAAGTAAATTGTGGAATCTTTATGCAATGGAATAGTACTGACAATACGAAAAACAAACTCTTCTAACAACATGGGTTAATCTTAGAAAGGTTGAAAGAAAAAAGCCAAACATAAATGATTCCAATTTTTTTGAGGTTCAAAACCAGGTAAAACTTATCTATGTTGACAGAAGTCAGATTACCAGTCGCCTCTTTTAGGAGTGGGGAGTACGTTCCCCTGCCCCAGATGGAGTCTCACTCTGTCACCCAGGCTGGAGTGCAGTGGCATGATCTCGGCTCACTGCAACCTCCACCTCCCGGGTTCAAGCAATTCTCCTGCCTCAGTCTCCCAAATAACTGGGATTACAGGCACATGCCACCAAGCCCAGCTAATTTTTTGTATTTTTAGTAGAGACAGGGTTTCACCATGTTGGCTAGGCTGGTCTCGAACTCCTGACCTCATGATCTGCCTGCTTTGGCCTCCCAAAGTGCTGGGGTTACAGGCGTGAACCACCGTGCCCGGCCTGGAGTACTTACAAAAACAGGTGAGCCTTTTGGGGTGCTGGAAACATTCCATTTTTTTATTGGACAGTAGTTGCACAGGTGTAAAACATTTTAAAATTGAGCTGTTGGCCAGGCGCGGTGGCTCATGCCTGTAATCCCAGCACTTTGGGAGGCTGAGGCGGGCGGATCATGAGGTCAGGAGATCGAGACCATCCTGGCTAACACGGTGAAACCCCATCTCTACTAAAAATACAAAAAATTAGCCAGGCGTGGTGGCGGGCGCCTGTAATCCCAACTACTCAGGAGGCTGAGTCAGGAGAATGGCATGAACCCGGGAGATGGAGCTTGCAGTGAGCCGAGATCGTGCCACTGCACTCCAGCCTGGGCAACAGAGCAAGACTCCGTCTCAAAAAAAAAAAAAAAAAAATTGAGCTGTTACACTTGGGATTTGTGCTCATTAAAAAATAAAATAAAATGAAAATATTAAATATTAAGCCACTCAACTAACCTTGGGAAGAGGAAAAAGAAGCAGCCAGGAGTATTATTTCTTAGTGCTAAGTCTAGATTGACTTAATAAAAGAGTAATAAAAGAGGCTGTGGACTATAACTAAAAATTATAAATAACCATCACTGTCAGATTAAGTCTTCCCTTATCTCCTAAAAAGCAGTTGGTCTCTGACTCTTCTGAGCTTGCACAGATCCTCAAGCCTAACAGAATTTCTTGGCATGTTACTAATAAATGTAATAAATGAATTAATGAATATGTGATCTTTGAAGTTACGGTTCTTTTGCATCAGACAAATCTCATGTTAAAAGAAACTAAAACGATTAATAAAGAAGTTTCCAATTTTACTGCCATTCTCAATGTATCTACTCAACACTCTGAGGATGCCGTGGGAAATGTCATCTTTCCTCATGATCTGAATCTGCTCTTTTTTTTTTTTTTTTTTGTCTTTTTTTCCTCGACCCCCACAAGCCAGCCACCCTTCCTGCTGGCTTTCAAACCCTTCCATTGCCCAAAAAGGAGAATGAGAATGTGATGTTTTCCAGGCTCATACAGAATTTTGACAACATAAATTAGCACATTCATAATGCTTGAAAATTGAGTAAGTAGACCGAACAATTCTGACATGAACAATGAAATCGTCTTTCTGTCAAAGCAACTTTAAGTAATCCCATTCTAATATACCAAAACTGGGAACAAACTATTTTTAAAAATTATGCAGGCCGGGCGCGGTGGCTCACGCCTATAATCCCAGCACTTCGGAAGACTGAGGCGGGCGGATCACCTAAGCTCAGGAGTTCGAGACCAGCCTGGCCAACATGGTGAAACCCCGTCTCTACTAAAAATACAAAAATTAGCCAGGCGTGGTGGTGCGCGCCTGTAATCCCAGCTATTAGGGAGGCTACGGCAGGAGAACTGCCTGAGTCCCGGAGGCGGAGGTTGCAGTGAGCCGAGATCACGCAGCTGCACTCCAGCTTGGGCGACAAAGCGAGACTCCATCTCAAAAAAAAAAAAAAAAAAAAAAAAAGAAAGAAAGAAAAAGAAAATAGTGTAAAATAAAGCCCCCTTGTTTCAGGGTAGCTCAAAATACATCAGTAGAAAAGTTACGTTTTTACAGCATAAAGTCAAAGCTTAGGAAACAATAGATTACCGTCTAAACAAGCTGAAAACTGTTTCCAGTTAATGACAGCTAAATAGCTTACCTGTTCCAGCACATCCAACTTTAACTCGAGCTTGCTGAGTACCACGTCTCCACCCCATAGTGAAAGCTGTAGATCCGACGGCTTTAAGTTCTTGATGTAGCGATTCACATAGCTCATTAAAATTGGAGTTACATATGACTCCAGCATCTTTTAAGGTAAGGAGTCGAAGTCGGAAGCTGAAAGGAGTAGACAGAAACGTTAGAAGTCGGCGGTAGAGTGAAGGAAAGAGCGTTCGTTATCTCAGGCCGAAAGCAGTAAGTCCCCACCAAAGCGGCCGTTCGCCTCCTCTTAGAAACAGAGAAAAACTCCAGCGGACTCCCAGCTCCAGCTGCGACTTCCTCACAAGTACAACACCCTTCGCCAAGCGAAGTGAGGGAGGAAGACGTAGTGACCAGAAGAGAGCGGGTCCCTCAGAGTGGAAGAATGAAGTGAGGCGGGCTCCCCTTCGGCCGCAGTAGCCCTTCACCAACCCAGCCACCCCGCGAGGCCCTCGCTTCCCGGAACCCAGCCGGATCTGCCACCATAGAACCAAAGCTAGAAGACCTCCCGTCCCGCTCCCGCTCCCTCTGCACTCCACCCTCGGCTCACACGCCAGAGTACCGCCGCGTCCCCTCCACCTCCAAGTCCCTGGCACCCGCCCCCGCCGGCAGTGCTGCTCCTGTACCGCGCCACTTCCGGGTGTGTCCCACTTGGTGCTCAAAACAAACTGTCCCTCCACGGCTGCCACTCTACGCAGCCGGACCGGATTTCTCAGGCTGGAGAAGCTACTCTGCGCGTCTTCGTGAAGGAGAACTCTTGCGTTCTGCTAGCCAGGGTCCCAGCTCCGACCCTGCTAGTTAGGACAAAGCTCTAGGAGGTGTCTAAGGGGGTGGGGGGAACCGTAAAGGGGAAACACTCGAGATCCGGAAGTGGCGCTCCGGGGAGAAGGTGGCTGCGGCTGCTGGGGCCGCTGCGCCGGCGGCGGTTCCCGATGTGGAGGTCCGTCTTGGGTGGGGAGGCACCCAGGTCGCTGGTTCGATGCAGAGGAAGAAACCACACCTAGCACGTAAAGCCCTGAAAAAATAGAGGTGGTTGTTTTTCTTGAGAAATGGGAGGACTGGGAAGAGGAACTTGGTTGGGTTCACTGGGGAGGGCAGAAGCAATAGGCCGCTGGTAGGAGGAGCGAAATAAGTGACAGATTTCAACTTAGTTCCAAGGTTTATTTGCTGGAAGGAGGGTGGATGTGGGAAGAAAATTGAAGGGATTAGGACATACACCGTTGGAGGATGCGTTTTGGCCAAACGTGTAGACAAGTTCTCGCATTCTGGTACTTTCACAAAGCAATGGTAAAGTACTCCCTAGTTTGCTGATGAGGGGCGGGGGAAGGGATGGTCAAAGAGAATATTGCGGGGAACCATAGGATTGCAGTCTGACGTGGGATTTAGGGAAGCTGCGGGAATAACCAAAATGAAGACAGAATTGAGAGTTCTAGAGACAAAGTGAAAATAACTGATAAGTAATGAATTCAGAGTTGTAAGGGTCGGTGTTGGTTTTATTAGGCTGTAATGAGTATAAAATATTACCTTTCCGTATAATAGCTTACAAGCTAACAAAGTCAAGAAACTCAAACATTAACTCGGAAAATATACACTGGGCTTCAAGGAATCGCATAGGACATGCTCCCCAAGTTTTGCCCAGATTGTCTTATTTTTGGTTATCGCTGAAGAAAACACCTACAACTGCATTTTGAAACTAGACTCCTGGCCAGGCGCGGTGATGCATGCCTGTAATCCCAGCACTTTGGTAGGCCAAGGCCTCCAAATTGCTTGAGCGCAGAAGTTTGAGACCAGTCTGGCCAACATGGAAAAAACCCGTCTCTACAAAGATAATAGTAATACAAAAATAAGCTGGGCATGGTGCCAGTAGTCCCTGCTACTCAGGAGGCTGAGGTGGGAGGATCACTTGAGCCCCAGAGGTGGAAGCTGCAGTGAGCCGTGATCACACCACTGCACTCCAGCCTGGGCGACAGAATGAGACTCTGTCGAAAAACAAAACAAAAAATCAGAAACTAGATTTCTTAAAAGGTTATTAAATACCCACCCATGCCTAAAGCTCTTTCCTGGAATTCAAAATTACCATTTCTTGAAAGAGCTTCAGTAACTGCAACAGAAAAGAGGCCTGAGGATGCCAAGGTGTTTAGGTTTATTTTGTGATTGAAAATAAGGAAATAAGTTTCACCAAAAGAAGCAGCAGCTAATTGCCAATTCAGAGCAGCTGTTCCTTCACAAAAATGCCATAATAACTCAAATATTTGAGTATTATCAAAACTTGCCAAATTATACAAATGAATTAATTTGTTTTTCTGTTATCTGCTTCATCTGAAACACAGGTCAAAGCCATGACTTAGAGGTTTTAACGTAAAGAAAATGGTTCCGCTAATTGTATAGAACCTCTCAGCAGTCTACAACAGTAGCTCCAGGTCTTGTCGTTTTTCTAGAGAAAAAGGGCCTAGTTTTCTTCTGTGGTGATCTATTAAATAAAAACACTATATTAAGATAAATTGGCCAAATATAGGAGTAGAAATGTGACTAAGATGTTTGAACAAATAACATATGGAATGCTAAACATATGGAATGCTAAACGTATGCCATTTTTCTCCTGGAACCAACAAAAAATAGACAAATTCCTGGCTTGGGAAAATTATCTGGGCACTGTGTTTTGGTTTAAGTATCAAAAAATTTGTAGTTTTCAATCTGTGTTCCACTGTGCCCTTTACCATAAGCAGTGAAGATAAATTTAATTCCTTTTCACTAATAGTTTCATTGCTCATTTTTTAAATTGTCAAATGTTAAGCCTTTTCCAAATCTATTATGTCTTTGTATTGTAAGATTTTTCTTCCCCCCACAAATATTGTTTAAGTGTTCTCAAGACTTTGAGGCAGGTTGGTTCTGTAGAGGCAGGCCTGGTTCTTGGTCTTAACAGAAAACCTTCAAGTTCCTCACCATTAAGTATGTTGTTAGCTGTAGGGTTTTTGTAGATGTTCTTTAGCAAGCTAAAGCTCGCTGAGAGTTATCGTAACATAAGTGTTAGATTTTGTCAAATGCTTTTTCTGCATCTATTGATATGAACATGTGATTTTTCTTCTTTAGCCTGTTAATGTGATTGATTACAATAATTGATTGTTGAATATTTAACCAGCCTTGCATACTTGGGATAAGTCCCACTTGGTCATGGCTTATACTTCCTCTTATACATTGTTGGATTTAATCTGCTAGTATTTTGTTGAAGATTTTTGCATCTATGTTCATGAGAAATATTGGTTTGGTTTTCTTATAATGTCTTTATCTGATTTTGGTATTATAGTAAGGCTGGGCTCATGAATAAGTTAGGAAGTATTCCTTTGCTTCTATCTTCTGGAATAGATTATACAGAATTGGTATAATTTCTTCCTTAAATGTTTGATATTACTCACCAATGAACCCACCTAAGCACAGTGTTTTCCACTTTAGAAGGTTATTAACCATTCTGTTTCTTCATTTCTGTTTTTTATTTTCTTATTTATTTCCATCTCCCTGCCTAGATTTTCTAGCTGCAAGATTAAAAGATTGAAAAAGGTAGAGAAAGGCTTCTTTTTTTGTTTAGTTTTCTATTATGTGTGATATATATATGGGATCTTCAACTACAGGGACCTGTATCCCTAATGCCTTGCATATTATGTGGTACCTAATAGGTTATGACAGTGATTTACTTTAACAATTATTCAGGAAATCTGCTTACCTTTTCCTTGTGTACACAGGGCTAGATTATTATTCAGGCTGTCTAACAGCCAGGTGTTGTCAAGTAACTGAGTTCTGACCACCTGAATGTGGATAGAAGTGATGTAGGCACAGGCCTGGCTCATAAAAGCCTCCCACATGACAGCCTTAGTCTTTCTCCGTCACCAAGCAGGATAAAAGTGTGCAGAGGACTCCAAGGTCCAAGGAGATGTTAAGGACAAAAACTAGGAGATTGAGTTTATGAGTCATTGCCTAGAGAAACAACTGCTGATAAGTAACATCCATTAGGATTTTCCATGATTTAGAAATAAACTACTGTTAAACTTACTGAGATTTGGAGGGTTATCTGTCACAGCAGGAAGTATTATTTTAACCAATTCATATAATAGACATAAGCTGATCTTAATTCAACTTTGTTTCAGAAATGTTAAAATTGTAATCAACCAAAGTCTTCTGACTTTATTTCTCCCTTTTGAGAAGGAAAAAAGAAAAACCATTAATTACTACAATCAATAGAACAACAGTTTTCTGGATTTAAAGTCATACACATTAAGCAGCTGTACAGTGCGCTTCTGACTGGCTTCCTAAAGAGTTACAGCATGTAAAGATTCTTAATATACCCTCAGAGTTAAGTGTAAACAAATATCCAAGTCACGTAGATATTATCTCACTATGAAAATTGGGCACAGTATAGATCATAAGTCCAGTTGGCAAGAAACTAATCATCATTGGCTCAAGTTATTTATGTATGTTAGTTTAATATTCTGAATTTACTCATTAGCTGAGACATTCTTTGAATGCCCACTATGTGTTTTACAGCATACCAGTCACTTAGGCATGCCCACATTGAAGGAGCTCAGTTTCATTGGAATCACAGATATAAATGACCTATTAAAATATTATATGATTAAGTAGATTATGTAAAAAGTGCTGTGGGACACTGTAAAAAATCATTTAGAACTATGTGAGAAAATCAGTCAAGGTTTAAGAGAGGAGTTACCAGTTACAGATAACAATGTATTTTTTTCCACTGACCTAAGCCTTTCAAGCAAAATCAGAAAACTGTAATTTTCACTAAAATAAATCATCAATGGAATGACCTA
Organism: Homo sapiens; assembly: GCF_000001405.40. Lineage (NCBI taxonomy): Eukaryota > Metazoa > Chordata > Mammalia > Primates > Hominidae > Homo > Homo sapiens. The sequence continues at coordinate 99,009,077 of NC_000008.11, read as the reverse complement.
GTTTAAGACCCTTTTGGAAGACAGATAGAGTCCTAGAAATCTCTACTACATCAAAACAAATCAGAGGGATAGGCAAACATGCCAATATAACTGAATAAAGAGCCCAGAAAGAAACCCCTTCAAACATGGCATCTTTATATATGACAATCAATGGCAAAGAGTGCATATTTCAGTAATTGATACTAGAACAATTACTACCTATATGGAGAAAAATTAGATTCCTACCTCAGATGTAGGAAAGAAGTCCAAGTTTTATGAAGCCAAAAACTTATAATTTGGGGATTCCTAAGGAAATTCCAAAATAAATTAACTTTTGAAAATTTTGTAAAAACACAACCCATGTGAACATTACTTGGGCTTCTCCCAGAGCCTTGAAAAGAGCTTATACAAGTGATGGTAGAGTAAATCTACCTCTGTTCACAACGAACACAAAAATAAACTCAAAATGGATTAAAAATTCAATATTTTTTTTAATTTTTAGAGAAATTATAGGACAAAAATTGTTATGCCTCAGAGAGGAAGGAATTCTTAAATAAGGTAAGGCACAAAGACATAAAAAGGACAAACTTTCAATGAAAAGCTTAGTAAGTTTATACATTAAAATTAAAAAAGCTTGTTCATCAAAGAACATGTCAAAATACAAGCACATGTCAAAATACAAGCCACAAGCTGGGTGACGATGATGAAAAATGTTCATTACTCAACAAAGAAAAAGAACTCATTTTATAATACACTACAAATTAATGAACAAATGCAATAGAAAACCAACCAATTCATAGAAGAGGAAACCCAAATGTGTAATAATCACAAAAAACATGTTCAGCTCCACTAATCAGGGGAATTCAATTTAAAACAATAATGACCTATTCCATACCTATCAGACTGACAATATTTTTAATGTATAATGTTAATGAGTGGCATGATAGGAACCTAGTGCACTGTTGCTGAGAACAACACAGTGGAGAGGAATTAAGCAATATCTAGCAGAGTTGAAGACGCATATACCCTATGACCCAACAAATCTACTTGTAAGTATTATAGAAACTTGCAGGCCAGGCGCAGTGGCTCACACCTGTAATCCCAGCACTTTGGGAGGCCGAGGCAAGCGGATCACCTGAGGTCAGAAGTTCGAGACCAGCCTGGCCAACATGTAGTAAAACCCCATGTCTACTAAAAAAAAAAAATACAAAAATTAGCCAGGTGTGGTGGTGCACGCCTGCAGTCCAGCTACTTGGGAAGCTGAGGCAGGAGAATTGCTTGAACCCAGGAGGCAGACGTTGCAGTGAGCCGAGATCGCACCAGTACACTCCAGCCTGGGTGACAGAGCAAGACTCTGTCTCTCAAAAAAAAAAAAAAAAAGAAAGAAACTTGTGTGTATGCACAAGGAGATATGTTTAACACTATTTTGCAGCATTGTTTGTACCAGTTGAGTATCCTTTATCCAAAATGCTTGGGACCAGAACTGTTTCAGATTTCAATTATTTTCAGATTTTGGAATATTTGCATTATACTTACCACTTTAACATCCCTAATCCAAAAATCTAAAATCCTCCAAAGAACATTTCCTTGAGGGTCATGCATATTATACACTCAAAAACGTTCAGATTTTGAAGCATTTTTGGTTTGGGGATTAGGATGTTCAACCTGTATTAGTAAAACAGTGGAAACAATTGAAATGTCAGTAGGACAGTAGTTAACTATCATATTCATACAATAGAATATTACATAGTAGTGAAAATGAATGTTATGACTTTCAAATATTTTACCTACAGTGAGAAATATATTTCATACCATGACTCAATATATATATGCTTATATATAATCACATACATATATGTATATAGGCATTAAATTGAGTACTTATGATACATTTTATTTACTGTTCTGTTTTTTCTAAAGCAGTTCATGACCTGCTATATTGATTTTCTGTGCTACTAATGATTTGAAACCTACAGTTTGAAAAAAAAAAAAAACTAAACAAAGTTATATATTTATCAACATGAATAAATCTGAATAACAAGTATAGCATATTATATAGTGTGTGTATATATATGTATATATACACATACATACATATACATGTATATGGTATTCAAGAAATGCTATATATTGTGATACCTATATTTATATAAAGGAATAATTTTTAAAACTTATGAGAAAGGTAAATACCAAATTCAGGATAGTATTATTACCTCTGAAGAAGAAGACATGGAAAATAAAACGGGAAGGGAATACTGGGTATTTCAACTGTATCTGTAATGTTTTCCTTATTTTACAAAAGGAAAAATGTTAATATTTGATAGGTGTTGAGTACATGGGTGTTATTCATATTTTTTTCAAAATACTTGATTATTAAAATTAACTAGAATAATATTTCTTAATTTTATATCACACTTTGAAAAAAAATCATCTCACTTTTTCCAAACAGGAATTTACAGGTATTTTATTATCTTAATTATCTGTAGCAAATTTTAAAGGAACGTTGCTGGGTGCAGTGGCTCACACCTGTAATCTCAGCACTTTGGGAGGCCAAGGCAGGAGGATCACTTGAGGCCAGGAGTTGGAGACCAGCCTGGGCAACATAGTGAGACCCCATCTCTTTAAAAAAAAAATGTGTGTGTGTGTGTGTGTGTGTGTATTTTATTTTTTTAATTGGCCAGGTATGATGGTGTACACCTATACTCCCAGCTACTTGGGAGACTGAGGTGAGATGATCACTTAAGGCCAGAAGATCAAGGCTGCAGTGAGCTATGATTGTTCCACTGCTTTCTAGACAGGGTGACAGAGCAAGACTCTGACTCTAAAAAAATAAATAAGGTAAAATAAAAATAAGAAGCCCAGCACAGTGGTTTATGCCAGTAATCATTCCCAACATTTCAGGAGGCCAAGCAGGAGGATCACTTGAGCTGAGGAGTTCAAGACTGGCCTGGGCAAGACAGTAAGACCATCTCTACAAAAAATAAACAAAAAATTAGCCGGGCATGGTGGTGCATGCTTGTAGTTCCAGCTGCTTGGGAGGCTGAGGTGGGAGGATTGCTTGAGCCTGGAAGGTCATGGCTGTAGTGAGCCGAGATCGCACCACTGCACTCCAGCCTGGGTAACACAGTGAGACCCTCTCTCAAAATAAATACAGTCAGGCATAGTGGCTCATGTCTGTAATTCCAGCACTTTGGGAGACCAAGGCAGGCAGATCATTTGAGGCCAGGAGTTTGAGACCAGCCAGGCCAACATGGTGTAACCCCATCTCTACTGAAAATACAAAAAAATTAGCTGGTCGTGGTGGCACATGCCTGTAGTCCCAGCTACTCAGGAGGCTGAGGCAGGAGAATCACTTCAACCGGGGAGGTGGAGGTTGCAGTGAGCCGAGATCATGCCACTGCATTCCAGCTTGGGCAACAGAGCAAGACTCCGTATAAAAACATAAATAAATTAAAATGTTTTAAAAAGTTGTGGTCAATCTTTAGGGTTATCTTAAGTATCTTTTTTTTTTTTTTCAAGACAGGGTCTGACTCTGCCGCCCAGACTAGGGTATGGTAGTACAATCATGTAGCTAACTATAAACTCAATTTCCTAGGCTCACGTGATCCTCCCGCCTCAGCCTCCTGAGTAATTAGGACTACAGGTGTGCATTACCACACCTGGCTAATTTTAAATGTGTGTGTGTATGTATATATATACACATATAAGTGTGTGTGTGTGTGTATATATATACACGTGTGTGTGTGTATATATATATGCATGTATGTATGTGTGTGTGTGTGTGTATATATATATATGTATGTATATGAAATGGGGTCTCACTATATTGCCCAGGCTAGCCTTGAACTCTTGGCCTCAAGTGATTCTCCAGCCTTGGCCTCCTAAGGTACTAGGAGGCATGAGCCACCACAACTGGCCAATAGAGATCTTTTTGTTCTCCAATTTTGCCATGCTAATTAATAGAGATACTAGGTGTGGTGGACTAAATGGTGACCAAAAAGACATGGCCTAATCCCCAGAACCCATTACTATTCCCATATATAGTAACAGACTGAATATTACCTTATAGGGCAAAATATGTAGTTAAGAATTTTAAGGGCCAGCATGGTGGCTCATGCCTGTAATCCCAGCATTTTGGGAGGTAGAGGTGGGTGAATCACCTGAGGTCAGGAGTTCAAGCCCAGCCTGGCCAACATGGCGAAACCCCATCTCTACTAAATATACAAAAATTAGCCAGGTGTGGTGGCCTGCACCTGTAATCCCAGCTACTCAGGAGGCTGAGGTAGCTTGAACCCAGGAGGCAGAGGTTGCAGTGAGCCAAAATTGTGCCACTGCACTCCAGCCTGGGCAACAGAGCGAGACTCCATCTCAAAAAAAAAAAATTGAGAGGAGTGTTATCCTAGATTTTCCAGGTGAGCTCTAAATCCAGTAACAAGTGTCTGTACAAGAATGAGGCAAAGAAAGATAACACAGATAGGAGGAAGCAATGCCACCATGACGACACAGACTGGAATGACACCGTTAACAGCTGAGGATGCCAAGAACCACCAGAAACTGGACGAGGCAAAAACAGATTCTCCTCTAGAGCCTCTAGAGAGAGTATAGCCCTGCTGACACCTTGATTTTCTTCTGACCTCCAGCACTGTGAAAGAATAAACTTCTGTTGTTTAAGCCACCCAGTTTACAGTAATTTGTTGTAGCAGTCATATTTTAAGAAGAAAACTGGGGGAATAAATTTGGTGTAAGGAAATGTTATAGGAAATCTAGGTCCACCTGCCTGGTTATGGTGACAAAGGGTGAATACTTTCCTAAGTTAGCAACATCAGAAACATCTTTAAAGTCTTTTTCTACATGAATTTCCTTATTGGTTGCAGTGATTTTAAAATATGTCCACAAATTATTTAATTATACCCCCTCCAAAAGTTGGAGCCTAATTCTCCTCCCTTTGAGTATGGATTATATTTATTGGCTTACTTCTAACAATACAATGTGGCAGAAGTGACCGTTTGTGACTTCCAAAATTAGGACATAAAAGACTTTGTGGCTTTCTCCTTGTTCTTTGACTTAGATTATTCGCTCTGGGAGAAGCCAGCTGTTGTGTCATAAGGATACTCAAGCTGCACTATGCAATGTCCACATGGCAAAAACTCAGTCCTCTTGCCAACAGGAAACCCAAGAACTTGGGCTATCTGAGCACAGTCAGCCTTAAAATGACTGTAGTTCGGGGCCGGCCTTCAAGCGTCAGCAACGCAAGACGGCAGCCACCATGGGCTCGGGAGTAAAAGTCCCTCACAATTTCTGACTGTTGGAAGAACTCAGAGAAGGCCAGAAAGGAGTAGGAGATGGCACAGTTAGCTGAGGTCTAGAAGATGATGAAGACATGACAAAAGATGGACAGGGATGATAATTGGGCCTCCAAGAACAATTTATGAAAACCAAATATACAGCCTTAAAATAGAATGTGGACCTAAATACCCACTAGCACCCCCCTTTGTAAGATTTGTAACAAAAATTAATGTAAATGGAGTTAATAGTTCTAATGGAGTAGTGGACCCAAGAGCCATATCAGTGCTAGCAAAATGGCAGAATTCATATAGCATCAAAGTTGTCCTGCAAGAGCTTCAGTGCCTATTGATGTCTAAAGAAAATATGAAACTCCCTCAGCCACCGGCAGGACAGTGTTACAGCAATTAATCAAAAAGAAAAACCACAGGCCCTTCCGCTTCCCCCCGCCCGATTCGATTTAAGCAGTCTTCGTTTTCCACAGTAGTAAATTTTCTAGATACATCATGTAGACCTCAAAGTACTGGAAAGGAAGCTCCAATTCAAAGGAAATTTATCTTAAGATACTGTAAATGATACTAATTATCCATTTGAAATATATAAGTTTTGCTATAACAAATCATCCTATCAAGTGTAACCACTGTCCACGTAGTTGAACTTCTGGAATCGAGAAATTCTAATTAAATTGATTCCCATCATAACTAGTGGGGCATATCTAACTCAACTGTGAAAAGAAACATCACACAATCACCTTGCTGATTACATGGCCTGGGGGTCTCTGCCTTCTCCCCTTACCCTCCTGCCTCCCACCCTCCCTGCAACAGCCCTCTAGCTTGGCTTGTTAGAGTGGATGTGAAGGTTTCAGGTTGCAGCCTGTGGGACTACTGCTAGGTGTGTGGGGTGCTTCACCTGCACCCCTGGTTTCTTTAAGTCTTATGCACCTTCCAATCCGTCATCCTGTCCCCACACTCCTCCACTCCTGCCTTTGGCAGAAGCATAGGTTGTAACCCCTCCGCTCCCCTCTAAGATTGGCCTTTGGTAAGGAATTCAGGGCTTTCCCAGTATCTTCTCTCCCCCACCTTTATCGAGGGATGCTGTTTTTTCTTCCCTCCTCAAGTTGCTTTCTGCACCATCACCACTCAATACCTTCCATGACACTTCCTTGCTTTGGGCAGAAGCCATCAGGTAAGGTTAGAAAGTCTCTAACCTCCCTTGTTTAGTTTTGGAACCATACTTATTCATTCTCCATCAGCCTGGGAAATGAATATTGGGTTTTCAGCCCTGCCACCCTCTGCTGTCGTCAGCTGATGCGTTGTTTTTAGCTCAGGTTTTGATAAGGTGAAAAGGAAAGTCACCAGGGTTACTCAGACCTGCCAGCTCTCGGAGTCCTTGGTGGTTGAAATTGGAGAAAGACCACAAGAAGACACTTGTAAGCACACGTGATCCCTCTGAATTGTTTTACTTCCTGTAATTGCTTTTGCTTTTAAAAACTGAAGAAGTTTTAAACAGGGCTTTCATTTGGTCATCCTTGCAATCCATTGAGGTCTAGTTTGGAATCTGACAACTGGAACAAAAAGAACCTTGAATCCAGTGCGTGCCTTGGTTTTGGTGCTGCTGCTGCTTCTCAAGATCCTCAGCAGGGATTAAGAAAGAACCCAGTGTGCATAGCAGATCCCTGAAATTGGCGGGCTTGACCTCCTGGGAAATTGGTGCGTCTTTCCACTTTCTGTTCAGGACCATTAAATGCTGAAATGTGGATGCATACCGAAATAAAAGTAATTCATTGTGTAAAAAAATAAAATAACTCTAGTTCAGGATGACATCTTGACTGCAACCTCATGAGAGACCCTGAGCCAGAACCCCCTAGGTAAGCTGCTCTTAAATTCCTGAACCACAGCAGAAATTATGAGATAATATTTAGTGCTTTAATCTACCAGATTTTGAGGTAATTCCCCCCCTTTTTTTTTTTTTTTTTTTTTTTTTGAGATGGAGTTTTGTTCTTCTCACCCAGGCTGGAATGCAATGGCGTGATCTCAGCTCACTGCAACCTCTGCCTCCCGGGTTCAAGCAATTCTCCTGCCTCAGCCTCCTGAGTAGCTGGGATTACAGGTCCCCACCACCATGCTCAGCTAATTTTTATATTTTTAGTAGAGACGGGGTTTCACCATGTTGGCCAGGCTGGTCTCGAACTCCTGAGCTCAGGTAATCCATCTGCCTTGGCCTCCCAAAGTGCTGGGATTACAGGCATGAGCCACCGCACCTGTCCTTGAGGTAATTCTTAACACAAATAACTAATACACTGATGCACCTTCTAAATAAAGTGCCATTTTTGTTCAGGAGGCCTTAGCATAACAAATATCACAATCCTATGAATCTCTAGAAGTTGTCATGTACTAGATGATTACTGACATCAACACAAGTTATAATACCTTAAGAATGATACCATTCATTCAGTACTTCATATGTATATGAATTTTACCAGCACAGAAACTTAGCCTAGGAATCTGTCTAGTTCTCCTATTATTAACATCATACATGAGTATGGTACATTTGTAATGATCAATGAGCAAATATCAATCCATTATTACTAACTAAATTCATACTTTATTCAAATTTCCTTACTTTCTCTTTATTCTCTAAAGTTCTGTGAATCCATGGTCCTATATCTGCACTAATTCACTTGTGTTTTTTCTATATACTTCTGCATCTAAAATACTATTTTTACTAGATTTTTTACCAGACTAATTTCATTGAATGTCTTCCAAAGTATGAACACTTTTATTTTAAAGTTTTCTTAATATCCTCATGGTAACATCAAAATTTAAGGAAATCTGCTTGTCATCAAAAAGGGTTTTGGTAATGCTTTGTTAGATTTGCAAACTTTTCATATTATTTGCTCTTACATCACTTCCATGCTATTTCCTTTGCTTTTAGTGTATTAATTTTGTTCAAAATGGTAAAATAAAAGAAATATTTATACATTATATTTTTAAGTATCTATTTCCTTAATCTAAGGTAAACTTTTCTCAAGGCATTTTAACTTAACAGGATATTACATAGAAAAAAATAGGGGAATAATATCTGACACACTTCAAATGTTCTTTGAACTTTGTTAGTTTAGTGTCAGTTATTGACTGCTTGAATTGGAGAACCCCCTGCTCATATCAGTAACAGCTAGTCAAAATTATCAAGAACATTAAGAACACATCACAGAAATCACTGTCATCAGTTATAGATAGAAAGGAAGATTGCACAGTGAGATGATGTATTCAATAGAAGGTTGTGTGTAGTAAAAATAAGAATTGTAAATGTAAGTCAACAGTAAATCCAAAAGCCATGTCTTTCCAGGGAAATCTAAAAACTATGTTTCCTACTTTCAAAATCCTTTCATCATTACAAGAGTTATTCTTTTCTGGTTCAAAAATCTTGCCTACCTCCTTTTAAAAGTTATTCTTTAAAACATTAGGCCAGATGAGCTAATTTCAGACAGCTTATTTACCTGCTCATGGATTTATATGCCACCTGCTTTTGCTTTTTCTACAGATGCAAAGTCAACCTCTGGGGCAAAATTCCACCTTTCTCTTTCTGCCACACAAGTGGTAAATAACATGACCCAATAAATTTTAGCATTTCCCCAAATGTGTAGGATACAAAAAATGTATTCATTCATGTGAGATATAAAAATGTACACTCACACTTCTGAAATCAACAGCCAGCCATTTCACACTTGGGCCAAAGGCAAACAAACATAATTCTCACTGGCAGCTGGACAACATTCCGAGCTGCCACCACATTAATTAACTCACCTCAATCAGATTCCACTTCAACTTGCACAGCTTGCTGCCAAGAAGCCTAGCAATAAATTGTTAGGTTAAATACTGAACAAGGTAGGGAAATACCATATGGTATGTTGTTATAGAGGCTGGGATATTCTTGTTTAACACTAGTAGCAGGGTTTTCCATTTACTTTTTATTGTCTCTTGTGATTTGAGAAAAATGAGTATATGCTCTTGTTGATAAATGAACTTGCATGTCTTATTGTGAAGGGGAATGGGATGGTAACAAGTTAACAAAACACCTTTGTCCACAAGCTTCTATAGTTGATATTCCCTAAATCGGAAGACAACAGCTTACTTAGCAAGTGCTGGGAGCCCATTAATAGTAAATTATTGGTATTAAACCTTTGGGGAATGTCAAGGAACAAAGACCTCAAATTCCGTTTTCATTTAGGTGTACCGGGAATTTACAAATAAATACAAACTATTTATAACTGGAAAAATTGTAGCTTAGGAGTCAAGATTTAAGTGTGAGTCTGGTTTCTGCCTCTGACTGGCTGTCCACTTTGGCCAAATCACTTAACTTCTCTCATATGATGTCCTTATCTGTCATATGAAGGAGTTTGACTATATGAATGGTTCCCAAACCTTAATGCACATATCATCTTAAGGAGCTTGTCAAAAATGCAGATTCTTGGATTCCATCCTTGGCTTGAAATTGATTCGTTTTGACATGGAGCCTAGTAGTCTGAATTTGTAATAAGCAATACATTATTTTGCAGATATAGAACCCATACGTTGAGAAATAACTGGTCTACATGACATATTGTATCCCTTTACCTCTGACGGTGTATTATTGTAATTACCAATCCATATCATTGTTTTTATAATGTGTGGTGTGATTTTGGAAAGTGGTATAAATTGGGAGTGGTAACTCAAGCCTTAATATACAATAGGCAGTTCAAAACTCTAGTGAAAAAAGACTGAGAACACCTGAATATGACTACCCAGGTGCCTGTGAGCATTTTCTTGGGTTGTAGGATGGGTGATAGCTGACTGACTGTTCCCTCTAGTAATCTTGCCTGTACATATAGTAAGACTGCACATCTAAACAAAAACATTGAAAGCCATCCTACAGATCAGCTTTATTCATATTCCTGATCACTCACCCAGGATAAGGCTTTCTGTGCTCTAAGCGTGTTGTTATGAATGCTCATTTCATTTCTTTTGCTTCTTGTGTGTCTGGTATATTCTGCTTCTTTGTTAAATTCTGAAATCAAAAAACAAATATTTTATCCTTGTTTGTGAGATTTCAAAAGACTAGGAACTTTTGAAAACCTCATTCTCTTTAAATTCTAGGACATGATTTGATAAGTAAAGAAAAAGCTCTTACTGGAAAAAGTTCTTATTACTTACTGAATAGGTGCATATGGATTTATACTAATCCATGTATCTTTTTCCATCTGATTCCTCTAATGACTAGCAGAGAGCCCTAAGGTAGCTGTCTGGGGCCAGCCTTAAATTAGGAAAAGAGCATGCTTAACAGGTCCATATAAGATGGTGTGCAACACAGGCTTTTCCCATCATATTGCAAACTTAACAGACTTGAAGATCCAAAACTAATCATTATTATTTTACTTTTAAAACTGTGGAATCACCTTTGTTATTAGTTTCTATCAGTGGGGGATGTAAAATGGCAATGCAGTAGTTGCTTTACTATTCAATCTTCACAAAAGAAGTCTGATTCTCTTCGATTTAATCAGTTCTTTCCAAGCTATTTTAATTATCACAAACATCCCCAAGTTTTAATAATGTTCCTCAGAGTATGGGTAGATTATCCTTATTGGTCTTTGTATTCTCCTCAGCCACTAAAAGCAGGCTCTTAACTTGGTAGATTCTCAATAATGGAATGTTGGGCTAAAGATATGTTGGCAGAAAAGGAAGTGTTGAATCCTGTTGCAGACTTCCTCATCCCCTGCAGGTGGTGCTGGGAGATAGGTTCTCTATTTACGTATTTAATCATAATTAGTTGGGTTAGTAAAGGTGTTCTCAGTTCTTAGTTTAAAGCTGTTGTAATTACCTAAATTTCTTCCTCCCCTTCACTCTTGTTACTGAGTCACAGAGAACAAAAAGATTTAAAAAGGTGATCAAACTGAAGAAAATAGAGACATTAAGATAACTGATGGTGTCTCCCAGGCCTAGCAGTAGAAAGATGCTGCAGGGCTTTAGGAGAAAGAAAATTTGTACACTCTTACTTTCAAAAGAGAACATATATTCAGGAAATTTTTCTATAGACTATCTGACTATCTCACCAGAACTACTGTATTAACTCTAGTACTGAATCTGTCATCCTTATACATCAAGTATTTCTCACCATGGTCATGTATCAGTGGTTATTAGTATTTGGGACTTAAAGGTTTCCTGTACAATGCTGTCTATGACACCACCCAGGCACAGTTAGCAGCCCTCTCCTCTGTCTTCCTCCAGATTAATGAGTGTATTGCTTATTTTAATATCTGAATCTTCCACTCAATTGGGAGCTCCTATAAAGTAGAGACTGTGTCTTTATCATCGTTGTATCACTAGTTCTTATGTTGCTTCTTTGAATGTAGTAAACACTAAATACATTAAATAGATAAAGCAATCAACAAATCAATTAGAATACTGTCAGCCACATAACTTTAGAGTTGCCTGAAACCAATATGAATTTCTCTTCTATCATTCCTACCCTGAAGCTTACTGATGCCAAAATTAGAGGTCAGTGAAGATGGTCATAATTAAGGAAGCTAGTATTTTTTAATTGATATAACACGATCCCCCAGTATACATTTCTAGCCATATCTCCTCCACCTCCCCCATGTGAATCTTTCACAACTACCAGATTGGTCTGTTTGCTCTCTCTGTAACATGCCTTATACCCTCCTACCTTTAAAATTATGCCATCCCTCTATTTTGCCCTTAGTCTTTTTTAATCAGTGGTTCTCAGAGTGCTTCTCGGGGGCCCACAATGTCAATGGTACGCTCATAATAATACTAAGATGCTATTTGCCTTTTTACTCTCATTCTGTTACAGGTGTACAGTAGAGTTTTCCAGAGGCTACATGACATGCAGTATCACAACGGAAGCAAATATAAGAACCCACCTGTCTCCTGTTAAAATGCAAAATGTAAAACAATACCACTTTGCTAACTGTTTTTGTTTGGGGAAATATAGTTCATAAAAATATTTATGTTAACATGTAATTTAGGTTAAAATAAATTAATAAATATTTGTAAATTGTCTGTTTTAATTTCTAATATGGTAAATACAGATAGATATAACCCATATAAACAAAACCTGTTTGGGGTCCTCAATAATATTGAAGAGTGTTATACAGGGGTCCTAAGGCCAAAGAATTTGATAATGCTGCTCTAAGTCTTCCTTATCCATTAAAGTCCAAATGAAAGCTGGGAACAGTAGCTAATGCCTGTAACCCCAGTGCTTTGGGAGGCCGACATAGGAGGATTACTTGAGGCCAGGAGTTTGAGACCAGACAGGGCAACATACGGAGACCCTGTTGCTACAAAAATAAATTTAAAACGTAGTTGGTCATGGTGGCACATGTCTGTAGTCCTAACTACTTGGGAGGCTGAGGCAGGAAGATCACTTGAGCCTAGGAGCTTGAGGCTGCTATGATCCCGCCACTGCACTCCAGCCTGGGTGACAAAGCAAGACCCTGTCTCTGAAAAAATAAATAAAATAGTTTTAAACTTAGAAAAAAAAGGTTCATGTCAAAGCCTTCCTACTCGATAAGACTTTTTGACCACTGCAACTAGAGAGGATCTTGTCTGTCTCTGAATACTACACACTTATGGCACTTACACACTTATGGCTCTTTTTTATCATTCATCTAGTACAGACCTTGTGCCAAAAAGGAATATTGTTATGTGGATTCAGAGTGATAATTAAAGACATGTGTTTGATGGTGAATCATAAACAACCCTTTTACTTCGCAGTCTCTCTGATTAGTCTTCCCAGCCTAAAGGAAAAAAAAAAAAATCTTGACTTTTCAACCTACCCTTTCTCCTAAGGAAAATAATAATAAAGTTTAATAATGATATATGTAAAATATTTGTTATGGTCATCTTTATTTTAAACCTGATAAATGTTCATTGAAAAAGAAAAAAACTAGAAATTCAAAAATTAAATTTAACCACAATGCCATCATTCTGAGGTAACAACTGCTAACATTTTAGTGCATACATATCCAGTCCTCTTCTATACAGGTATTTTTCCACTATATTTACGTTATATGGAACATATTATTGTCTTTTTTTATACACTATTTTTAAGACACTTTTTTGTTTTTTACTTACTGTCAGGTGGGTGTTACATGGTATTTAAAGAAACAGGTAATGTTCTAACTATAATAAATGAGCTCATGATGAATTTTTAAATATATAATGAACATTTTTCTGTCATTATTCATTATCTCAAGTAACTATAATTTGTTCATTATATTTTATATATGTATGTATGCACACACACACAAGGATTTATTTAACTCTACCATTAGACATTAAGATTATTCTAATTTTTAATACTATAAATGATACTTGGATTTTCTTCCTTGTATACACATTTTGCCTATATCTCTGATTATTTAGAAAAATTCTTAAAAAGGGAATTATGAGGTCAGGATAAACAATTTTAAGACATTTAATCTAAACATGCAATCATCTTTTGATGCCACTTCATCTTTTTCAGTAGAGTAAAAACAAAATTGTTATTTAAGAGAAAAGGAAAGGAGTTCGAGAGGTAGTGAGGAAAAGCTGGGAAAGCATATGGAAGAAGGAATACTCACAGAAAAATTGGTGCCAAAAAAGAGAGAAGGAGAAGAAAAGCCGGAAGCATAAATAGAATTGAAGAATACATAGAAAGGGATAAAACGAGGCAAACTGAACAGAGGTTTTAGAGTCAGGCAGATGTGGATTTAAAAGACAAGGCATCTACTAATTATGTGACCTTAAGCAAGTTACAGAACTTTTCTCTTCATTAAACTGTTTTTTAAAATTGGAAACAGAGCAAATTAGCTTCAGTACTCATTATTTGGACTGACCTTGAACCCTGAAGCTTATGCTTTATACCTGTGCTAGTGCATGCACTCACTTACCTTTCTCTTCTATCAAGCAAAGAAGCAGGTAGTAACACCCTTTTGCCACTCTGCTTTCTGTTATTTCATCTCTAGTCTTTGGTTTCTCTTCCACAAACTGAGAATAATATTAGGAATTAGGAGCCTAGTCGGACTAGAAACTAAGAAAACAGGTTGTTTTTTCTCATGAAATTTTTGGCCCTTCATGCTTCTAACTGTGCCAAAGAATGTCTTAAGACATTTTATTTGGCTCTTCTACTTGAAAATCTAAATAGAACCTGCCTGCACAAAGGTACAAGCCCATCACCAAAAATTTAATATGACTGAAACAGAAAGTCAAATGGGTTGTATATAAATTAATGGTAAAGACTTGCATTGGTTTTTTTACTCTGAAATAATGCATTTCTACTGCTTTTAACTGCTTAATTAGTTTCAGGTTGGTAGAACTATCACCTCTGTGAATGTTGGAAAATTCACTGTAGTTTCCTTATTTGACTCCTCTTTTTCTGTTTAGAGGGTGTTACAGATAGGGTTGACAGTGGCTTTTCACATAGCAAAAATATTTTAGGCACCCAGCAAGAAACATTAAAGTGTCACATAGCAAATATTTCACATACTTTAGTTGAGATCAGTCATCTACAAACTGGGGAAATAAAGGACCATTTGAAATAAAGAATGGGTGACAAAGGTGATTTTCATTCCAATCTAACAGAAGCACTAAGTGGGATTAGACCAGACCAAATTTCTGACTTATTCCGGGCTCTTAAGGCTATCCATTAATCTTATCTCCCACTCAGCAACAATAACTTCCAGGCAGTTTTTCTTTGTCTTCTCCTCTCCTGGTCTAGTCTAGTCTAGTCTAGTCTAGTTTACTCTATTCTACTCTACTCTACTGTACTCTACTCTACTCTACTCTACTCTACTCTACTCTACTCTACTCTATTTTGAGACAGAGTCTCTCTTTGTCTCCCAGGCTGGAGTGCAGTGGTGCAATCTCAACTCACTGTAACCTCCACCTCCTGGGTTCAAGCGATTCTTGTGTCTCAGCCTATAGAGTAGATGAGATTACAGGCACCCGCCACCATGCCTGGCTAATTTTTGTATTTTTAGTAGAGACAGGCTTTCACCATTTTGGCCAGGCTGGTCTCGAACTCCTGGCCTCAAGCGATACGACCGCCTGGGCCTCCAAAAGTGCAGGGATTAAAGGCATGAGCCACAGCATCCAGCCCTTTTTCACTTTTTTAATATCCGTATTCCCAAAGCTCTGAAGTAATTGTGGATCACAACAGTCTAGTTAAAAATCTCTGCATATATTCTAGTTAATTTCAGCTTTCCTAAATCAACTTAGCTATATTTACCTCACTTATTCCTTTATCCTTCCCCTTTAACTTCCTTCCTTTGGTAATTCCCTCCACCCTTAACCCCAATGCACAGACTTTAATTGAAAAAAATTGTTTGATTACATCCTTATACTGGTGAAATTCTTAGATGTTGATTATGTAATATGTACAATTTCTGGCTCTCAGTTTCCAAAAATGTTAGTCAGGTCTTAGAGATTCTCAGCAAAAATAATGAAAGACTCTTACAAAAGATGTCAGTGGGTTTACATTAAAATTCTTAATATACAACTAGCATCATTTATTATCTTTTCTATACTGACATTATAGATCTGTTGAGAACAATGATAGTATCCTTTTAAGATATTCAGTTATTTTAAAAATATCAAATACATTGAGTTTTTCAGGCCATGAAGATATTTTTCATAAAAAATTTGCATCTCCCGGCCAGGCGCGGTGGCTCATGCCCCTAATCCCAGCACTTTGGGAGGCCAAGGCATGTGGATCACCTGAGATCGGGAGTTTGAGACCAGCCTGACCAACATGGAGAAACCCCGACTCTACTAAAAATACAAAATTAGCCAGGCGTGATGGCGCCTGTCTGTAATCCCAGCTACTCGGGAGGCTGAGGCAGGAGAATCACTCTAACCAGGGAGGCACAGTTTGCAGTGAGCCAAGATCGTGCCACTGTACTCCAGCCTGGGCCACAAAAGCGAAACTCAGTCTGGAAAAAAAAAAAAAGTACAATTTTAAAGGCCGGGCGCGGTGGTTCGCTCATGCCTGTAATCCCAGCACTTTGGGAGGCCGAGGTGGGCGGTTCACGAGGTCAAGAGTTTGAGACCAGCCTGACCAACGTGGTGAAACCCCGTCTTTACTAAAAATACAAAAATTAGCTGGGCGGGGTGGCACGCGCCTGTAATCCCAGCTACTCGGGAGGCTGGAGCATGAGAATTGGTTGAACCCAGGAGCTGGAGGTTGCAGTGAGCCGAGATTGTGCCACTGCATTCCAGCCTGGGTGATAGAGCAAGACTCTGTCTCAAAAAAAAAAAAAAAAAATTTGCATCTCCCTAGTAGGAAAACATATCATCAGTACTATGGATTATGGATAAGCTGATTATGGATAGTACTTTTCTTATGCCACGTGCCTTATTTAACAGTTTTTTAAAAACTTTATTGATAATATTGTATAGCCTTGATCTGCACTGTCCAACATGGCAGTCACTTGCCACATGTGGCTATTTAGATTTAAATTGTAATTAATTAAAATGGAATAAAATTATAAATTTGGTTCCTCAGTCACAAAGCCACATTCAAATGCTCAATAGCCATATATAGCTATTAGCTACCCTGTCAGCATAGAAAGTTTTATTGTGCAGCACTAGTCTAGATGAATTAAATATAGTATCTGATAATAATCAATATAATTATCTGCCAGTCATAAATAAATTTTAACTATATCTAAAAAACTAATCATTTATATCTTTTATAATAAAGTGACAAGGTGGTTTTAATATGCTCCTAATGAAGCAACTGAAAAAAATAGTGTTAATTGAACAATTTAGCAAAAATGCAACTCACATAAACTATATGCATAACATTTCTTGCACCCTTCTTATAAATAAATTGACAAGTACATATGTACCCTTCAAAATGTGTATGAATCTTATCACTGTTTTATTCATTTGAAGAAGGGTCTCCCTTTGTCACCCAGGCTGGAGAGCAATGGCAGGATCATGGCTTACTGCAGGCTTGACCTCCTGGGATCAAGCCATCCTCCCACCTCAGCCTCCAAAAAACTGGGACTACAGGCGTGTACCACCACACCCGGTTAATTTTTTAAATATTTCTGGCCAGACGCGGTGGCTCACACCTGTAATCCCAGCACTTTGGGAGGCCGAGGCAGGCAGATCACTTGAGGTTACGAGTTCGAGACCACCCTGGCCAACATAGTGAAACCCTGTCTCTACTAAAAAATACAAAACTTAAGCCAGGCATGGTGGCACACACCTTTAGTCCCAGCTGCTGGGGAGACTGCGGCACAAGAATCGCTTGAACATGGGAAGTTGAGACTGCAGTGAGCCAAGATCTTGCCACTGCACTCCAGCCTGGGTGACAGAGTGAGACTCCGTCTGAAAAAAAAAAAAATTTTTTTTTCGAGGGCCAGGCACAGCCTGGGTGACAAAGCAAGACTCTGTTTCAAAAAATATATATAAATAAATAAATTTTTTTTTGAGGGCCAGGTGCAATGGCTAATGTCTGTAATCCCAGCACTTTGGGAGGCCAAGTCAGCCACATTGCTTGAGCTAGGGAATTTGAGACTAGCCTGGACAACATGGCAAAACCCCGTCTCTACAAAAATACTAAAATTAGCTGCATGTGGTGGTGGGCACCTGTAGTCACAGCTACTCAGGAGGCTGAGTTGGGAGGATGGCTTAATAAGCCTCAGAGGCTTAAGCCTGGGAAAGCAAGGCCACCGTGAGCCAAGATCGTGCCACTGTACTCCAGCCTGGGCGATAAAACAAGACACTCTCTCTACAAAAAAAAAAAAAAAAAAAAAAAATTGAGACAGGGTCACACTACCTCGTCCAGGCTTGTCTCAAACTCCTAGGCTCAAGCTATCTTCCCACCTCTGCCTCCCGAAGTGCTGGGATTATGGGTGTGAGTCATCACGCCAGGCCTCTCATCACTGTTTTAAAATGCTAACTTCCCATGAATTCTAGGGAAGTTCTTCTCCCAGAAATATATGGGGACTGAGTCCAAGTTCTATGGGAATGGGTAGAAATAGAGATTAACATTAATATGTGTCCTTATTGTTTGGTGGGTACACTGTGCATTGCTCCAATGGTGCATGCACTGAAGGCCCTGATTTCCCACAACACAATATACCAATGCAGCAAAATTTCACTTGTACTCCATGAATATATACAAATAACAAAATATGCTTTATTAAATGTGTTTAAAATTCTGTTGTCTTTTAAAAGTGTTTTGAGAGATTAAGCTTCATGAACTGTAGAAAACTGGCTGGGTGAAAAGTAACTTGTTCTGTTGTCATCCATCCAAGAATGCAGACAGTCAGATCATTCCAATATATCTCCTGCCAAAGGCTTTTGGAGAATGGCTATAGACTGAGGTTGTTCTGGAGGTGGAATCAGTTAGCTATATATTTCTTTCTGTTGTCAGCATACACTGGGAAACACACCTGCTACACAGAGTTTATCATTTCTAAAATGATCTGAGAGTTTATTAGTCATGCCAAAAACTGTCCAAGTCAGACAGTTCCACAAAGGAAATAGAAAATTCCTGGCCAGGCACAGTGGCTCACACCTGTAATCCTAGCACTTTGGGAGGCCGAGTTGGGTGGATCACCTGAGGTCTGGAGTTCAAGACCAGCCTGGCCAACATGGCAAAACCCCGTCTCTACTAAAAATACAAAAAAACTAGCTAAACGTGGTGGCAGGCGCCTGTAATCCCAGCTACTTGGGAGGCTGAGGCAGGAGAATCGCTTGAACCCCAGAGGCGGAGGTTGCAGTGAGCTGAGATCGTGCCACTTCACTCCAGCCTGGGTGAAAGAGCGAAACTCCGTCTCAAAAAAGAAAAGAAAAAATTCCCTTGACCCAGAATGTTCAGGTTGTAATGCTATGGCTGACTCCCTCATCATGAAAGGATTCAGAATAGGAAAATGTTAAAAGTTTAGGTTACTGGATCAGTTGCCTTCTGTCAATAAAACTATGAGAAACCTATAATGTGCTTTTCTGTTTGGTTTTCCCTTTTATCAGCACCCTTCACCGCACATACAACTTTTTTTATGTAGACCTGACAGAAGTCTAGTTCAACAGGGATTTTTTTTTTTTTTTTTTTTTTTCTGAGACAAGGTCTTGCTCTGTCACCTAGGCTAGAGTGCAGTGGTGTGATCAAGGCTCACTGCAGCCTCCTGAGTAGCTGGGACCAGAGGCGCTCGCCATCGCACCCACCTGTAGAGACAGGGTCTCATTATGTTTCCCAGGTTCACTTTGAACTCCTGGGCTCAAGAGATCCTCCCACCTTGGCCTCTCAAAGTGCTGGGATTACAGGCATGAACCACCACACCTGGCCTCAACAAGTATTTTTTACAATACTTTCTGTCAAAAAGCCAACTATAATTTGGCCCTTGCCCTCAAAAAGCTCATTCTTTAGTGAATACTAGCCTTAAACAGTTAAGTGCCATGATAGAGTTAAGCAAAGCCTACAATGGAAAATCAAAAGAAACAGGGTCACATGACCAACCAGTAAGATTTCTTAAAAGTAATGATATCCAACTAGAATCTTGATGAACAGTAGTTAGCCAGGTAAGGACGGAGTGAGAAAGGGATAAAATATTAGGCAAGAAAGAACATAAGCCAAAGCACAGAGGTGTGAAGATAGCATAATGAATTCTGGAAATTACATATAGTCCCATATTGCCAAAAATAAGTGTTAGGAGGTTGGCAGGAACTAGATCATTGATTTATTTTTTTCTATAGATGATGGGGAGTTATTAAGTGGTTTTTTTTAACGAGGAGTGATCTGTTCACGTTTGTTTTAGACTGATCACTTTATTAGACTCTGGAAATCATACTGATATGGAAGAGGCAGTTTTGAGAAGTGTTAGGAATAAAGACAGCACAAACTCATAGGATTTAAAGAGAAGAGTTAAGGCGATTTCAACATTTTTGGCCTCTTGGCTAGGTGCCACATAACTGAAATGGAAAATACAGGAGAAAGAGTAAGTATGGGAGAAAATTAGTTTAGTTTTGGTTTTGCTAAAAATGAGGTGTTTTGTGCCATCTAAGCAGATATGTCCATCAGGCAATTAAATATATGTCTTGACTTAGAGGGAATGTTGGGAGCAGAGATACCTAAAGGTGATGCCTAAGGATTTAAAAATAGAAGATATCTATATAGCAAGAATGGAAATGAGGGTGGGAAGACTGACAGCACACGGGGTGAAAAAGAGAATAAAGGACAGGAGCCTGGGAATTCCAACCTTTAGGGAAAATTACAGTGATGCACTGTGAAGTACAGTGAAGTACTTCACAGTGAAATACTATGAAGAAATAACAGTGGTCTAAGGAGATCCACAATAACACGGAAGAAAGTCTGTTGCTATGTTCTGTCCTTAGGAAAACAAAATCACTGAAGGAATTCAAAGATCAAAGAAGTGTAACAACAAAACTATAAACCATCCTTCTCCACTTAACCCTTTGTCAGACACCATTCCTGGGATGCCTAGTTCAGAATGCCCACAGCCTCTTCAACAAAGGGTTTGGAATTCCTTTCTCCAACATCAATGAGGCCAACATTAATTTATGCTGCAAAGCTTCTACAGAGAAGGGAAAACTGGAATCAATTGTTCATACACATACCAAAAATCTAAAAGAGGACTATCTTGGAAGACAATCTAAGATAATACCAACCAAGTAGCTGTTGTCCCAAAGTGAATTTTATTTTTATCTGTATTACCTGGTTTGGATGCCAAGGCAGTTCTGATTTATTGGATAATTTCAAGTCTTCATCTCATTTTGGATATTTACCACCTCTATAACAACGGTTTTTTGAAAAAAAGAACTGATAAGCAAAATTTCTAGAGGCAGAAACTACCAGACTTCAAGTCATTTTTGAAGGTAATAATCAAGAAATAAAATAAAAAGGTAACTAAATATGAAGAGTCAAGATTTTCAGGAAGGCAGGAAGGGTTTTTGGGGTTTGCTATGATTAATTGGTTGATTTTTATTAGAACCTGTATGAAAGATAAAGTAACTAGAGAACAGAATTAGGAAAACAAAATACAGTAATTTTAGGAAATAACTTATGACACAAAAAGTAAATAAAGGACTGATAATATAGTCAGCAAAATCCTGATTATGAATCTGTGCAAACCAAAAGTCAAGTACTAACCTGTAGCGAGTTTGGAAACACAGTTAAAGATCTTCATTAATGATACAGTGCTGAGGAGAAGAACAGACATTCTCTTGGTTAAGAAGACGATGTAATTATACTGAAGGAAATAGAAAAACAGATGAAAAATTAACACAATTTTAAGAAGTCAGCAATCAGGTAGATTAAAATGTAAGCTAACTCAAAATTAAGCCCTAGATCTCCGTCTCCAAAAGCTGTGGTATTCAAACATCAGTTGGAAGGCTTGTTTTGTTTTGTTTTCTGTAAATGGGTGCCATAAAAATTCTGCCAGTCAGGTACTTTAAAGAGTAGGGAGGAAACTTACTTGACTTAAAAATCAGATTTTAAGAATTTCTTAAAATAGGATTGCATGGTTTCCTGCCTTCAGAACATTCATAACAACATCTGCATCTTGAGGATTTGGACAAGCATTTTCATTACTTTTGTAGATGCTCCAACAAAGCATCACACACACACACACACACACACACACACACACACACACAGGCATACACACAAACGTTTTCAAACCTGTTTTAATTACTTAGCCTTTCAAAATGAACAGATGAAAAACCAAAAGAATGAAAATAAAGTGGTGCTGAATGGGAAATCCAACTAAACAATTAAAAAAAATAATGTGCAGGAATTGGAAGCAAAACTTTTTCTTGCTCATGTGAAAAGACAGCCAAAAAACTTAAGCTGATGTTGGATTATTGCACATAAACAGTTCCTGACTCCTTCACCAAGTGAAACAAAAGTTGCCAATGTTTCTCTGTCCCTCTGCTAACATTTTGGGAAAGGTTCCCGGAAGGAAAAAAAGAATAGTAATTTAATTAAATCACACAAACACACACACATGAACACTTTTTTTCTTCTTTAGAAATAATTAAACTATTTGAACAATAATCCATTTATATAATTTTGAATTGCAAAGGCTTGAATTATCAATGTTTAAAGTAAGAAGTCTCCAATTACTATAATGGAATCACTGTTTTAGCAGAAAAACAAAAATACAAATAGTTTGAGGACAACAATATGAAGAAAGCCATAGAAATATTATAAATAAGTAAAATATAATTACCTATATAGGTCTTAAATTGTTAAATTTAAATTGTCTTTATACTTTTTATCTTCAACTGGCTGAAATTTCCCCTTCTGGGTGAAGTATCTGTTGCTAATTTTTTTAAATGCAACATAATTTTATTATCTGATATAGGATAAAATATAATCAGAGAAAATTGTATAATTCAAAGGAACTGCTATTACTCAGATAATTAAATGTCCTCTTATTACATGATTAAATATTGAATAATCCAAATTATCAGAATTCAGAATAGGGAACTCAAATTTTTCAATACCACAGAAATAACTGTCAAAGAATTACTGTGAATTTTTTAAATTTTTAATTATCCAATTATGAATTTTAACAATTTTATATACAAAAATTTATAAAATGGAAAATAGGTATAAGAAACAAAACAATGGACCAGATTTGGAGAGAAAGATCTTTCTATTTAAGAGAGCCACAGAAAATAAGAAACATAAAAAATAGATTTATAAAAAAGTAATATTTTTTAGACTATTAAGCAAAAAATGTGAAATATAAAATGACTGAAATTTATAAATCCATATTCAAGTTAAATAATATTATCAGCAACCACCATTATTAAGTGTTCACTCTGTGTCAAGCACTGTGCTGGGCATTTTATATATATACATCATCTCATTTAATCACCATAACCATGCATGAAGGGCCTCACTAACCATTTATGCGTATCAAAT
Organism: Homo sapiens; assembly: GCF_000001405.40. Classification (NCBI taxonomy): domain Eukaryota; kingdom Metazoa; phylum Chordata; class Mammalia; order Primates; family Hominidae; genus Homo; species Homo sapiens. The sequence continues at coordinate 98,985,875 of NC_000008.11, read as the reverse complement.
ACTTTTAAATTTTAAAATAACATTCTTATAATTATCTCGTATTATCTTCACATTATGCTATGAAATAGACCATAGCAAAAGCAAATATTAGCCCTATGTAAATTACAGACAATAAAATGTTCAGAGAGGTTAAAATCACTGAGTTAATTAATGAAAAGAAACAAAATTAGAGTTTGTTTTCTAACTTAAAACCCTGATTCATTATACACTAGATATTATTAAAATCAGAGAGCCTTAGTGAGACTAAATTTTCGAGGAAATCATTCAAGATTAATCAGCAAGCATTCAATGAGTTTCAATATTATATAGAGCACAGAAGTATTTGTGGATACAAAAGAAATAGAGAAAAATGGGGAAAAAGAAAGGAAAAAAGTGGAAACAGAAAAGAAGGAAAAGAGGAGTCCATTGGAGAACTTAGTATCTGGCTGAGAAGAAAACATTAATTTTTAGAATAATAAGTAGTATATCATTAAGTACAAAGTAACAGTTGTGAAAATTACCTGAAATAATTTAACCCTGATCAACTCTGCTACCAATAAATTATGTATCTTTTGTTTATTTAAATTAATCAAGTCCCAGAAAATGTTTTTGAATTAACCTAATTCTTTGGCTAAACAAAACCCTATTATACAAATTACTGCTACAAAGAAAAAGGTCACCAGCTGGAGAGTAACTGGCAATCTTTGCAGAAATTTTTGTTCTGATAGAATTTGTTATCATAGAATTTTATTTCAGTTGAATTTATAAGGTGGCAAAATATTTATCAAAATCTCCACAAAGAAACTATCAATAGGTATAGATGAAAAAGTTTAAATTCATTACCATACTTAAGTTATATCAAGAAAATATTACTATGCAGAGTGGGGGAAACTTTGTACTCTTAAAAAATCAAAAAAGAAAAAATATAATTTATATACAAATAGTATTTGGCTTGGAGTACTGTTCAAAGAATGGTAATAAAAAATAAGTTAAAGCTTACAAGATATTTCTTAGAAAAAAATAACACTTAATCAAAATGCAACTTTACACACATACACTTATGTACATATAAAAGCAGTTAGGTGAAAGACACTATATGGTTCTGAGATAATAGCTTCAAGATAAATTACAGGAATAAATTCATTCTGTAAAGCCAACATTCATTCTGACTTTTAAATAGTGGCCTCTGAAAAAGATACAATTTAGCACTTAATTCTATAACTTCTTACACAGAACCAACACATTGTTACTGTGTTTTTATAAAATGTATGGTGACTTTCATAAATGTTTCATGTTCATCTTCTAATTACAATAATTTTCTTCTACTCTCTTTCAATAGCTTCACACAGCCTGCATAGATAACTGTTTTTTTCCTTATTCTCTTCTTTCTTTCTTTTTTTTTTTTCCTTTAAGATAGAGTCTCACTCTGCCACCTAGGCTGGAGTATAGTGGCATGCTCTTGGCTCACTGCAGCCTCAACCTCCTGGGCTCAAGCCATCCTCCTGCCTCAGCCTCCCGAGTAGCTGGGACTACAGGCACACAACACCACACCTGGCTAATTTTAGTATTTTTTTGTAGAGACCGGGTTTTGCTATGTTCTCCAGGCTGGTCTTGAATTCCTGGCCGCAAGTGATCCTTCCACCTTGACCACCCAAAGTGCTAAGATTATAGGCATAATCCACCACACCCAGCACAGTAACATTTCTGAAACTAGATCAAGTACAATTAAAACACTCAACAAACATTATTTGAATACCATTTATGTGCTGAGCACAGACTTAGGCAATGGAGAATAAAAAGTAAATAATACATAGTAAGTATCTTCAAAACAGAGTTTAGCTAAAGCTTTTCAAACTGCAGATTATGTCCCTTCAGGGAGTTATAAATCAATTTAGTGGGTTTCTGACATAACAATTTTAAAAGAATAAAATAAATCAGAACAGCATTTAAAAATTCTTGTGTATCACACACAGTAAGGTAAGTACTACTTCACAGAAGTTTTGTTTCAGTTACCTGTATGTGTACTGGGTCACAATGCAAAATTTCTTTCATACTGTGGGTTGCAGGCAAAAGTTTGAAAAAACCCTTGTTTAGGAAAGCACCAACAAGAAATTTTCACAAAAAGGTTCATTCTGTAAAGATTATCACAAACTGGTAACTTCAAATTTTTTAATCTAAATTAACTGTCAAGACTGAATAAACATCTTACAGAACAGGTAGTCAAGCACCAGCAATGTCTTTCTTTTGAAAAATGTTATCTTTATTTAGATCTCCTTTATTAAAATGTTCACCAGTCAATCACAATGCTATGCAGTTCCAACCAAATATTTTTACCATTAGTTAATACAACATAAAGTGAAATGAATATGATACTCCCCTAACATGCTTGAGACTCTGACGAAAGAGATTGGGGATACAGTTATAATATCCTTGATGATAATAAATTAGAAACATTATACTCTTGCATTAATCTGTAAGGGTTACAAGTTTTTTTCAATGATGGCAAACCACTTCATGTTAATCAAGGAGGGCATGGTATCAAAATATTTACATTATGAAATGCTAAGTAATTTCAACAGTTCCAACAAAAGGTTGAATAGCCAGTCATACCGCACTTTTAGAGGCTGATTCATTCCAGCTGAACATAATCTGAGTTCCATAGAGCTTGTTGTGTTTACTTAGTTTTTTAACTATTTAAAGTAAACTCTTAATTAAATCCTAAACAACTTGAAAGCAAAAGAACATACCTTATTCGGTGCTTTGCATACACACAGTGAATGTTAACTGATTACTGTTGAATGCACTGTTGGTATTAATTTATTTTGTATTTTCATTTCACCAAAATATCTGAGTCTATATTCCAGATACAGATTTAGATTTTCCAAGGAATATATCTATGCAGAGATATCTGAATATATTACCTATGCCTTTGTCATCCTTAATTAAAATGAGTGATTGTTAATGGAAATTATTTTGTCTTAGCAAACACAGAAACAGATCTAAATGACAGAATAAGAGAGTTTAAAGGTCACCTGATCCTACCTTCTTTAAAGATGAAAACTGAATCTCAGAGAGGTTCACAAGGCTGTTTAGATAATCTGTGCAGGGCTAGAACTAGAACCCAGGTCTTACAATTCCCAGTGGTATTCATCAAAGTACTTAAAAACAGGAAAATATACACAAAAATACATTTAGAGATTTATGCAGAATTAAGTTTTTGCAAATTACTATCATCATCAAGTCTCATTATTTTCTGAAAAATAATTCCTGACCACTCGAAACTGCAATACTTTCTCTCTATAGCAGTAGAAAAAGCACCAGATAGGTAACATGAAACCTGGGTTTGTGTGTAGCTTAATCACTAACTAGATGTTGGAAAAATAATTATTGAACTTTATGTTACTCATTTGTAAAACAGGGAGGGGGTGCAGGGGTAAATGATCTTTAATTTAAAGGCCCCTTCCAGATCTAAGATCCTAGCACCAATTGTCTATACCAGTTCAATTGTCTATGCTGCACATCACAGCTATCCACTGATATCCATAGGTTGCAGATAGATCTATGATCCTCATTTGAGGCAACTGTCTGGGACTCTTACCCTTAATTCCTCTCTTTTCCAGTGTCTCTTTGGTTCCTTTCTTGGGCCATCTCTTAACCCCTTGATGACTAAACTCAGTTTCCCTGTTTTGACTGTTAGTGTTCCCTAAAGAACTTGGTTTGTACAGATATTCTGGCTCTTATGCCTGGACACGTCAGAAAATACTCCCATTTCACCTGCCTCTGGCCTGGGATCTAGGGCTGAGTACCTGCCTATTTGCAGGGACACCCCACAGAGACACTATCACCTAAGTACTGGCAATTTTCCAAATACTGATTTTAAATATTTCTATTACTATATTATTTGATATTTAAATATTTTATCATTTAACTTTTTGTACATTAAGAGATTCCCAAAAGTCATGAGGTCTGATGTATTTTGGAATTTGGAAATTTTCACATTTTGAAAGGTAATATAGCACATATATTATGTAAAACATAACATTATAATCAAAAACATTAATATTTCTGCAGTGAAACATATGAATATTCTTCTTAAGTAGAATAAATGAAGACTATAGCGTCACACCAGTTCAGTCACACCAGTTCAGGTTTCTCTACCAAATGACTTAATCTCGGGTTAGATTTTACTGCCAAATACTTTATCAAAAATAAATAAGTAAATAAATTTTCAGAAATTTTTGGACTTCAGAATTATGCATAAAGGGGTTCTGGATCTAATAAATGATGTGGATCTTAGTATGACTGCTTTTCTCCTGGCTAAACTGCATCTATCACAGAGGCAGAGATTACGTATTTTAATTCTTCATATCTCTTTGCCTTACAGAATACTAAAAAAAAAAAAAAAAGTTGATGTTTGAAGAATTCTTCACTGAGTGAGTACCACATGCCATGCCAAAACTACACTCAGGAGTTGTGAGGCTTTAAAAAAAAAAAAAATGTATAATACATAGAACGTGACCTCAGGGGCTTTACAGTCTCAAGAGGAACAAAGCATAAAACAAATATTAAAATGGAAGTCTCTGATTAAGTGCCAAAATCAGTAACTCAGGCAATAAGGTTGTCAGAATTAAGAGTAGTAAGTTAAATGTGAAAAGTGTGATTTAGTTTAACAGTCAGAAGCTGTCAATATCTCACAACTGTCAAAGCTGGCATAATGATTTATAGCCTGGAAAGGAAGTAGTGTGTAATTTGGTAAGAGAATTCTATTAGTAATAAAAGGTTACATTGAAAATTCCTATAACTTTTGCTTTGGATAGTTTCAGGCACAGTTTTATTCACATTGATTCCAGAAATGGACACTCAGAGGGATGACTCCACAGGCTTAAAAATGAAGGGCCATAAGACCATGGAGAATTAGCACTACGGAACTAACCTAGATGAGACAATCTAACTCTGTGCAAAGAGGAAATTGTTTTTGACAAAATGAAATTTCAGTTCAACTTGGGTTTTTTGGTCGGTTGGGTCTACTTTGAAAGGAGTGGTAGATTCTGGTAAAATTTAGTATCTTTTTGAGCCAAGAGCAAAGCAGAGAATAATAAGACACATTCATTCAGACCATATATCATTTGTAAACCACTGAGCAACTTTAAAGATACAAGTGATCTAATAATTGGTTGTAATGTATTAAATGTATTTTTATAATAGAACTTATCTGGCATCTCTTCTATTGAAATGTTAAATATTCCTCAAAGGTGATAAATATGATTATGCCTATTTTATAAATGAAAACCTTGAACCTGGCGATATTGAATGACTAAAGGTCAATTTGATAATCAGTACCTTATAATAGGTTTTATTTATTTATTTTTAAAAAGTTATGTAGAGAAAAGATCTTACTATGTTGTCCAGGACTTGAACTGCTAGACTCAAACAATTCTCCCACCTCAGCCTCCCGAGTAGCTGGGATTATAGGCACTTGCCACCATGCTGGTGCTGTAATGGATTTTAAATAAAAGAATATTAACTCCAGCTTCACTGAATTAACCACTAACTACCAGTAAGCAACCTAGACAAAGCAATTTGAAAATTCCGTGACCTGACTTTTTTCCCAATATATATAACTACCTTTAAGCAGCCAAATAAGTCAATATAATCACATGATTTGTCCATAAAAACACTTCCTAAGCCTTACTTGTCAGTTCTTTAAGTTTCTGGAACATAAAGAAGCAGCAGTAATAAGCAAGATATCAGACAAAAAGTAAAGTCTATTCTGTTGTTTCCTATAGTATTCTCTACATAGGCTTAAAGCAGTAACATTCTAGTATGGATTTATGAACCAAGTAATAATAATCATTTGTTTTATTTAAGACAATTAATTATAACAAAGAAAAAGTATCTTTTCATTATAATCCTCTTTAGGAAGCTGCTGTCATTTGAATGTTTATCCCTTCCAGAACTACTGAAATTTAATTGCCATTGTAAAGGTATCGGGTGGTGCGGCCATTAAGAGGTGATTAAGCCATATGAGTTCTGCCCTCATGGAGGAGTTTAATACTTTTTTTTTTAAGGCTTTCAGAGGGAGGTCTCCTTTGCTGTCTCACACTCTCTTGCCCTTCCACTTCCATCATGGGATGGCATGACATGAAGACTCTCACATGTGAGCCCCTTGACCTTGGACTTCCCAGCCTCCAGAGCTATGAGAAATAAATTTCTTTTTATATCCAGCCTGTGGCATTCTGTTGCAGCAACACAAAACAGATTAAGATAGAAAACTGGTACCAAGAAGTGAGACTGTTACTAAAACAAATACCTGAAAATGTGAAAGTGGCTTTGGAACTCAGTAACAGGTAGAGGCTGGAAGAATTTAAAGGAACAGGGTGGAAAATGGCTAGATTGTCATGAATGAAGCATTAAGGGTAATTCTGGTAAGGACTAAGAAGAAGAGAAGAGCTATAGGGAAAGTCTGAAACACTTAGAGATTACTCAAGTGGTCATGATCAGAATGCTGGTAGAAATATGGACAGTAAAGCCCATTCTGATGAGGTCCCAGATGGAAATGAGGAACAAGGTATTGGAAACCCAAGTAAAGGCCATCCTTGTTATACAGTTACAAAGAACTTGGCTGAATTGTGTCCATGCCCAAGAGCTTTATGAAAGGCCTTATTTAAAAGAAATGAACTAGGATATCTAGTAAAAGAAATATCTAAGCAGCAAAGCAGTCAGTCTTCTGCATGGCTACTTTTAACCACATAGAGTAAGATGTGAGAGGAAAGAAATGATTTAAAGATGGAATTTGTAACTAAAAGAGAAACTGAGTGAAAGATTTGGAAAGCTCACAGCTTGGCCATGTTAAGAATAAAAAAGTGTGTTTTTACAGGCACAGTGGCTCATGCCTGTAATCCCAGCACTTTGGGAGGCTGAGGCGGGTGGATCACTTCAGGTCAGGAGTTCAAGACCAGCCTGGCCAACATGGTGAAACCCCGTCTCTACTAAAAACACAAAAATTAGCCAGGCGTGAGGCATGCGCCTGTGATGCCACCTACTCAGGAGGTTGAGGCTCAAGAATTGCTTGAAACTGGGAGGCAGAGGCTGCAGTGAGCCGAGATCACACCACTGCACTCCATCCTGAGTGACAGAGCAAGACTCTGTCTCAAAAAGATAATAATAAAATGAAATAAAATAAAATAAAAATTAAAAAGTGTGTTTGGGAGAGAATACTAAAAGTGTGGCCAAGGATTGTTTGCTAAAGAGATTAGTATGGATAGAAGAAAACTAGGTGCTATTCATCAAGAATGGTAGGAGAGACCCCCAAAGGCACTTCAAAGATCCTTAAGGCTGCCCCTCCATTCACAGGCCTAGATCTCTAGGAGATCAGAATAGCTTGGGGGATGGGCCCAGGGCTCAATGCCCCAGGGCAGCTAGGGACTCTGCTCCCCGCAATCCAGCACAGTGCTCTTTGGCCACCCCAGCTGTGGCTCAAGCAGGCCCAGTGTGGCTCTGGCCACCACTCCAGTAGGTGCAAGTTGTAAGCCTTGGCAGCATCCATGGGGTGTTATGTCTGCAGGCTAGCAGAATGCAACAGCTGTGGGGACATGGCTACCTCCACCTAGACTTCAAAGGATGTAGCAGACAGCCTGGGAGCCCAGGCAGAAACTTGTAGCAGAGGCAGAGCTGCTGGAGAGTATCCACTAGGGCAATGCTTACTAGAGCCATGGGAGTGTAGCAGTCCTCAAGACCTCACAACTGTAGGTCCACCTCTAGCCTGGGAAAGCTGGAGGCGTAAGACTCAAGTCTGTAAGAGCTGCTGGGTGTCTAAGCCCAGCAAAGCCGTCAGGATAATGCTGCCTGAGGTCTTGAGGGCCCAATACCCACCCTAGTGTATCCAGGATACAGGACATAGAGTCAAGCAAGATTATTCTCCAGTTTAAGATTCAATGCCGTTTTCCCTATTGGGTTTTGGACTTTCTTGAGACCAGTTATCCCTTCCTTCTTGCTATTCTTCCATTTTGGAATGGGTATGTCTATACGCTGCCTGTTCCACCTTGTATTTTGGAATTAGATAACCTGTTTTGATTTCACAGGTTCATGGGTGAAGAGAATGTACCTCGGGATGAATCATGGCTTGACTTTCACCTATATCTCATTTACATGCAAACTTGGGGCTCTGAGTTGATGCTGCAACAAGTTAGGACTTTGGGGGGTACTGGGATAGAATGAATGTACTTTGCATACGAGAAGGAATGAGTTTTGAGGTGCTAAGCGTGAACTGCTATGATTTGAATGTTTATCTCCTCCAAAACTCCTGTTGAAATTTAATTGGCAATATAATAGCATTGAGTGGTGGGGCCTGTAAGAAGTGATTAAGCCACAAAGGCTCTACCCTCATGCGTGGATTTAATGCCTTTTAAAAGGAAGGCTTTGGGGATCAGTTCTCTTTTGCACTCTCACACTCTCTTGCCTTTCCACCTTCCATCATCGGATGATGCAGCACAAAGGCCCTCACCAGATGTGAGCCGCTCGGCCTTGGACTTCCTAGCCTCAAGAGCTATAATAAATAAATTTCTTTTCCTTGTAAATTACTCAGCCTATGGTATTATGTTATAAAAACAGAAAATGGACTAAGACAAAAGCTAAATTCATTATCTGATTACAGTGAATTATGAGATATTTTTAGAAGAATTTTTTTCTATCAATTGAAAAAAGAAAACATCCTAGCTGTCCAAGTAGGAAGAAAAACCTGGCCAAGACTATTACTGGTAAAAATGAAAGGAAACCTATAAGTAATATCAGATGACATCTTCTATGGGGTTATTTTAGCAGGGATATCATCTGACATCTTCTATAAGGTTATTTGAGGTGAGTGTGACATTTTCTTAAATGAGATGATTAGGAAGTTGCCCTAAAACAGCCTTATATAATGTATAAGGCCAAGGAACATATGGATAAAGTGTTGCTGGAGAAGTGTAAATATGGCTCTTGAAGTAGTAAATGAAGGTTAAACATAAACAGCTGGTCTGGGGGAAATGAGGGGGAAAAAAAGTAAGCTGTCTGTTTCAGACTAGTGTTTCACTAACCAGTAAGTCATCTTTATCTGTTTTCTATTTCAAGTCACCTGGCCAAAATATATTGCATTTCAAAGTTTAAGGAAATAAACTTTTAAAAGTTGCTTTGATTTAGTTGAACAAACCTAAAAAGACATTCTAGGATTATGACTTTAAATTTCAAGTTGTATAGGTTTTTTCCAAAGAAAGCAGAGCTATTTTAGCTATAAATCTATCACAGTATTGGTTTTTAAAGACACACATTTTGTACTTTTATATATTAAATCTTAGACTAGAAACATCATCTCTCCCCACACAACTCTCACTTCAAAACTATATCACAACTTGTTTCTGCATTCTCTAGCTCCAAATCCAATCATTTGGTTCAGGGACACCAAGTCTCCCACGCAATTTGAAATCAAGATATTACTGGTTGCTGGTTACTCCAGTTGCACAGCAGAATCACAATTCAATTACGGTTAATTGAATTAAATGTAAGAATGAAAGCCGGACACCGTGGCTCACCCCTGTAATCCCAGCACTTTGGGAGGCTGAGGTGGGAGGATCACTGGAACCCAGGAATTCTAGACCAGCCTGGCAACATAGTGAGATCGTGTCTCTACAAAAAAATTTTTTTAATTAGCCAGGCATGGCAACACACACCTGTGGTGCTAGCTACTCAGGAGGCTGAGGTAGGAAGACCACCTAAACCCAGGAGATCAAGATCACAGTGAGCAGTGATTATGCCACTGCACTCCAGCCTGGGCAACAGAGCAAGACCCTGTATCCAAAAAAAAAAAAAGATACGAATCAAATGTCCCAACAAACTAACTACTGAATATTATTCCAAAGAGCCCATATGTAGTGCCCATTCTGCAGGGGTACAGAATAAATTTCAGTCAACAAATATCTATCTATCTATATATATATATATATCCCTGGTACACTTCTGTGAGTAGGATATATATAAAATCACTGGTGTGAAAAGTAAGAATTTTCCACTAAGACCAAATCATTACCAACTTTGGAAGCAGAATAAATGAAGCTGAAAAAAAATAAAAAAACTCCTTTTGCCTCAAATGATTTTCTACTGGTTAAAAAAACCTGATGACTTGATTTTTTAAAATCTTGCCATTAAACTGCTAATTTCTTTATAGAGTTAAAAAATAAATGTAATAACCAAATGTTAATCAGTCCTTGAAAAATATATGCAACAGTCTTGTTATAGCATACATTTCTGCTCTTTATAGTCTGGAGAAGTACTTGTAATTTGGTGAATGAATTGTTAGTCATAAAAGGTTATGCCAAAAATCCCTGTAACTTTTGCTCTATATAAGGTTAATGTTAACAGTTGCAGTAAATATAATGCCAAATGCTGAATTTTATATCATGAAGCAAAAAATTGGTTTTCTCCTACTGAAAATGATTATGAACAATATTGAGTGTATAAGTTATTTTTCTAGGGCAAATTTATATTTACTTATACATTATAAAATATATAAGCAAGTTATATGAATTCACATTGGATAGTAAATGGAGACAGTTTCGGTTTTATTCACTCAATGCCTTGTACCGTGTTAGACAAAAAAACCATCTCTGCCCACAAGAAGCTTACAGTCTAGAAGACAAGATAAAACATGTACACAAATAACTGTTACACAATTAGAATATAATGCATGCTCTAAGTATACTATAATATATTATAATAAATACACTGGAATTCCAATTACATATTGGAAGTACAGGTACTTTACCTTGTTCTGTTACTGATATGTGATCTTCTCTCAGAAATAAGCAGAAATAGTCCTCTTATATAAATCTTTATTTCAACAAAAGAATTAGAAGCAAACTTTACGAATGTGTCTGTCTTATAAGACAGTGTTTATAAAACCTTAGGATCTTTAAAAAATGGCAATCATAGGCGAGCCCTTCACAGATAGTCAAGGATTAGAATGTCTGCCTTACACCCTTCCTTTAAGTGCCTATGTCAGCATATCTAAAATTTTAAATTTTACACACACACACACACACACACACACACACACACACACACACACACACACTTTTAACAGGGGAGGGAGGCGGTGGAGGAGACCCTAACGCCCCTAAGGTCCGAATCGGGTCACTCAACTAAGAGTAGCGTCCAAAGGCAGGATGCGGTAACACCTCCACTACGAGCTTTTCCTTTTCTTTTAATTCGCCCGCGCAGCGCCTCCTGCCGGTCCCGAAGGCGCAGGGAAGGGCGGACTCCCGGGACCCTCTCCTCCTCCCGCAGGGCCCCTGGGTTGCTCGCGGAAGGCGGGAAAATGCGAGTGGCCTTCGCGCCCGACCTCGGACTCGGCGACCTGTCCCCCACCCGGAGAGGGAGCGGAGGCCCGAAACTCCCGTTCGCCCCCTCGGTTATCCCGTGTGGCCCCCGCTCCGTCTCGGGTGCGGATCCGGGATCCAGCGGCCTTGCAGTGGCCTCAACTGCGCCCACCGACGTCAGGCCCATCGCCCAGGGCCGCTCCTACCCAATCCATACCGAACGCCTCACCGAGGACGCTCCGCGGTCCGAGCACTTGTGCCGGCCGAGCCCAGCCCCGCGCCCCTGGCCTTGCCGCGCGCGCCGCGCCTTCCCTCGGTGTCCCGACCCTGGGCCTGTGGGGAGGGTCGAGCTGGATGCTCCCCAGCTGCTTCCGTGCGGACTGCCGCGAGAAGTCCCTATTTCTGCTCGGGTCTCATTGCCTCTACTTTTCCGCAGCCTCCCTGGGGACACTGGCGGTCACACTGCAGTATAGTCCCCCAGTGCGCTTATCCATGAGCAAGCGCATAGACGTGGCTCAACGGAGCGTTCACCGACTGGAGAAGCAACTCCCGGGCCCTTTCTCCCAGGGCCAGTCCGCAGAGTTGGATAGGGCTTCTCTGCGACCTGGGGCCTGCGCCATCTGTAGCCGCAGAAGCTTCCTTTCCCCGCGGCGTCGGCGGCCAGGGTTAAAGGCCCCGGCACCGGCGGTCCTGGGGACGCGCGTGCCTCGCTGAGGGAGGGGGAGGCCGCCGGCATCAGGCTCCGGCCGGGCGTCCGCTGGGCCTAAGGCCCTCGGGGAGCGGGAAGCACACGCCCAGAGTCTCGGGGCTGCCAGGGGAGGGGTGGGCACGGCGTCGCGGGCGAGGCTGTGAGGGCTGAGGGCTTGTGGGACTTCTCTAAGGGAAGTCGGCCACGTGGAGAGGCTTCATGGACACGAACTAGGCCTAGGCCTCTCATCCCTTCTCCATCACCGCCGACTTCAGCCCTTCCATCACCGCCGACTTCAGCCCTTCCCCCACCCGCGTCTTCCCAGCTTAGTCCTACTCCCGCCGAACAGCACCCGGCCTAGTTCTCCACCTTCCAGCCCCCCCATCTTGCCCTCCCTTCCCCGCCCCACGTCTCCTTGCCCTCCGCTTCCTTCTCTCTTAACCGCTCCCCTCTCACGTCTCTAACCCTCCCCTTTAGCGCTTTCTCCACTTAATCTCACTCCCCCTCGCTTGCTTGCCCCCAGGCGCCCTACTCAGGTTTGAGCGCTCACTTTGTTTGTTTGTTTGTTTGTTTGTTTGTTTTTGAGACAGGGTCTGTTGCTCGCCCAGGCTGGAGTGCAGTGGCAAGATCTCGGCTCACTGCAACCTTCTTCTCCCAGGCTCAGGCGATCCTACCACCTCAGCCTCCCGAGTAGCTGGGACTACAGGCGCGCGCCACCACGCCCAGCTAATTTTTGTATTTTTAGTAGAGACAGCGTTTCACCATGTTGGCCAGGCTAGTCTCAAACTCCGGACTTAAGTGATCCGCCCGCCTCGGCCTCCCAGAGTGCTGGGATTACAGGCGTGAACCACCGCGCCCGGCTCCTCACTCTTTTAACCTAATTGTTTCTTAGTTTATGTGGAAATAAGCTGCCTCCGCCCCGCCCCCCCACATAAGGCTAACTTCGTCTTTTTTACTCACAGTGCAAAACAGTTTCTACTACACAAAAGATGCTGCACAGGTATAGAATAAACTCTCGAAAGGAAATCGATCTCCACACGAAGACGTTTTCCTCCGTTGGTCAAGCCGAAGGCCCTCTTTGGCCGTCGGTGAAACAGGAGAGATTTCTACATTGGTTCTCAGACAAGCCTGTTCTTTCACCCGGAGATTCAGAGACTGGGCCGCGGTGCTTCTTACAGGCTGCACGGGGGTTTGTGAGCACCTGGGGGCAGCGGTCGAGGCTCGTAAAATGCCCCGGCGCGAGCAGGGCGCGCAAGCATTGGGCACGGCCTGTCTGGCTGCCCGCCCGGGCCGCGGCTGCGGGACTCAGGCAAACACCCAGGCCCGCCGGCCACGTGCCCAGAGCCCCGCCCGAGCCCCAAATCTGTGGCCCCTAAGCCATGAGCCGGCGCCGGAAAGTGAGGCAAGCGCGGCTCTCCGCAGGCTACTCCTAACCAGTTCCCGGAAGGCACTGAAGGGCGCGCCTCCAGGTTGCTCAGGCCATCTGCTGTCTACGGCAGGCGCGGCCTTGGCTTTCCCTCCAAGCCCTAGAGGAGCAGTGGTTCCGTGCAGCCCGAGGCTCCTGGTGTCCGAGAGCCTGAGGTCCTTTGGCAACCTTTCTTACCCTCCCAGGGGCAAAATATAGAGAGCCGAATCTGAGCCCTGAGCATCGACAATGTGGCCTCTTCTCTTCTTAGTGTGATAAGGTCATATGTTTTTTATAATTATATATAATGTATGTTAGATATAATAAATATACGTTTGCCAATTACCTGGGCTTGCATAGACAGAATGTATTAGCTGTGGGCGCAAGTATAGAGAGTCTCCCAAGGAAAAGATTGCAAAAACGAACTTGGAGGATTTCGGGCCAAAATACTCTTGCTTTCAGCTGCTTAAGTGGTTTTGGGCAAGTCAGTAACCTCTTTCCCTTCATCTCATTATTTACTAACTAAAGTTATTGGGTAAGGTCTATGATTCCTAAGGTATTTTCCAACTCAGAGACTCTCCCCAACAAAAAAGCTTTTTTAAAAATTCGATTAACGTTTGAATTAGTTGGTTTTGCTTTTCCTTCTTTTTAACCCTTTTTCTCTCTATTACTTTCGGAAAGAGGTAGGAAACAGCTTCAAAAGGTGAAAACATCCAGAAAGATCTGAAAAAATGGAAAAACAGAAAGTGAAGAGATCGACTAAAGTCATAAAAATGTATCCAGTTTCTCCAGTGAAAATAAAACCAAACAGAGTCTTTTAGAGCTCAGCCTCTGGTTCAGGTTTTCACAGGAATATTGAATCTCAAGTTTGTAGAGGGCAGGATGGGTATTCCACTGATAGGTCCCAATCAGACTATCTTATTATCTCCCTAGCCTAGCAAATGAAATACTCAGGGTCTTAATTGTTTGTTCCATAGAGTGTGTCTAAAACCTGTTGTGTCTTCATGTTCCTAGGGTGAGTGGTGGAACCTGGCCATAAGTAAAGTGGAAAAGAAAGGAGCGTAGGAGGAATGAGGCTTAAGGAATCTCCAGTAACGTGCCACCTTAACTCAAAGTCTCAAAGTCCTACCTTTCGCTTAGCTTCTTTTTTTTTTTTTTTTTTTTTTTTTTTTTTGAGACAGAGTCTCTCTCTGTCGCCCAGGCTGGAGTGCAATGGTGCGATCTCAGCTCACTGCAACCTCTGCTTCCCAGGTTCAAACGATTCTTCTGCCTCGGCCTCCCAAGTAGCTGGGATTACAGGTGTCCACCATCTTGCCCAGCTAATTTTTTTGTATTTTTAGTAGAGACGGGGTTTTACCATGTTGGCCAGGCTGGTCTTGAACTCTTGACCTCAAGTGATCTGCCCGCCTCGGCCTCCCAAAGTGCTAGGATTACAGGCATGAGCCACCATGCCCAGCCAGCTTCTTAGGTTCACACACAACATAGCCAAGGGTTTAAAACTCTCTTCCTGAATTCACTCCTTCATTAACCAGCAGTCTGCATTGGTTATGAGCTAGGCACTAGGGATTAGGTAATGGGGACACAATGTGGAGTAAACTTTGGGGTCCATTTACAAACTAGTGACAGAGATGTGTAGTATGAAAAGTGCTGTCACACAGCAATGCACAGGTGTCATGGGAGCATTAAACAGAAACACCAGGGTCAACATCAAGGAAAACTGTCCAGAGGAATGCCCTTGAGCTGAGCTTTAAGGAAAGAGTTGAGGGGGATTTTGGAGTTAAGGGGATGGGTAGGCACCCAAGGACATGCCTGAAGGCCCAAGGCTAGAAATAGCTTCCTTTAGAGAAGTTCAAGTAATCCTTCAAAGCAGAAACAAATGGTGCAAATGAAAAAATACAGAATTAGTGGAAAATACAGCTAAAGAGGTAGGGAGCAGCTATATGCTGAAGGGCTTAGTGTGCTGAATTTGAACTTTATCCTGAAAGCTATGGGAAGCTCTTGAAAGAATTTTAAGTGAAAAATGTATAATATGAATTTGCTTTTTAGAAAGATCATTTTGACAGTAATATTGAGGACAGATAGGAGGGTTGGGTAAATTGTAGGGAAATGAGTTAGGAGACTGTTGCAGTAATGCCTGATAGACGTGATGAGTTTGAATTTAGGCAGTGATAGTGGCTGTGGAAATGAAATTGAGGGAGGATAGGGAGAGAGGGAGAGACTGATACAAATGATAAGAAGGGAGACTTAAGATAACCTGATGACTAATTGAGTGTAAGGGATGACTGAGAATGAGTAGACGAAGATTCCCAGGCCTTGGCTTAGGTATCTAGAGATTCAGTGATGCCACTTGCTGAGAGACAGGCCAAGAGTGAAACAGAAAGATGTGTTGTTTGGGACTTACTGAGTTCATATGTCTGTGAGACATCCAATAGAGATGTCAGCAGTGATCTAGCCTGGAGGTTCAGATTTAGAAGTCACTAGCATAAAAACAGTAGCTGAAGCCCTGGGTTTGGATGAAGTCACTCAAGGAGAGTGTTCATTTGAAGAACAAACTTAGGGAACACCAATTTAACAGGTCATCAGAGGAAAAGGAACCCTTGAAGGATATTAAGAAGGAATGGCCAGAAAGGCAGAAGGAAAACATAAGGATAAGCACTATTTGGGGGATACCTATTATCTTCTAGTTAATGGCCCAGAATCTTTATATGCATTGTGTCATGGAATCCTTATAGCAACCCTAGAAGGCAGATGTTTTCAAATAAAAAACTTAAGGTATGAGAAGTTATGTAACTTGACTAGAGTATGTTCAGCCTCTGGAGTCAGATGAAACCTCGGTTCAAATTCCACCTCCCAATAGCTATAGGATATATCCAAATACTTAATTTCTCTGAGTCTCAGTTTCCTCATCTGCAAAATGGGACTAATAAAACCTATGTTTGAGAATTCTTGTGAAGATTAGATGAGATAGCATAGTGAAATGCTGGGCACAGAGTACATAACTGATGGTTATTTTCCTTAGTAATAGCCATAACCACATATCTCTATGTTAACTCGAGTTCTACCATCTATTCTTTAGCCCTTTGGCCCAAACATGGACTCCAAATTCTCATGGTGTTTAATGCACAACTCGGACCTAAGCAAGACCAAAGTATAATAATCAGACTTTACTAAAGGTTTGGGCATAGCCAGATGAGAATGAACATAGAGAAACATAAAGCTAGATAATCTGAAAGTTTATCACTTCATTTTTAGGATCCCCTGCAAGGGTACTGCCTTCTTAACTAGCCCTAGCCCCTGGGAGAAGCCATCTTTTCCATACCACCAGAGAGCATCCTCAAATAATCCATTTACCTGAAAGTCCAGCAAGAACATGATTCCAGAGGAAGTCAGGAGTTTTTGCTGAAGACCAAAACCCATCTTGCAAGATTCTATTACCTGTCAGAGGACCTGCCCCTCCCAGACAAGTGATACAGAGAATGTGCACTTTCTTCAGAAAAGGTCATGTCTACCTCTAAGGGTATGACCTTTTTATATGGCCTCAACAGTAGAGCCTTAGAACACAAAATAAGTCTAACATTCAAATAAAGGTTATACACTTTTCATTATTCCTAGAAAAGATAAGACTTCTCATCTGAATTTTTCTTAATCTTTCACGACCCTTAGGTCTTCTTTTATGGAAAAAGATGCACGCAAAGACTATAGGCCAAGTACAACAACAAGATATTACAGCAAAAGGAACCTCTCAGACTGAAGGTAGGAGAAAGATTTTGTCGGTATAATTGAGAAAAAAAACCACAGTATTTATGTTATCAAAATTAAAAGATATGGAAATGAATAAATAATTGGTTAGCGTTCACTGATGTGTTTTTAATCCTCTAATATGATTAGGTGTTTCAAAGTATAGAGACTTTTGATCATGGCTTTAGTACAATTCATGATGGCAGTTCTTTAATTTTTTTTCTTCACACTTGTTTCAAGGAATGTAGAGACATATTCTGCCCTAGGGCTTTAGTCTGTTCACCTCTAAGGTGAGGATCCTATGCAGATTTTTTGAGAGTTAGGCACACAGCTTCAGCAAGCTAGAGACTCCAAGTCATGGCCTATTTTGCCCATTATAAAAGCTATCCTCATTAACCATTATTTTAGTCACCTGTAAAACATGGACAAGATAAAATGTGTTGTTTGATTTTATTTAATTGACCCATAGCATCCATTTTTCATGGGAATTATCCTCTTTAGGTTAAGAATTTTAATGGTGGGCCACATGCGGTGGCTCACGCCTGTAATCCCAGCACTTTGGGAGGCCGAGGCGGGTGGATCACAAGGTCAAGAGATCAAGACCACCCTGGCCAACATGGTGAAACCCTGTCTCTACTAAAAATACAAAAATTAGCTGGGCGTGGTGGTGCACGCCTGTAGTCCCAGCTACTCGGGAGGCTGAGGCAGGAGAATCGCTTGAACCTGGGAGGCGGAGGTTGTAGTGAGCCGAGGTCGCGCCGGTGCACTCCAACCTGGTGACAGAGCGAGACTCCGTCTCAAAAAAAAAAAAAAAAAATTTAAGACATCCTTCAGGATGGCAATAGGTCTTCCCCCAGGTATCCCCCCAACAACAAGAAAGGATGGTTATGGTCAGGGTAGTATGGGAAATGCTGGGTTATACTGTGTTAATCAGGTTTCTTTACTGCCAGACTGTTCAGAGACATTAGTTGTTAGCATACATTGTTAAGTTTCAGATGTATTTGACTACAAAATTCCTTTTTCTCAGAGCGTCTAAAAAGAATTTTGTGTCATGGATTATGCTTTAAAAAAACCCTGCTATTTGCCATTACTATGATCATTACCAGGAGAGCATACTTCATTCGGAGAAACTCACCTGAATGTTCTCTCACCATTGAAACCACATTTACCTTCTCCAGTGAGTCTTCCTTATCCCCTCTCTTCCACCCTCACTGACAGGGGAACCTTCTACATACGTCCATAGAAGCCTACACATACCCAGATCATAGCATATTTATTTCCTTATTGATGTTTTTCTTTATTTGCCTCTTATAATAAATCAATACAACGCCTAACACACTGAGATACTCAAATATTTGTTGAATGTCTATCAAATGAATGATAAGTATTGGAAAAATATATATATATATATATATACATTTAATCAAAGAATTTCCTAGTTACAGATATGTCCTAGGGTTCTTCATAGGACACCAGGTTGTAGAAAGATAAAAAAAAAAAAAAAAAAAAAGGACACCCTCTCTGTTGACACACCCACTAGGCAAACACCTATTCCATATCCTTCTGTCCAGGCAAACTTAATCATTACCAAGAGCTCCTGTGAGTCAAACCATAGCTATATAATTCCACTGGATTGTTTCCATAAGGTTTTAACTCAAGAGAGAAAACATGACTAGAGGAAAGGAATCCTTAATTACAACTTTAAAATATGATCAAAAGCAACATTGAAGAAAAGTGTTTCCAGGGAAGAGCCGAGGATGACACCCAGTTTATAATAATTCATTTTCCCAAACCTCAGAGCATGTGATCAAAGCTGATATACATTATCTCAGTCTTGCTACCAGGGTGACTCTTTTTTTTAACTTTTTTTGAAGTTATTATTTGGATGAATAAATAGATGAGGATGTGCCAAGCCAGAGACAGTCACTAAGAGTCCTGCGGCATGATCTGTAATAATTCTTTTTTTTTTTTTTAATAAAGAAGCTGTGGCCTTTGGCAGCTTGAGATATTATCATGCAACTCAGGCCGTTTCGAATGAAGATGGGAACATAACATGTTAGAACTTGCAAGAGAAGGACAATGGAACCTCCTAATTACAGTTGGAGGAGGTTGCAGTCAGATTAGGGTTATTAGGCAAATCAATGTGATACAAGTACCCTTGACAACCTGTATGCTCAATACTGGGATAATTCAGTTAATCTGGGCCAGGTATCTAAGAGATTTATACCCAGTAAGGCTTCAGATCAAACCAGTTAATCTTCCTTCCTACCACACCATCAGAGAAGGAAATAAAACCATGAAACTTCTAGTTCCTTCTCTCTCCTCCCATAAGGTATGCTAACGTTGATTTATTGGTAATTGTTGGCAGATGTCCCTGAAAGACTGAAAATTTGCTAAATTCCTTGGCATATTTGGATGAGAGAGACGAAAACTTCCTACTCTAGAATCTGCATAAAGAAGGAATATGCAATGTATTTTTCCGAGGATCTGGTGGTGTGGTGACACCACTCCCTAAAAATTCTAAACATTTTACAAAGTCCAGCTCAAACATCTTTTCATCTCTTTATAAAAGAGGAATTCTCCCCTTCTCCCAAGTTTAGAGCTTAGAGAAAGTACAGGGCAGGACTGGGACCAATCATTGGAAGGTGCAATGAGGTGGATTTTTGATTGAACATAAGACTTCTCCAGCGTTCAGAGTTACCTAATAATGGTACCTACGACTTCACAAAATGTAAGTGCCCCTACCTTTAATAATACTGTATAAGGGATGAACAAAGACTCTTTTTTTTTTTTTTTTGAGACGGAGTCTCGCTGTGTCGCCCAGGCTGGAGTACAGTGGCACAATCTCGGCTCACTGCAAGCTCGCCTCCTGGGTTCAGGCCATTCTCCTGCCTCAGCCTCCCGAGTAGCTGGGACTACAGGCGTCCGCCACCACGCCCGGCTAATTTTTTGTATTTTTAGTAGAGATGGGGTTTCACTGTGTTAGCCAGGATGGTCTCAATCTCCTGACCTCGTGATCCGCCCGCCTCTGCCTCCCAAAGTGCAGGGATTACAGGCGTGAGCCACCGCGCCCGGCCGAACAAAGACATTTCTGAAGTTCCTTCCATTCAAAGACATTGCTATTCTTGAAACATAATAAAGATTACAAATTTAAAAATGTGCTAGCTGTTCTGACTAGCAATCCTGTGACCCATCAGCTTTGTACCTCACCTTCTTTGATAAGTAATGGTTTCTTCTTCATTGGTTCTGAAGACCTGAGAGGAAGGAGGAGATGAAAGGTAGAAAAAACAAAACAAAACACCTTTTGAGCAATGTAAACATCTTGAACTAAATATTCACCATTTTATATTTTTAGCAGAAAATGTAAAAGTTGTTCTCTGTTTACAAAAGGAAGAATTATATTGGAATGAATATTCCTTGGTCACCCAAATTGTGAGAGTCCTATAATAAGTAGAAAGCTGACGGGAATCATCATTTTACTCCACAAAACCAATTTTCTTTTTTTTTCTTTCTTTCTTTTTTTTTTTCTTTTTCTTTTTTTTTTTTTTGAGACAGAGTTTCGCTCTGTTGCCCAGGCTGGAGTGCAATGACGCGATCTTGGCTCACTGCAAGCTCCGCCTCCTGGGTTCACAACAGTCTCCTGCCTCAGCCTCCCGAGTAGCTGGGACTACAGGCACGCACCACCACACCCAGCTAATTTTTTGTGTTTTTAGTAGAGACAGCGTTTCACCGTGTTAGCCAGGATGGTCTCAATCTCCTGACCTCGTGATCCACCCGCCGCGGCCTCCCAAAGTGATGGGATTACAGGCGTGAGCCACCGTGCCTGGCCACAAAACCAATTTTCAACTGTTCTTTAATAATTGTACTCTAAGAAGGGCCTAAAAATGAATTTTTAATCTGATGTTTTTCCAATCGTGTTACTCGTGTAACAACATATATTATTTATAATATCAAAGAAAAAGAGTTTTTTAAAAACTTTAAATTGGCTCCTGACTATTTTAGGCATAGGCTAAATTCTTTTAGCCTTTAAACCCTATACTAATATATATAACTTGACTCTATCAATTGTACCTTAACTTTTTTTGTTTTTTAACATTTATTTGACACCTATTCTATTATATGCCACCATTGTGCTAGAAGCTTTTACATAATTTGTATTTGGATAGATAGCTTTTACATAATTTGTGTCTGGATCAGTAAGTTAGCAGAGGAGATTAAATTATTAGTTTATAGGAGGACTTCAGAGAATTTATAAAGTTAAGCAGTGCATGTAATAGTATCTATAATAATTATAACTATCTAGATTTCATGTTGCAGTTTATCTGTCCAACACTTATGTAAATTCCTGTAGTTTATTCTCTTTTTCTCTTTCATTGCTTTCTGTTCTTTTGTAATAGCTTACTAGCTTTATTAAGATATAATGCATATACCATAACCTTTACTAGTTTCTAACCTTTTTTGTTGTTGTTGTTTATTTGAGATGGAGTGCCAAGGCTGGAGTGCAGTGGTGCCATTTTGGCTCACTGCAACCTCCATCTCCCAGGTTTATGCAATTCTCCTGCCTCAGCCTCCTGAGTAGCTGGGATTACAGGCACCCACCACCACACCGACTAATTTTTGTATTTTTTTAGTAGACACGGGGTTCACCATGGTGGCCAGGCTGGTTTCAAATTCCTGACCTCAAATGATCCGCCTGCATTGGCCTCCCAAAGTGTTGGGATTACAGGCATGAGCCACCGCACCCGGCTCTAACCTTATTTAAATCGTAAGAGATAAACTTGATGCTAAAGAACAAAAAGAGGCCTTAACTGTAAAACAAAAATTGACAACTCAAACAGTCCATTTTCCACTAATATTTACAGTTAAGTATGTTTTTAAGAACAGATGAAAATACTTTGAGGCAAAAAGAGAAAGACAAAGTTTGAGGAGAAAATAAAGGCATCTGAAAAATAGTATAGGAAAAGTTGATGACATGCAGTATGTATATGAAGAAGGTGGAGAGTGTGGAGCCTGGATACTGAGTTTGGTTTGGTAAATATCAGAAGGGTACATCAGGGCTTTTGAGAGAGGATGGGAAAAATTAAGAGACCAGCCAAGTTAATTTGGAAACAAGCCAGGTTCACATATAATAAGCTAAAGAACTGTCTGAGAGGATAGGTAATTCAAGAAGGTGGCTAAGGAAAGTTTGCTGGAAAAGGAGCAAAGATAAAGTAGACATGCCTGAAGTTTAGCTAAAGGGAAAGAAATAACCTGTATATACTCCTGTGATACAAAACAAAAACAAGTGGCAGATAGCCTATTAGTCAAAGATTCATGTTGTATTTCTGCATTCTGTCTTTTGATTCCAGGCTAAGTGTGTGATTCACAAGGAAAACCACATTGAAAAAATGTTAGTTAACCACATTGAAAAAATGTTAGTTCAATGTGTACTAAATAATCTACTTTTAAAACCAAATGTAATTATAGGAAGATCCAGTTAAAACAACACTTTTAAAAAATTGTATGCAGAGAAGAAATAACACGTTATATTTTAATTTAAAATATGACATCTTAAATTTTACCAAATGTCCCAAGTCTAAATGGAACTAGAGTTAGTGTAATGATGATCAGATTATTTGGTATTCATTTAAAATGTTACAAAACTTAAAAATATCCAGTGGCTTTTTCACGGCAGAATTTATTTCACTTATTGTTGTTTATAAAATGAAACTGCTGTTTTTACTCAGTGGATTGGAGTCATAATATAAATTAATTCATGCCACTTTACTATAATTAGAGTATAATTAATTAACCAAATAGAAAACTTCTATTATTACATGTAATAAAAAAATTTTCAAGCTGCTTTGTTTTTTTACGGCTTTGTACCACCAACACAAGGTATCTTCACTGTTCACTACTCTTTTTATGTTGTTTCTTTTAAATAGCTAGTCAGGTTATTTTTATTACACCTGGTTAGATCAGATTGTATATTTAGGTAAATTAGTTATAATTGAGATTTCACAGATTACCAAAAATTCTGGTCATTTGTTAATGTTTAAAAATTAGTATATCTTACTTGCATTTTAAAAGTCATATACATTTATATATAGTGTGTTTTTAATAAAAAGAGAAATATAAAACTCTGCTTATTCAGATACTTTGAAAATTTTAAGATTCTTAAATAAGTAAGAAAATAAACCATTTCTTAACCTTTTTTGAATCACAGATGTCCCTGAAAATCTGACGAAAGCTAGTTTCCTCTCCCTAGGGGAAAAAAAAACACACATCTGTATACGCAAGTGAAATTTTGCTTACAATTTCACAAAGTTTATGGACTCTCTGAAGTCTGCCTATGGACCACTAAAGGTCCATGAACTCTAGGTTAAGAACTTCTGCAATAAACCCACACTTTGTTTTGGCAAGATGAAAAACGAAACTATTACAAAGTATGACTGTTTAAGCTTTCATTCTTTAGGGGCATGTATCTGAAAGGAATAATTTCTTTTTTAATCTCCCATTCCCTAAAAAAATTTGGCTCTGTTATCCCTCCTTTTTAGCCTTAAAATGAGGACCAATTTCCTTTGGGTCAAACCCCAAACTCTTAGTGTCTTGACTTTCTAAATGCTTGACAACTATAGACACTTTAATGAAATCCAAATGGGTGAAATTCAACACTTCATTCTGATGCTCTTTACAGATGTTCTTAATAAGAACACTGAAGAAGTCCTTAGAAACCTAGCTTCACACATCAACCAAGGGAAGAAAGAATTCATTGGAAAATGAAGATAATAAGTAATTCCGGATAATAAGTATCTGTATCCTGTACCAGTCAATATTGTGCACTTACAACATAAACCTGTAATCAGCTTTGTAGGGAAGTATGTGACACACAGGGTACAGTCTGCTGATGGACTCCTGGGTAGCAATAGTATTACATCATAGTACCTTCTGATGTTGGATATTTAAATTCTGCTCAGAATAATTTTTCCCCATAAGAGCTTCATTCCTACAAGCGACCATTTCTTTTTTAATAAACTCCGGAAGAAGAAGAAGCTGAAACAATCACCTTCAGCTATCATAATATTAAAATAATTATTTAAATAGAAATGAAGATAATTACTTTAAAATAAACTTTATGAATGCTAGAGTTTTGTCAGTAGAATGAATGTCATAACACCATCTAGGTAGCCTAGGTTACCATAATCATTTTGTTCTTCTACTCCCTTTATTTTCCAACAGTCGATAAAAGCTCACCTGATATCTGTCTTCAAAGCTCTGAATAGAACAGTTATGGTTTGGAAAATGATTTCCCTGAATGTTCTTTGAGGCCATCTGGAGAGAAGAGTTTGCACACTTAGATGGACATAAAAGTTTACATTAAACATGTTTACCAATGAATTCAAAACTTTGAAGGTGAAAAATACTCAATTTATCTGACAAGGTATTAGTGGTAAGGGCCCTTTTCTTACAATTTTCAAGAGTGTTAGCTTTACAGGAATGTGTGGAAGTGAGGCACATTAACCTAAAAGGGAAGATCAGCAAGAAAGGTACTCCAGATTTTGCATTAGATTAAGTCAGAGTTCTGAATTCTGATCCAGAACCTGTCACTCTTGTTTCCTACAGAGCCTTAGGCAATTTACTTCACCCCACAGCTACTCCCCCATTCATCTCTTTCTTCACCCATGAAACAAAGATAATGCTGACCTACCTAATATGAGAAGGTTGTAATTTAATGTCATGTTCAAAATATTCAACAATTTTAAAGCTATTTAGTTAAGTTTTAGTATTTGACAAATTTGTACCTATGCCAAACAGATGGCTACAAACAAGTGAGACACTGGCAATGTGCTTGTGCCTAACACCATCAATAATTAGAATAACATTAGGTTAGAGGGAGACCAGAGGAAAATAGAAGTATGTAGAAAGACAGAGAGGAAGGCAAAGTTCTAGAATTGGCTTGTACCTTGGGAAAATCACTTGACTTTTTTGCACCTCAATTTCTTCATCCTCAAATGAAATGAAATCCTCTGTATGGTCCATGTTAATATTCTGTTTAATTTTAAATTTGGTCTCTTTCTGGTAGAATGTAAGCTCCAAGGGTGTAGAGCCCTTGTGTCTCTGATGCACCAGAGTAATCCTAACATCATCAGAGTAATCCTAACATCACAGAGTAGCTACTCACTAAAAATCCAATTATTAGACATTTCCTAAAGTCCCTTTCAGCTCTAATATCTGATTCTTTTTTGAAAACGGTTTATTATGAAAATTTCCAAGTATATAGGACAGTAGAGAGACTAATATGACAAACACCCCTCTATTTATCCCTCAGCTTTTCCAAGTCTTAATTTCTATATTTGCTTCAGATATAATGAAGAAATAAAATATCATAAATACAACTGAAATCCCCCCTCAATATGTACTGGTCTCTAATTTCTTTCCTCTTTCTCTCCAAAGGTACCCACTATGCAGACTCTGGTGCTTATTATTTCCAAGAACATCTTATACTTTCACTACAGTTTTATGAACTACATGTCTCCAAAATTTATATGAATGATAGGTACTCATCATTCTGCAAATTATTTTTTTCCCATACAACATTATGTGCTTGAGATTAATCCATGCTGATACGTTTACTGCTAAACGGGTCATTTTAACTACTATATGGTGTTCTATTATGTGAATATTGATTATTTATTTACCCATTCTCATGCTAGGGGACATTGATTTTTTTTTAGTTTTTCTCTATTACAAACAATATTTCAGAGAATATTCCTGCCCATGTATCTTTCTGCAGATGTGTTTGAGTTTCTCTAGTGGAATCACTGAGTTAAAGGGATATGTATCTTTAATTTCACTGGTCTAGGCCAAATATCTGATTCACTTGCCCATATTCTTACTGAGATGGTTGGTCAAGTTATGTATTTATTTTTTCATTTTCTTTTTTTATTTTGCCCCGGGCAGGAAATGAAGTGTTAATCAAGTTGACAAGAGCATCATCTTTCTATTTCTAACCTTTTCTAGATTTAAACAGATAGAAATATGGCAGAATTCTTTTAGAAGTCAAGAAGACTAACATAAAATAAGGAGCTTTCAGATGGATCTTGATCAGAACCACATAAAAATATGGCCATGTCCTGTCATCGCATTATGAAATTTACAACACAGCACTGTCAATATGTGATGTTGCAAAAACACAGTGCCACATGGTAAACATTGCCGAGGTCTGTGAATAAATCCCTCTGAGAGCTTATGACTCTTTATGACCCAGTTCACAAATGAAATAACTTTTAGAGTAGAGAAACATTGACTTTTTAGATCAAGATAATGGGAAATGTTAAATTCTGACCCATAACACCAACTGAACTACTGTTTTAATGCTGTCCTTAAATAGGCAACATGTCTATTAGTTTAATTTGGTGTTCTAAATGCTGGATCTTATGCAATTCCTTTAGCCTTGTATTTAAGATGATCTATTTGGAAAGATAGGTTATGGGAAAACTTTCTTAGTCTCAGCCCCTGCAATTAAACAGTTTATGTTTCCTCATTCAACAAATATTAAAATATAATAAAGAATATGAAAGTATTTATATTATCTACTTAACATAGTTTTTTTCCCTATATTCATTTTCTTATTTAGATAAAAGATGTAGGGCATGAACAATGCAGTTTCACTGGGAGGTTTACCTTGGTAAAAAGACAGGAGCTATTACATTCTATCTTGTCAATGATCCATGGATAATGGGTCAGCAGGGGATTTAAGAACTGTATCTTTCAGTTCTTGCCAGAGAGATACATCAATGTGCACTGATGTGAGCTATAATATGACACACCTTGCAGAACCCTCAAAACCCTTCAGGCACTCTAAGCTGCTTTTATGAAGATACGGGACTAAAGGTTGTCAGTTAAGGATGGTATTTTGTAAATAATTTCGGTAACAGAATGATTTCCCTATTTCTCCATATTAAATTCTAATGCATAAGAATTAATCCTCAGGTTTAAAAGTCCTTAGTTTTGTTTTGATTATTTCCATTACATTAGCAGCAGATCTGTTTTTACCGATAGGGTAAAACAGACCCAATATATGCGTTGGTTTATACATACATTATTTTATATATACATTGTTTATTGTTAAGTGGGGGTGGAGGGAAGCAAGTTGAAAAATAGTATTACAGTAGATCCTATTTGTGTGTGATTGTCCAGATTAGTTGGGGTGGGAGCAGATAATAAGAAATTTACCTTATACACTTATATACTGTTTGAATATTTTAAAATAAGTATGATTGTTTTTATCATCTAAAAAATAAGTAAATTTACTTTTCAATGTAAAAATATTACTTTCAATTTACAGTCTTCTGTGTGGTCTTTAAAATTTTAAGAAAGTTTTAAGAAATTAAATTAACAGTCTTCTGTAGGGTCTTTAAAATTTTGAGAAGTTTTAAGAAAATAAATGATATGTGTTTCAAGTAGAAATCACATTGATTTTTATTGAGTTAATAAAAATTTTTATGGGACAAAAGTGATCTGATTTCTTGATATTTTCTAACTTTTGTGAAATCATCAATACTTTTCTAGAAATGCTCTTTTCTCAAAACCTTATATCTTACGAGCTAGAGAGGACCTTATAAATTGTGTAGTGCAAATTCTCATTGTACAGATGAGAAACTGGGTCTCAGAGAAGTTAACTGTCTTGTCCATAAACAGTTTCAGAGCTTAAAAAAAATAAATCCATCTCTGACCTTCACGTTTATGACTCTTTCTGTCAAAAAATGGCCTCCTCCAGCTCTAATTTTAGTGTGATGATAACATAAATAATCTAAAAGCAATGTAGTTTAGCTCTGATCCTAAAACCAGCACACATCCACACCTCAATACGTAAAGCATTACTGCAGCAAATGAATGCTGTTTGTACAAAAGCTGAAGTAAGAAGTCATTTGGTGACAATATTTTCATTAGTAAATTGAAAGAAAATTATTTTTACTCTGTGATTTTCCCATTTCAGCCAATTATTATAGTCTCTTTCATCTGCTGCTTCTTTAAATTAGGGAGCAGATCAAGAGAACAAAGAAGAATGAATGAATAAAATATCAAAGCCAAACATGTCTATTAATGAAAAAATTGAAATTTGGGACAGCAACAATAGAAAATAAAAGTACATGGGAAAGACCACGGAAGGGCAGTAAGCGTCAAAGCAGAGGAAAATTTGACAACTTCAAGGACAGTGAGTAAATAAGTAAAGAAAAGGGGGTTGAGATTTGTTTTATGTTTATTATGGTAGGCACATAGTAAATGGCTGATGGATAAGATAAAGGGAATGATGGTATCAAAGGCTAACGCAGAAGTTCTATCTCTAATACACATAAGAACTACCTGAAGTGTTTGTTTAAAATAGAGTACTTATTCTTTATCACCAGAAATTCCAATTCACCCACTGGATTAGGGAAGACACAGAAATAAGTACCTTGGGTAATTGTAATGTTCACACATGAGGAACCCTGGGTTAGAATTGTCGAAGCTCTAAAAAGAGTGAAAATATGGAACCAGGATAAAGAAACCTAGAGAAGAGAAAAGATAGGAAAAGGAGCTCTGAATGCTCATAAAAGTAACATGTGCTCATTGTGGAAGAGTTTAAAAATTTAAAAAGGAGAAGAAAAGTGTACCCTTAGTTTGTCACTCATGAAGCTGCTGTTAACATTTTGGTATATTTTCTGCTAGTCTTTGTTTCTGCTTAGTTTTTTAAAGGTTTTGTTTGTTTTATATATTTGAGATAATAGTGTCTCTGTCTTTTTATATAGTTGAGATAATACTGTCTAATACCAACATCTCCTAACACAAGGTATTTAATGGAAACTTCATTTTAAACATCTGCCTAGTATTAACAATAGCCAGTTCTCCTTTCTTTCCTGCTAACAGAACTCAGGTTTCTTCAGGTGGTCAAGGGCTTCAGGCTTAAAGGCTAACTCCATTTCCACTCATAAAAGGTGATTTTTTAATTTAGTTTAAGCCAATCATGGTACAATTCTATTCCCCTTATCAGTGATTGGCCAAGGAAGGGACAAGTGACATACTTCTGACCAATAAGATATAAGGGCAAATCTACAGGTTAGATTTGTGAAACAGATTCTTAGTTCCTTAAAAGTGATACAAGGAAGAGATAATCCCTTTTTCTGCCTATGGAATGTGTGTAAGGAGGGAGCAGTGGAGCTAGTGCTTGGTGCTGTTGCAGCCATTTTGTGGCCATAAAGGAAGTCCAGTATACACACTAAAGATGGAAGAACAGAAAAGTAGGAAGAATTGATCCTAGTTGATTGTGACACTCCAATTAATTACACATCCCTGAACCCTACTTGGAGACTTCTTGTTATGTGAGAAAATATCTCCTATTATTTAAGCCCCTTTGAGGTGGGTTTTCTGTTCTGTGCAGTAGAAAACATCCTAACGGATATAGCATGATAATTTACTTACCAATTTTCCTCTTGTGGGCTATAATATAAGGTTACTTACAATTTTTCACTATCAGTTTTTGCCTGGGATAGTTTCAAGAAAAAAAAGTTACATAGCATAGATAATAAGGTAGCTTGTGTTGGGTGAAAAAAACCAACAAGCAATAAAAAAAAAAAAAGAAACAGGAATGAACTTGAAATATCTCAGGTCATCAAAGCTGAATCATTCTGAATCTCCACACCCTTTATTGCTCATTGCTGTCAGCAGAGGTGGTTATCAGTGACAAGTTACATTATAGAAGAAAAAATTGAGAAATATAGTATCCATATAACACACTAATAAAGGCAAACACAAATAAACCCCTAAAATACAAAAGTCATTCCTGTTTGCAATGTGTTATATGGTTTCATCAATTGTTTAAATCTTTCCTTATTATAATAATATTAAAATCACTTTGGTAATAAGAAAGACAACCCATTATGCCAATACTTTTCTTTTTTTTTTTTTTTTTTTTTTTTTTTTGAGACGGAGTTTCGCTCTGTCGCCCAGGCTGGAGTGCAGTGGCGCGATCTCGACTCACTGCAAGCTCCGCCTCCCGGGTGCACGCCATTCTCCTGCCTCAGCCTCCCGTGTAGCTGGGACTACAGGCACACGCCACCATGCCCGGCTAATTTTTGTATTTTTAGTAGAGACGGGGTTTCACCGTGTTAGCCAGGATGGTCTCGATCTCCTGACCTCGTGATCCGCCCGTCTCGGCCTCCCAAAGTGCTGGGATTACAGGCGTGAGCCACCGCGCCCGGCCGCCAATACTTTTCTTGTATTAAAATTTGCTGTTGATTCTACACAGTGTTTAGTGCAAATGCATCTATTTTGTCATGTTGACGATCCTCAAGAACTAATGTTTCCCAAGTGCCTTCCAAGGGTAGGCTGCCCCTCCAGAATCAAAGTTTGGGTAAAAGTATCTGACTGAACATTATTTAAGTGAAGAGGACCAAATGCCTGGGCTAACATCAGCAGATGAACAGATGAAATTCCCAGTAACCACCTCTGGTTTTATCACTAGTGGTAGTTGGGCCTATTTATAATTTGAGATTTTAGATTTGTTGACTTTTTAAATATTTTGTTGTTCTACAGACAGATTTTAAAAATGCTTCCTCATGTAAAAAAGGGTGTGCCTGTGCAAAATAGCAATTGTAATTGCTACAATTATAAAGCACTAGTACCACAATGACCTACATTTCAAGGTTAGCATCAGTAAGAGCACCTAACACACATTCATAATTTTATATTAACAGTTGATTACAATGTAATTCGTTTCTAGAAATTATTTTTAAAACCTTACTGCATAGACTACAAAATGAGATTACAGTCACAGCTCGAGAGTAAATACCTAACTTGTGCATGAAGTTCTTCAGCACTGTGGTTATGACTTGCGATATTTCCAACTCCTGGCCGGTCTCTTGCCAGGAGCATTGATTCATGAGTTGACTGTGGTAGAGGGTGTAAGGAAAACACAGGCTAATCTAAAACTCAAATAATGACTCTTCTCTGAACCAAAAAAACCCAGCAGATCAATTTCCTAAAATACAAGATATTTTCCCTATGATGTCTCATAAATTTGTTCATTTCCTGTACACTTGGACAGTCTAAAGAAGAAGAAAACAAAACCCAGAATTTGGAGAGGAACTCACTGTTTAAAAGTTCACCTGGCTGGGCATGGTGGCTCACCCCTGTAATCTCAGCACTTTGGGAGGCCAAAGCAGGCAGGTCACTTGAGGTCAGGCATTCAAGACCAGCCTGGCCAGCATGGTGAAACCACATCTCTACGAAAAATACAAAAATTAGCCAGGCATGGTGGCAGGTGCCTGTAATCCCAGCTACTTGGGAGGCTGAGGCAAGAGAATCATTTAGAACCTGGGGGTGGAGGTTGCAGTGAGCCAAGATTGTGCCACTGCACTCCAGCCTGGGCAACGAGTGAGACTTTATCTTAAAAATAAAAATAAAAGTTCACCTAAGATCATGAAGAGTATGTAGAAAAAGTCTACCCTGACAGAAGCTAGAACCTTTCTGAGCCTAGATGAATGCTGGATTTAAGTGTCTAGATTGAGGGGAGTTGTTAAATTAGCCCTATCATAGGTTTTTAATTATCTAAGTAGCCAAGATTCCAAAAATGTGTCACTAGATATAGAAAGGCAGAAACTGATCATGAAAATCAGTGGAGCTTAGCACATGGTTTGGCATATGAGAAGCATAAAATAAGCATTTATTAAATTAATGAGTAAATAAATTAATTATAAGTAACCTTAACTTTTAAAATAGTATGTGTATCAGATGGGGAACTGCTTTCTCCACTTTCTCCTCTCTTCTTTCTCTTTCCCTTCTGATTCCCATTTCTTCCACTAAAATAAATGGGGAGGAACAGTTCTGTGGTTATACCTATCTATGTATTCCTGTAATAGGGACTTCAAGGATATGCCTGTAGCTTGATAGTGAACAAGGGTCATTCTTTGATAATTGGAC
This sequence comes from Homo sapiens, assembly GCF_000001405.40. Taxonomy (NCBI): domain Eukaryota; kingdom Metazoa; phylum Chordata; class Mammalia; order Primates; family Hominidae; genus Homo; species Homo sapiens. The sequence continues at coordinate 98,953,777 of NC_000008.11, read as the reverse complement.
TGAACCCTGTGAGATGGAACTGTAACACTTGTAGTCAGTAGGGGTGGGTGGGGCTGTGAGATTGACTATGTAGAAAAAGCCTGCAGGATTAGTGGGGCTCTAGGGACAGTCAATGTTAACTCTGCCCTAAAGTATTCAAATCTTCTGTACCAACGTGGGCAGGATCTTGAGAGAGGAGGGGCAGGGAGGTCACTGAGTTAATTCTGTACAAACAAAAGAAAGCAAACAGCTGTTTCATTCCTCTAAATAACACAAGCACATGCACTCCATACTCCATCCCTACCCCTACTCCTCAGGAAGACTTTGGGCTCATCCCACGCTGGGGAATGCATTTGTGTGAGCATTAGGCACACAGGCTGGTGAGTGGACACTTTGTTGGAGAGAATTAATCTCTGGTGAGAGATAAACATGACTTCTAGCCAGCTCCCCTGAAAACAGAGGAAGCAATTAGTCAGGAACACTTTTTGAAACCTCTTAGTAAGTTGAATTGAACAAGGTACTGTTGAGAAATTTTGAACCTAGTCCTCAAGTCTCTATCTACTTTTCTGGAAGATTCTAAGGTACAAACATAGGACATGTTGCTTGGAATCACCCTGAAAGTGAAACATGCCATCCCCACACAAATATACAAATTTTACATAAATCTGATAATGCCTTGTTTAACCTGTTATTCCATATTAAACAGTTTGTGAGAGCCTACTGTGCCACAGGTTTCTCTGTCATTCCCCCTTTAAGTTAAATCACTTTCCTTCCAGTCTCTGAATAGTACTACTCTTTATCTCCTTCCAAAGCCCTCCACTCAAATCCTACACTATACTTCAGGGTTGTCACTATACTAGAGTCATGTTCCCCGGGAACCATTTAGGAAAGGTTGAAATGTCTCAGAAGGTGATTACATGTTTGCCATGAGCTCTATACATGGAGTAACCTGCACTTCTGGCATTTTCCCAGGGACAAAGACCAACCAGTGGTGGAAACCTCACTGGTAACCCAACTCAGTTTGCTTTGCAGAGAAATCCTAACCTTCTAGAAGAAAGGATCCCCACCCTTGGAAAAAAATATTTTGTGAACATAGCTTAGTGGTTTCTCCTTTCTCCTCTTCTCTCCCGTCTTCTTGAAGGTTGTATCTTCCTGTACTCTTCTGTCGGATTTTAGACTTCTGTCCTGAAGGCAGGATAAAGTCTCTGTCTACAGTGATAAATCATAGTGTTCAAAGTCTAATGGTAAGAGAAGTTGCCCATCATAAATTGTGACAATAGGCCAAGGACTTTTCAAAAATGAAGTGGCAAGAAGCTCCCACCTCTTCTATGCTTCCTGCTTCTTCCCATCCTGTGCTTTCAAGTAGGACAGCCATGGAAGTTGCATGTTATATTAAGATATTGCATTTATCTGAAGGAATAATACGCAAGTCATTGAAATAAACAAAAGGGGATAAAACCTTAGGGGCATCAATGTTTTTAATATCTTTGAAAAACAAGCAGCCCAATTGTCTAATTCCAAAATGCCACCATATAAAAAGGGAAGGGCTGAAGTTGCAGAATGAGAATTCTGAGAAATCCTATTTTTTAAACCTAGGGATAAAGAATGTCCTTCAGTATTGAATTTTATAGAGGCAGCCCACTCTTCCAGAATCTAGAGGAAAAACAGTATTTAAATAGCAAGACACCTTTGCAGGAGTTTTGAAACAAACAAGAAAAAGTTTTATTTTGAAAATACAGTCTTTAAAGATAAAATTTGGCTTCCATTTTCCATATCTAAGTGCATCCAACAAGATCCCAAAGCAAACAAAACAACAAAACAAAGACCCACAACATTATGTACAGAGCTCTAAAATGAGCTGTGAATATCTACAAGAAACTAGCATATACTCTTTGTGAAGGGATGTAGTAGTGTGTGGCTTTCTACAGTTCTCAGTCCCCCAGAAGAAGAGTTAACTCCCTGGAGCTGCAGGTGCGGCTGCAGCAAGGGAAGAGCTGGGGTCAGTGAAGGGCTAGGGATGCGACCCCCTGGGTAGGAGACGTGGAGAGGTGTCTGGGGAGGGGAGCAGCGGCGGCACGGGACAGATCCTGGGCTTCTCTAGAAGTCCTGCCGCGGGGTGTGAGTCAGGCTGTGCCGCCGCAGATCACAGTTTCGCCTGAACACTTTGCCGCACTGCTCGCAGCTGTAGGGCTTGATGTCTGTATGGGTGAGAAGGTGAGTTTTCAGATTACTTCTCTGATTAAAGGTTCTTCCACATGTGGGACATTTGTGTGGAGATTCCTGTTCAGATGTGAAGCAAGCAAAGGATTAATCCTTCACACCACCACTGCACCCTTTTCAATAGTTTCTGTCTTATCGTTATCACAAGCGTTAACATAACACTCTCATGACAACAAAAGAGGAGACTTGCAGGAACAAATCCGTGCTCCTAATCTTCCAATCATGAAAATACACGTGCAGGCATACACAGAGGCCCGATTACACTGATAACTTCGGAGGCAGACCCGCAGCCACCTCGGTGGGCTTTGTGATTTCCAGCTCTTCACATTTCATCACCATGTCATAGGCAGGAAAAGGGGGAAGGAAAAACTCTAATCCTCTCTTAAGGAACAACATTCTCCTGGGTAATAAGGCTCCTCTTTGCTGGAAAACTAAACTATTCCTCAATGTCCTGAAAGCTACAAATTATGAGGCCCTTGGGAAAGAGAACGTATGGGATTTCACTATGCCTCCATTATCAAAATTACCTTTATTTCCTCCTAAACACGAAAGCTTTAAATGCAGGACAGATTGGATGAAAAAAATTCTAAAATTAGGATTTATGATAATCAAAGTGGCCGTTTTTTGAGAAAAATATAAAAATGCTTTATGTTAAACAAGATTAATTTTATGTATTAAAGAAATCAAGTGTTGCTTTTCCCCACCTAGAGAACTAATCTAAATAGAGCCTTTTAAGAGAAAGAGTCTGCCATTGAACACCTTTTGCAAAGCAGTAATGATAACACGAACCAGCCACTGTTTTTAAACAAGAAAACAAACTTACCTGCATGTGTAAAGTTTTGTGAACTGCTAGAGTTCTAGACTGACAAAATCCTTTCCCACACTCCTGACATTTGAAGGGTTTTTCTTTGGAATGGATGTATCTGAAAATCAATATAAGGTTTCATTGAAATAACTTTGCCCCATGGTGAAGAGTTACTTTTAGCAATTACTTAAAAGGAAGTCGTGGAAGAACAAAAGAAACAAGATTTCCATTTACGTTTTTAGATTTTTTTTTTTCCTGTGTAATTCTCTTTATGGTTAATCTCAACTAATTCTCTTCAAAATATTCACCAGCCCGCGGGCTTTATCTACACTTGATCGCCCTCTCTGGCGTATTCTGGAGCTCGAAACCCCGCTGAACGGGCCTTTCTTGGCCTCCATGGTTTTCTCTGGGATTTAAATTGGCCAAATCAGGATGTAAGGCAAGGCTGAGTTTAGAAGTGCTAATTTTAGTGAATCCCTTAACAGCCTCGCAGGATGGGTACAGAAGTCTCATCTCTGGGGAACAGCAGGTAGAGTCCAGAAAAGATACCGCTAAAAAGGTCTCCCCAACTCCTGAGAAGTTTTTACCCAATGATAACACTTACATTATTGAATGCCTTCAATTGCCTTGTATTAATGCAGAGTTTAAGGTCGCGGAAGGGAGGTGGGAGCTGTTTGTAAATTCGGTGACCTCAAGACCTCCTCCCCCTCTCAACCCACAAATACAGCTTAAAAGAAAGGTCCCCACGGCAGGCTCTGGGGCGCACCTGGGTGGAGGGTGGGGGGTGGGGGGAGGGACGAAACCCAACAGAAGTAGCCCGACTGCAGCCAGGACCGGCACCCCAGGGTACCTGGGTTCTGCCTGCACCACTCCCCACAGCACCGGGAGGAGACAGGATAACCATCCCAGGACTAAGGCCAACAGATTGTTCCTGTCCAAGACTGAGGAAAGGCCCTCCCTCATTCCAAACAAGAACGTAGCAAGAGCCGCTGGGGGAAAGAAAGGGTAGATGTTGGGAATTAGCTGAACCGGGCTGAGGAGCGTGACTGAGGGTGTATTTTAGATCACAGGGGATTATAATGACACTGGGAATGTCTATCAGGACTCGGTGTGTCCAGGACAAATTCGCTTTCCCTCTCCCAGCCATCCTCCTTGCCCGCCTCACCTGTGATCCCGCAGGTGATCTTGCCTCCGGAAGGCCTTGTGGCAGATGTCACACGTGTACGGCCTCTCGTCCGTGTGGGTCCTCTCATGGATGAGCAAATTGTAGGATTTGGTAAAGTGTCTGCCGCAAAACTTGCAGATAAACTCTTTTTTCGTTTTGGAGGGCAACCTTCCTCGAGAGGGCTTTCTGTCCGGAGTCAATTTACTGAGGCCCGAGATGGGGCTACCCAGTCCTGGGCTCAGCTTGCTCAGGTCTCCCATCTTAGGCGGATCCTCTTGCGTGGCAGCCACCGCCAAATTGGCAAAGTCAAAACGGGGCCGGTCCTTGTGCAGGGCTGGGAGGACGTGGGCAATGGCCCCCTGCTTGGGGTGGAATAGGTGGGTGGTAAAAGGCAGGGCCGGGAAGGGGAAGCGCGCGTCCACGAGGCCCTGCGCCGCCGCCATCTCCGTGATGGTGGAGCGGGTGATCTCGTGCACATTGGGATACCCCAGCGTCCAGTGGTTCATGTGCATGGTCTGTACCGCGCTGAGACCGTACAGGCCCTGCAGGTGGTCCACCGTGGCCGGGAAGGTGTTCACGGCCTGCAGGAAGGAGTAATTGGTGAGCTGCAGCGACGGGTGGAGCGGGATGGGCGCTGGCAGAGCCTTGCTCCCCATTTTCCGGGATGCTGGGGGTGCTGAGGGGACCAACCCTTTCTTCCAGGAATCAGAGGCCGGAGGGCGTGGGGCTCCGACAAAAACCCAGTGAGACAACAGCACGTAGAGAAAGCCCTAAAAATGGCAGGGAAGAGAGGGAGAGACCGTGACTATAATCCAAGGCTGCTCCTTCTGCCCTTTGGCACCTGCGCAGGTTACCACACCTAAGTCTCCCTCCCCACCCGACTCCAAGACCCCCCGAAAGCCGTGAGGGGACTGCGTGGCACCTTGGCACCTGCTCAAGTCCGCGTGCAGATCAGCCCGGGGCCAGAACAAGAAGTGCTCCACTGGCGAGCGCGTGCCCAAAGGAAAGAAAGTCGGATTCAGACTCTAGGCAGATACGGAGCGGAAGACTCCTCGGTCCCAGGAAAACGAAAGGCGGACAGCCGGGCAGCACCCAGCCCAGCCCAGCCCAGCCCAGCCCACCCTCCCCAAGCCTGTTAGGCGAAGCTCAGTCAACCGCAATGCCAATGCTAGCAGGCCGGGGCGAACCTCTGTCGCCGCTGCGCCTCGGAGCTCCTGGGAACGGTGGGTTAACGGATGGGTCGTGAGATCCCACGCGCTGCGCTGCCGCCGCGCCCTGTGGCCGCCTTTCCCGCGCTTACCCGGATGGCAAGCCGGCGTGCAAGAGCGAAGCCGGCGCGCTTCATCCTCCTGGGCCAGAGGGCCCTGGGAGGGGCTCACCTCGCCCCGCACTGACCTCGGAGGTTTTCTTTTTCCTTCCTCTGCCCTCAGCCCCATCTATCAGCGGTGACGGGCCGCAGGAAAGAAAAGTGACACCTCAGGGGCTGGATTCGGCCTAGAATCGCCCCCTCCTCCTATCCACGGGCTCTCCTCCCAACCCCCGACTAAGATCCCTTCCAGATGGTTCAGGCTCCCAGGGGGTGGGGTGGGGGCGGAGAACGTCCCTGAGGCCAGAGGAACCCCTTTTCCCAGACTGAGCGCCAAGCTCTTGGGAGGCCTGAGCTGCTTCCCGGCCTGGCACCGAGGAGCGACCCCTACATCCCTCCACCCGGGATGCCCCAGGAGACGAGAGAGGAGAGAGAAGAGAGGGGAGAGGAGAGAGGAGAGCGCTCCGGGGAGGGAGAGGAAAGGAGCTGCAGGGGAGCTGCAGTAGGCCAAGCACAGAGTGGCCCTGCTGGCTTGCAGGAACCTTGTCCGTTGGCCTGGAGGTGAGTGCGGCTGCGGTCCCACCACCAGGACGCCCGGCCTGGGCCTAAGCAGGGCGCTTCCCCTCTCTCCGTGCTCCCAATGGCAACACAGGTCTGATTTCAGACCCAGGTTCCCGGGATCACCTCACCTACATTCACAGCGGGCCCACCTTCTCCCACTACCAGCCCCTTTTTAGAAAGGAGTTCTGCCAGTTCGGGGGACCAGGGCCTTCCCTCTGAGGGCAGACCCCCAGGTGTAGGAGTCACGTTTCCCAGTCTGTGCCACCAACCGCCAAGCCTGGCATTTGAACCCAGCAGGAAGGCAGGAGAGACTCCAGCCTTCCCTTCCCACCCAACCCCTTCCTGCGTCTGACTTGTCCTCTCCAGCGCGTTATGAAGTATTGCCTATGGTTCCATCTGTGAGCAGACTTAGGGGGCTACGCTAATGACAGAGCGCTCTGGCAAGGCAGGATCTGGCTGCCTCTGCGGGGCCCACACCTTCCTCTGGAAGGGCTCGGGACAGAGATTTATTAACGAATCGCTTCTGCTTGGTGGTATGCGGTCTGGGAGTTCAGGCTAAGAGTTAATGAGAGGTGGGTAACAGTCAGAGGGTCTCAGTCAGACCATTCAACCGCAACTGCAAACCCCCATTAGTAATCAACTTTCCCACCACAAATCACGATTCATTTTTGCTCGGTGGCAAGTCTCTTAGGGAGGCAGGGGAAAAGGATTCTACTAACATTCCTGGTAATCTACCTGATTATTTCCCTTTCAATTAAAAATAATAATTTATACCTTTATTTCCTTCTCTTTGCGTAATGAGGATTTTCCAGAGATTCAAAATATTATTTTTCCCTTCGTGTTGAAAAGCAACCTCTTTCCCATAGAGAGGAAACCGAAATTATTATTTGGGTGTATTCCCAGACTAGATTTCTTAGAAATAAATACAGGAGGCAAAGCACAACTCCCACCACAGGGTGTATGCGTTGGGGAGGGGGGAGCGGGCATGTGGGGGAGTGGTGTTGGCTAAAGTACTGTTGTGACCTGTGATTTCTATACCAAAGGCACAGCGAACTCTGCCATAAAGGTTACACTGCCACAAAGTTGAGTGCCATCTTCTTTCCCTTTTCTCTGAATGGTTTATAATACAGAAATTAACGACTAATATAATTCAGGTTCATGTTAGTAAAAAAAAAAAGTGCTATTTCATAGTACCTGTTTGTTTTAATTTGTAGGGCAGATAGTTTCTTCATAGAGGAAGAGCAAACCATTGGTCCTTTTGAAACCCTTTTACAAACAGAACAACCTTAAATATCCACCAATGGCTCTTGCCACAAATAATTAGGAAGGTTAAATTTCCACACTCCCATTGAGTTGCTGGAAATGTATGTCAAAAGAAGTATTTTAAGTGAATGCAGAGATCCTAAAGTACTTTCGTTTTGTCTAGAGCTGAGCCTTGTAGTTCCCACACTCCCTTTCAGGAAATAACAGCGATCATCATCTGCTGTCATTTCTCCACCGTCCCGTTTCAGACCACTGGTTACTTTTAATCTTGCAAGGAAAGAAACTTAAACCAATGAAAAGTCATAAATATGTTGGTGGAGCTGAGGCTACTTTTCTTTCATCAGTCTTCTTCACAGGAATTTCCAGGCATGTGGAGAAATTTTGTAAAATTTACTTGACTGGCTGTCACCAAGGAAGATGTGTACACACTTATTTCAGTTCAGTGAAGCTTTCAAAACATTGGAGAAAAAAATTAAGAAGTAACTTGATAAGGAGTTTCGCTCTTTGGTAATGGTAATATTACACTGAATTATCTAAAAATAATATACAGTCAGGGTTCATCTGCTAAAACCTGTGCACTGGTATATGAGATAAATGACTGATGGTCGGATAGGTAGGCTCACTGAATTTCAGCCCAAACCACAGCAGAATTTTATATAAATTAGAGAGCTATAGACTAAGTAGATCAAAGAAGATCATTAAAAAGAAAAAAAATTGTTAAAGGACAGATTGTTAGGGCCAGACTGTATCAGGTGAATAGAGAAACGGCTGCGAAGTTCCTGCCCCTTCAGAGCGCCTCTGCCTTCCCAAGGAGTTAATTAAATTAAGATGCCTTCCGCATAATCTAGGTTCTGTTTCTCTGTGCTCCCCTTGCTCCCCCTGCGTGAGTAATTTTCTTGTTCTGCCCAGGACTGCAGTTTGTTTAGCAGAGAAAGTGGCTGTCTGCGCCCTTTCGCTTCGGGAAACGCCAGCCCCCTTTTGTTCTCGGCTAACAGGTAGGAAGACAGATCCGGGGCTCCCTCCACAAACACCTTTTCCTCGCTCCTTCTTCGTACAACTGCAACTCCTTTCTCACTTGCCGTTTCTCAGGAATCCGAGCGTTTAAGCCCCCGGGGAGTTTGCTTTTGGGCCCCCTCAGTCAGGACTAGAAGGTGGGAGGAGAATTTTAAAGCCAGCACGAGGTTGACAAATTACCGAGGACTGAACTATTTCCCTCTTGAAATGTGCCTTCAGCGTCGCTGGCTGGGCAGGCACCGGGTGTCCGGGCCCGTCCACGCTGCGCTGCCGCGGCTGCCCCGGGACAAGTCGACCCAGGCTTGCTAGGGCAGGAGCAGAAACACCATGGGATTGTGGGGTTTGATCTCAGTGTACGTAGACCAGCTTTTATAAGAAGTCTTGCTGACCGCTTAGATTAAATATCCCAAAACAAAATTAAGAAACAGTATGTAGAAATGTGTGTGGTTGGGTGTTAGCTGGGAGTCGCGTGCCAGGGACCCAAGGAAGTGAGAAATACAGTGCCCTGGGATTGCATCCCCATGATCTATTTTCACATCTGAATTTGGGGCACACCAGACCGAGAATCTGAACGCCTCTTACACCCCCAAACCCTTCCTTCCAAAGGGCAGCTACAGCCCCTTCCCAGAGCGAACACTCACCTCCCGCAGAAAGGTCAACCTGGGCAGCCGCGCTCAGACCCGGTCCAGGCAGCGAGGCGCACAGCTTGGAAAGGTCATTGAGTCCACGCCTGGCAAACTTTTTTTTCCGCGCGGAGTCGCAGGAGTCGCGGACATGATCTGGAGGACCGCGAGCAGCTAAAGCGAGAGCAGATCCACGTCTTCGTCAGAGTCTGTGGACGCGGACTGTGTAAAGACCCGGGGTGCTTGGGGCCGGCGTTCAGCGCTCGCCCAGAACCTCGCTCTTCGGCGAACCTCTCGCTGTCGACTCCCGGTGAGGTCGGAGCCCACAGCCTTGCAGGGCCATCACCCTCCAGCAGCAAGCACGCCGAGCTCCGTCCCCGCCCGCGTCCCTCCCCAGGCTGCCCCAGGCCGGGAGTCTTGGGCTTTAGTAGCGGCCCCGCCTCCCCTTCGGGCGGGCGTCCCGCCGCCGCGCGGGGCCCTCAGCGCCCTGGCTCCGCCTCCGCGCCCGGCGTCTGCTAATGGTCCACTCTGTTTACTTCTGTTTGGATAGCAACTGAGTCTTAAAGGCACAGGTTTGCTCGAGGTTTCCCTGTTATAGAGACGCAGCCGTAGGTGACTCAGTTCAAAACTCACACACAAACACAATACCCACCCCCTTTCTTCTCGTTGCCACTTTTCCTTATACCATTAGAAACTCAACAACTGCTTCTCTGCCTCTCAAAGACTCCACAGAGAATCCCAAAGGGCATTTAGTATTTTTATTTGGTTCGCTCGCCGGCTTAATTTGCACATCTTAACACATTCAATACAACTACCTTCACCGTAAAGTAAAATAATTCAGGTCTAGACTGCATTCTCCAGCATAAATCACTCTTTCCCCAATTTTAAACAGTTTTGTACATACTTTTGGTCAATTATGACTACATGTGTAGTCTGCTTTCGCCTGCTGTTTTCTAAACGAAGTTTGTTTACAGAGGTGGCAATTGACTAATTTAGTAATTATTGCAAAGACGCGTGGAATGCCCCAGGAGAAATTTCTTCCAATATTTAAGCTTTAATCGGCAAATGTTCATTTCATACGCAGTAAACCAACTTGGTTAAAACAGTGGGCATCTGCAACCCATTGGCAAAGAATAAAGAATCCATCTGGAATTGGTGAAGAACAATCATTTTTAAAATTTAGGAAAATGCGATTCTAGTTTTTCAAAACATTTACATCTTCATTCCCAGCAAAAATTGAGTTCAATGTTCAGTCTCCAGGAAAGTTAATAGAATTCAAAGTGCAGTGATACATTTTTCAGGTCCTTCTAAAGGTTTGGTCTTGTGTGAGTGTAACTGCAAAAAGCACTTCAACCTCTCTGGAATAGGGGTGACCGAGTGACAGGAAGGGAATGATACACACCCATTTTAAGCAGCTTCTTTTCAGATGTGATTTGCGTGATCAACACTAAGCAAAAACGCCCTTCGTCCCAGACGAGTTGCCAGAGGGGATCTGTGTTACTCCACGGCAAGCCCGCACTTTGAGGACGTAGATCTTCAACCAAGAGGCTGTACAATTCAAAAGTGTTCCGTCGAAAGATGGTTTTGAATGAGACGCCCCAAAGGACAATTCAAAAAATCTCAATCGTGCGGGGAAGTAGATAAATACAAGCAGAGGCTAAAAACTGTCAAAAGGTTAAGCAGTAATTGGGGAGTCAAGCAGAAGCTCCCAGATATTATTTTATTAAGATAAAATTCTTTCTATTTTATTTATGCCGAGGTGGAGAGAATTTTTCGTTCCTTTGGTAAAACATAACAGGGGTCGCAGATTTTTTTTCTGTCTTTCCAATTTTAAGTTCGCAAAGATTAAAAAGTGAGCTTGAAACGGAGATTCGAGTGTTTAATATCCTGCAGTACTTAACTGCTTCAAAGTAGATTTGACACACAGAATGGAAGCAGCAGAATGCCTAAGCATTCAGATTTTTTTTTTTTTTAACGTTTTGCCTGGTGGGTCCCATAGGGGTGCTTTCATTTTAGAGCTCAGTCCTGAGCCTCAGCTGCGGGATGCCTGCGGTCCTCTCTCTCCAACTGCCTCATTCCTCCTGCAGCTTTTCTCAGTTTGGGAGATTTGGAGGGAGCTTTCTCTTCCTTCAGACTCCCCAAGCCTCCCACTCACGGGGTGGTGACCTGAAGAGCGTTCCTACGCTTCGCACTTCCTTTTCATCAAAGGGGAGGCAACTCCCCAGCAGCGGGCTTCACACCTTTCCCGCCCTTAAGTATGTGTACGTTGGGTGCAGAACCGTTTGGTTTTCCCGAGGGGTAGGCAGAATTTCCAACCCCACGAGCTGCTCCCTCTTTCCGCAAACCTCCTAACCCCGGGGTTTTTCCATAAATGTGTTTACTTCGTCCACGCCAGCCTGCGAAGTTCCAAAATGGAGTCTGGGCCACGCCGGCGTTCTGGGCACGACTACGGTCTCTTGAAAAGGTAGGGAAGAGTCGGCGAGCTCCAGCTTTGGGGGATGCCGCGTGGCCCGGCCGCGCCTAGGCCGCCTGCTGGCCCTGCCGCCTCGATGGGCAGGTGCGCGCCGAACGCGGGGAGCGGCCCGGAGGCTGAGCGCAGCGCAGCACCGTCCGCGGGCCCTCCTGGGCCACCTCTGCGCCCACTGGGGGCTGACCCTTGTGTTTCTCCAGGCTCAGACCCAGCCAGCCCCTCGTCCCGGCCGGCGTCTAGGGCGCAGGCATTGCGGGGCCCACCCAAGAGCAGGTCACCCGCCAGGCTCGCCGCCCGCCCCCAGCAGCCCTCGGCGCAGAAAGGCCACGCGGCCCACGGGCGAGTTGTGGGTTTCGGGTGTGCGGAGAGGGAAGTCCCGGAGTCTGCAGTGGCCCGGCTGTGCCCCCGAGGCTGTCTCCGCGGAGCCGTTCCATTCCTGCCGCGGCCCCGGGGACCTGAGCTGCTGGCTGGCTCTGAAATTTCCGCTGACCCGGTCATCTGCTGTCCTCGCGGCTCTGGACTTGCGACACCAAGGACGCTCTCAGGGAAATGGCTAACTGACGAGGGGCGCGCGAGCAGCGGCTGCCTGAACCCCAACCGCTGCAAGTTTACGCCCCGGGAGGCCGGGATGAAGGCCAGGGACAGGAAACGCGGAGGAGGAGGTGGAGGAGGAGGGGGCGCGCAGCGCAGGCCCCTGCCCCCCGGCCCACCCAGGAGGCTCTGCCAGCTAAGCAGCGAGCAGGTGTCAGACACAGACTTCCCTGGAGTTGACTCTCAGCCTCTCCCACTCGGACCGCGCGCCTCTCCCACTCGGACTCGGATCCTCGAAACTTTTAATCTTTAAAGAATACAATGTGAAAACCTTATCTTTTTCCAGGGATCCCAGCCACTACCTCCGGGGACTCGCCTCCCTTCTCCTCAGCCTTCCACTGCCTCTGCGGGGCGGGGACCTTTTGCATTTGAACTTCCCGCACTGTTGGCCGTTTTTCGCCAGAGCCTGGAGGAGTAGGGAGCTTGGCTCTGCTCAGGGTGCGTGCACCCTGGCCCTGGAGTAGCAAGGACGCCTGGGGAACCCAGAGGAGGATTGCGTGTACTAGGCCGAGTCGAGGGTGCGGAGACAAGGGCAAAAGGCTAAGAATTTTATCTTTTAAAACAGCGCGTCAGCGCCCGTGCTCTCAGCAGGGCTGAGGTGGGAAAGCGCAGCCGCGGGCTGCAGTCCGCAGCCGGCGGGAAGGGCCGCAGCGCCCCCTGGAGGCACCGGCCGAGCTCTGCGTGGCGCGGGCTGAGGGGGCGGCCACACCGGTGGTGGGCTCCGCTGCGTGAGGGCTTGGCCAACAGCTGCCCCGCCGGCCCAGCGGCTCCCTGTACCTGGGCCCGAGCCCCTTTGCTGCAGAGAAAGAGTCGCGTGTGCGGTAGGGGTCCTGTGGAGAGGGCCTGGGCCTATTCTCAGGGCCAATAAGCTTCTCCACACCCACCGTCGGGTCCTTTGTGGGAGCCCCACATGGTGTCCCCCACCCCAGAGCCTTTTCTCCTGGTGGGTTTCTGAGACGGATTTTTCGGACCCACGACGCCACTCCGGGCTGCCCTGACTTCCCCAGAGGAGGAGAAAGATACCAGTTCTGACCCCAGCGCAGGGAGTTCGCAGGCGGTCGCGTGCGGGGCGGCGCAGATTCCAAGGCCGGGGACCTTGTCCGGGCGGGAGATGCAGAGGGGTTTCCCAGGGGACCGCGTGCAGACAGGCTGCCCCACTCCCACGGATGGCGCGGGGGCCTTCCCGCGTCTGCGGGAGCTGAGGGTCGTTCCTCACTGCAGGAACCCCGCCACCCGGAATCGGGCCGGGCCAGCCAGCCGCAGGCACCCTTCCGGCCACCAGCCTGCGAGGCACTGAGTCACAGGGAAGGGGAGCTCAGTGGGAAGGCCGAGCACGGGGTCTCAGGGCAAGTTGCGTGGCCGTGGCCGTGGTGGTCTAGCCTGGGGACAGAAACCTCCTTGAGCCCAGGTCCAGCCCGGGTTTGGATTTCCCAGCTGAGGCCCTCGGCTGCCGCAGCGGCGGAGCCCAGAGCCGGCGCAAGGCCACCCAGGCCACCGTCAGCCCCTCGCTAGTCGCAAGATGCCTCCGCGACCCTGGAGCGTGAGGATGGTCCCGGGGGAGGAGCGGGCGGAAGGGCGCACCGGCTCCTGCACAAGCTGGATACGGCTCGGGCTCCGCGGTCTCCAGGCCCGCGCCGCACGCCGAGGGGGTAGGAGCGGGCTCCCGGGGCGGCGCGCGGGCACAGAGCGTGCTTTCGCCTTCCGGTGACTCCAGGGAAGGGGATCTCCTGCAGTTTGCCTCGTCGGAGAGAGCCAGGCTAACGCCCATGATCCCGCGTCCAAGGCTGCTTCGAATTCATGGTGCTTTTCGAACCAAGCGCTTCAGTGTCCGTGACAAGGAAGACCAGGTTTACCGATGACATCGCAGTGAAGGACAGGCCCCAGACACATCCGGGGAGAGGGGGGCTCTCCGCACCGGGCCCCTCTGGGAAGGCCCCAACCGCCCAGGGCGGGACTGGCCCGGCTGTCGTGCTCAACGTGGGTAGACGATGGATGACAGAAAAGAACATCCTCGGAAAAGACTAGGGCACGGTCTGCAAACCTATATTTTTATTAGGCTTTCATATTGTGTGTGTTTTTCAACGCACTTGCCAACGCTTAAACTTTGGGAAAATTCAAACGGAAATCTTGATTTCCGATGACCTCCGTTCCTACGCGGCAGTGAGTTGGCTGGAGCTGAGCAGCGCTACCCTCCCGTCTCCAGACTTGTTTTTAAAAGGCCGGCTGAAGATTGCCTTGGACGTTCCATTTCTCACTGCAGATTTCGTTTCCCTGGGACGCTGGGATAGGTCCGAGTTACCCTCTAGAGCAGCGGTTCTTAAAGTGTGGTCCAACAGCATTCGCATCATCTGGAACTTGTTAGAAATGCAAACTCTCTGGCCTCACCTACTAAGTCAGAAACTGGGAGTGGGGCCTGGCAATCTGTGTTTGAGCAAGCCCTCCAGGTGATTCTGATGCATGGTAAAGTTTGAGAACCACTAACCTAGATCAGATTGACATTGGGGTCCATCGCGGGCGGGCGCGATTTATCTTTCCCGCGCGTGCTCTCTCTCCTCCTCCGTCCCTACCTCTTCCTTCTTCCTTCACTCGAGAGAATGCACGCATAAACGCATCTGCTTTAGGCAGCTTATTCATTCATTCACTCGCTCACTTATTTCTCATTCATCAGACTTTCCAAAGGCACCTTCAAGTACTTGGAAACGAGCTTAGGATACCTAGGGGAACAAGGCTGTACCCCTCCCCGCAAGGAGTCGGCATAAGATGGTGGGGAGAGCAATGGAGAAAAAGTGCGGGTGCCTTCTTTCACGGCCAGTTGTTGTTAATTAGTATTATCTAATACTAGATCTGACTGATTTCCGGAAATGTCGCACCTCATTTTACAGTTTCTAACTATTTGTAACACTTGCCTGCCTTCCTTGTCCGTGCCGATGTCATTCTTTTATTTTCATCACATTTTAGGGATTCTGTGTGTCTACTGCACACCTTCCACACACATCTTGACACACATTGCCCACACCTTGCCAACCCTCCCTGCAGTAGGTCAGAGTGCATGACACTGGGGGTGAGGGAGTGTCAAAATCCGAGGGACCACGGGTGGGCCAGGGCTCAGAGTCTCTGTGCCCCTGGATTACCCTGAGGCTGGGCAGGAGGGTCTGAGGACAGCTGGAACTGACTCACATGTTCCCCTCACCCACTTGGTGCACACTGGCTCCCACCCTGCTTCCTGCTGCCTCAATCTGCCTAGCTCTCCACCTTCAAGTGCATCCAGCATTGGCGTCCTGATTTGTCACCTTAAGATGGAATCAAGTCCCTTTGCTTTTCTTGAGGGAGTATAAAATAGTCTCCCTTCTCCCCCAACTAAAAATCTGAATGACACTGGCACTTTCTAGTCTTCTTATGCCAAGTCAACTTCCCTTATGATTGTTCACTTTGCACTTTCTCTCTAGGACCTTCACTTGAACTTCTCTCCTCGGCCAAAGAGCTGCCTCCACTGGACCATTTGCTTCCCTCCAGGATTTTCTAGTTTTGGGCAGTGAACAATAGAAGGCACTTTGCCTCCCCAAAATCCCGTCTAACTGGAAGCCTCTTGTCATCATCTATTTTCAAGTTTTTTTAGTTTTTTTTTTTAAGCTTTAATTTTAGTGAGTCAGTGCAGGGAAGCCACTGAAAACGCATATAAACAAAAATGAATTTTCATACTGACCATAGTCATAAATTGTACAAAAGTATTCATCATCTCCACTTTGACAAAGGGTTGCTATTTTCAAATGACCTTTTCTTATGGGGATTCTCAAAATATAAGATGTTACAGTGGTCAGGAATGTGGTAATCTCTTTACTACCAGTGATTCTATTTCTTAACAGAATTTTGCTTCCCAGTGCAGATGGTTTGATATAGTAACATTCAAAGCAGCCAGCCCTTAGGAAATGCCAAGGCCAATATTTGAATGCAGATACAAGTTTTAACAAAGGAAAATGTAGTATATCCTTGTAGCTGTTTGCCTGTGAATATTCCCCTGGAGGGCTAATACACTATTCTTGAATCTAATCCAAGTCAAGCCAACTCTAAAAATCCTGTGAAGTACCGACTAATAAGGCACATACAATTCCTTTTCAACAGTTTTCTTGAGTGTCTACTATGTACCAGGTAAGAGGCAATTGTGCTATTGTTTGAAACCTTGAACTTTCATCCTGACTTGGGGGTAGAAGTGAGGACAAGGAAGGTGGAATTTTAAGGTTGGATCCCCTTGGTTTTGTTAAATTGTTAAAGTATTTGTATTTAATGGCAATCTTTAAAACATTTATTGAATTCTGTCTTACATTTTTAGTCATTTTTATAAGTCAAGGAGAGAAAATCAATGTTTAAGCCAGCCCATTTATTAGAAAGTGAATGCCAGCACAGGCTTAACTTCTGGCTTTCCAACTGGAAGACAACATTTTATAATGATGTTATTTCACTTCATGCCAGGTGATAATTCCACTGTAGCTTCATTGTGATTGGTGACCATAGCTCACTCAAGCTGATTCTCACTTCCTGACTGTAAGGAGCCACAGAGAAAAAACAAATCATTCTTCTTCTGGCACCCTTGCTGGAGGAGGAGTAAGGGAAGAGGCAGACGGCTAGATTGGCCCCATCCTCATAGTTTTTTGGGAGAATTTGGAGCAGGACCAGCTCAGATCAAAGTTTCAAAGAATACTGGTCTTATAAGAAGTGATGAGCTCTGTTATCTTTGCCTCTGAGCCCAAAACACAGAAAACTTCAATGGATCTGGAGACATACCAGTATGAGAAGCCCCCCTCCACTCTTTACAGTGTCTGCTCATACTGCTTGTCTTAGCCACATACTTCACTTTTCAGTCACCAAACCCCTCTTCCCTTGTCCTTTCCCCCATACCATCCCTGGCCCATGCTTTGCAAGTGGGCTTGCCTCCAGGAATCAAACTGGGTGGATGCTATGATGTCAGAACACCAGGCAGCAGTGTTTCTAACGTGTTAGACCATGGTTGTCTTTTTCTTTTCCTGGAAAAGTACACTAAGTGCAAGTTGTCTCCCAGGCCATGAGGCACACATCCAAATGCCCTACGTGGTGGGCCCGCCCAGGCCCAGGAGAGTGTGGAGAACAAGTGTGTCATATGGGTGTGTTCACTAGTCCTGCTCCCCCTCTGTCTCATCATTGACCACATTCTCTTGACAAGCCATATGGCCTGGGAGTGACCTGGAATATATTAAGGGCATTGGTTTGTAGAACACTTGCAGAGCAAGGGAGCAATAGCAGAGTGGTATTTTAGAGTTGGTAATTCATTTAATGTACATTTATTGAGGATGTTTGGTATGGTAGGCCTTGTGGTAGGTACTGGGAACGCAATAATGAATTTGGAGCTATGGTCTACTGGGAAGATGTACAAGTAAATAGGCAATTATGATATCGTATGCATCAGAAACCCTGGATCCAAGATCCCTAGTTAATAGCTCTATTATGTTGGGCAAGTCATGTTGCTTGTTGAACCCTCTGTGTCTGAATCTGCAAATTAAGGATATTCTGAGGGTTAAATAACATGGATGCAGGCCAGGCATGGTGGCTCACGCCTGTAATCCCAGCACTTTGGGAGGCTGAGGTAGGTGGATCACAAGCTTAGGAGATCGAGACCATCCTGGCTAACACAGTGAAACCCTGTCTCTACTGAAAATGCAAAAACAAAATTAGCTGGTGTGGTGGCGGGCACCTGTAGTCCCACTACTTGGGAGGCTGAAGTGGGAGAATGGCATGAACCCGGGAGGTGGAGCTTGCAGTGAGCCAATATTGGGCCACTGCACTCCAGCCTGGGCGACAGAGTGAGACTCCACCTCAAAAAAAAATAAATAAATAAAAACAAAAATAAATAAATAAATAACATGGATCCATATTAATGCTCTTAGTAGTTATGACTTTTTCTTACCCATTAACATGAACTGACCTTACAAAATTATTCCTCCTATCCATGTAAGAAGTTGGAGAGAAAACCAAGGGGAAGAAATTTGACTCAATACCTATTATCTGGTTATCAAGAGTATACAATTTAAGCTGTTGGAACAAATGTTAGAGAAAAAGTTACTCATCTGCTTTGACAGTAAGACTTTTACCAAGAGAAAATGTCTACATTTTCATTTTTTACTGAAAAGTAGGAATACAGTACCATGCATTATATTATAATCTTGTTTTAATTGCAATTAGAGAATACATGGAGTGAATCTATAATGAATAGGTTGTTTTAAGCTTCTAAGTTATTATTTTGGATGCTATTCTCTAATGAAATAATGATGCAATTAATTTGGGGATACTATTGATGTATGAGGCCTTGAGGAAGGAGATTGTATTAAAATACAATTGAGCTGTGTGTATCAGAAAATCCAAATTAACATGGGTTTAAACAACAGAGAAGTTGACTTCTCCCACATAAATATAGACAAGCCAGCATCAATATGGTGGATAGCTTCTTCATTATCAGGTACTTGGGCTCATTCTATCATGTGTTTTCACCAACTTCAAGCCATGACTCTTACTTTATGGTCCAAGATAGCTGCATTCTGACCCACAGCAAGAAGGAAGGCATGAAGGAGGGCAAGCCCCCCACCCCCACCTCTAAGGAGACTCCACAGAAAGCAGAACCTAGTCACCAGGCATATCTAGCTGCAACGGAGGCTAGGAAATGTAGTCTTTACTCTGGGTAGCCATGTGCCCAGTTTAAATTCAGACTTCTATTACTAAAGAAAAGGAGAATGGATATAGGGAGACAACCAACAGTTTTAGCCATAGGATGTCTAGGCTTGTGCTTTGCTCTTTATATATGTCATGTTATTTTATTTTATTTTATTTTATTTTATTTTTGAGACGGCGTCTCGCTCTGTTGCCCAGGCTGGAGTGCAGTGGCACAATCTCAGCTCATTGCAACTTCCACCTCCTGGGTTCAAGCTTATTCTCCTGCCTCAGCCTCCCGAGTAGCTGGGATTACAGGAGCATGCCACCACACCTGGCTGATTTTTGTATTTTTAGTAGAGACGGGGTTTCACCATGTTGGCCAGGCTGGTCTCGAACTCCTGACCTCAGGTGGTCCATCCACCTTGGCTTCCCAAAGTGCTGGGATTACAGGTATGAGTCACCGTGCCCGGCCTACATATGTCATCTTATATGTGTTGGCACCATAATCACTGTCATTGGTTCTACATCGTTTTCACTGACACCTTTGCTGCTTTTATGGTTTTAAGCACTATATGCATTGGCAGGATTCTACTTTGGAACCCCTGAGCATATTGCCACTACTTGCCCCTTTTTGTTCACTCTTAGTTGTGGCTTCCGATATGCAGCTTTCTTCTTAGAGTGGGGAGGTGTGAACAAAGAAGGTGGGTCGGACTTGGAAAAGAGAGGTTTCAGGAACCTGGCTGGGGATTGTTGGGGAAGGCCACTTGTACCACATGGCAGCATTCCTTTTGTCAGATATGTACTAGGTGTCAGGTGGGCCTAGTGACTGGGTCTTCTGCAGCAGGACTTCATTTTTTCCTTGGAAGATGGAATAGGAAATGAAACAAAACAGTACATACTAGTGGAAAAGTCCCTGTACTGAAGCCCTGGATTCTTCCTGGCTCTGTTGCCATATAAAGCAGACTTGGTCGGCAACTGCTAAAGGCAGGAATGGCCTTTTTATTAATATAACCTCATAGTCAGAGGCTGCAGAAAAAAATGTGCAGCTTGGGTTCCCCAGAGGGGCAGAGTCAAAACTGCAAGCAGACCCCACACACAGCAGGGAAGGCCCTGCTCAGCCAGAGCCCAAGGACAATCTCTAAAGATAAGTGTGGAGAGACTTAATTACCATTTAAAATTGTCCTGGCCTGACCTCTCTGCCTGGTGGGTTAACTTTGCTTCTGAGCCTTGTCCTGTGTTAATACTTACAGGCTCTATTCTCTCTTCCAAGTCTAGAAGTATATTTAGTAACATAGGTATGGAAGGAGGGTGGCAGGAAGGGCCTAGAGCTCCCCAATCTCACCTGGAATCACTCTTCAGGATGCTGCTTGGCTTGGGGCAAGTTTGAGTATGGAGGTTACATGCAGGGTGTTGATGCCAATATATGGGGAGAGGGATTATTTCCCTGCAAAAACATCTGGAGTGACACTGAAGACATACTTATATACAATTTACATGAGCCCCAAGGGCTTCCCATGCCTGAGAGAATTGGATAGATAGTTCCTATTACACATTTATTTCCTTAAAGGAGATATTTTATATTCTACCCTGTAATTCAATTCTTTTGACTCCCCACTCTGCTAAAAAGAAAAAGGACATATAGTCCAAACAATTTTTAAAATACATTTCCCCCTCCAAATAGTAAATGTGCACAATTTGTGCAGATTTACACACATCTGTAAGCTATGCCTTGTTTATGCCAGTGCTTACAATATTTTAAAAATAAAGGATAATGTTTTTCGGTCTGTATACAATAGTATTTTCTTTTATCAACTCCCCACATACAAATGTATTTCGCTTTTTTAGGGTGTTATTACATGTCTAAATAGTAATGTACACAACTGATACATAGGAAGGACACATATGTTTTACAACAAACATACCAAAGGATGTAAAATACTCATGCTGACTCTTTAGAATACAATACCTAATAACCTGCAGAGTTAGAAAAGGCCATGTAACTTGGTCTGACCCCATTCTATGTGTTGGAGTTAGAGGATTTAGGATCATGGAATGTAGTTTAGAGACGATATAACCCAGGTCTCTCATTTTACCTATGTGGCCACAGAGGCTCAGGAGGAAAGTAATTTCCTCAAACTAGCTGACTTTTCCACAGCACAGACCTGGGGCTACTGATTTCAGGCAAAAGGCTCTTTCTCTTATGACCAGGTAACAGTCTAGATTGAAGCTGGAATTTGGCTCTGGGAAAAAGTGGTGACTTGATTCCAGCAGAGTAATTGGCTGTATCAATAGCCTCTGAGTATCAGAATTCCATTCAACCCCAGCTGTCCTCCCAGGGCCTAACTTTTCGAAGTATGGCTGGAGGACCAGGAGCATTGGCCTCACCTGGGGGCTGTTTAGTAATGCAGCAGACCTCCTGAATGAGAATCTGAATTTTAACAAGATAGTTCCCTTGGTGATATGCCTATAGACTAAATTTGGAAACAACTACTCCAGGCCACTGTGCCTCTATTGCCAGATAATTTCCTTAAAGCCCTTTTAAATCACTTTCCTCTGATTCATTAAACACCTACAATGGCTTCCTATTGCTTATCTCTTCCTATCCAAATGTTTTTGAAAGTCGAGTGTTTATCTACTAAACCTGGGGAGTACTGTTTCCCTGGTTATATACTTGACTTGCTCTAGAGCTAGACCTGGGAATCCAGCTATTGATATTTAAAGACCTCCTCCAATGACTAGCCTTCATGGGTCCTTAAATTGGCTGTTTGAGAACTATTGATCCAAAATGTTGCTTAGGAATAACTAAGAATAGATAAATCTTAGAAAACAGTAAGCATTACTCCCAACTACCTTGTTTTTCTTAGATGCCAAATCATAAAAACTGTTTTCCTACTCATAGTATTTTCTCTTATTTTTTTTTCCCCTTTCATTGGCTTCTCACTTGCTCCCAATCTGAGATGATAAACTCTGCATGATTCCCAAATTATCTCTTCCATTTTCCACTGTTAATTATTGTTACCATCAGGAGTGAACTATCCTGGAGGCCTGTTTAGATCAATTGGGGATCCAGGCATTTCGTTGATCTGGCTTCGGTATCTGACTACCAGAATTTATTTGGATTATCTGGTTTGCTAACTGCAAGTCTCCACTTACCTCATCATTTCATTAAAGTACCACCCAAAATTGTGCTTTGGTTAAAAGGAACAACATTCCTGGAGCAAGAGGGACCATTCATTAGTGAAGGCGAAATCAATTAAGGAGCTCTATCTTTTAGAGTAAAAGAAAGTATACTTAACCACAGTTGGGGCTCTTAAGTTGCACTGACATATCCAGGAAAGGAGATTGTTGTGTATTCCAGAGTCATCTAGTACAGCATGATTGTTTTTGTTCTGACAGGGCTCCTTTCTTACAAGGCAATGATTTAGGGCGGGGCCAGTCAGCAAAGTTTTTTGTACTTAACAAAAATGGCTGTTATCAAAAGCCAGTGCCTCTCCTGGCTGTTCACTGTTACCTCATTACAACCATGATGTTATCTGCTGGGTATCTGGGTTTACCACTGACCACAGCAGAGGCTTGGACATTATTTGCTCAAATGATTTTCTTCTCCTCTTCCTTTTGTTTTAATTATGTGCATGAGGGATCAGGCTGGCGCAGGCCGGGTCGGGGTAGGAGTGGTTATTCCACAGAGCACAATGTGTACTTTTTCAGCATTCTACTTACTTCCATAAAGTAGACTTTATGAGCTGTGTGCTTGCATTTTTGTTTTCTGACTTATTGTTCTCTATCCTACAATTGTTCTATTAATTTGATAGTATATGGTTTCAGCCAAACATTTGTTCCAAATTCTGCCAGATTAAGGGGAAGTTTCCAGACAAAACACTGCCCAGGGGCCTTCCTATACAAGCAGAACTACTTCAGCTCATCCCTTGGCCACTGCACTATCTCCTTGGAAGTCTTCAGGAGTGGAGTGGGGTCAGTGGTTGCACTTGAGCTCAGCCGATTTCAAGGATACCTCATCTCTCTGTGGCAGGGCACATCCACAGGCAATTCTGGAACCAGCTCAGTGGCAGAAACATGGGTCAGACAGAAGCTGTGGGTTAGGAACTTGATCTGAGTGTTGAGAAATGAAGTACAGAAGCTTGTAGGGTCAGCTCCATCCTTCTTGGGCTAAGCATTTTCCTTCAGGCGCTGTGCAGGCCTGTTCTCAGAATGACATTCACATTCCACTCAAGTAGTCTGCTTTTGTAATTCCCTGGGGATTTTCATGAGTATAGAGGTCACTGTCTCTGACAATTAAGCTTTGAAGTTAATTCCCAAGATAAATAGAGCAAATTGACACCAGTTTGGTTGTAATTTTTCTTGCTTCAAATTCTAGAAGACAACAGTGAACCGGCTGCCAGACTCAGTTCCTGGAAATCCAAGAAACATGGGCATTTTATTTTTTACCCTTCCTAAATGAGGCAATTTAAGGCTGTTAGAAACAACAAAATCCATGTAAACATCTTAATTCTACAATTTTGCTTGCATTTCTGAGAGGACAGACAATCATTGTTTCCATTTTTTTTTAAGCTACATAAGTAGTGGTTTCTTTTAAAACTGGAATGATAGAAGGTTATAATCTTTTTAATTCAGACCTTGCAGCAGAAAAGTTGGATTTACTTGTGAACTGTATTATTCAGTAACACACTCTGCATGGAACAGGGAAAGTAAATAACTGAACACATACTTTATAATTACACATGGGAGGAATTCAAAGCTACAGTGAAGGGAATGGAGTTTGGGGGCCTGGGGCGGCAGCTGCAGTTTCTGGCTTCTCCCTCCCTACATGCTGAGGGCCTGAGAGAACAGGAACCTGGAGTTCCCAGTAGGCCTCCCATTCCCCCCACAACCGCCTTCCCCTCCTCCCCAGGGTAGTGAGGGAGTTGAGATGAAGGATTTGTCACTCTAGGCCTCAGCTTACAGGGACATAATTAGGATTTACAGAACAAAATGTGAGCCCAGGATGGGACTAGAGATTTATTATACCACTTCCTACATGTTGTTCAGGACACCTCAAGATCTTAATAATTTTGAGGAAAAAAGATTCCATTGTCAAATAAGTTTGAGAAAGGTTATATATTGGAGAATCAAAGTGCATGCTAGCACAACAAAGACTCTGAGAAGGCCTACGGTAAAGACATCTGTTTAATCCAGTCTTCCTCACCCCTATTTGATTTCTAAACTTCCTTTCAGCTACAAAGTTCTGAAGGTTCTTGCTGACCAAGCACTTTCTGCTTTTCAAGTGAGTTTATGGGAAGACAGAGAAAATCATGATAATTAATTCAGATTTTAAAACTCAGATTATAACACACTAAAAAATAGGGATATAATTAATTTCATTGTCAAGGGAGACCAAGAGGCTGGCACAATTTAATTGTACTAACCTGATCTTTATTCCTTTATTTATTTATTTATTTATGACAGGGTCTGGCTCTGTCACCCAAGATGGAGTACAGTAGTGTGATCTTGGCTCACTGCAACCTCCACCTCCTGGTCTCAAGTGATCCTCCCACCTTAGCCTCCCAGGTAGCTGGGACTGCAGTGGTGCACCACCACACTCAGCTAATTTTTTTGCAGAGATGGGGTTTCGCCACGTTCCCTAGGCTAGTCTCAAACTCCTGAGCTCAAGCAATCCTCTGCCTTGGCCTCCCAAAGTGCTGGGATTACAGGCATGGGCCAGCACATCTGGTCTCCCAACCTGATCTTTGAATCACAACACTGTTACTCATCAGCTGTGTGACTCTTGGCATTCATTTGCCTTAGTTTCTCTAGTTAGTTTTTTTTTGTTGTTGTTCATTTTTTGAGATGGAGTTTTGCTCTTGTTGCCTGGGCTGGAGTGCAATGCTGTGCTCAGTTCACTGCAACCTCTGCCTCTCGGGTTCAAGCAATTCTCCTGCCTCAGCTTCCCAAGTAGCTGGGATTACAGGCATCTGCCACCATGCCTGGCTAATTTTTGTATTCTTAGTAGAGACGGGGTTTCACCATGTTGGCCAGACTGGTCTCAAACTCCTGACCTCAGGTGATCCACCCGCCTTGGCCTCCCAAAGTACTGGGATTAAAGGCATGAACCACCATGCCCGGCCTGTTTGTCAAGCTTTGACCTTTGAATTAAAAATCTTTTTCAGCTCAACTCTTGTCCATGTGTGGGAATATTGATTGGAGCTTCTCCCAGTAGTCCATACAGTTGTTAAAGCCCCCCTCATTCTAAACCTGTTATCAGGTTTAGAAATTGCTTCTGGTCCATAAAGCCAGTTTTGCAGGGAATTATTTCCAAGTGAGGAATTTGTGCTTCCTTTGGGGAGAATCAGCAACTTATTATAATTTTTTTAATTGGAAAGGTAATACCAGTATTGTAGAATCTTTGGAAAGCCAAGAAGAGAAGAAAAGAATGGTGCTTGGTTAATGAGCACTTACTATGTGCCAGATATAGCTCTAAGAGTTTCGCTTGTATTAACCTCAAGGCCAAGCCACACAAAGGCTCACTGCTCTGCAGTGCAGGAACCTAGAAAGGATACTTCAAACTAGTCAAAGGTGGAATAACTATTGAATCTGTCTAGCTATTCCTGAGGGACTAACTAACCATCCAATTGCCAAATCCCCCAACCTTTTAAAGGAGATGCATAGGTATATTTTAAAGCACAAGCTTTGCAATTGTCTTGTTTTTTCACAGTTTCTTGGGTGTGGCCTTTTTGTGATCAACCAGCATTCTACAGGTTATTTGCAGTATGCTATAAATCCAGGTATTGATAAGGCAGAGTAAACATTTTCTCCTGGTGAGGTGATAGCCTTGCATTGCTTTAGCTTTAGATTTCTCTCCAGTGGACTGTGTCTGTGCAGAGACAGTTGGTTTATAGACCGTCAACTGAAGCAGGGCACAATAATAAGGTAAGGACAACTGGAGCCGTGGAATGCCACAACAATGGCATGCGTGTTGTAGGATGCCAACCTGCTTTGAACACATTCTGACTCATTTCTCCTGTTCTCATCTTCTCTAGGCTCCCCACTGCATACTGAAGTACCCTACAGACAAGCCTGTATTAGTCAGGACTCTTGTTTGCAAGTGACAAAAACCCAACTCTAGCTAGTTTAAGCAATAAAGGGAGTTTAGTGGTCCATGTAACCGAAAAGTCCATGAGTTGAATAGCTTCAGGCATGCCTAGATCCAGGCACTCAAACCATATCATGAGGATCTCTTTCCCTTCTTTTCATAATATATGGCCTCATTCTCTTCTACTGCAGACAGCTCCCACTCTGTGGCCTAGGAACGTGGACACTTATAGTTCCAGCTTATGTTATGTGATCATTATAGTTTACAATCCTAGAGCAGGGAAGTGTGTCTTTCCTTTCATGTTAATAGCACAAGCTCTGGGACAAGACTGCCTAGTTACACAGTCTATCTCTACCACCTAGGTGTATGATCTTAGACAAGTTACTCTATCTTTGCTTCAGTTTCTTTATCTGTAAAGGGGTGATAATAATAGCATTACCTTATCAAATTATATGATAATTAAATGAGATAATGCATCTGAAGCATTTAAACTGTTCCCAGCACAGGGTAAGCACTCAATAAACACTAGTAGTAGGAGAAGACCTTCCATAGAAGATTTGGCTCAGCTTGTGCCATATGCGTATCTCTGGATTAATCACTGTAGGTTGGGGAATAAAGGAATCTGACTGGCCAGATCTGAGACATAGTCCCACCCTTTTGCACTGGGAGGGCAATGCCCAAACCACAATGAATCACAGAAAAGTTATTCCCAAAGGAAGGACTGTTGAGCAGACAAATAACACTATAGGGCCAACACATGGTCCAACCCTGAACAAGACAGGTAGCCTCAGCTCTGCCCTCCAGTATGATTTGAAATAAAGTTGGATTGCCAGCATGATCTCACATTCAGAGATTGAGCCACAGGCCTAATGTAGCCCTAAAGTGGAAGTATCATCTCATCACCCTCATTCTGTCAGAACTGCGCCCATCTAGATATCTTGATTCTAGCTTGATCTGCTTGGTTATCCTGCCTAGAACTCCTGGCTCTGCATAGAGCTAGGACACACTATAAACTTCATTTTGCCTGGCTGTGGCCCTTACACAGCCTAGTCTGCATTCGGGCCCCATGCCCCTGCAGTTCTCACTGTCACCACACAACCACCCACCACTGCTGCCTGGAACTTCTCAGTACCTTGCCTTGCCTACTGGTTTTGGGCCAGCTGGTACCATAGCACACCTAAGCTTGCTGTGTCCTAACATACCATGCCATAGCTATCCTGGAGTCAGTTTCCTCTACCCTGCCCTAACTTCCTCTTTTGTTGTCCCAAATCCCAATGTGCTTTGGCCCCATTTTAAGAAGATCTGGCTATGCCTTATTTCTTAACGGCCTTAATTTTACAACTGCATTTGTATGTTGTCTTTTCTTTGCTGGTTATTCTTTTACGGCTTTGGTTCTTATTCAAAAACCTCTTCCCATTTCCCTGTCCATATTACTGCATTATAGATGTGTGTGTGTGTGTGCATGTGTGTGTATTGTTTTACTTTCTCTTGAAGAGAGTATTATTTTCAATGTCTTAGCCCAGGGCACTAATATGGGGGCATCACGGGGTATGATAAACTTGAGGGTCCATAAGTGGCATCTTGGGTAGAATGAAAAGTTCCGTATTCCATATGTTTGCATTAATAGACAACTAGTTCTGTAGCTGACTAATAAATCACATTTCCAGGTCAATGAATAGGTTTTTATTTCACAATGAATGATTCCCCAAATATAAGAACTTCTAAAGAGCAGATAAAAGCAGCTGCAAATGTGATCTAGGAATAAATATCACGAAAAGAAACCCAAGCAGCCTGCAGAGTTCCAGCTGCTCTCCCCCCAACCCTTATCAGCGTTCTAATGGTCAGGCGCAATTTGAAGTTAGAAGGCACATTTCCAACAGCTTTTGTCCTTATATGTGGTTCTTGAAATAGTGCAGACATTCTGGTTCCTATCAAAATAGTAGTCACTGTCTCCAAAATTATTCACTTCCTTCTCATCCTCTCTTCTCCCCCGGCCCCTCTTTGGCATCTGCATCTTCCATCCTGATACTCAAGATGACAAATCCTGATTATGAGGAGGCTCTGATGCTACATACTTTAATATGAGCTGAGCAGAGCCAAGTTTAGCCTGTGATTTATGTGGTCATTCAACTCACTAGGGCAAACAAGGGTTTCCTAATCCCATACCTTTAATCCTTGCCTCCTCCAAACCACATTTCCATCTTATTGTTGCAGCTGCAGCGGGTTCCTTGAAACTAAACTGCAGTTTTCCAGGGATGGTAATTCCATCTTCCTGAGCTGATTCAAAGATTAAACAGAGTGCTTTAGAGATTGCATTCACAGCAAGCAGCAAGGGCAATCAAAAAGTGGTGTTTGGGCCAACAACAATACAACTTTCAGATGAAAAAAGGGGGCTGAAAAAATCTTTAAAATTAGAGGGGTTTGAATGAGTTTTTATTCCTGACATTGAAGGCTATGGAGCTGCCTTCTATACAGTAAAGTGCTAAGGATTTGGCATCTCTATTACCTCAAAACCTGAGTCCCTCAGGTAAATGAGTGAGTGAGGCATACAGTACAGAAAACAGTTTCTCTCCAATTCTGCTGCCAATCTGCTCCATGATCTTGGGAGAGCTAAGGAACTTGTTGCAGAATAGTCACGTATCTCTCTTTAGATTTTCAGTAATTGTCTTTTCCTGCCTTGTGATGCAACAAGTCTGGATGCCTTATTTTGCAGTTTTTACTTGAAATGTGAGCAATCACTATCAATAAGCCAGGCAGAAAAATCAGAATTGTTGAGCCAACAGAAAGATCAAAAATTTCTTATGGGTTTTCAGGAGACCAATGGCAGCCCTGCACATAGAGAGAAGTAGCATTGAGTCTGATGAATGACTTTGGGAGCAGATGGGCCCCAAAGCACCCACTCTGTCTGGTCAATCTGACCTTCTTGTGGTTACTTTTGAGAAAGTTTTGGACTTTAACATCATTCTCATTACAGGATGACATTTCAGAGGAAACCTAGCTTTGAATCATTGGTGTGAGTAGTTTTCTCCTTTGTCCCTCATT
The DNA here is from genome assembly GCF_000001405.40 of Homo sapiens. Lineage (NCBI taxonomy): Eukaryota > Metazoa > Chordata > Mammalia > Primates > Hominidae > Homo > Homo sapiens. The sequence continues at coordinate 98,924,976 of NC_000008.11, read as the reverse complement.
ATTTCAAAATCAGAGGATTTTGTCCTCTCCCTTCTTGTTGGTACCATACCGTGCCTTACACCAGCAACAATTCTGAGGCATTTTATGGGCACAGTGTCCAGGCTCCACTATCCTATGGGAAGAGAAAGAGAGGTTCATCCTCATTCCTCTGAACTCTCACAGCCTCTCATTGCACCTTCTGCTTTCCGCAGACCTAGCTTCTAATACTGAGTTTACCTCCTTTTAATTGTTTGGTGGTAAGCCAGTAAATTAAACTGTGCCTCAGGTTTGTTCCTCAGTTCTGGCTTTTTACAAGGACTGTTGCCTATGTGGTATGACTTAAGATTGTCATTCTCAAATATAAACCCACTTCCATGCCCAAAATTCAGTCTGTAGTGATCATTCCTTGGGCTAGTCCCTCTTTTGTTTTGATTTAAAGAATCCTGGGAAGAAATCCATTGGTTCCTTACGAGGTTGATGCAAGATGAGCATAGTGGTTTCAGGAGCCATCTGGGCCTTTGAAAGAGGGAAAGTATGCATAAAGAAGAAGAAGGAGCCCATAGAAATAAACTGTACTGACTTCACAACTCTACCCAGGGCTGCCTGCTTACACAACCTTGTCATTTCTTTTTCCTGTGTACATAAAGCCTTTATATAACCAGTTAGGGTAAGCAAAAACTCAATTTAGCAGAGAAACAGAAGCAGATAATGTTTATTTATTGACAAGGGAAGCAATCAGGCTTTGTTCACAAACTTATTAAACAGACAAGGTTCTCCCTGCTATCTAAACTGCAGTGTGAAGAAACAAGAAGGCAGAGGCCTGCCAAGGACGGGGAACAGCCTCCACAAAATTTTCAGGGACAAAAACGGAATCTTTGTCTTCATGCTTCTCTGCTTTCTTCAAATGGACTCTCTGAACCTGCAAACCTCCATGAACTCAAGAAGGCCTGACAACTCTTTCAGGGTACAATGACTGGTTTTAGTGCTATGGTTTTTCTTTTCTTTCCTTTTTAATATCATGAATCTAAACAAATTCCACAGGGGGAAAAAAATAAAAAGAACTGGCTGGCTCAACGTAAAACTATTGATATGGTTCCAAATTCTCTCCCATCATTGTCAACGCGCGCGCGCGCGCGCGCGCGCACACACACACACACACACACACACACGTTTTTGCAAAACTGTAACCTGCATATACACAGAGTTTTATGTTCTGGTTTTTCACTTCACTTTATTCCATATACACATTTCCATGACTTGGAGGGTACCCCAGACTTCAACACTTTTAATAGCTAAAGGGTATTCCATCTTATTTATATCTCTGGTTGAGTGACCATTCACCCTTGTACTGTGGGCTTCTGGGTTGTTCTAGCCTAGGGAGACTCCGTCGTTCTGTGCTTAAGGACATGCCCGTGGGGTTTCTCAGGCCATGTTCACAAGTAGTGCTAGGGTTTAGGTTTGTTTGTTTGTTTTCATGATTTCTTCTGTCACAGTTTTCATTTTATGTTTGCATGAGGTTATTTCTGGATTTGGTTGCTTTAAAAAAATATCATATTCATCTTTGCCAACTATCAATGCATTTGTTCTGAAATGCAATCAAGGCCTACTCTAAAAAGCAAACAATACAAGTGTTGCCACCTGTTGATGGAAATTTTATTACTCTTGTTTCACTGGAGCTCTGATGAAGAACAGCGTGAAAGGAAAAAAGAAACTTTATTATAACTCCCACAAACTCAATCCCCAGACTTATTAACATAATATTTGCATTATTACTGTTCTTTTTTTATTTCATACCTTCTTCTAACATGGGTCATTGACTGTAAGCAAGTATACATTTTGCTTCATTACAATTTGCTTTAGATATATTTAAAACCTTTCCATTTGATCAAGGCTCCACATTTCTTTTTAATTTAAAAGTTTCAAACATCAAACATTTTGAAACCCCATGGATGGTGTATACCCTAGTGCTCTACATGAAATGAGGTCAGCAAACAGCCAGAGTTTGACAATCCTCAGCGGAACCAATTTTAACTAATTTCAAAGAAGAAAAAATAGTTTCCATATTTCATAAAAAGGGTTTGCTAATAAACATAATAGAGGAAATAGAGGAAGTTACTTTTCTTAAAGCTTCAAGAATGAATGAGTATGTGTGCATTAAGAAAATAAGCAAACAGCATGTACTTTGATAAACCATAATTTATATAAATCAAAGGACAAGAGCCAAGAATTACAATAGTTTGTAACCAATGCCTTATAAATACTATAGTTTAAATATGCAAGTAAATAATAAATTCTAAGAACAGCCCTCACTCAGCGATCAGCAGTGCCTTGTATATAATAGAAGAGCAATAAATAAACTTCTGAATCCCTTTTTATTTGTTTCCTGTTTTGTTTGTTCATTCGTTTAATAATATTTGAGCTCTTACTATGTACCAGGTTCTGAGCTAGGTGTGCAGGAATAACAAGCTGAATAAAACACCATCGCTGTCCATGTATCTAATGTGGAAGTAAGAAAAGTCCCAGTTATGAAATATTCAAATGCAGGTAATAGAAAATAAAATGAGACTAATTGTGACTCAAACATTACAGATGTTCCTGTTATCTCACTTAATAAGAAGGCTGGAGGTAGGTGGTTCCAGAGATGATTCAGTGACTCTCTGAAGCCCAATAACCCAGAATATTTTTATTTCTCCTCTACAATCCTTAGTTAGGTGTTGCATTTTCCTCTTCATGCTTGTCACTACTGGTTGCAAGATGACTGTCACAGTGTCTGGCTTTACAGTCCACATTCACAGCAAGAAGAAGGAAGAAAGGGCAATGCCAGAAAGTGATTTTATTTGAGTTTTTTTCTTTTTTTAATCAGAAAACAAAATATCTCTCCCAGAAATACGCCAGCAGTTTCCCTCTTAAGCCTTATTGGCCAGAACTGGCTACCCCTAGCTGCAAGGGTGCTTTCCAACCTCTGTAGTGAGAAGGAGAAAGGAGATAGAAATGACTGTTGATAGGCCGGGCGTGGTGGCTTATGCTTGTAATCCCAGCATTTTGGAAGGCCGAGGTGGGTGGATCACTTGAGGCTAGGAGTTCAAGACCAGCCTGGCCAACATGGCAAAACCCTGTCTTTACTAAAAAATACAAAAACTTAACCAGGCTTGGTGGTGCGCACCTGTAGTCCCAGGTGCTTGGGAGGCTGAGGCAGGAGAATCGCTTGAACCCGGGAGGTGGGGGTTGCAGTGAGCCGAAATCATGCCACTGCACTCCAACCTGGGTGATAGAGTGAGACTGTCTCAAAAAACAAAAAAATAAAATAAGAGAAAGGAAAAAGAAAAGAAAGAAATGGCTGTGGATACCCAGCTAACAAAGTTTGCCACAAGGGACCCAGTGTAGTATGAAATGCCTCCAGGCCATCATAGGCTGTAACAACTTGAACATTAAAGATTCAACATATTTGCATGCAAGGGTGATCTGGCTGTGACATCTGTCATCTTATTGACCACCAGGATTAATTCAGCTGATCTGGCTGGCTAGGCAGGTGTCCCCTTCCTCCCTCAGCACTCCATGTGCCTCTCTCCTGAAGCTGTGCGCTCAGTTGAAGTGGATGACCATCTCCGACAGAGGAGGACCGGCCTTCGGTCAAGGGTACAGAGTAGCTGAGCTCCCCTGCTAGAACCTCCAGACAAGCTCTCAAGATTCAACATATTCATTCATGCAGTAGAGTTTTATGTTTTTTTTTTTTTTGAAGGTTTTGTCTGAGCCAGACCCTGAAGATAGAGCAGTGAATAAGATAGACACAACTCCTTCCCTTGAAGAACTGAAAGTCTAAAAGGGGAAATAGATAGTAGACAAATAATTACACTAAAATATTGTGAGCATATCATCACCAGATACTAATGACCTCCACCAGGATTTCACCCTAAATCCATTTGCACCAGGCTGATCTGCAGCTTAGAAACCCAGAAAAGATCTTATCAACTAAATAGATATAGGGATTCTTTTAACTAGATACACCCACCCAACCACTCAACCAACCAACCAACTTATTTCAAGGGTGTATTTCAAACAGAGGTATTACAATTAGGCTTTTTTGTAGTTTCACAGGTATGCCTGTAAGAGGCAGTTTTTGTGTTAATTTGCCTCCTCCCAGCTCTTTGCACTGTGTTAAGAACCTGGACCCTGACAAGGCAGGTCAAACAGTTTCTTAGGGTGAGGTTGTAACCTTCTGCTGTTCTAACCTCAGCCTCTTGCCCTGCTTCTCCAGGGGCTGGAGGATGCTGCCAGGCAGTGAGCATGGCTGTAGGCCAGCACAGGAGCATGGGGGGCTTGCAAACTGCACATGGGTAACATTTGAACAAACTAGAGCTTCTGGAAAAATCAAAGAACAAAGCCCCATCCCTGAGAAAAACCTACAATGGACTCCGCCAGGTCCAAACAACGGCTGCACCACTTGTGGCAACATAAAAGGCCAACTTCCCGGCCATGAGTAATGTGCTTTTGGCAGCTGTTAAAAGGGGCCTAAAACCCCACTGGCTCCCAGACCCAGCCGGACGGGCCAGGTGCAGGCTGACAGGAGAGCTGTGTTGATTCTAAAGGCCAGAGATGTTATTTTGAGGTTTGACTGTTTATGTCTCATTACTGCTAATTTCCATGAGTTTGCAGGCCTCGTTCTGTCAGCTCTATCCCCTGGTGGAGAAATCTATCTACACATGAAGACTATTCACTAACCTACCCCAACCTCCAATTTTTTTGTGTGATGAGAATCATTTCTGGGAATACAACAATCTACATATGGAAGTTTCTTAAGCAATTTCAGTTTAGGTTTGTGGGTCCCTCTCCTCTGAAGTTCTCTCACTTGGTATGAGCAGGGCTGGCCTGGGACACATTTAAACCACGTTGTAACCTTCTAGTTGCCCTCCTCTTAGGAAGCTTGTAACTATTAATACAGTGGCCTGTGCAAACACATGAAAATATTAGCTTTCTTTTATGCAGTTAGAAAATGAAATGGAAAAAGATTGGATTCATAAGGCAAAAGCATATATAACACGTGGGATTAAATTTGACAAGAAATGTGCAGGGGACAAAAGGCTCCTTCCTCCCTCCCCCCAACATTTTTGTGTATTCCCCATGCAGTCCTTTGACTGTGTCGGTCCTCATCCCACAGAGCCCCTTCCTGGTCCCCAGTCCTACCTGCTGCTGCTCCTAAGACTTTTCTTAGCTTTTTTATCATGGAAAATTCTAAACATATACAAAGTAAATCCAATAGTATAATGAACACTCATGTACCCATCTCATTCTGCCATCTCTATATTATCTATTCCTCCACTCTTCCATTGCATTATTATTTTTCTTAAGAGTTGTTTAAGGTAAAATTTACGTACATTGAAATATTCAGTTCTTGGGCTCTTAGCGGTCCAAGTTTGACAAATGGATACATCACCCATGTAACTTACTCCCTATCACAACATAGAATTTCCCCCTCCCCTGATTCCTTCTTGTACCTTCTCAGTCAATCCCCCCTAGGCAACCATTGTTCTGATTTTTTTTTAAACCTCAGATTTATTGTTATTTTTTGGCCTGTTTTAGAACTGACAGCGGTTTTTCTGATTTGTGTCCTATCTCTGAACTCTACTCTTAGTTTCCTAACATGAGAGCTGGCTTATCTACTAAGACAACACACTGATTTGTGGGTAGGTGAATGGACAGATGTATTACCTCTCTCAAGTCAGACCTTGGCATTTCACAGAGGTCTTTGGAGATAGAGACATTAGCCTCAAAATGTCCCTCTTCTAAGATGAGATCTTGTGGCAGGCTGTGGTAAGGGAGGCATATGAGGGGTCCCTCAACTCTTATCCCCTGGGGCCTGTTGGATATGGTACAGTATGTATGGCAGAATATAGGGTTCATAAACTGTTACACAGGCAGATCTTGCTTGCGAAATCTTGGCTTATGAACACTCTCTACTTCTTTGCCTTATTACAAGGTGTCATTCTCACTGTTTTGAGCCCATCTCCCTTAGCCAGCTCCCCTAACCCTTTCTTCTGCTTGGCCATGACACTGTTATTGCCTCTTACTCTCAGGCCGGTCCTGATGTGGCTGACAGAGGTGCCAGGACCCCTCTTCATGTTCTGATTGTCAAATTCTCTGCTGAGGCATGAATTTGAACATTGGAGAGTAACACCTTAAACAAAGGTTTAGATTTTCTTTTTTAAAGTTTTGTTTTTGTTTTTGTCTTTTTGAGACAGGGTCTCACTCTGTCACCCAGGCTAGAGTGTAGTGGTGCAATCAATGACTCACTGTAGCCTTGACCTCCTAGGCTCAAACGATCCTCTTGCCTCAGCCTTCTGAGTAGCTGAGACCACAGGTTCATGCCACCACCACAGCTAATTTTTTATTTTTTGTAGAGTCGGGGTCTTGCTATGTTGCTCAGGCTGGTCTCAAACTTCTAGGCTCAAGCGGTCCTCCTGCCTAGGCCTCCCAAAGTGCTGGGATTACAGGGATAAGCCACCACACCCGATCTTCTTTTCTACAGTTAATAAATACTAAGTTGTATTCTCTGAGCTACCTTTTCAGGTAGTTCTGGATCTCAGCAGAGAGGAAAGAATATTTGTTAAGCATTGATTATGCTCCAGGCTCTTAATCAGTCTCTAGGATAAGTTAGCAGCAAGATATACCCCAAATACCTGACTTTTGCAAGTCATTCAGCAGGGCTTTGACCCCCCAGCTAAACTAGGGCTTCACAGAGGGAGACTTGATAACATCATTATTATTATAGCTATAATATGTTGGGCACCCACTATCGAGCAAGCAATTCATACACGTTATCTCTTCTAGTGCTTTTGAAGGCAGACATTTTAGTCTTCACAGAAAAAGGGGGAGGGAACAAACATTGATTGATTTGCAATTCACATCTCAGCCTATGAAGTAGGCACTATTATTATCCCTTCTTAAAGACTGAATGAGATAATACATACAAGGTCTTTAGAACAATGTCTGCCCTATAGAAAGCACTACATGAACACTTACCTTTATTGTTACTAGGTAATTCACTTGCTCAAAGTTGCATTGCTAGAAAGGAGTAGAGAATGGGTCTTGAGCTGTTGGTTTTTTCCCTCCCACACTCCCCAGAGATGGCTTCGAAGTCTTGGCACCCAGAAGACATGACACTAACCTTGAGCTCAGTTCTTGGTGTTTGGCAGGGTGTTGGTGGAATCTGCAATTTACAGTGAAATAGGAGCGGTTTCTTCCAAGATGGATGATGTCTTAGCTTGTTTGGGTTGTTATAACAGAATACCATAGACTGGATAGCTTATGAACAACAGAAATTTATTTTCTCACGGTTCTAGAGGCTGGGCTATTCGAGATGAAGGAGCTGCCAGATCCGGTGTCTGATGAGGGCCTCTTTCTGGTCCTTCCCATGTCCTCAAATGACAAATAGTGCAAATGAGCTCTCTGAGGTTTCTTTTAAAAGTGTACTAATCCCGTTCTTAAGCGGTCCATCCTCGTGACCAAGGCTAACCTCCAAATACCATCATCAAATTGGGGGTTAGGATTTAAAGATATGAATTTTTGGGGGTCACAAACGTTCAATCCATTACAGATGAGAAGCCCACCTCTGGATTCTGCTCCCTGGAATGCAGCCTGCATTACTGTCCTCTTTAAAAAGGCTATGCTGGTACATCTGCCATTTGCTCAGAGCCCTGGTCAATTAGATGACTGTTAGATCACATATTTATCTAAGACATTATGTCTGTAGGAAATCAATGAATATAAATATTTGTTAAGTGCCTATTGTGTGTCAAGGCAATTAAACAGGAACATCTGCATTTCAGCAGATTTCTGGAATAATCCTTACCATGACCTAGATGCACTGGTTTCCGTCTGTTTTCTGACTTCATCCTCTGTCCCTCTCCCTTGCTCATTGTGCTCCAAGAACATGGGCTGTCTTTCTAGTCCATTGACATGTCAATCTCATGCCCAACTCAGAACCTGCATGAAGAAGTGCAGATGCTCTTCCCAGAACAGATGCTCCTCCTCCACATCTGTTCATGATTGGCTCTTTCCCATTGCTCAGGACTCAGCTCCCAAATCCCCATCAAAAAGGACTGACTAACCTAGAACCACTCCCATCTCCACCCTGTTTATTGTTTTGTTTTGTTTTGTTTTTAATTACTTTGCTCTGTTTATTTTCTACTTAGAACTATTCCCAAACTAAAAATATCTTACAATTACTTAGGAAGCTGCACGAGGGGCAGACATCTTAGTCTGATGATTTAATGCTATATCCCCAGAGCCTAGAACAGTGATCTCAGTATTTGTTGAATGCATGATGAATAACAATAATAATAATAACTTAGGTAATGTATTGCTGCTACTCATGGTCATGTGGTCCTCTCAATAACCAGTGGAGACAGGGAGGGCAATTATATTTACACTGCAGGAAGAGAAACTAAGTCTCAGTTGTGAAGACTGTAGACACAGTGCTTGTTCCATTTTCCTTCTTAAACTTTTTGGCATCCTTCACTGCATGTCCAGCACTACGCTAGAAGCTGAAGTGGTTTTTTGTTTGTTTGTTTGTTTGCTTGCTTGTTTTGAGGTGGTGTCTTGCTCTGTCACCCAGGCTAGAGTGCAGTGGCGTGATCTCAGCTCACTGCAACCTCCGCGTCCTGGGTTCAAGCTATTCTCCTGTCTCAGCCTCCCAAGTAGCTGGGATTACAGGTGCCTGCCACCACACCCAGCTAATTTTTGTATTTTTAGTAGAGACGGGTTTCACCATGTTGGCTAGGCTGGTCTCGAACTCCTGACCTCAAGTGATCCACTCGCCTCGGTCTCCCAAATTTCTGGGATTACAGGCGTGAGCCACCACGACGGGCCAGTTTTCGTATTTTTTTAAACGGGGTTTTAACACTCCCTTTCTTTTGAGGACACTTGCTCTCCTTAGCTTTTGCAGGGTTATGCCAAAGCAGGAAAAAAAAATGCATTTGAGACAGTGAATAAAGGCTTCTTGTAGCATCTGCAGCAGAAGTTGGTGAATCTGCTACTGCTTTGTAGGTCTTTGAAACAGGAGGAATTTTCTTCTGCCTTTCATAGTTTCTGGAAAAGCTATCCTAAAATAGATAGGTAAAATGATATTGGTCACTAGTAAAGGAAATATGAGCTAACCATGTTGGCATAAAAAGGAAGGGAGAAACTTCTTTTGGATAAGAACTTGATGTGTGTGGAGGGGCGGAGGATGGATATTTTCTCTGAGTGGTGGGTGCCCTGTGTGACAGAATGATGAACACGTCTTATCTGGAGAAAATTTTTATAAGACTCCATTTTAAAAATCACACGCACACACAAACACACACACACACATATCAATCAATCAGCATTAATTATTATTTGCATTTCAAAAAGATTTCTCAAATGATAAAATAATTATTTTAATATCCAAATAAAAACTTTTGTGTATATTAAGTACTATACCAGGCACTTTTATAGTTTCCTATTCAATCTTCAAAACCATTGTATTAGGGTTCTTTAGAGGACAGAACTATATATATATATATATATATATATATATATATATATAGGAAAGTTTATTAAGTATTAACTCACATGATCACAAGGTCCCACAGTAAGCCGTCTGCAGGCTGAGGAGCAAGGAGAGCCAGTCCAAGTCCCAAAACTGAAGAACTTGGAGTCCGATGTTCGAGGGCAGGAAGCATCCAGCATGGGAGAAAGATATAGTCCGGGAGGTTAGGCCAGTCTCTCTTTTTATGTTCTAGTGGTGCTGGCAGCTGATTAGATTGTGTCCACCCAGATTAAGGGTGGGTCTGCCTTTCCCAGCCCACTGACTCAAATGTTTATCTCCTTTGGCAACACTCTCACAGACACACCCAGGATCAATACTTTGTATCTTTCAATCCAATCAAGTTAACACTTAGTATTAACCATCACAACCACCCTTTCCTTTGAGGTGGGTGTCTAATCTACACTTTTAGAGAAGAAACCAAAGCTCAGAGACAGTGCTTAAGGATCTTGCCCAAAGTTGCACAGTAAGTAGCAGAAATGAATTTGGACCTAAATCCAGTGTTCTTTTTACATTTACATTTTTAAAATGTAGTCCTGGATACTTGTCCTACAACACATAAAATTTGATTCTGTTTAGTGAAAGATGTATTTGCCTTCAATTTTTCAGGAATTTTTCCTTCAATCAACCACTGTTTATTGTCCTTGTGTCACATCCATCTTTCAGGCACATATTCAGCATATCAGCACGTTTAGCTCTTACATGCCCCCAAGCATGTGGGGCTGGCTCCACCATCCTGTTTTGAGGACCCATGTTTAGAAATCCATTCTGCTTAAAGAGAGATGAGGACAGTTGAGAGGACAGAAAACAATCCAGTACAATTAACATGTCAATAGCGGCAACATGAAACCCAGTGTTGAGCAATTTGGGCCTGTGTGAACAAACAACTGAAATAATTTCAAGCCCCGTATTTTAAGAGTGAAGAGAGAGAGAGAGAGAGTGTGTGTGTGTGTGTGTGTGTGTGTGTGTGTAGGCATGTGCTTGCACACAAGTGTAGCTTACAGGTTTTTTCATTTTTTTGTTTTAAGACAGGGTCTTGCTCTGTTGCCCAAGCTGGAAGGCAATGGCACAATCACAACTCACAGCAGCCTCAACCTCCTAGGCTCGAGTGAGCGATCCTCCCACCTTAGCCTCTATTTTTGTATTTTTTGTAGAGATGAGGTATTGCCATGTTGCCTAGGCTGGTCTCAAACTCCTCAAGGGATCTGCCTGCCTCACCTCCCAAAGTGTTGAGGTTACAGGTGTGAGCCACCGCACCTGGCTGGTTTTTGTTTTTTTAATATATTTTTTATCTTTATAGATTTAGGGAGTACAAGTGCAGATGTGTTACATGGACATATTGCATAGTGATAAACTCGGGTTTTTGTTTTTTTTTTTGAATTGGCTTTAACTGAATAATCAATCACTGCAATAAATTTCACCTTAATTTATTGGATTACCATGAGAATGTTTGGATAGAAACAAACTAAAGTATCATAGAATCTTAAAGCAGTTCCCACCTGATAAATCCAGCCTCCGTGTTTTTGCGATGAGAAAATAGAGGCCAAAAGAGGCTTAAGGGTTTCAAGGTCTCTCAGTAAAGACAGACCCCAGGTATCTCAGCCTGTGGCTGCCAGAGGCAATTGCCTTGGAGAACTCTGTTCTCACTCCTGGACTTCTGGTTGCTCCTAAGCAGAAATATTCATTTGTGCCTGGTGTGGAAGATTATTTTCCTCAGGTTCAGTCACATTGCAGTGTGGAAAGGGATTCAGTTTAATACCTGAGTGGGCACATGTGGTGCAACAGGTTTGTACACTGAAATACCTATGTGAAAATCTTCTTACCTGGCATCTCCTTGGCGGCATTCAGGTGCATGTGGACACCTTGTCCCAAGGAGTCTGGATGAAGGCCAGGAGTCTTGCACAGCAAGTGTGTGTGTTGAACCAACATTTCTGGTTATGACTCTCCAGGGACTCTTCTTTGAAGATTATGCAACTCCAGCTAAGAGGATGGGCTTTCCTTACCAGCTTTGCACACTGAATTAACTTTTAAAGAACAAACAACAGCTTCTCTACCCTCTTTTATAGAAGTTTTTATTTCTCTGTTTCTGGCTAAGTAGTGTTTAGAGAAGGGAGAGAGAATTCTGTTAGACATGACAATGTTTTTCTAATTTTTGTTTTAATTTGCAAGTCATTTTTAATTTGTGGAATTTGAAAGAAGCATAAATCAAGTGAAAATATTATTGCACATTTTTAAAAAAGAAAGCTCTTATTTGTTTTTCAAAATACAACAGGTTCCTCTGCTTAATGATTTTTTTTTTTTGCCATTTATGTGAACCCCTAATTTTTAAAATCAATTTAGTTTCAAAAATAGCCAAAATGGGCTGTGTGTAGTGGCTCACGCCTGTAATCCCAGATATTTGGGAGGCTGAGGCACAAGAATTGCTTGAACCCAGGAGGTGGAGGCTGCATGAGGCAAGATCATGCCACTGCACTCCAGCCTGGGGGACAGAGTGAGACCCTGTCTCAAACAAACAAATAAACCACAACCAGTGAGACTTTGTCAAAAAAACAAAAAACAAAAAAAACACAACCACTCAAAACTATTTCTTAGGATCACATGGCCCTGGTTACCTGGCTGGAGTTTTTACCATTTATTATTGCTTCAGGTGGGTTAGGATTATTCATTTCCCTTGGTCTTATAGTTCTGAATGGAAGACTTCTTTTCTTAAAGTAACATCCCTGGTCTCTCTTTACCCCCGCTACCTCTGGTGTTTGGGCATAAGAACTGGGCATGCATGACTCAGCCTCTTGGACTCCACTTCCCTGTTAGCCTGGCTGCCTGCAGAGAGTATGTTTTTTAGTCTGTTCTCTGCATAGTGTTGTTAGTGGGGCACGTTCCATCCCTATGAAGAGAGCCTGTGGCTTTCCAACTCTTCCTGTGACCAAGCAGACACGTTTAATTTGGGGCAAAATGTAAGTCACAGATTTAAAACCATGTTCTCCAATCCAGCTTTACCAGCGATCAAGATAAAGTTTTTTTTTTTTCGTTTGTTATTGTTGTTGTTGTTGTTGTTGAGATGCAGTCTCACTCTGTCACCCAGGCTGGAGTGCAGTGGCGCGATCTTTGCTCACTGCCACCTCCTCCTCCCGGGATCAAGCAATTCTCCTGCCTCAGCCTCCAAGTAGCTAGGATTACAGGCGTGCGCCACCACATCGGGCTAATTTTTGTATTTTTAGTAGAGACGAGGTTTTGCCATGTTGATCAGGCTCATCTTGAATTCCTGACCTCATGTGATCCACCTGCCTCTGCCTCCTAAAGTTCTGGAATTACAGGTATGAGCCACGGTGCCCGGCCCAAGATAAAGTTCTGATCTTCAACTGTCTGACTCTTGTGTCTATCTCTCAGTTGGTCTTAAACTCAGGTGAGGAAAAAGGGCTTAGTTCTGTAAAACCTCAACACATATAATGTTGTATAGACAAATTCTTAATGTTTTTCTATAACCTAATTATTTGGACTGGAAGTAATCTATTTTGGTCAATATTTCAAGGGTGGAAAGCACTACTATAGAAACTAACAAATTTGAATCATTTAGGAATAAGCTTTATTTTTTATTTTATTAGTTTTCATTTTTTAAAAAATTCCCATTATGTACAATTAGAAAAATAGAAAAAAAGTAGGATAAATACTCTTATTATAAGGCCCCCATTCAAAATATACTAACACGATTGTTTTGGTGTATTTCCATTAAGAATATTTTCTGGGGTGGACATGGTGGCTCATGCTAATCCCAGCACTTTGGGAGGCCGAGGCGGGCAGATCACTTGAGGCCAAGAGTTCGAGACCAGCCTGGCCAACACGATGAAACCCCGTCTCTACTAAAAATACAAAAATTAGCCAGGCATGGTGGCGTGTGCCTGTAATACCCAGCTACTTGCGAGGCTGAGGCACAAGAATCACTTGAATCTGGGGTCAGAGGTTGCAGTGAGCCAATATCATGCCACTGCACTATAGCCTGGGTAACAGAGCAAGACCCTCTCTCCAAAATAAATAAATAAATAAATAAATACAATACAATATTTATATGAGTAATACATCCTTGTGGCTGCATTAGTAATTTTGTAAGGGAGGCTGCTGATGTATTATTGATCATGGCAAAAACAGAATCTTGACTTAACAATTAGTTGTGGTCTACCTAATTTATCTATACATAAAGAGCTTTTTAAATTTAGAACTTGAGGAAGACAATAATTTGTTGAGAACGACCAATCCGCTCATTGTGAAAAGAACTAGAGTTTGCTTACAAGATTACATGCAACAAACTACAAAAAATGAACAGTGACATCTGACTCCAGACCCTAGTTCTTCCTCACAAAGAACTAGTGGTAACCTTTTTCCAGCATGTGTTTCTTCCAGCAGTCCACAAAACTGCTTGTGGCCTGTTGCCTTGCTATATATGGACCTCACCAGAAGCCATGTGATGTGTCAGCTCTGTTTCCCTTGCTAAGTGCGATGGCTGACCACTAAGCTGGCTGGAGTGGGCTATTCACCTATGCTCTCCCTGGGGCTATAATCTCTCTGCCCAGTCAGTTTTCTCTTGAGCACTGTAACCGTGGGAGGGACATGTTTAACACCTTTCAGTGGAAAGACTCATTTCCTCTGGAGTCTAAGTTGAAGAAGGATATTCTCACAGGCAGGTCGTAGACTGTGTTAAACACTTCCTGTGTGATGTCATTTAACACTGCAATCTCCCACAACCCAGCAGTAATGCACAGGGACTAATGTCATCCAATAATGCGGGCTACATGGGCTTTATTTTAAAACACAGTTGTAAATTCTGTAATGTACCACATATATCCAATAAAAGACAGGATTTTCGTAAAAATATTCCTCAGAAAAGAGTCACCATATGTTCAAGTCCTTACAAAGTTGATCACACTATAGAAGTTTCCTTCTCAATATTTTGTTTTGAATAACAACTTATTGTTTAGGGAAGACATGTTAGTTTGAAAAAAACTTCAGCCAATGTTAGTTCTTCACGTTTATTGAGCTCATCTGCTGGAATATTTAAAAGTTACTAAAAAACTTAATATGGAGTCAATAATTAATCCTGAGGTTATTACTACACAACTTTAAGTCCTGGTTACATTTTCAAAGTAAGTTTAAAAAAATTACTTTAAAAAGTATAAGTGGTTATATTAATACATACCTATGTGGCAAATGAGAAAAATTATCTATCCTACAACTCAATAAAAAAGACAAATTATCCAATTAAAAATGGGAAAAGGATCTGAATAGACATTTCTCCAAGAAAGCTGTACAAGAGACCAATAAACACATGAAGAGATGCTTAGCATTATAAGTCACAGAAGGACAAATCAAAACTACAATAAGATACTACTTCATACCCACTAGGTTGGCTGGAAACAAAAAGTCAGATAACCATGAATATTGGTGAGGATGTGGAGAAATCACAATTCTCATACACTGCTAGTGGGAATGTAAAATGGTACAGCTGCTTTGAAAAAAAGTCTGGCAGTTCCTCAAATGATTAAACATAGTATTACCATATTCTACTCCAGGTATATGCCCAAGCAAAATGAAAACATATGTCCACATAGAAATATGAACATGAATGTTTATAGCAACTATATTCATAATAGCCAAAAGCTGGAAACAACCCAAACATTTATCAACTGATGAATGGATAAACAAGATGTTGTATATTTATACAGTGGAATATTATTTGGCTGTAGAAAGAAATGAAGTACTGATACACGCTGCAACATGGATAACCCTTGAACATATCATGCCAAGTGAAAGAAGCCAGTCACAAAGGACCACATAATATATGATTCAATTTGTATGAAAGTCCAGAAGAGGGAACTCTACAGATCAGAAATTAGATCATAGGTTACTTGGGCCTGGGGGAGGGGATGGGTAGATAAGGAGGTGGTAGTTAAAGATTACGGAGATTTCTTTTTGAAGTGATGAAAATGTTTTAAAGCTGATTGTGGTGATGGTTACATATATCTGTGAATATACTAAAAAACATTGGATTGTACACTTTACGTTTGTGAGTTGCGTGGTATGTGAATTCTATCTCAAAAATTCAACATCTGTCGATAAAATATGATTATCTACTGAAAAAAAGGTCAACTATCCTGATAGTTTATAACTGGTTGGTTGTAGCTTATAATAAAAATTCCACGGCCAGGAGCCTGTATAAAATAAAAAGTAGTATATCACAAATAAGATAAAACAAAATTAAGTTTTTGTTTTTGTTTTTGTTTGAGACAGAGTCTCACTCTGTTGCCCAGGCTAGAGTGCAGTGGCGTGATCTCAGCTCACTGCAGCATCCATTTCCTGGGTTCAAGCAATTCTCCTGCCTCAGCCACCTGACCTGAATAGCTGCGATTACAGGCACGCACCACCATGCTTGGCTAATTCTTGTATTTTTAGTAGAGACAGGGTTTCACCATCTTGGCCAGGCTGGTCTTGAACTCCTGACCTCAAGTGATCTGCCCACTTCGGCCTCCCAAAGTGCTGGGATTACAGACATGAGCCACCTCTCCCAGCCTTGTTTTTCTTTTTTTTTTTTTTTTTTTTTGAGAAGAAGTCTCTCTCTTGTCCCCCAGGCTGGAATGCAATGGTGTTATCTCGGCTCACTGCAACCTCCGCCTCCCGGGTTCAAGGGGTTCTCCTGCCTCAACCTCCTGAGTAGCTGGGATTACAGGTGCCTGCCACCACGCCTGGCTAATTTTTGTGTTTTTAGTAGAGACAGGGTTTCACCATGTTGGCCAGTCTGGTCTTGAACTGACCTCAGGTGATCCGCCCGCCCCGGCCTCCCAAAGTGCTGGGACTACAGGCGTGAACCACCACGCCCAGCCATTTTTGCTTTGAGACAAGGTCTTGGTCTGTTGCCCAGGATGGAGTGCAATGGTGTAATGATAGCTCACTGGAGCCTCAAACTCCTGAGCTCAAGTGATCCTCCCACTTTGGCCTCCCAAAGTTTTGGGATTACAGGCATGAGCCATCATGCCCACCCAAAAAGAAAACTAAGTAATACCTAGACATTAGGTCACTCTTGATGGATGTTAGGAAACCAACCCATTATTCTGAAAACTAATAAAAAGAAGGAATCACACATTTATCTTGCCTTTCCTGAAGACTGCACCTTAGGATAATCAAAAGTTGATAAGAGAACATTTTTCCTTAGAGAAGTATTCTAGCTAATAAATGAAGAAGAAATGATAGAATCAGAGTATCACCATTTTGCACCCTTTCTGAAATAGTGAATCTAGGTAGTGATGATTAATGGCTATAATAACACAAAAAGAAAAACAACCAACCAATTAGCCTCTTGATGAA
This sequence comes from Homo sapiens, assembly GCF_000001405.40. Classification (NCBI taxonomy): domain Eukaryota; kingdom Metazoa; phylum Chordata; class Mammalia; order Primates; family Hominidae; genus Homo; species Homo sapiens. The sequence goes on along the minus strand of NC_000008.11, from coordinate 98,908,082 downwards.
AGTGCTAAGAAATATTCTTGCCAATAAATAGAATGTGAATGTGATAAAGTCTCCAGAGCCACCTACTATTTCCCAGGAGATAAAGGGGAGTAGAGGAACATGATACAAGACACCACAGGAATGCAGTCAGCAAAATTCCAGGTATGGGAAACTCTAAAGGGCGGATCAACAAATGAATTGCATGCAAGGAAAAAAGAGCCAGAGGAAGGAGGACACCCATAGATTAAAAGATAATTAAAAAACATATCAACTAAATGCAAGTTATGGACCTAGTCTGGATCCTAATTTAAACAACTTTATGACACAATTGGGGAAATCTGAACACTTGCTACATGTTTAATGATGTGAAGGCATTATTAATTTTTAGGTACTATAATGTGATTGCAGTTATATTTCTCAAAAAGAGCTTTCTCTTCGGGATACATATTGAAATATTTTTGGGTGAAATGATAAGATATCTGGGATTTGCTTAAAAACAATTCAGGAAGGAGGGCATGGAGGATTATGAACGAAACATTGGCCATGAGTTGATAGTTGTTGAGGTTATTTTTTTGTTTGTTTGTTTGTTTTGAGATGGAGTCTCTCCCTGTCGCCCAGGCTGGAGTGCAGTGGCACAATCTCGGCTCACTGTAACTTCTGCCTCCCAGGTTCAAGGGATTCTCCTGCCTTAGCCTCCCGAGTAGCTGGGACTACAGGTGGTGCCACCACGCCTGGCTAATTTTTTTGTATTTTTAGTAAAGACGGGGTTTCACCATGTTAGCTAGGATGGTCTCGATCTCCTGAACTTGTGACCCGCCAGCCTCAGCCTCCCAAAGTGCTGGGATTACAGCCATAAGCCACCGCACCCGGCCTTTTTTGAGATTTCTATATACTTCTATTTGTGTTTGAAATTTTCTGTAATAAATTTTGTTTTTTGGTTGCTTTTGAGACAGAATCTTGCTCTGTCGCCCAGGCTGGAGTGCAGTGGCACAATCATGGCTCACTGGAGCCTCCAAATCCTGGGCTCAAGCAATTATCTCACCTCAGCCTCTGGAGTAGCTGGGACTACAGGTGCATACCACCATGCCTGGCTAATTTTTTTTTTTTTTTTTTTATTGGTAGAGATGGGGTTATCCCTATGTTGCTCAGGCTGGTCTCGAACTCCTGGTCTCAACAGATCCTCCCTCCTTAGTCTCCCAAAATGCTGGGATTACAGGCGTGAGCCTCCACACCCAGCCTGTAATAATTTTTTTGTTTTTAAGAAAAAAGTACTATGTGGCAAATAGTTTGGATAGAAGTGAAGATGAGGTGGTCAGGAAAATTGGTAGAGAACATCTCTTTAGAGGTGATGGAAGACACTGACATGAAACATGCCTTTAAAAAGTTTGAATAAAATGTTTTCATGAAATGTGTGAGTGGGAAAAGGCAATTTTTAAAAATAACATTTTTTAATACTTGCAATTTTGTATATGCATTTTAAACTAAATTACCAAGTTAAATATTGTAAGAAGATAGTTAAACATTTCATCTTTGCATCAGTGGCCAAAACGACTTGGCTGTCTGATGAGTGCAGCCCCAGGCTCCAAGTTCCTGACTGCCCTCCTCTGTTGCTGTGGCATTCCTGGAAGGCAGTGGATCTGGAAGCACTGGCGGCCGCGCTGCAGACCATGAGAACTACTACTGAACAAGCGTGTCCTATCTGACCACGGGGCAGGAGCACAACCACGCTGTGGTGCACAGGGCTGAGGCCTTCCATGCCGTGAAGGCAGTCAACACTTCCAAGTTCTGCCCTCATAGATTTGTTGTAGACCAGCTAAACCATCACAATGTCACCAAGAAACGGCCCTAACTCTGAGCCATAACTCTAGATTTTATAGATCATGGTGCTGCCCTGTTTTTACCTATCCTTGGAATTGAAAAACTGTAGCTTCTATAGAAATGTGAGCCTTTGGACAGGGATCTTATTAAGATTGTTAAATCAAGTTTAGCCTAAAGCTGCCTCCTTACATATTTTAATTTTGGCCTAGGTTTCTCCGTGCATAATGAACTATAACAAGTGGAGGTGTAAACAGACCGTAGCCCACACGTGTGCCAATCTCTGAGTTTTGACCAATCACATGTAGCCAACTCTTTGAACTGTGTTCAAATAAGGCAAAAGCTGAGCTGTAACCAATCTGGCTGTTTCTGTACCTCACTTCCGTTTTCTGCACATCACTTTCCTTTTTCTGTCCATAAATCTCCTTCTACCATGTGGCTGCGCTGGATTCTCTGATCCTACTCTGGCTCCGAATTTGTGAATCGTTCGTTGCTCAATTAAACTCTTTTAAATTTAATTCGGCTGAAGTTTTTCTTTTATCAAGACAAACGATTTTGTAGGGTTCTCTCTGACGCAGGAGCTACCTCCGCCGCTGCCACCCAGAGGTGCTTGTCCGGATGATGAAGCTGTTCATCAGAAACCTGCCCCAGGAGGCCACAGAGCAGGAGATCCGCTCTCTTTTCAAGCAGTAGGGAAGGTGCTGGAATGTGACATCATTAAGAACTACGGCTTTGTACACATAGAAGACAAGACGGCGGCTGAGGATACCATACACAACTTGCATCATTACAAGCTTCATGGGGTGAACATCAACGTGGAAGCCAGCAAGAATAAGAGCAAAGCGTCAACCAAGTTACACGTGGGTAACATCAGTCCCACTTGTACCAACCAAGAGCTTCAAGCCAAGTTTGAGAAGTATGGTCCAGTCATTGAATGTGACATCGTGAAAGATTATGTCCTCATACACTTCATACACATGGAGTGGTCAGAGGACGCAGTGAGACCGTCAGGGGCCTTGACAACACAGAGTTTCAAGGCAAGATAATGCATGTGTAGTTGTCCACAAGCCCGACTTCGGACTGCCCCTGGAATGGGAGACCAGTGTGGCTGCTATCAGTGTAAGAAAGAAGGTCACTGGTCCAAAGAGTGCCCAGTAGATCGTACGGGTCGTGTGGCAGACTTTACTGAGCAGTGTAATGAACAATATGCAGCAGTTCACACGCCTTACACCATGGGCTATGGGGAATCCAGGTATTACAACGATGCATATGCAGCACTCCACTACTATAAGCGATACTGGGTCTGCTCTTACGAGGCAGTAGCAGCAGCGGCAGCAGCTTCTGCATGTAACTAGGCAGAGCAGACCATGTCCCATCTGCCTCAAGTCCAAAGTACAACTGTGACCAGCCACCTCAACTCTACTTCTGCTAATCCCTAAGACAGATACCTATTGCCAAGTTCTTGTGCTGCTGCCACTTCAGCTACTATGGCTGCCGCTCCGGCCACCACTTCCTCCTATTGTGGAACCGCGTCATGCTGCAGCCATGCTCCCCACAGTTGGAGAGGGCTACGGTTATGGGCCAGAGAGTGAGTTATTTCAGGCTTCAGCAGCTACACGGAATTCTCTACACGACATGGCCCGGTATGAACGGGAGCACTATATGGACCGAGCCTGGTACTCAGCCTTTTAAAAACTGGAGGTAGAATAATTGCTGACTGAACCCTCGGGCTGCGGGCATATATGAGAACTTGCTCCGTGCGGTCCCCTTTGCCAGGATGTTTCCATTGCTTCACGTTTCAGTAAACAAAAGGAGTTTGTGACCAACTATGTTTTCTTTCTTAATTTAATTCTTCTAAGTTGACTTTTCTTTCCTCCTGATACTAGTCTCTGTAGCCTTTTTTACTCTGTTCCTTATATTCTCAGCCTCTGAACAGCCCTAGGTAAGGATTATGCTGGCATCCCCTTTTTCCTGTGCAGTGGAACCCCTCTTATCTTGCTTTCCCTAGGAGTTGAATACTTCTCCCTGCCTACCTGCAGCATCTCCTTTCTCTTTCAAATGACCATGTAGTGGCAAGCAGCCTTTTACTCTTCTCTGTTAGTTCTGGACTCTAACATTGAAGTTAATCTTCTGAAATTGCTAGGACCATTGGGGGTTGTGTTGTTTGTTTTTTTATATCTGACCTGTGATCGTGGTACAGCATTAGCTGAAATTTAGCCTTGTTTTACTCCACTCCTCCCATTTTTAAATAATTTTTTGACAAATAAACATTTCTAACACTTAAGAAAAAAAAGACATAAACATGAGCATAGTGGTCTGCATATAGAATATCTGGGGCTCTAAACTCCCTAATATTTAAAAGTATAATCACTGTCCTATTGTGTTTCTTATTTCTTTAGGCTGATAGGAAGATATCAGGTATCAGGGTTTTCCTGTGTGACAGATGATAAAAAACGTATTTTGAATGAAAGCTGCAGTAAATCTACAAACTATGATTTGGGGTCTTTGCTTAAGTATGAGATATTTGATGAGGACTTTATAATGCAACATTAGTTTCCATACCTTCTGTCAAAAATAATTGCCTAAGGCCAGGCACAGTGGTTCACATCTGTAATGCAGTGTTTGGAAGGCTGAGGCTAGAGGATCACTTGAACCCAGCAGTTGGGCTGCTATTGTGTCACTGCACTCCAGCCTGAGTGACAGAGCAAGGCCCCACTTAAAAAAAAAAAAAGGAAGAAGAAGAAGAAGAAGAAGAAGAAGAAGAAGAAGAAGAAGAAGAAGAAGAAGAAGAAGAAGAAGAACTTCCTAAATTGAAGTGGAAATATAAGCTTTTTCAGTTAAACATACTAAAAAATAGCATTTTCTTCTGGGATTTGACTACTAAAAAGAGCATTCTCTTCTGGGATTCATTAGAAAAAAAAATCATCCCCATTGCTAAAAGTTTATTCAAGTTTTCTATCACCTGCCCATAAAAACTCAATTGTTTTAATATTTTCATCAGGATAACTTGGGACTGTATAATAGTCAAAGTTGCTCATATTCAGGCATATATGATATAAGCAATTATGTGTTTTCATTTAGTGCATTCAATGTCATATCCTAGCCATTTCCCTGTGCTATAATGAAATTGTAGTAAACATAATTTTCATGGCCCCTTAGGGTATTAGAGTCACTGAAAGGAGACCCGCATGGCTAGAACACACTGAAAGATGGAGATGCAGAAGGAGATGGTGCTAAAGAGGCGGTAGAAGCCAGAGTCTTTTAGGTTATGTTAGGGAATTTGGGTTTTGTCTTAAGTGAAAGGCAGGACAGTGGTGATTGAGAGGCTTGGGTTTTGGAGTCAGACTGACTGAGTTCAAATCTTAACTCTACACTGTTCTAGTTGTCAATTTGGGCAAATTAATTTCTCCAGTCCTCAGTTTCCTTATCTGTAAAATAGGATGGTAATCACAGGGTTGTGAAGACTAAGATAATGCACCTGTGTAATGCATGATAATCTCTGCAAAGTGCCTGACACATTGGCTATTATTAAGTGCAATGGGAAGCCATTGAAGTATTTTTGTGTAGGATAGTGACATGACCCCATTTACTATGTTTTTAAATGATCCCTGGTTTCCATATGGAGGGCTCAGGGTGATTAGCTAGCTAGCTATCAGAAGAGAAGGCTTGGGCCAGGACGGTGACAGTGGGAAGACACAAGAAATATTGTAGAGGAGGAATTGAGAGAGATTTGTGATCAACTGGATGGGCGTGGTGAGGGAAGAGGATGAATCAAAGATGACTTCTAGGTCTCAGGTATGCTTGAACTACTGAGCAGATAGGAATCGCTGAGATTTACTAGGAGAGTAGCACTGAATGAAGGGACACTTTGGGGGAATGTGTATTGGGGTGTTAAGATCAAGAGTTTCAGAAATGTTAAGTTACAAAAGATCTTAGAGACATTTAAGTGGAGATGTGTGTATCCATGGTATTGGACAAATAGGTCTAGAGCTCAGAAAAGTCTGAGCTGGAGATAAAAATTTAGAATTAGATATTTCAAATCATGGAAATGGATGAGGTCATCTAGGGAGATGGAAAGTTCATAAAGAGGACAGAACTTAAAGCCATCCCGTAAGGAGCTCTGACATTTAGAGGTCAAGTAGAGGAGAAATGGCAGACGAAGGAGGGAGAGATGGAACATCCAGAAAAGCAGAAGAAAGCGCGGGAGAGGATGACATCATGGCAGCCAAGAGAATAGAGTGTTTCCAGAACCAGGGAGTGCTCAATTGTGTGGAATGTTTCTGGAGACTTCCTGGGCAGCAAAAAGCATCTTGTGTGTTGCAGGCAATGGAGTAAGGAAGTAGAGGGCACATGTGAAGTCCGTCCTTCTGAGGAGGGTTAGGATTGACCCTTTGTCTTCTTTACTGCCCATTCTTTCCCAGCTTGCCTATTAATGATTTATTTGACTCACAGCAGTTTCACATTTCTGGGTAGGGATCAGCTCTACTTTGAAGGCTGAGGATTTCAGACAACTGAGAAGCTCTCACGGAACACAGAAAGCTGCCCTGACCTCCCCAGCTGCCTCTATCCCAGGCCACAGAGGCTTCGGTCATCCCAAGGGAGCCAGTGTGGAATGAGGCTGCCTGAGGGAGCAGGTGGGCACAGCCCACACATCCCAGCAGTGACCAGATCTGCCCTGTGAGCTACCTGAGAATGGAATTTCAGCCTGGGAACCCCTGCTGCTCCTGCAGTTGCAAGAGTTGCAAGAAAAGGTCTAAGGCAGGTGTGGTGTGCAGTCAGAGAGCCTAGCAGAGCCTTCCCGCTCCCAGGCTTTCTTTTTCTCTCCCCTTTCACCTCTCCCTCTCTTAAACCAATGTAATCTCTAAGCATATTTCTCTAAAGCCATTGATTAACAGAAAATGTGAAGTAATGCTGTTTGGATGGGGGAAGGAGAAGCCTCTAGTTAAGAATAGCTAGAGTTAATAAAAGCTTATTGTGAATAGTAAAAGCATAGGGGCTTTACAAGTGTTACCTCACTTAATCTTCACAATAATCCTCTGATGTAGGAATCATTATCCCTATTTTACAAGTAAGTAAACAGAGGCTTAGAGAGTTAAGAACTTTCCTAAAGTCATGTGGTGATAAGTGGTGGAGCTGAGGATTCTATTCTAGATTTCTCTCACACAGGGCCCAAACTCATCCAAAGGAGAAAAAAATATTCCAGAATGGTTCACTGATTTTGTGATTAAAGATGCTAAGCATAAATAGGATGTAGCATAGTATTCATATTATTTATGATATTCATATTTATGATAATGCTAAGTGAAAAAATATAATATAAAACTATAGGCCGGGTGCAGTGGCTCATGCCTGTTATCCCAGCACTTTAGGAAGCCGAGGCAGGCGGATCACTTGAGGCCAGGAGTTCGAGACTAGCTTGGCCAACATGCTGAAATCCTGTCTCTACTAAAAATACAAAAATTAGCTTGGTGTCATGGCGTGCACCTGTAATCCCAGCTACTTGGGAGGCTGAGGCAGGAGAATCACTTGAACCCAGTGGGGGGAGGTTGCAGTGAGCTAAGATTGCACCACTGCACTCCAGCCTGGGTGACAGAGCAAGACCCTGTCTCAGAAAAAAAAAAAAGAAAAAAAGAATATAAAACTATAACAATCTTTAAAAAAAGACACGTGGGAAAACAGCAGAAGAAAATATACAAAAAACTATGTGTAATGTATACATATATCAAAATATCAAGTTGTATACTGTAAATATATACAATTTTTGTCACTTATACCTCACTAAAGCTGGGGAGGGGAAACTATATATGTGTGATTGGATGTGGGGCGATTTCATATAATTCTACATTTTGTGCTTGTGGTAATGTTCAATTAGACTTCTTAAAAAAATGTTTTTAAAAAGCAGACTGAAGGCTGGGCATGGTGGCTCACGCCTGTAATCTCAGCACTTTGGGAAGCCGAGGCAGGCAGATCACTTGAGGTCAGGAGTTTGAGACCAGCCTGGCTGGCCAACATGGTGAAACCCTGTCTCTACTAAAAAAACAAAAATTAGCCGGGTGTAGTGGCGGGCGCCTGTAATCTCTGCTACTCGGGAGGCTGAGGCAGGAGAATCACTTGAACTTGGGAGGTGGAGGGTGCAGTGAGCCAAGATCGCACCACTGCACTCCAGCCTGGGCGACAGAGGGAGACCCTGTCTCAAAAATAAATAAATAAATAGCAGACTGGAAATCAAGGAAACCAGTCTGTGGCCAGCAGGCCCTTTTGTGACTTCAGTATTTCATGTATACATTTATATTACTAGCCAACAGTTATTAAGCAATCACTATGTTCCAGGCATGTTTACAATAAAACAAAATGGAAATCTCCCTACAGTTTTCTAAGGGAGGTGTTATTATAGCTATTCTATAAATGAGGAAATGAAGTCTCAGAGAGGATGAATAGGAAAGGCAGTAAGGAGCTTCAGACCTGGCTTTGAATCTTGGCTTCCCTCCTACACGTTAACTGGCTATGGGAAGGTTACTATCTCAGAGACCCAATAATTTTTACCTCCCAGGGTTCTTGTAAAGAGTAAATATCATTATGCATATCATGCCCTTGGCACAGAATAAAGTACAGTTATCCCCCAGCACCCATGGGAAATTGGTCCCAGGACTCCCCATGGATACTAAAATGCAAGGATGCTCAAGTCCCTGATACAAAATGGTGTCATATTTGCATTTAACCTATGCATATCTTCCCATACTTTAAATCATCTCTAGATTACTTGTAATACCCAATACACTATAAATGCTATATAAATCATTGTTATTAATATAATGTATTGTTTAGGAAATCACAACAAGAAAAAAAGTCTGTGCATATTCAGTATAGATACAATTTTTTTCCAGATATTTTTGATCTGAGGTTGGTTGAATCCAGATATGTGGAACCCATGGATAAGGAGGGCCTACTGTGCTTGATGAATGGTAACTACTATTAATATTAAGCACTTTGCAAAAAATTTTGCAAACTGGGGAAGGCAAAATAGGAATTCAATCCTAGGGCTGTATGAAAGCCAAGTCTAGGCTCCTTTCCCCATGAAATGCTGCCTGGGTGATCCTGTGGCATCTTCTGTGCTATCTTCTGGGTGTAACAGTAATGATCCTGACATTCTTAAATCTGCTTTTGAAATGATAGTTGAAAACATAGTGCCATATTTTGTTTCTTTCTATTTATAAAAGTGTATCCATTGCCAAAGGCCTTGGACTCAAGGGTCAGCCCCTGATTTCTCTGCTTAAGTGAGATGTGTGGGCTAGCACACTCCAACCCATTCTGGAAAGCACACTTGTGTCTGGATCCTAGGAGAGGGGACTGGGGATTGGTCCACAGGCTGGAGATTTTGTTACTGGCTGTGGCCGAGCACGTACCAGGCAGGCTGTGTTTGAATTAGCTACATGTCAGAAGGTTATAAAACACTTTTACTCCCTGTGTACTCTTAAAAATATTTCTTTCGTTTTAAATACTGGAGGAACACTACATTATGTTTAAGATCTCTGGATCCCAAAAAGTCTTTTGGGGAGTTGGTTTCCTGCCATTTGTGAGTTAGCCTCTTCTCTAGGTCTTTCTGTATGCGTTTCTACTGTGCAGAAAGATTAAATTACTGCTAAGTGAATAATGTAATCTTTCATTCATGCTGCACATTTCTTAATGCTCTTTATATTGATTGTCAGTATTTGGTTAATTCTCATAAAACATTTTAGAAAGAGAGAGAAAAGAGTTTATGGAGCTGTAGGTTATGCCACACCTACAGCCCCCTTTTCTGAGAATGATGACCCAAATCAGTTATTCCCTACATAAAGTGGCTTGACTATTCCCTGAGTGAAACTGACCCTATTGTTTTGGCCCTAGCTGATTAGACCAGGGTGTCCTAGGCAAAGACAATCATGGGAAGCCAGGTATGCAGGAGGTTAAAAGCCTCAACAGAGTTTGTTGTGAAACTCTACCCGACCGACAGAGTCTGTTTGACAGGAATAAACTGATGATGCTTTCACACAGAGAAGGGTAGTCACACTCCATGGCAGGAAATGTTGTGCCAGTTCTCCATAAGGTCCGGCATCAGGCCATGACTGGGAAGTCCAGGAACTCAGAATACAGCTAGGGACATGGAGGATGAACTCCACTCCCACAGGCAACCTGGTAATCTGAGTGCTTCTTCTCCTAGCAAACCTGAAGAACATCCCTAATATTGACCCTCAGAAATAATATAATCAAGTTCCTTCTTACAGGTGAGGAAAACCGAGGCCCAGAAGATAAAAGGACCACATGACTAGTTAGCAGTGCTCCTGGGGCAGAAGAGCTCTGATTTCTTGATTCCTAAAGTAGTTATTCAAGCTGTAAGGGGCTGTCTCGTGTTTTGATATGGTGTGGTGATCATATCAGTATGCTTTAGAAGACACAAATTAATAGTTGTCAACATTTATTCATTATGTATGTATTTATTTAATACCTGCTAAGAGGCTACAGCTTAGCCAAAAATCCAGGGGAAAGAAGAGAAAATACAGGCCTTAGCCTCCAGTCATTTATAATTGAACTAAGGAATCACACACATCAGACTCTTTTATAATTAAGTGCCAATGTGAATCCATAAAATGATGGAATAAGGGCTGTATTTACTGCAGAGGATAAAAAGACTTTTTTTTTGTTTGTTTGTTTGTTTTTGAGACGGAGTCTTGCTCTGTCACCCAGGATGGAGTCCAGTGGCACGATCTCGGCTCACTGCAAGCTCCGCCTCCCGGGTTCACGCCATTCTCCTGCCTCAGCCTCCCGAGTTCACGCCATTCTCCTGCCTCAGCCTCCGGAGTAGCTGGGACTACAGGCGTCCGCCGTGACCACGCCCGGTTAATTTTTTTTTGTATTTTTAGTAGAGACAGGGTTTCACCGTGTTAACCAGGATGGTCTTGATCTCCTGACCTCGTGATCCGCCCGCCTCCACCTCCCAAAGTGCTAGGATTACAGGCGTGAGCCCCCACGCCCGGCCAAAAAGACATTTCTTTTGCGTGTTAAATAATAGGATTGATAGTGGTTGACTGATGTGATGCATGGAAACAAACTGTGGAGCTACCAAACTCAGAGGAAGTGAGACTGATGGATTGGGATCGATTGGTCATGCCTGCTATGTGGATGCTGGGAGTGTGTGTTCCATGTTGTTTTCAGGTTTCTAGTGGAGGTGTATCTGTTTTGCATAGACACAGACATGGACACACAGCTTTTCTTATTTCTTTCTTTCTCTTTCTCTTTCTTTTCTTTTATTTTTTTATTGTTATTATTTTTTTATTTTTGAGACAGGGTCTCTGTCGCCCATGCTGAAGAGCAGTGACACTATCAGAGGTCACTGCAGCCTCCACCTATTGGGCTCAAGCTATCCTCCCACCTCAGCCTCCCGAGTAGCTAGGATTACAGGCATGAGCGACCACACCCAGCTAATTTTTGTATTTTTTGTAGAGATGGGGTTTCACTATGTTGCCCAGGCTGGTCTCAAACTCCTGACCTCAAGTGATCCACCAGCCTCTGCCTCCCAAAGTGCTGGGATTACAGGCATGAGCCATTGCACCTGGCCCAGACATTTCTGATGCAAGTAATAGCCTAGGCAAAGACTTGAGTGTGTATGTTTGAAGGGTAGTGGGGAGGCTGGACTTGGTCAAATCAAGAATGTGGGCAGATAACAGAGGCAGGTAATAGAATGACAAGTGGAAATTTTTAATTTTACCCTATGACAAGGCTACTGTTTGTGAAACTATGTGAAGTGAAGGCACCAGTTGAACTCTACCACTCCTCAGGAAGTGGGTGTGTTGGGAAGTGAAGTAGGAATGGGGTTGGGGAGGGGATGAGATTCTGGGTGTCCCTCACTTCTACAGCACAGCACTAGTTTGTCTATTTAATACATTGTGACTTTGTATAATAACCTTTTTTGCTTTTGAAGAAACAGTTTTTTGCTTTCATAAAGCAAGCTTGAAAATCACTGCTTTAAGCAATGGAGGGTCTCTGGAGAATTTTCTCTCGTGAATTTGATGCTTTAGGAAGATTAATAGGGTACTAGTTTGTAGATTGGATCTGAGAGGGGTGTTAGGGTACTGTTGCAATTTTCAAGCGTAAGGAGACAAAGCTCTGTTTTAGGATGAAGGCAGTTGTACTAGGGCAGAGATGACTAATAAAGAACTATTTCAGGGGCAGGGCTAGGGAGGGAGAAGTAGTCCCCATCCAAGAATATAAATAATTTAAAATGAAATCGTGCTCATCTCAGAAATTTGAACTCTATCAAATTAATTTATCATCTAGGCTATAAATTTTACGAGGGTAGAGAATTATGCCTGTCTTATTTTTCTGGTGCCTGGGACATAGTAGTATTCAATAAATATTTGTTCCCTAAACAAATAAACAAAAATCAGATGTAACCATTAGGATAATTTCTGCTGCAAGTAGAAGCCTTGACCTCAAATTGGCTTGAACAATAAGGATATTTATCATTTCACATACCTGAAAGATCAGAGGTAGAGTAGATTCCAGGATCAACACAATCAGCAGCTAAGTGATCATCAAGGACCCAGGTTCTCTCCCCCTCTCCACTCAGCACCCTTGGCATTCGGTTCATCTTGAGGCTCATGCTTCTCATGTTGGAGGATGGCTGCCTGTAGCCATCAAGCCATACGCTTCTTTGTTTAAGGACAGCAGCATAGAAAGGAAAACCTTTCCCCTAAACAGATCATGCATCCTTACTTCCCATTCCCATTCTCACCCAGTAATCAGTCAAAAGAATGCCTTGTCCTGATTGGCCAAGCTCAAATCCAGTCTAACCCTGGAGCTGGGACTAGAACCACTTCCTCTCCATACTGGAGGAGGGAGTGTTAGATACATAGACAAAATTTTAGTCTAGTAAAAAGAAATAAGGGGGATGGGTGCCGAGTTGTGTACATTTGTCAGTCAGTGTGTGGTTTGAGGACCAGCAGCCTCAACAACACCTTGTTAGAGATGTGAAATCTTAGGGCTTACCTCAGGCCCATCAAACCAGAGTCTGTTTTAACAAGAGTCCCCAGGTAACTCATATGGAAATAACAGTTGAGAAACATTGCGCCATACCATACACTTTAATCCCTTTGTGGCCCTTTACCTGGCACAGGGAGCAGATAAACATCTGTGTCTTCTTTCAGACTCAGGCGTGAAGAATGATCTTCAGTGCCATTGCTCCTGAGTTCCCATGCCATTTTGTTCCTACTTCTATTATTTATATTTATCCCATTGCATCATAGTTAGTTATTTAAAATATCTAGAATCCCCAAGCACCTCACTTAGTACTTGGTACTAAAAGGTACTCAATGAGTTCCTATCCATTCGTTCATTTATTCAACAGATTTTTATTGAACACCTTTGCTACCTGGTGCCATTCTAGATTCTGGGGACACAGCAGTGAACAAAGAAGTCAAAGACCTCTACTTCACAGAGTGTAAATTCCAATTAGAGGAGTAAGGTATTTTAAGTTACATTATTTGTTATATTAAGTATATACTTGTAGAGTGAATGAATTAATTGAACAAATATTTATTGAGCACTTACTGTATGTCGGGCACTGTTATAAGCACAGGGATGATATCTGTGAACAGAAGTCTCTGTCTTCAGTGGTGCTTACATTCTAGTAAGATTTGGGGACAGAATGAGAAATAATAAGTAGATAGGTAAATTATGTAGCATACTAGAAAACAATAAATGCTGGGAACAAACAGAGCACTTTAAGGGGGAATCAAGAATGCTGGGGCCATAGAGATGAAATTTTAAATGGAGTAGTCAAGGTGGCCCTCATTGATGAGGTGACAGTTTATGTTCTAGTGGAAGGAGTGAGTTTTCTGACATGTGACTAGGAGATTAATGATGTACTGGAAAAAGTTAGGATGTTGCAGCTGTGGCTCAGATATTTTTTTGGAGGAAGGTAAGATAACAAGGTAGTTTGGGCTTGTTGAATTGATTGATGAGCTGTCCAAAGGAAAATGTCCTACAGACAATGAAATATGTGGGGGTGGATTCTGTTTATGAGGTCAAGGTGGATGTATTAGATTTAGGCATCATCAGTATGTAGAATTGGTTCACCAAGGAAAGAAGAGAGAGGAAAAAAAGTGGGGGCTCATGTCTGAGGCTTAGAAAATACCCCCTATCACGGGATAGAAGGAAGAAGATATTTTTGTATTGCCCAGAAACATCACCGGGTGATTGACTGAGGTCAGTAGTATAACAAACTAATAAACCAGTGAACACATTTTACATCTTATCCTTCCGCTATACTGATTATAGGTAAAAGGGTATACTTGGGGAGGAAAATACATGAAGCATGGGCTGCTGAAACTTTAATACTTTTCCGAAAGGCTGTGATAAGCAAAAAATTATTCATAACCATCTGTGACTAGATAAGTTTGGTCAAATTGGCCAGGGTGACACAGACTGTCCAGTCCACTCTGCCTTGTTCTTGCAGCTTCTCCATGGCACAGGCCACAGTCATTGAGCCAGCTGTGGGTGGAGCCACAGGCCAAGTGCGGGTACTTCACTGTACAACCCATGCAGAGGAAAACCACCTTTCTTGGTGGTAACCTTGGGGATGAAATCAGGAACAGAACTCAAGCTTTGGTTGCTTTTTTTTTTAAGTTCTTTTTCCTTCCTCTTTCCTTTCCTTTCCTTTCCTTCTTTCTTTCCTTTCTTTCCTCCCTCCCTCTCTCTTTCTCTTTCTCTTTCTTTTTCTTTCTTTCTTTCTTTCTTTCTTTCTTTCTTTCTTTCTTTCTTTCTTTCTCTTTCTTTCTTTCTTTCTTTCTTTCTTTCTTTCTTTCTTTCTTTCTTTCTTTCTTTCTTTCTTTCCTTCCTTCCTTCCTTCTTTCTTTCTTTCTCTTTCTTCGCAAGTCTTGCTCTGTCACCCAGGCTGAAGTGCAGTGGTGCAATCTTGCCTCACTGCAACCTCCACCTCCTCGGTTCAGGCACTTCTTCTGCCTCAGCCTCCTGAGTAGCTGGGACTACAGGCATGCACCACCATGCCTGGTTAATTTTTGTATTTTTAGTAGGGATAGGGTTTCATCATTTTGGCCAGGCTGGTCTCGAACTCCTGACCTCAAGTGATCCACCCAACCTTGGCCTCCCAAAGAGCTGAGATTACAGGCATGAGCCACCGTGCCCAGCCGCTATTTTCTTTTTATCTAGAAAGGACCCCTATCTAAGCAATCCCAATAGAACCTGTTCTTACCTTCCTTCTCAGTGCCTTTCTTTCTTGGCTAACCATTGCCTTTATACTGTCCCCTGGTTTTCCAGAGCCAATTCTGCCTTTATTTCATTAACCGTCTCAAATATATTCTTAGAGAGCTGTAGTAAGAAAAATCACACTGAAGTGTGAATTGCTAACGTTGTTAATAAAAGATAAGACATTTACTGATTCACTTGTTCATTTAGTCAACAAATATTTATTGAGTGACTGCTATGAGACAAGTATTTGCTAGGTCCTGGAAATAAAGTAGTGAATAAGTAAGAGTTCTGGCATTTGTGAAATACATAGTCCTAATTCAGAAAGAATTAGAGTCAGATGGATAAAGCTTACATAGTAAGAAAGTGCTAAAGTAGGGATAAATTTAGGGTCATGCAGTCTTTGGGAACAAAGGTAGGAAACGGGGAGAGTGTACCAAGCAAAGGGGACAATGTGTACAAAGGCCTGGAAGCAAAAGTAAGGGACTAAGGAAAGGTGAGTGCACTGACGGGGAGGCAGTGGCATAGGAGAGCCCACAGTGGTCAGCCATGGCCAGAGCATAAGGGCTTGTAAACCCCATTAACGAATCTGGACTTCATTCTGAGGGCCTTGAGGACCCAGCTAATGGTTTTAATCTGGGGACTGTCATAATCAGATCTGCATCTTAGAAAGATCACATTTGTTGCAGTTGCAGTGTGGAGAACAAATTGGAGGCACACAGACAGGTCAGGAGGTAACCACAGTCATCCTGGCAGGAGTCGATGGTGACCTGAACTATGTACTGTCAGAGGGAATGAAGATAAAGGGACAGAGTCAAGCTAGGAAGGAGGAATTCATGATTGATTGAATGGGGTCAGAGAAGGAGAGAGAGGAGTCAAGGATGATTCCTAAGTCTCTGACTGGGATGGAAATACTCCCTAATGGTAGAATTGCAGGCATCCGTGACCTGGGTCTATAGCATAGATTTTTTTTTGGGTGGAGTACGTGCTTGTCACACTTAAAATCACATTATGCAAACAGCTGCCTACCCCAGATATTTACCTTTGAGGATGGCTCTGGCACTCATTTTTACTTATTGGCATAGGGAGGTCTTTTGTCATGCTAGGACTGGGAGAGTTTGTGGCCTGAGTACTTTCAGAGTCTAGTGAAGGACCAGAGTATTTCCTAGAATTATTCAGGGTATTGGCAGTTTTCACCTAAATAGATGATGACTTGAGTCCAACCCCCGGCCCTCACATCATGAAGTTTCACTTTTATGCAATCTCTATTCCCTCTAGATCCCATTCTTCCCGCCTCCTGTTTATAGTGGAAGCACTTGACAGCTGGAAGTCTTAACAGTGTAACATACTGAATTGAATCAGCTTTCTTTTACTACTGTTTATATCTAAGCACTGTGTATCTCTCTCTCTCTCTCTCTCTCTCACACACACACACACACACAGTTTTATTTAAAGATAAAGTCTGCACAACTTACAAAACTTTTAACAAAACCCCAGGCAACCTAAATTGCAATCCCTGCTATGTACATATCAAGAGTGCTATACCATGGATATTTAAATGTTATACATCTAAAGGAATCTACCTAGAAATCATGAATTATCATTAAATATGTTTTATAAAAGTTCTCGTTATAATTTATAATGTAACAAAGGATGGTTAATGTTGCACATAAAGAGTGTTGGAGCCATAAACGAGAATACTTGACAAAGCAATGAGATTTAAAAAGAAAATAAGTGCACCTGGTCTGCCTTAAATGCTTTTTAAAAGACTCTTTCAGGAAAGTTCCTGCAAGTGAATTAAGTCTCTGTTTCTCCCGGGGCTGCCAGCACTTTCTTTGGCCAATACAACAGCTGCACCATGCGGTGCTGAGCTGCAAAAGGCGCAGCACGTGGCTGTGGTCACTGCCCCAGCCCTGGTAGACTGACCTTCAGAGGCTCTTAGCTGGCACATTTAACAACTGTTAGGAGGCCAGATTTTCCACTTGTGCAACAATGTATAAGCCATTTGCTTTCAGCAGTCCCTGTTAACTGAGTAGAAGGCATTTGTAAGTCGGACATCATGACCATCTTTCAAATTAGGCCTCTTAGTTACTGGCATTGATAACCATGCTCAAGGCTAGGACGATAAAATGATATCGTTCTTCAATTCAAGGACAAACACAATGCCAAGCTGACTGGTGTTTTAGAAGATGTATCTTTACAAAAATAATGGTTTATCTGTACATCTGTGCTTTCAGATAATGGATTGTCATGAACCCTGGCCTAAACTCCTAAAGGGTTTCATGTCTCTGGAATTAGAAAAAAATATAGTTTTATAGGTGTTTTCTTTTCTTCTTCAAGGGATTCTTGCTGCTGAATTATGTGTTCTACCAAGGCCTGTGGTGGAAGAGGGTAGGTTTGTGAATTAGAAAGGTCCAGTGAAAACTTCTATTTATGTGACCCCTGGTGGCTGGTGGGAGTGATTGGTAAGCCTAGACAATTTTTCTTAAAGGCTAATTTCCTTCTAATAACAGAGTAGCAGATTGATGCCTGGGTCTGGTTGGTGTTTCCTGAGATTCTAGTTGCTTGCTGTCGCACAGACAAGGTACATAAAAAAGTAAATAAATGGGTCTACATTCATTAATGTGTCCTCCAGATATTGTAATTAAAGGCTGTTGTGGCTGTCAGCTGTCCCATTTTGACTGCCTGTCTTAGGCTACGAAGACATGAACGAAAGCGAGAGTAAAATTCCTGGGTTGGGGATTATACTTTTACCAATGCAGAGAAAAGGCAGAAGGCTGTGGAGAAATTGGGATGAATCAGAATCATGTTGGCGTCCTTGTTCCTTGCCAAGCCCAGGTGTCCCATTTTACTCCAGCAAGGGCCAGAGCACTGGAGTGGAAGCCAGGACAACTGGGTACTTTGTCCCAGCACAACCACGGACTCACTGGGAGACTGCACAAATTGATTCCCTCTAAGCCTACATTTCCTCAGTGGGAAAATGAAAATGCTGGACCAGGCAGTGCCAGTTTCTGGATCTTCCGGAACTAGAGGCTTTGCCTTTTACTCTTCCCCACACTGCTAGAGATGGCTGGGGTCTTCTCCTTAAAGATACTGCTAGTTCAAAGCTTGCAGAAATCAGTAACTGTGTGCCTTCTTTCTTGATAGATTTGGAATTGACCATGTAGATAATCTCTGAGAGCAGTTCTTAAAGTGTAATCCAGAACCGGTGGAACTTGCTAGAAACGCATATTCTTCGGACCCCCTCCAAATCTGCTGAATCTGAGATTGTGGAGGTACGGTTCAGCAATCTGTATTTTAACAAGCCCTGAATTCAGGTGATTCTGACGCATGCTAATATTTGAGACCGCTGATCTAAATGAAGTATAATGCATTCGTTGAGGGTAAAAAAACATTGGACCCTTGTTCCATTATACCTTGACGATCTTGGTCACATTTGGTATTTTTATCTTTTAAAACATGCCCAAGGACACTGGAGATAAGATGAAATTTGAAATGAGCTGAGTCAACTCTGTATGTCAAAAGGTTGTCACATTTAAACATTTCTGCTTTTCTGGTGGGGGACAATTACAGAGTGGTTTAAAATATAGCCCCAGGCCTGAGCAAAGAGAACTTTGGGAAATGTAGTTTATTTATTTGTTATAGGAGTGCTTTGCAGGGGAGGGAGGTTTCTGGGAACTGTCTCCCTGGAGAGGTATGAAGTTTTCCAGGGCACCCTAGACTTGGCTGAAAGAGAGCCATTTCTGCTGTCGCTGGCAGCAGCTCTCTGTAAAAGCCCATGCATTTTATCTTTGCATGTTTGTTTGTTCTGCCTGTTGAACACTGGCTCTCATACCATCTTGTTCTGTAATTCAAAACTGACTTTTTAATTAGGTCTGAAAAGGAATGGTTCCCAGGCAATTCCTTTACAAAACTGGTAAGGACAGTTGCATTTGCTTTGACTTGTTTTGATGTAATTTGTCTGAGAGGGCTGCAGGGTCGCTCTGTTTTAAGTTATATTGGGCTGGCCTCTCTCCTGTGTTTGTAGTGGGAGGGGAGGAGGGCTGAATTCTGCTCTTGGGAACTTTGTGGGGACGAGGAGAAGATCCTGGCAGACTTTTCTCTTTCATTTTTAGACAGTAAACTGAATTGGTTCATGTGTTTAAGTCCACCTGGCTCAAGTTTAGCTGTTTGGCCAGAGGAAAAGCCTTAACTAGCTAAATTACAGGGGCCATGGGGCCTGCTGAGAGAGCAGACTGGAAATGGTGACTGGTGTGCTAGTTCAAAATTTCCGTTTTCAGGTTCTATCTAACACAGACTGGAGACATTCTAGTTAATTTGCATACTTGAAAATTGGGTTTCTAACCTAACTTCTCAATAAAGAAAATTACTGCATTTTTGAATTCCTTTTTGCTTCAACATCTGGATGTGGGACCCTCAGGAGGCCTGGAAATCAAGGATGCAGTTGCTACCAGAGCAACCCCACTTTGTTTTGGTGGTTTACACTTTTATTTAAGATTTACTTTGGAGAAAATGTTCCACTGCTTTACAAAGTTTGAAAACTGTTGATTTAGACTGGGGGTGTCCAGCCCAACCTTGGCCCTATAAATCAGGTTTGTCTACTCCCTTCTAGTCCACAGAGCAAGCCTCAGACACCGGAGGCACTGAGACCACTCTTCCTCAGCCCCTGTGCTATTTGATTTTTCCCAATAGCTCTGACTTTATTTATTTATTTTAAAATTTTTTATTTTTGAGACAGAGTCTCACTCTGTCGCCCAGGCTGGAGGGCAGTGGTGCAATCTCGGCTCACTGCATCCTCCGCCTCCCAGGTTCAAGCGATTCTCCTGCCTCAGCCTCCTGAGTAGCTGGGACTACAGACACGCACCACCATGCTCAGATAATTTTTGTATTTTTAGTAGAGATAGGGTTTCACCATGTTGGCCAGGCTGTTCTCGATCTCCTGACCTCAAGTGATTCACTCACCTTAGCCTCCCAAAATGCTGGGATTACAGGTGTCAGCCACTGTGTCTGGCCCCCAATAGTTCAGACTTTAGATCCACCACTAGCCCCATATTCAGCCATCCCTCTGCTTCCCCCCAGCATGTGAACACTTACTTGGGTCTCCAACTGTCTGGCATCTTGTCACATTGCTAAGCAACTGCTTCAGAGACAGAAAGGCCAGCGAATGCCTCGAGCCATGTGTTCTCCATAGCTGCTTGGCTTTGTGGTACTTTGTCCAGGCCTACATAACAGGTCTTCTTAGTGGCCTTGTCCAGAATGGAGTCATCCCTGCTGACTGCTCCTTGCTCTGGGGTCATCTCTACTACTACGGTTTCACAGAAACCTACTATAAATAGTTATCTCATGTACATCTATTTTCCAGTTTCTATATTTTTACAGTCATCTCCATTTCTATGGTCTCATACTGGGGTGGGGGTGTGTGGTTGTATACTTTTATGTTTATAATCTTTTCTTTACTCCATTTAGTGGGATTTCAGAAGTAAATGAAGGCAAACATATATGCTGAATGTTGTTTTACTAGAAATAACTTATATTGCATAAAATAAGTTTTTATTTTGAAGCCATTATAGATTCACAGAAAGTTGCAAAAATACAGGTTGAGTATTAATTATCCAAAATGCTTAGGACCAGAAGTGTTTTGGATTTTGGATTTTTTCGGATTTTTTCAGATTTTGGAATATTTGCATTATACTTACCAGTTGAACATCCCTAATCAAAAAATCTGAACTCCAAAATGATTCAATGAGTATTTTCTTTGAGCATCATTTCAGCACTCAGAAAATTTCAGATTTTGATTCGGGGGGAAAATGGATGGTTGTTTCTGTACTGAACACGGACAGACTTATTTTGGTCATTATTCCCTAAAAAAGACACCATAACAACTATTACGTGACATTTGCATTGTATTAGGTATTATAAGTAACCAAATGATGATTTCTTTTTTTCTTTTTTTGAGGTGGAGTCTCGCTCTGTTGCCCAGGCTGGAGTGCAATGGTATGATCTTGGCTCACTGCAAACTCCGCCTCCTGGTTCAAGCGATTCTCCTGCCTCAGGCTCCCAAGTAGCTGGGATTACAGGCGCGCACCACCATACCCAGCTAATTTTTGTATTTTTAGTAGAGATGGGGTTTCACCATGTTGGCCAGGCTGGTCTCAAACTGCTGACCTCAGGTAATCCACCCACCTCTGCCTCCCAAAGTGCTGGAATTACAGACATGAGCCACCGTGCCTGGCCCAAAAGATGATTTTAAGTATTCAGGAGGATGTGTGTAGGTTATATGCAAGTACTCCACCATTATGTATAAGGACTTAAGCATTTGTGGATTTTAGGGTGTCCTGGAACCAATCTCCTATGGATAATGAGAAATGACTGTTTCTCTCTTTTTCTGGGCACAATATTTTTAGTTTTTACATTATAAAAGTAGTATAACGATGTTGAAATATCTAAAGAAAAAGTTAATGTGTATTTCTTTACTCCCAGGGCAACCACTTGTAACAGCTTAGCATGGGTATGCCCTCATTTCATTCCATATTATCCTAATATTGCATATAAATAATTGGCCTAACTCATCCCTTACTGATGAGCATTTATATTGCTTAAATTGTTTTGCTCTTGCAAATACATTGCATTGAACATTTGTTTTAATAAATTTCAGATTTTGAGCATTTCAGATTTCAGGTTTTCAGATTAGGATTGCTCAACCTGTCATGTGGAGGTTTCGTGTATACTTCACCCAGATTCCACCAATGCCAAAATCTTACCCAACTCTAGTACAGGATCAGAATTAGGAAGTTGACATTGGTACAATTGACAGATCTTATTCAGATTTCACCAATTTTAGATGTAGTTGTGTGTGTGTGTGTATGTGTACATAGTTCTGTGCAATTTTATCTAGTGTAGACATGGGTAACCACCACCACAATCAAGATACAGGACTGTTCTACCATAAAGATTCATTATACTGCTACCTTATAGTCATGCCTTTCGCCCTCTTCTCACTCCCAACCTCTGGAAATCACTAATCTGTTCTCTATGTCTATCATCTGGTCATTTTAAGAATGTTATATAAGTGGAATCATACAATATGTATTTGATATTGGCTTTTTTCCCACTTAGCATAATTCCCTTGAGATCCATTGGAGGAGTTGTGCATATCAATAACGTGTTCCTTTTTACTGCTGAGTTGTATTCCATGATATAGGTGTTCCACAGTCTAACCATTCACCCAACTGAAGGACATTTGAAATGTTTCCAATTTTTGGCTGTTACAAATAAATGCAATGCTTTTCTATTAAATAAAAACCGAAATCAGCCTGCTGCGGTGGCTCACGCCTGTAATCCCAGCACTTTGGGAGGCCGAGGCGGGCAGATCACCTGAGATTGGGAGTTTGAGACCAGCCTGACCAACACGGAGAAACCCCGTCTCCACTAAAAATACAAAAAATTAGCCGGCCTGGTGGCGCATGCCTGTAATCCCAGCTACTTGGGAGGCTGAAGCGGGAGAATCGCTTGAACCTGGGAGGCGGAGGTTGCTGTGAGCCGAGATCGCGCCATTGCACTCCAGCCTGGGCAACAAGAATGAAACTCCGTCTCAAACAAAACAAAACACAAAACAAAACAAAAACAAAAACCTAAATCATAAAACTCTAAGAAATGCCACAAATGTTGAATTTGACACCATCTTTGCACTTTTAAAAGAGAGGGTAAAGTTTGGCTTCCATATGGCTAGTCATTGGCAAGTCCTTGGTCTGAAGCCTCCTTTACTCACCATGAAACATAAATTGTGCCCTCTTGAAATCAGTGCACATCTGTGCTGGGGCAAGGAGGCAGGCCTGGTCTTGGTTCAGTTAATTACCCATTGATTTTATACTCCTGGTAAGACCAGACTCTGGTATGTTATGAGAAGTTTGTTCAAGTCCCTAAGGCCATTCTCCATAATAATGTGGCCAGTTACAATGAGTTATAGGTGATTTGGCTAACACATTCCTCATTGTTAACAGGGTAGTTCATTTGTTTGAGATTTATTTCATCTGTTTTACAACACCATGCCCAACCACACGGGGAACCTGGAAGATGGTATTGCAGTGTTCTTTGAGTTTTTAGGCAAAAACAATTCTCTTAACAATGGTTCCCAGCATCATAAAATGTTTTAAAGGAATTTATTCATTTGTTTAATAAATATTCATTGAGGACATAATATGTGCTAAACACTATTTTAGGTACTGGGAATATAATGGTGACCAAAGCAACCTGACATGATTACTCCCATCATGAAACTTATATTCTAATGGGGGAGACAAATTAATCAAATCACAAGGAGAAATCTGAAGTTACAACTGGGATACATTCTATACAGGAGAGGTGTTATTAAATCGTATAATGACCTGATTATTTCCCAAAAGCCCTAGCTCCTAATGCTGTCATCTTGGGGGCTCGCATTTCAACATATTGATTTTAAGGGGACATAAGCATTCAGTCCACTGCAATCCTGAACCAGGAAAAGAAAATTAATAGGACAGTTGACAAAATTTAAATAAGGTCTGTAGGATAAGCTATTGTATTGTTAATTCCTTAGTCTTGATAAATTATGCTTATGTACCAAGTTACATTTGGGGAATCTGGGAATTCTTTATACCATATTTACAATTTTGTAAAAAGTCTGAGATTACCTCCAAATGGGGATTTTTTATTTAAAAAAATTAAAATGAAGATTAAAAAGGGGGCTCCCTGAGTAAGTGCCCAGAGCAATAAATAAAAATAGACTCACATCTTAGAATATCATCGTGAAGTTTTAGAGCAACACGGATAAAGAAATATCCTGAAGACTTTCAGAGAGGGGAAAAAATAGATCACATATATAGGAATGAGAATCCTATGGGCACAAAACTTATCAATGGCATTACTGAAAACTAGAAGTTACAGCAAAATAGTCTTGGTGGTAAGGGCTCAGTGACGTCATTCCTTACAGTAGCTAATAAGTGCTACCTTGGAAGATTTCCTTGTCCACATTGGCTGTCCGGAGCTTACAGGATGTAGTAGTAGTACACCTTGGGAGAACTCCTGCTCTTCTCAGGATGACTCCCTTAATTGCTTCCTTTGCTCTCCCCTCCCTGTTCCCAACATGCTGAAGTCATCCCCGGCAACCCTATTTGTATGTGACTGCCCCTCTGGCTTCAGTTGACTGAACTAAGGAGTGAATCTTTTATTCCAAATAGGCCATTCAATGTCCCTTCTTCAGGAATTTGGAAAAAGGATGGAGAGATCTCTCTGAGCTAGACTCTTCAGTGGAGGAAATGTTACAACTCATGGACAGTGGCATTACCATCTGCCTTAGGAACGGAGCAGCCTCTGTCTTCAAGAAAAAAGAATGGAGCACACAAGGAGAAGAAAACAAGCAAGACAGGTAAAGAAATGCCTGGTTGCAGTCCCTCCTCAGACCAGGCAGCAGTTTTGGTGTTGCGTTCCTTTAGATGTTTATTGTCCTTAAAATAAATTCTTCTTTTTATTTATGTTAAATTGATGTGTTACTTGGAAACAAAGGACTTCAGTAATACAGAAGAGTGTTTGGATTTCCTTGCAGATATTTTAGCCCAAGAGAGTGATTTAGATAGTTTCGATGAAATTTTGTAATATGCTGTATTTTCCTTCTGGCAGGCCAGCCTAATCCATAAGTAATGTGATGAATGGTGGAGAGTGACCTCATCAAGCCCCAATGAATGTACATTGTTGGGTGGTTTCCAAACTGGATGGTTAATCATCAGACTTGCCTGGAGGCACTTTTTAAAAAATCAGATTCAGGACTCCCCTCTCCCCCTTAGCTGTGGAAGGAGAACAGTAGAGGGAAAACAGGAGAGAAATTAGTTTTGCGTAAGCGTGCCTGGATAGTTTTGAGAGATTCCATGTCAGACATTCAACTTTCTTTTAATATTTTCTCTTAAAAAACAAAACAAAACAAAACAAAACCCTTGCTGATAACGTGCTTGTGCTTACCATAGGCCTTTTCTCACTTTACAAAGAAAGACCCATCACCATCCCAAATCAAGCTGGCCTTGGGTATGAGAACTCCTAGGACACCAAAGAGAAGGTTCCTACGATGATGTGGTTCCCAGATAAGGCTTAGAAACTCTCATTTAGAAAACCTTATTTCTGAGAGTAAAACCAGCATTAGAAATGGCCATTTTGGTATTGAGATATTTGGTTGAGTGTGATGGTAGGAGTAATGATAATTGTTGTTTAACATCTTTCTTCCTTAATCTGAGTGGCCCTGTCCTAGTGGTTCCTCTAAATAAGGCAGCTGTTAAAGAATGCATCACCTGGTGAGTAAAAAAAGAGGATATTGGGCCAGGCATGGTGGCTCATGCCTCCGGCACTTTGGGAGGCCGAGGCAGGTGGATCACCTGAGGTCAGGAGTTCGAGACCAGCCTGGCCAACATGGTGAAACCCCGTCTCTACTAAAAATACAAAAACTAGCTGGGCATTGTGGCGTGTGCCTATAACCCCAGCTACTTGGGAGGCTGAGGGCAGGAGAATGGCTTGAACCTGGGAGGCAGGGGTTGCAGTAAGGTGAGACTGCACCATTGCACTCCAGCCTGTGCAACAGAGCAAGACTGCCTAAAAAAAAAAAAACAAAAAAAAAAGGATATTGGTATGAAGGAGTGACTGTCAATATATTTAAGTATATGTAAATATTGATTATTTTTTACCTCTTCAATTACTTATTCCTAAAATGTATCATTGATTAGAAAGGAACCCATAAACATATACATCTACTACGTACCCACAAAAATTAAAAATAAAAAAATTTTAAAAAGGAAAGGGAAGCAACTATAAACACCCAAAGCAGAATAGGTGAATGATTCTGACTATTTTAAATGTTTTTCATGACTACCCAATTTTTCAGGAATAAGTCATGGATAAATTTTTTATTTATTTTGGACTTGCTGTATATTATTACATAAAGAATATAGTTAGAATTGATTATCAAATCATCATGAAATATTTATTTCAAATATGGTCAATTCTCATCTTTAAAAATATTTTTTGAATGAAGCAATTTTTTTTTAGAAACAGGGTCTTGCTCCATCACCCAGGCTGGAGTGCAGTGGCATAATCCTAGCTCACCATGGCCTCAACCTCCTGGCCTCAAGCTTCTAGCCTTCTCCCTCTTTGGCCTAATTCTCATTTTTATTTATTAAATTTTGCATATTTCCTTCTTTCGATTAATAAGAAATAAAATGCTAGCTTCTGGATTTTTTTAGCAATGCATACACTTTTCTTTCATTAATTCATAGGGAAATTTTGATCATATATTTAAACAAAATTACAGAGTTTGATATTTTTTAAATTAACAGACTGTTTTTTAGAGCAGTTTTAGGTTTACAGAACAAATGAGTGAAAAGTACAGAGTTCCCAAATCTCTTCTTGTTTCTCCCCCTCCCAACATTTCCCTGATGATTAATATCTTGCATTAGTATGTTACATTTGTTATGATTGATGAGCCAATATTGATTCATTATTATTAACTAAAGTCCACAGTTTACATTAGGGTTAATTCTTTGTGTGGTACATTCTATGGGTTTGGACAAATGTCTAATGACATATACCCACCACAACAGTATCGGACAGAAGAGTTTTACTGCTCTGAAATGCTCCTGTGCTCCACCTGTTCATCCATCTCTCCCCCACAACTCCAGGAACAACTGACCTTTTACTGTCTCCATAGTTTTGCCTTTTCCAGAATGTCATATAGATGGAATCATATAGTATGTAGCCTTTTGGGGTTGGCTTCTTTCACTTAGTAATATGCATTTAAGGTTCCTCTATGTCTTTTCGTGGCTTGATAACTCATTTCATGTTAGTGCTGAATAATATTCCATTGTATGGATGTACTACAGCCTGTCCATTCACATATTGAAGGAAATCATTGTCATGTTCAAGTTTTAGAAATTAGAATGAAGCTGCTATGTTTATTATTAACTAAATAATAATATGCTATATGTTATTGGCATAAATATGTTATTTATTAACTAAACATTCATATGCAGGTTTTGGGTTAGTCATAAGTTTGGGTGATACCAAGGAGCAAAACCATTGCTGCATAATTAAGAGTATGTTTAGTTTTGTAAAATACTGCCAAACCGACTTTCACACTGGCTGTATCATTTGCATTCCTACCAGCAATGAACTGAAGTTTCTGTTGCTCCACATCCTCATCAGCATTTTGTATTGTCAGTGTTTTCCATTTTAGCTATTTAAATAGGTGTGTAGTAGTTTCTAATTTTTTGTTTTAATTTGTAATTCCCTAATGACATATGATGTTGAACTTCTTTTCGTATGCTTATTTTCCGTCTGTATATCTTTTTTGGTGAAGTGAGATCTTTTCATGTCTTTTGCCCATCCTTTATCAGATATGCAAATATTTTCTCCCAGTCTGTGGCTTGTCTTTTTATTTTCTTAATGGAGTTTGATTTGTATTCTTGGTTCTTATTCTTTCTCAACAAATGAACACCAGAGTTTGATCAAACTAAATTTTTCAGAAGAATACTATGCCTTTTATGATACCTCTAACTTCACAAATAACCTAAAAGTTTAGTCACACATTCTATTACATTTTTACAAAGTATCACGTTGGTGGGAAAAAGTTTTTGCTTTGTTGAAATTTGCCATTTGATATTGGAATACATTCTTAAATAAATGTGGTTATGTTATAGATCATTTTAATGCACATTTCTTACTTTTTTTGGCTAATGAATTATTACTTGCATTTATTTTATATGTATTTTATTTATTTTTGAGATGGAATCTCCCTCTGTCACCGAGGGTAGAGGGCAGTGGTGCAATTTTGGCTCACTGCAACCACCACCTCCTAGGTTCAAGCGATTCTCCTGCCTCAGCCTCCCGAGTAGCTGGCATTACAGGCATGTACCACCACACCTGGCTAACTTTTGTATTTTTAGTAGAGACGGCATTTTGCCACATTAGCCAGGCTGGTCTTGAACTCCTGACAGGTGTTCCACCCACCTCGGCCTCCCAAAGTGCTGGGATTACAGGCTGACCCACTGTGCCCAGCCTATTTTATATTTATTTTTGACTATGGAAATGATGTTAGACAAAAAGCAAATTCAAGTGATTTTCTTATTCGAGTTCAAAATTGTTGAAACAGCAAATTGATTTATTATCTTGCTTAGCACGTTTGAATAACATGTTATAAAATGATATATTAATTATCATGTTATTGATTTAATCTTTTTTAGTAATATTATGTGGTACTTCCCTGAAGATATTTCTCAGTTGTTTTTAACAATGTTTTTGAGATATGAATTAATACATTAATTTGAATTGAAAAACAAAGTTATTGCACACTGATTAATTTTTGAGAAAAAAAAGAAAAAGTCAGGCTTTATATGAAAGTGAAATAAGGCTGATTGGATTGACATAGAGGATTAGCTCTTTAGGTTTTGTGGCAGGTATTTTCCAAGACTTGAATGTATTCTTTCCTCAGCACCCAGTTTTGATAAAAGTATATGTAAAATGTATTAATAACAGTTTACTGAAAAAAATTGAATTGACAGAAGTGTAATGGAATTAAAATTGATATGGATATCCTAGTCCTGTCTAAATCCAAAGGATAAAACCTGATGCCTCGAAGTGAAAGAGTAACAACCGTGGTCAGCCATCCGTATCCGTGGGTTCAGCATCTGTGGATTCAACCAACCTCAGATCAAAAATATTCAGAAAAAAAGTTGTCTGTACTCAACATGTACAGACTTTTTGCTTTCTTCTCATTATTCCCCAAACAATATGGTATAACAACTATTTACATAGCATTTACACTGTATTAGATGTTACAAGTAATCTACAGATGATTTAAAGTATACAGGAGGATGTGCATGGGTTATATGAAAATACTATGCCATTTTATATTAGGGACTTCAATATCCGTGGATTTTGGTATCCAAGTGTGCATACACAAATACACCAATTTATGGCCGGGCGCGGTGGCTCACACCTGTAATCCCAGCTACTCGGGAGGCTGAGGTAGGAGAATTCCTTGAACCCAGGAGGCCGAGGTTGCAGTGAGCAGAAATCGCACCACTGCACTCCAGCCTGGGCGAAAGAGCAAAACTCCATCTCAAAAAAAAAAAAAAAAAAAAAGAAAAAAGAAAATAATTCTCTATCAATAGACTTTTTTGGCCAGGAGTGGTAGCTCACCCCTGTAATCCCAGCACTTTGGGAGTGTTATAAATAAAGTTTTGGTGCTACAAAAGAAATAGCACTCGAATATAAAATTTTCTTTTTAATTCTCAGCAAGGCAAGTTACTTCTAGAGAAGGGTGCACCCTTACAAATGGAGCAATGGTGAGCGCACACTGGACAAGAAAGGGGAAGGTGTTCTTATCCCTGACACACGTGGCCCCTGCTGCTGTGTTCTTCCCCTATTGGCTAGGGTTAGACTGCACAGGCTAAACTAATTCCGATTGGCTAATTTAAAGAGAGTGACGGGGTGAGTGGTTTGGCGGGAAAAATGGTTATGACAGAGCTGGTAATCGGAATTTGTCTGGGTGGAGTAGGTAATCAGAATGAGTCAGGGTGGTGCAGGTGATTGAAATGAGTCAGGGTGGAGCAGTTAATCCAAAAAGGTTGCTTTATGAGGAAGTTAAGTTTAAAAGTAGAAGGCAAATAATTGAACATACTGACATATTGATTCTTTGTAAAGAAATTTAGAACTCATATCTGACAGGAGGCAGAGGCGGGTGGATCACTTGAGGCCAGGAGTTCGAGACCAGCCTGGCCAACATGGGGAAACCCAGTCTTTACCAAAAATACAAAAATTAGCTGGGCATAGTGGCTCACACCTGTAATCCCAGTTACTCAGGAGGCTGAGGCACGAGAATTGCTTGAGCCTGGGAGGCAGAGGTTGCAGTAAGCTGAGATCACACCACTGCACTCCAGCCTGGGTGACAGAGCAAGACTCAAAAAAAAAAAAAAAAGATTTTCTTTTGTTGTTGTTGTTGCTGTTGTTGCAACAAATTTGGTTATGATTTGCTAACACCAGTTTGAGCAGGTCAGTTCACCCAAAACTCTGGGGCCGGTTTCTTTGTTTGTAAAATTAGACCAGTGACTATTTCTTTTAGGTTTCCTCAATCTCTATAATTCTTTTATTTTATTATTGTCTTAAAAGTGTCTGGAAAACATTTTTAAAGTACTACATAATAATTATTTCAATATTTTTTCAAGTTTTTTTCCCTCACAAAACATGGAATGACTGGGCTGGGCACGGTGGCTCATGCCTGTAATCCCAACACTTTGGGAGGCCGAGGTGGGCAGATCACCTGAGGTCGGGAGTTCGAGACCAGCCTGACCAACATGGAGAAACCCCGTCTCTACTAAAAATACAAAATTAGCCGGGTGTAGTGGCATATGCCTATAATCCCAGCTACTTGAGAGGCTGAGGCAGGAGAATCGCTTGAACCCGGGAGGCGGAAGTTGTGGTGAGCCGAGATCATGCCATTGCACTCCAGCCTGGGCGACAAGAGCGAAACTCCATCTCAAAAAAAACCAAAAAAACAAACAAAAAAAACACATGGAATGACTGAATTTATTAACATAGTATTACTGCTAATTTTTTTTAAGTGAGCCTAGGAGTGAAAAGTCTAAACAATCAGTTGAAGGCATTTGTTCTAACACCTTAAGCTTTGGAGTTTGAAAAGTAGACTGTATAGTCTCCTGAGCTAGAACAGAGACAATATGGAGGATGTCAGACTGCCCATTATTTTAAATTCCAGACTCACATTGAATTGTAAGTGCTGACCTAATACTGCTTTGTTATCAAAATGCCCGTTTGTATTGTCATTACATAGCCTAGATAAACCTTAAAAGACCTGTTTACTTTGAATCTTTAGTTACATAGTAATGCATGTTGTTTCTAAAACCTTTTGGAATAGATGTCATAGTTCAAAATCACAGTTATCTATCTAATCAGTCTAGCTAACAAAGCTTACAAAGTGTGTAACAAATTCTTAGATAACACTGCAAGGCTATGTTTTAATGGAATAGCCAGGATCTTTTTGTTCTGGGCGGAACAAAATTTTCTTTATCTTTTCTGCAAGGAGTTGGCAGTTTACTCAAGGGCATTTCTAGCTTTTCAAAATGCAAATTTACAAGCACATTGCCTACATTTAAAACTACATATATTTGTCTGTTTTCATCTGCACAGCAGTTCTCAGCAATAGACAGGGTTGCTGCTGTTAGTCACATTTGGAGAAGCTGAAACAGAGAGACTGAGGCTTTCTCACTTTCGCACAGCTTCTTAGAAACGATTAAGCAACAAGTTTATTGAGCCCTACTAGGAGCAAGTCATTGTTCCAGTCCTAGAAGTCATCTATAATATCCTGGCCTCAAGAGACTTTCCTCTAGACCTGGGCAGGAGAATAAAGCTTTGTGGAGCCGCAGTGTAGTGAGAGTGTTCCTGTGGTCCTTCCCAACACAAATGCCTCTCTGCCTCTCTTGCCTATGCCTTTGGTTTATTATGGACATTCCTGGGCACTACTTGGCTTGTTAGCTTCTCAAATGGCAGACAGAGATCTGACTCTAGGGCAGACTCAAAAGTCTGGAATTTAGGGACATTTCTCCTGAATATGATAATGTGGTGGCTGGATCCATTGAGAGATTAATTTCTCTTAGGTTTCTTACAGTAAGAAAACATGAAAACAATAAGTAGAATTTTTCTCTCTTGGTCTTTGACCCACTTCAAGCAATCAAGTGAGCCTGCTTTTGTTTTCTGGTGTCATTAAAAGGCTTTTCCTTCCCCAACCTCTCAAGCCCTAGGTTCCTAAACGTGCTAGATTATCCAAGAAGTAGAGGGACCCCAAAGGCTGAAGGGGGCTAAGTGGAACAGCTGCTCCCATGTTGTACCCCAGAAGGGATTGGACATTTGATGGGAATGGGGAGCAGTGGTCCTGGGGAACCAGACTGAACACCAAGAACCACTGCCTTTAGTGCCACAGTGGAAGTTTCCTATGACTCTGCTTGGCACTAAGCATAATGGAGAGAATAGGGTCCTTTGCCTTTGAACAGACCCTGCAGGCTTGGTCAATAAGCATCTGCTACTGTGATGGCCTGAGAAATAAAGGCTCTTCTACCATTTCCTGGGTACCACATTATCCTACCCCTATCTCTACTGTTGGACTATCCAAAGGAGGAGGAGAAAACTCATACTAATCATTGTGATAATGATCTACCATGCATTGAGATACACCATATATTTGGCACAGTGTTTACTTAGCAGGACAATTTGTGAAAAATTTCACGTGGCAGAATAACTTGATTACAGAGTTAACTGTGTCTTGTGTTCAAGGTTGTAGGCTCATCAGCAAAGAATGAGAGGAATTTTTCCATGTCTCTTCCAACAAAGAAGCCTAGGCATTGTGTTCTGAAACCTGGATTTCTTAACCTCTGGGAAGAATGAAATGGTCTTTATTTATGAAGGTCTAAATCCCAAGTGGAAACTTAAAGGACTGAGCTTCTGGATTTTATTTGGCCTGAAAAATGTTTTAAGAGAATGTGAATTAGATGCTTGTGTTTAAAAAACAGAAGTTTTCATATAAAAACTGAAATTTCCAGTACCTCTTTAAAAATCAGAAGATTTGGTAACATTCAGCCTGACTTCCCTGTGACAACAGGCAGTTGGGGATGAGCTGGAGCTCCAACTCAAGACAAGAATGTTCTTTCCAGTTTGCCACAGTACCTAAGATACCTGAATGTCTTCTATGGTACCAACATCCTTAAAGAATATTTCTGCCTGGCTACTATAGATATTTGAGTTTTTGATCTCTGGTCTGGGTCTATTGATGGGAAAACAACTGAATATTTCCACATAATTGAGGAAGACTGGCTCAATCTCAGAAGTGACTTCCTCAAATCTGGACAAGAGAATAAGATCTGGGACCTATCCATTGATACTATATGGGTTTAAAGCCTTCTAATTATTTATTCAGAAAAATATGTAGTGCAAACACTCACTGGGTAATGGATAGTTGTCATGTATTGTTTCAAAATCAAAATTGGATCATACTGTTTATGACTTGTATTTTTAATTTACTGAATATATTTAAAAATCATAAACAAGGGCCAGTTGTGGTGGCTCATGCCTGTAATCCCAGCTGTTTGGGAGGCTAGGGTGAGGGGATTGCTTAAGGCCAGGAGTTTGAGACCAGCCTGGGCAACATAGTGAGACCCCATCTTTAAAAAAAAAAAAAGTAGCAGGATGTGATGGTGTGCACCTGTAGTCCCAGCTACTGGGGAGGCTGAGGTGAGAGGATTGCTTGAGACCAGGAGTTCAAGCCTGCAATGAACTATGATCTCACCACTACCCTCCAGCCTGGGTGACAGAGGGAGAACTTGTCTCCAAAAACAAAAAAAATTATAAACATTTTGATGGATAGCACATATATATATATGTTTATATATAGATAGATATAGATATATAAAACATGGGTTATAAAGGAAACAATGAAACAAGACTATCCATTTGAGTTGGCCAATCTTGGTGTATTAGTTTCCTGTGGCTGCCGTAACAAATTGTCACAAACTTGGTGGCTTAAAACAACAGGAGTTTATTCTTTCATAGTTTTGGAGGCCAGAAGTCTGACATAAAGGAGTTGGCAGAACATTCAAATTCAGGAAATACAGAGAATGCCACAAAGATACTCCTTGAGAAGAGCAACTCCAAGACACATAATTGTCAGATTCATCAAAGTTGAAACAAAGGAAAAAATGTTATGGGCAGCCAGAGAGAAAGGTCAGGTTACCCACAAAGGGAAGCCCAACAGACTAACAGCGGATGTCTTGGCAGAAACTCTGCAAGCCAGAAGAGAGTGGGGGCCAATATTCAACATTCTTAAAGAAGAGAATTTTCAACCCAGAATTTCATATCCAGCTGAACTAAGCTTCATAAGTGAAGGAGAAATAAAATCCTTTACAGACCAACAAATGCTGAGAGACTTTGTCACCACCAGGCCTGCCTTACAAGAGCTCCTGAAGGAAGCACTAAACATGGAAAGGAAAAACCGGTACTAGCCACTGCAAAAACAAGCCAGATTGTAAAGACCATTGATACTGGGAAGAAACTGCATCAACTAATGGGCAAAATAACCAGCTAACATCATAATGACAGGATCAAATTCACACATAACAATATTAACCTTAAATGTAAATGGGCTAAATGCTCCACTTAAAAGACACAGACTGGCAAACTGGATAAAAAGTCAAGACCCATCAGTGTGCTGTATTTGGGAGACCCATCTCACATGCAGAGACCCACATAGGCTCAAAATAAAGTGATGGAGGAAGATCTACCAAGCAAATGGAAAACAAAAAAAAAAAGCAGGGGTTGCAATCCTAGTCTCTGATAAAACAGACTTTAAACCAACAAAGATTAAAAGAGACAAAGAAGGCCATTACATAATGGTAAAGGGATCAATTCAACAAGAAGAGCTAACTATCCTAAATACATATGCACCCAATACAGGAGCACACAGATTCATAAAGCAAGTCCTTAGAGACCTACAAAGAGACTTAGACTCCCACACAATAATAATGGGAGACTTTAACACCCCACTGTCAACATTAGACAGATCAACAAGACAGAAAGTTGACAAGGATATCCAGGAATTGAACTCAACTCTGAACCAAGCGGACCTAATAGACATCTACAGAACTCTCCACCCCAAATCAACAGAATACACATTCTTCTCAGCACCACATCATACTTATTCCAAAATTGACCACGTAGTTGGAAGTAAAGCACTCCTCAGCAAATGTAAAAGAACAGAAATTATAGCACACTGTCTCTCAGACCACAGTGCAATCAAACTAGAACTCAGGATTAAGAAACTCACTCAAAACCGCTCAACTACATGGAAACTGAACAACCTGCTCCTGAATGACTACTGGGTACATAATGAAATGAAGGCAGAAATAAAGATGTTCTTTGAAACCAACAAGAACAAAGACACAACATACCAGAATCTCTGGGACACATTTAAAGCAGTGTGTAGAGGGAAATTTATAGCACTAAATACCCACAAGAGAAAGCAGGAAAGATCTGAAATCGACACCTTAAAATCACAAATAAAAGAACTAGAGAAGCAAGAGCAAACATATTCAAAAGCTAGCAGAAGGCAAGAAATAACTAAGATCAGAGCAGAACTAAGGAGACAGAGACATAAAAATCCCTTCAAAAAATCAATGAATCCAGGAGCTGGTTTTTTGAAAAGATCAACAAAATAGATAGACCACTAGCAAGACTAATAAAGAAAAAAAGAGAGAAGAATCAGATAGACGCAATAAAAAATGTTAAAGAGGATATCACCACCAATCCCACAGAAATACAAACTACCATCAGAGAATACTATAAACACCTCTACACAAATAAACTAGAAAATCTAGAAGAAATGGATAAATTCCTCGACACATACACCCTCCCAAGACTAAACTGGGAAGAAGTTGAATCCTTGAATAGACAAATAACAGGTTCTGAAATTGAGGCAATAATTAATAGCCTACCAACCAAAGTCCAGGACCAGATGGAGTCACAACAGAATTCTACCAGCGGTATAAAGAGGAGCTGGTACCATTCCTTCTGAAACTACTCCAATCAATAGAACAAGAGTGAATCCTCCCTAATTCATTTTATGAGGCCAACATCATCCTGATACCAAAGCCTGGCAGAGACACAACAAAAAAAGAGAATTTTATACCAATATCCCTGATGAACATCAATGCAAAAATCCTCAATAAAATACTGACAAACTGAATCCAGCAGCACATCAAAAAGCTTATCCACCACGATCAACTTGGCTTCACCCCTGGGATGCAAGGCTGGTTAAACATACGCAAATCAATAAACGTAATCCATCATATAAACAGAACCAAAGACAAAAACCACATGATTATCTCAATAGATGCAGAAAAGGCCTTTGAAAAAATTCAACAGCCCTTCATGCTAAAAACTCTCAATAAACTAGGTATTGATGGGATGTATCTCAAAATAATAAGAGCTATTTATGACAAACCCGCAGCCAATATCATACTGAATGGGCAAAAACTGGAGGCATTCCATTTGAAAACTGGCACAAGACAGGGATGCCCTCTCTCACCACTCCT
This sequence comes from Homo sapiens, assembly GCF_000001405.40. Classification (NCBI taxonomy): domain Eukaryota; kingdom Metazoa; phylum Chordata; class Mammalia; order Primates; family Hominidae; genus Homo; species Homo sapiens. The sequence continues at coordinate 98,871,885 of NC_000008.11, read as the reverse complement.
ATTCAACACAGTGTTGGAAGTTCTGGCCAGGGCAATCAGGCAAGAGAAAGAAATAAAGGGTATTCAAGTAGGAAAAGAGGAAGTCAAATTGTCCCTGTTTGCAGATGACATGATTGTATATTTAGAAAACTCCATCATCTCAGCCCAAAATCTCCTTAAACTGATAAGCAACGTCAGCAAAGTCTCAGGATACAAAATCAATGTGCAAAAATCACAAGCATTCCTATACACCAATAACAGACAAACAGAGAGCCAAATCATGAGTGAACTCCCATTCACAATTGCTTCAATGAGAATAAATACCTAGGAATCCAACTTACAAGGGACATGAAGGACCTCTTCAAGGAGAACTACAAACCACTGCTCAATGAAATAAAAGAGGACACAAACAAATGGAAGAATATTCCATGCTTGTGGATAGCAAGAATCAATATCGAGAAAATGGCCATACTGCCCAAGGAAATTTATAGATTCAACGCCATCCCCATCAAGCTACCAATGACTTTCTTCACAGAATTGGAAAAAACTACTTTAAAGTTCATATGGAACCAAAAAGAGCCCGCATTGCCAAGACAATCCTAAGCAAAAAGAACAAAGCTGGAGGCATCACACTTCCTGACCTCAAACTATACTACAAGGCTACAGTAATCAAAACAGCATGGTACTGGTACCAAAACAGAGATATGGACCAATGGAACAGAATAGAGCCCTCGGAAATAATACCACACATCTACAACCATCTGATCTTTGACAAACATGACAAAAACAAGAAATGGGGAAAGGATTCCCTATTTAATAAATGGTGCTGGGAAAACTGGCTAGCCATATGTAGAAAGCTGAAACTGGATCCCCTTCCTTAAACCTTATACAAAAATTAATTCAAGATGGATTAAAGACTTAAATGTTAGACCTAAAACCATAAAAACCCTAGAGGAAAACCTAGGCAATACCATTCAGGCCATAGGCATGGGCAAGGACTTCGTGACTAAAACATCAAAAGCAATGGCAACGAAAGCCAAAATTGACAAATGGGATCTAATTAAACTAAAGAGCTTCTGCACAGCAAAAGAAACTACCATCAGAGTGAACAGGCAACCTATAGAATGGGAGAAAAATTTTTAAATCTACCCATCTGACAAAGGGCTAATATCCAGAATCTACAAAGAACTTAAACAAATGTATAAGAAAAAATCAAACAACCCCAACAAAAAGTGGGCAAAGGATATGAACAGACACTTCTCAAAAGAAGACATTTATGCAGCCAACAGACACATAAAAAATGCTCATGATCACTGGCCATTAGAGAAATGCAAATCAAAACCACAATGAGATACCATCTCACACCAGTTAGAATGGCAATCATTGAAAAGTCAGGAAACAACAGGTGCTGGAGAGGATGTGGAGAAATAGGAACACTTTTACACTGTTGGTGGGAGTGTAAACTAGTTCAACCATTGTGGAAGACAGTGTGGCGATTTCTGAAGGATGTAGAACTAGAAATACCATTTGACCCAGCCATCCCATTACTGGGTATATACCCAAAGGATTATAAATCATGCTGCTATAAAGACACATGCACGCATATGTTTATAGCGGCACTATTCACAATAGCAAAGACTTGGAACCAACCCAAATGTCCATCAGTGATAGACTGGATTAAGAAAATGTGGCACATACACCATGGAATACTATGCAGCCATAAAAAAGGATGAGTTCATGTCCTTTGTAGAGACATAGATGAAGCTAGAAACCATCATTCTGAGCAAACTTTCACAAGGACAGAAAACCAAACACCACATGTTCTCACTCATAGGTGGGAATCGAACAATGAGAACACTTGGACACAGGGTGGGGAACATCACACACTAGGGCCTGTCATGGGGTTGGGGGAGAGGGGAGGGATAGCATTAGAAGATATACCTAATGTAAATGACGAGTTAACGGGTGCAGCACACCACCATGGCACATGTATACATATGTAACAAACCTGCACATTGTGCACATGTACCCTAGAACTTAAAGTATAATAATAATAATAAAAAAAAGAAAAAATATATTATCCCAAAGCAAAGAAAAAAAAAAGAAAATCTTCTTCAAAGACAATGATATTTATTTCTGTTTTCTTATAGTATTTCTGAAATGTATGATAAGTCTGTATAAATGGATTCAAATTTTAAAAAAATAAAATAAAAGATTTGGCAGGACGGTGCTCACTTTGAAGTCTCTAGGGGAAAATCCTCCCTTGCCTCTCCCAGCTTTCGGGGGCTCCAGGCATCCCTTAGCTGTGGCTGCATAACTTTAATCTCTACCTCTGTCTTCACATGGCCTTCCTTTCTGTGTTTCTCAAATCTCCTTCTGCCATTCTCTATAAGGACACCTATCATTGAATTTAAGGCCTGCCCATATTATTCAGGATGATTACATCTAGAGATTCTTTATTATTTTATTTTATTTATTTATTTTTTGAGACAGGGTCTCACTCTGTTGCCCAGGATGGAGTGCAGTGGCACAATTTCGGCTCACTGTAACCTCTGCCTCCCGGGCTCAAGCGATTCTCGTGCCTCAGCCTTCTGAATAGCTGAGATTACAGGTGTGAGCCATCACATCCAGCTAAATTTTGCATTTTTGGTAGAGATTGTGTTTCACCATGTTGGCCAGGCTGGCCTCGAACTCCTGGGCTCGAGTGATCCACCAGCCTCAGCCTCCTAAAGTGCTGGGACTACGGGCAAGAGCCACCAGACCCAGCGTGAGATTCTTATCTATCAACAAAGACTCCTTTTCTTTTCTATTTTCTCTTTCTCTCCTTCCTTCCTTCCTTCCTTCCTTCCTTCCTTCCTTCCTTCCTTCCTTCCTTCCTTCCTTCTTTCCTTTTTCTCTCTCTCTCTCTTTCTTCTTTCTTTCTTTTTTTTGAGTCAAGGTCTCATGCTGTCATGCAAGCTGGAGTGCAATGGCATGATCATAGCTCACTACAGGCTTGACCTCCCAGGCTCAAGCTATCCTCCCACCTCAGCCTCTCGAGTAGCTGGGACCACAGGCATGCGCCACCACAGCTGGCTATTTTTTTTTATTTTTTATTTTTAGTAGAGACAAGGTCTCACTATGCTGCCCAGGCTGGTCTCGAACTCCTGAGCTCAAGCCATCCGCCGGCGTCGGCCTCCTAAAATGCTGGGATTTACAGGCACGAGCCACTGCACTAGGTCCCTTTTTCTAAATAAGTTCACATTCACAGGTTCCAAATGGATACATCTTTTTGGAGGCCACAATTTAACCCACTATGCTTGGTTAAATGATTTTCTTCTTAAGAATTATTTTTTAAAGGAGTGATTGATTTAAATTTCCAAGTCCTTTTATCACATGGCTACATGGTAGGCAGAACTGAGCTGTGGCAGAACTGAGCTGTGGCAGAACCCACTGAGTGGCTCCAGCGGGGCTGGGGGATACACAGTAACAAATGGGCCACACACCTAAGAAACATGCACTGAGGGTTTAACTCCCTGAGTGTTGCTATCCAGGGGAAGTGGTGGTGAAATTGCAGCAATAAGGTTAATGATCTTTCTCCTTCGGCTGTGGGATTTGGATTACAAAACTCAACTGAGACTTCTTTGAGAATTGAATAGCTTCCACTCATGCACTGTCCAAGATTTCTAAAAAGTTGACTTCAGTAAAAGGTATTTTGTTTGGCAGACAATAAGGAGCTGTTTTTTTAAAGTTTTCTTTTATTTATTCTGCCTCCAGGATTATACATTGGAGGTGTAGGTGTGGTTGGCACTTGTTCCCTTTCGTATTTCAGGAGTCACCCTGACCACCTAAAAGCTGGGTTTTTAAAATTATTCAGATCCATGGAACATCCAGAGCCTTCACTGGTGATGAGGCTGTGTGTGGTGCTCAGAGACAGGCATCATTCTTTGAAATGTTAGGCAAGTCTCAGCAGAGCCCCTAAAGAGAGTATTTCCTGTGCTGTCAAAAGAGTTACCATAAATGGGAATGTTATAATAGTAGCTAAAGTTTACCAGGGGCTTATTATAGGCCTGGCACTGTCCTAGGCCCTGGCATGTGCTGCATTTATTCTTTCATTTAAGCTTTGTAATAACCCTGTGAGGCATGTACTGTTATTATCTCCATTTCACAAATGAGAAAACTGGGGCATGGAGAGGTTAAATTCTTGCCGAAGGTTGGTAAGCAATGAAGCTGAGATACAAACCAGTTAGGGTAGCTCCAGAGACTGTGCTCATAACCACTCTGTAATCTGCATCTTCTGATCCATTTCTGACAAAATTGTGCAGTGGGTGAAGCTGTCTCCAGCTTTTTTTTTTTCCATGCCCTCCCTGCCTTATTTTTTCCTTTCTGAGGCAGGGTAGTGTAGTAGAAAGCATATGGAGGTTTTAGTCAATCTAACCCAGCTATGTGAGCCTAGACAAGTTAGATAAACATCCCAAGCCTCAGTTTCCCCTTTTAAAAAAATTATTTTTTCGAGACAGGGTTTCACTCCTATCACCCAGGCTGGAACGCAGGGGCGCGATCTCGGCTCACTGGAACCTCCGCCTCCCAGGCTCAAGTGATCCTCTTGCCCCAGCCTGCCATGGCTGGGATTACAGGCATGCGCCACCACGCCCAACTAATTTTTGTATTTTTTGTAGAGGCAGGGTTTCACCATGTTGCCCAGGCTGGTCTCCAACTCCTGGGCTCAAGCAATCTACCCACCTAGCCTCCCAACGTGCTAGGATTATAGACATGAACCACTGCGCCAGGCCAGTTTCCCCATTTTAAAATGGTAATTATAATGACAACTTCATAGGATGTCCTGTGGATGAAATAATATAATGTAGTGGATGTCGTGGTGTGCTGCCCAGATCACCCTTTCAGGATCAAGGCACTCTTCCCCTCCCTCCCCTCCTGTCAAGAGAGTTACCTGTTAACAGTTCACAACTGAGCCTCTTCCAGAAGTTGCCTTCAGCTGAAGGTATTAAGTCCAAAATTCTGCCCCTCCCCAGGGGCATCTGGCATCTGATGACTTATCAATTGTGTGTAGAAAGGGCAAGAAGGCCCACTCCCTTCCACTTAGGACACCTCTGAAGGACCAGCTACCGGTAGGAGGATTGGTTGAAACCTCTATTGCAGCTGTGCTATTCTTCCACTTTTTCCTCTGCCCAATCCTGTTTACTTCAGTCCTCTCAGGCACTGGTGCTGAGATCACTTCCCAATGAACCTCTACATTCAGACCTCCATTTCAGAATCTGTTTCCTGGGGAGCCTGACTTACAGCAGCTAATGTATAGAGAACATCTGACACACGGTACGTATTCAATAAACTCTTTCCAGCGTTCCTACTCACCTTGTATTCTTCCTACTGCAATGCCTCACCACCCCAGAGTGCTTGTGCCTTGGACTACCTATGTCTCAACGAAATTTAGCAGCCCCACATCTTGCCACAGGGAAGCATCTTATCAAAAGCTGGTTAGTCATGGGTCAATTAATGTCTCTATTCAGCTGGGTTGAGGGCTTCATAACCTCCTAGACTACATTAAGCAGTCACAGGGTGAGAGCCTGATTCTAGAGGAGATCCAATTACACTACATAGGTAGCTGCCCACAGCCCTAGACATAAGAGGCTTTCAGCGAATGTTTATTGTTGATGATGTAAGGCCACTACTGACCCTGCAAAATGAACACTCAGTTTGCAGATTCCAAATAGGTGGAATTCAAAAACTAGACACACTCTCTCAACAGGAGGTGCTTTGAGAACTTAACAAAATTTGGAATTTCTGCTCCATCAGCAACATGCCTGAGAGATCTGAGCATGATGGTCTAAAAACTGTAGGGTGTAGATAGGGAAGAAAGCAGCAGCCACAGTGTGCAGGCAGCAACATACAGCAACGGGGCACATGGTCCTGCATCCCAGGAATGTTGCTTGCAGAGCCTCTGCCCACTCCAGACTGCAGGACTGTGTGGCCAGGAGGAAGAAACAGTCTGGGGCAGCCCCATGTGTTGCCCTGTGGGCAGGCGACAGGCCTTGCAGAAAACCTAGTGGGCTATTTCACACAGTGACCACTGCAGGGCACTAACGGGGCTTTGATACTCCACTGTGTTGCAACGTAATATAGACTTAGATGGACTTTGATGTCCATAATGATACTCCACAGCCAATGGCATTGGCCTACTGCTATTTTAAAGGCACGTCGTATAACTTTATTAGAGAGTACCCCTGAGAAATGACCTGTGCTTTAAAAATAGCAAACTAGGCTGGACATGGTGTCTCATGCCTATAATCCTAGTGCTTTGGGGGAATAAGGTGGGAGGACAAAGACCAGCCTGGGCAACACAGTGAGACACCATCTCTAAAAATATTTTTAAAGATTAGCTGGGTGTGGTGGTGAACACCTGTAGTTCTAGCTACTTGGGAGGCTGAGGCAGGAGGATTGCTTAAGCCCAGGAGGTTGAGGCTGCAGTGATATCATGCCATTGCACTCCAGCCTAGGCAACAGAGTGAGACCCTATCTTTAAAAAAAAAAGTAGTAAACTATATGGCATAAACTATATGGCCATTTTGGATTGCTTATGTTGGGAGGCTGAGAGGTATAGGGGAAGAAACACAAGCTCTGGCAAAATTAACCTGGTTTCAAACTGGGTCTGCTACACTCACCTAATTGTTAAGAAAGTTTTTGTAGAGACAGGTCTTACTATGTTGCCCTGTCTGGTCCTGAACTCCTGGTCTCAAGTGGTCCTCCCACTTTGGCTTTCTAAAGCACTGGGATTACAGGTGTGAGCCACCACGCCTGGCCTCTTCTTCTACAGTAATAAATGCTGTATGGCTTCTATTGGTTGCCCTGCAAAAGACTGTATTTCTGATCCTTCCTGTCATCTAGGTGTGACCATGTGGCTGGGTTCTGTAAAGTGGGATGAGAGCTGAAGTGATATGTGCAAGTTCTGGCCCATGTCCTAAAGAGAAAGGAGATTGCTTTTTCTACCTCTTCTTTCTTTCTGACTGAAATGTAGCTGTAATAGAAGGAGTGGAAGCAGCCAATATGGACCACAAAAAGCTGCTTGTTGAAGATGAAAGTAGTAATAGAATAGGCCAGAGTTTACCGTATTAGCCTTGGGCCCTTATGTTCAGAGTGTTATGTGACAGATACAAACTTCTATCTTATTTAAGCTACTGTTATTCTGACCTTTGATGTAGCAGATAAACAAGTATTTTACCTAAACTCTTAAATCTCAAAAAGTTTGCCTGTGATGTACATTTCTCATGAAGTTACCTGGGATATGCTACACCAACACAGGGGAATCAACCAAGAAAAAGGAAACCATGTGGTTTGGGAAACAGAGGATTTAATACAAGGTAGAGACAATGGAAGTACTCAGGAATCTAGTTTAGTTATATGAAAACAGACATTACCAATAGCTAGTGGCTTCAACAAGAAGAGATTTTCTCTCACCAAATGAAAGATCCAGAAGATAGCAAGCAGTTCCTGGTGCATACAGCTGTTCTATAATGTCCTTAGAGACTTAGTCGTTCTTGTTTTGTATTCCACCATCCCCATGGTGTGCTTTTTATACTCAGGTTTACAAGTTGATTGCTGAAACTTCAGCCATCACTCCCATGTTTTAGACAGTAGGAAGGAGGAAGATTGATGACAAAATGGAATAAAATCCAGCTGATTGAGACTTTTTTTTTTTTTTTTTTTTTTTTTTTGAGAAGGAGTCTCGCTCTGTCGCCCAGGCTGGAGTGCAGTGGTGCAATCTAGGCTCACTGCAAGCTCCGCCTCCCGATTCATGCCATTCTCCTGCCTCAGCCTCCGGAGTAGCTGGGACTACAGGCACCCGCCACCACACCCGGCTAATTTTTTTTTGTATTTTTAGTAGAGACGGGGTTTCACTGTGTTAGCCAGGATGGTCTCCATCTCCTGACCTCGTGATCTGCCTGCCTCGGCCTCCCAAAGTGCTGGGATTACAGGCGTGAGCCACCGCGCCCGTCCTGATTCAGACTTTTTTTAAGGAGCTTTCCTAGAAGCCCCACCCAACAACTTCCATTTGCCATAAATTAGTCACATGCCTGATCTTATTTGCAAGGAAGGCTGGAAAATATAGTTTGCTACCCACAACAAAATCAAGGTGTGGTTAATAAGGAAGAAGGAAAGAATAAATATTACATAGTTAAATGGTTGTTTCTACCTTGTACTTCTTTCCCAAAATGTTGCCATTGCCTGTGGATAGTGAGAATATGGATGGTAATGGGTTGTTTTCATTTAAAATTTTTTTGTATACTGGTTGTTTTATAGCAAATATGTATTATTTTTTAATCAACCACACAGAAATATAATAACCAACTTTATTAATTACCACATGCTAGGCGTGCTCTAAACAGTTTGTGTGGTGTGTGTGTGTGTGAGCATGTGTGTGTTTATGAATTCCTCAAAGTAAATCTTTGAGGTAGATGCTACTGTTATCTCTATTATATATGGGGAAACTGAGGTACATGAAGGTTAAGTGACTTGCCTAATATCATTCATTTAGCCAGTGGGAGAGCCAGTGTTGAAATCCAGGGAATCTAGCTGATAGTCTGCCTTCAGCTCAATGTTGTACTGCCCTTCCTAAAAGAAAATTAAACAAAGAAAATAAAACAAAAAGGCAAATGCTGCTCTTATCAATGATAACACCAGTCTCACTATTTTCACAAAGACAAGAGCTGCATCTCTATCATACTTCATATTATCTTGATGTTGTCTGTGTCAGGTAAGATCCTTGGCTGGGGACCTCCTGCTCACACCATAAAAAAGGAACCATATCCTCCTGAAATCGACCATGTCTCCACCCAGAGGGCAGCAGGCTTGGGCTCCACTCACTTTTAAATACATTTGACATCCTTGGCAGCCCTGGCCATCATCAGTACCACTTAACATATTTCCAAGGAGTCTGGTATGTTTGGGAGTGCCTCCTTGCCTCAGACTAAATTGGCCAATCCACCAAGTGAATGCCTGAATCTCTACTAGGCTGGTTTGAACCTGTTGTGTGTACCTTAAGAATGAAAAATACTAGACATCTGTCACTTCATCCAATTAAGTCCTACCTTGGTTTATTAATAGAACTAAGAGCCTCACATAGGTCACCTGACTCCTTCTTCAGTAGATGCCATTTCAATAGATTTTGCAATCCCTCTGATACCAGCGCCCTCCTTTCTGCCTTCTCAGTTCTTCAAATGATTGCATGAACTAAAATCGCATGAGCTTGAAATTGCATTGACTGTGACTGGTGATATTTGAGAGTTCCAATGTCTCTAAAAAGTCCTGTTCGGTCTGGCATTGAGCCATCTCCAAATGAAAAACCCATTTTCCTGGCAAGAAACAATTGATGTGAACCTAGACTAACATGGTATTAAAAGGGCCTATGAATTTACATAGCTGAAGATTGTTTGCTGGAATCCCAGGTCAGGCAGTGTAAAAAATGTTTTCCCGTGTTGGATATACTGTGCATTGATTTGAGCTTAACTTGGTTTAAATTCTTGCAAGTGGGGTTGCTAGTTCTTATGTTTGGATTTTGTTATCAAAATCTTGGCAATAAATGATTTTAGCCCTATTATATTTTAACACCCTTGAAACCAATGTCTGTGTTAGCTTCCTGCATTAAGAAGGGAGAAAATGCATTACTCCAGAAGTTCCAGAGTTTCTCTTCTCAGAATCCTTTTTGGAATGAAGATAAATTTCATTTTTCACACATCTTTCCTCAATTCAATGCCTCGTAAGTAGTACCAGCTTCTCCTAATGATCTCATCTTCTTTCTGCCCTTTCTCCTTAGGGTCTGTGGACTCCCTATTCCCCACCCAGAGTGGGCCTCAAGGATTTGGGTGAATTGGGGCCACAGGTTTGAGTGGGAAAAAAGACCCCTGCACATTTACTGAATCTGGCAGGCACTTTCATTTAAATTATCCAATTAAATCTCTGTAACAAATCTCTCAGGCTGACATTCTTTCAGATGAGGAAACTGGGACTTCAAATAATAAATTTTCTCTAGGTTCCACAATGAGGCAAGTCCATGAACAGTGTACCTGGTTCACAAGGCTGTGAATGCTGCCTCCTTAAAGCAATCTCTTTACTCTGTTCTGATTCAAAAGCTGCAAGTGCCTCATTACTATCTCTTGCCTTGTTATAAAGATGGAGGGACTATAATTGCATTTAAAGTTCATACCAAGGTGCTGCCATTCTCTCGTAACAGAGACCTCTTGAAGACTAAATATCCAAATAAATGGGTCCTGGCATGGTGGCTCACGCCTGTAATCCCAGCACTTTGGGAGACCAAGGTGGGCGGATTGCCCAAGCTCAGGAGTTCGAGACCAGCCTGGGCAACACTGTGAAACCCCGTCTCTACTAAAATACAAAAAATTAGCCGGGCATGGTGGCGTGCGCCTGTAGTCCCAGCTACTCAGGAGCCTGAGGCAGGAGAATTGCTTGAACCTGGGAGGCGGAGATTGCAGTGAGCCGAGATAGCACCACTGCACCCCAGCCTGGGCGACAGAGACTCTGTAAAAAAAAAAAAAAAAAAAAAAAAAAAATCCAAAGAAACAAAGCCCTAAGAATACATTGCAAGACGTGACATGTTAATGACATGTAAAGTGTTTCACCTCCCCAGAGTGAGTCCTGAGAGGTTTCTGGTGGAAAAGAAGATGGATTTGATTGACCTTTTAGGGATCATTCAAACCCTGTAGTGTAAGGAGCTTAGCCTTGCAGCCCCTGTCCCAGCCCTGGACAGTACCCTCTTTGCCCACTTCTGCAGCTGCTTCTGCTCCCACGGTACAGCTTATTCTTAGCCTAGTGTCCAGATTTTTTCTTTTTCTTTTGGGATAGAGTCTTGCTCTGTCCCCCAGGCTGGAGTGTAGTGGTGTGATCTTGGCTCACTGCAACCTCCACCTCCTGGGTTCAAGCAATCCTCCCAACTCAGCCTCCCCAGTAGCCAGGACTACAAGCATGCACCACCACACCTGGCTAATTTTTTATTTTATTTTATTGTAGGGATGGGGTTTCACCATGTTGCTCAAGCTGTTCTCGAACTCCTGGACTCAAGGTGTCTGCCCACCTCGGCCTCCTAAAGTGTTGGGATGACAGGCATGAGCCACCGCATCCACCCCGTGTCCAGATTTTTGTGTGTTTGTCGTATGCTGGTCCATAGTGTCCATAGTCCCTCTTCCTCAGCATTATGCTCCTAGTTCTTTCTGAAAATATAATTCATAACCTATGATCTTTCACTCCTGTTTCACATTTAAAAAAAATTGATCTCCTTTGTAAATCTGTGCAATCTGCGCGTTATCATGTACTTACTGACATGTTCTTTTTTTCTGTTGGGCTATGAGGGTTGAGGGATCCACAAAAGGAAGAACAAGGTCTTCTTCCAGCCTTGTCTGTCTGGCTTCTCCAGGCTTGCTGAGCTATAACTGGTCTTTCTTCTGATTTTCAAGCACACCAAGCTCCTTCCCACCTTAGGGCCTTCACACTTGCTGTTCCCTCTGCCTAGAAAGCTCTTCTTGGGCGTCTTCCCACAGCAGGCTCCTTCTAATCAACAGGTATCAGACGTCACCTCTCTGGGAGACTTGTTCTGATTCCATATAAAGGAACCACCAACCTCCAGCCACTCCATCACATCCATTTGTTTTGTTTTCTTCATAGCACTTATCTATTTCATGTTATCACATCTATTTTGATCCTTTAAAAATAATCTGTCTTAACTTCATGAGAACAGGGACCTTGTCTTTTTCACCGCTACATCCCAGCACCTAGAAAAGTGGCTCGCACATAGTAGTAAATAAATATTGATTAATACATGAATGAATAGTGGTACTCAATACATGTTAGTTGAACTAACATGAATAAATGACAGAATTTGGTTTCGCTTTCCTCTGAACACCCACAACCACACCTCTCAGCATAATTACCAACTCCTCCATATTGCAATAGTTTTATTTCTCTGAGTAGGCTTGGAGCTCAAGTAGGTAAGCACACTGTCTAATTTATCTACATATCCTTCCTAAACCCAGCAGAGTGCCTTTCACGTTGTAACTTCTCAATAAACGTCCTTCCATTTTCTGGTGACTATCAGAGCCCAAGAAATGCTGTCTGGGTTCTTACCAGTGATGTGGCCAACACACATTCTGTCCTTATACATAAGCATGGTCATGCTGTGTGATATGATTGCACAGGGTAGAAAAGCATGCCCTGGATGGCCAGCTCCTTCTATTCATGCTTCTGGGTCTCGGAGCCAAATGTGCTGAGAGGAGTCATAAGAGCTATGTTGTTCATGGATAGGAAAATCAACAATGTCAGTTGCCTTGTTTCCAATAACCTTGTGCTGATTTTTTAAATGTCAACAGATCATTGGGGTATCTTTAAAAAGCAGCCTCAGTGACGCCTAGATTCCTGTGCCCCATTGTGACTCAGCAATCAAATCCATGTATAACTAGAGCTTGGATGATTTTCCCACTAATGTGCTTGTTAACTTATATATAGGCCAAAATTGTCTGCTGTTTTCGCTTTGCCTAGTTTATCCTTGTCATTTTGACATCTCACTCCCCATAAAAATGTAGTATCATTTTCAAATGTAGAGATTTTACTGTCTTTTCCAAAACATAATAAACCATTAAATTGGACTGACCCAGAATTGCTTCCTCAGGAAATACCACAATTTACACTTCTCCATTTAATAATGTCTCTGCCCTACTACCTTGATGTTAATTCTTTTCTCATAGTGAAACCCTAGGCTAACTCAACTAAGGAATAGCTATTGGTGTGAAAATTTTTCAAAGATTTTTCCAAAAATCAAATAAATTCATTATTTCTCCCCTTTCTCTGTAAATTTGCTTTCCTTCTGAAAGAATAGTCAAGAATGATTTATTCTTATAGACACTGAGTTGGCTTTTCTTTAACTGACAAATATTCAGTAATCCTTAGTCCTTTTATTTATTCACATTGCTGCCAGTGTGCAGAGATTGCTTTTTTTTTTTTTTTTTTTAGATGGAGTCTTGCTGTCTTGCTCTGTCACCAGGCTGGAGTGCAGTGGCATTATCTCGGCTCACTGCAACCTCCGCTTCCTGGGTTCAAGCAATTCTCCTGCCTCAGCCTCCCAAGTAGCTGGGACTACAGGCATGCACCACCACGCCCAGCTAATTTTTGTATTTTTAGTAGAGACAGGATTTCACCATGTTGGCCAGGATGGTCTTGATCGCTTGACCTTTTGATCCACCCGCCTTGGCCTCCCAAAGTGCTGGGATTACAGGTGTGAGTCACGGCGCCTGGCCCAGATATCTCCCTTTTAGAGGCTTGACCCCTCCCACTATCCCTTCAGCCAGGGAAAATAATGATTAAGTCTAGCAACTCAATTTTCAACCTTTTTCGGTTAAACATAAGATACAGGTACAAGAGAGAGTTTAAAAAAAAATTACCGGATGGATGTGGTGACTCACGCCTGTAATCCTAGCACTTTGGGAGGCCAAGGTAGGTGGATCACGAGGTCAGGAGTTATGTATATATACTATATACTCTCTCTCTGTCTCTCTCTCTCTCTCTCTCTCTCTCTCTCTCTCTCTATATATATATATATATATATATATATATATATACGTATGTATGTATATACTGTAGCTGGGACTATAGGTGCATGCCACCACATCCGGCTAATTTTTGTATTTTTAGTAGACACTGGGTTTCGTCATGTTGGCCAGGCTGGTCTCGAACTCCTGATCTCAAGTGATCTGCTCACCTCGGCCTCCCAAGGACTGGGATTACAGGCATGAGCCACTGTGCCTGGCCCTACCTTATATTTTTAAAATTCATTTTATTACAAGATAAAAAATTGTTGTCCATTTGCACATCCAGCCATTGGTAAACATGTGAGAAAATTAGTTTTAAAAAGTGAGCCTATCAAAATTATCATATTTTTCAACACCCAGTTAAATATTTCACACAGGCTTTTCTTTTCCTTTTCTCCTTTCTCCAGTTTTGCTTCTAACTGATTCTGTTATTCTCCTCCTATCAAAATATTGTTACAGCTCTTTCATCAGCTTTTTTTAATCCTGTAATAAAATGATTTACATTTTTATTTTCTTCTTATCCCCATCTCAATAATTCTGTATTTAGTTTAATTGCTTATAGCCAGTAGTTGGTCTAGTAAATAATTTTAACTTGAAATACTCATTCAGCTTCTATTTTATGGTCATTGATGTCACTTTTAGAAGTTTTAAATGGACTTTAATGCATTATTCCTTTTTTAAGAACTTGAAATGCTAGTAACTCTTACAGAAGTTTAAACCTATTATTCACTAGCATACTTCTCTAAACAATGAGCAAATAAGCCATTTAATCTTTTTTTTATTCTGCTCTTTTGATAGAAACTTAGTACTCTTGATTTGTTAATAAGGCAAATACATTTTCCTTTGAAAGACATGACAGGTGCTGTTCTTGTGCATAGATTCATAACTAGAAATTCTAAGCTCCCAAGTAACAGTTTTCGAGAGGCTGGAGAATGCTCCTTTAACCTTCATTAATTGCAAAATAAACAGATCCATGAAGCTAAACTTTCAGGAATCTGCACTAGATGTTCAAAGCTTTTTAATGTTCTGAAAAGTCATCAAATACAACCCTTGGGTGGATTTGGTTATTGTTTGTTTGTTTTTAACAGCTTTATTGAGATATAATTCACATACCATAAAATTCACCCTTTAAAGTGTGTGATTCGGTGGCCTTTAGTACGTTCACAAATATGTGCATTACCATAGTCAATTTTAGAACATGTTCATCATCTCGAGAAGAAACCCCCTATTCTTTAGCTATCTGCTCTCTCACTGTCTTCCCCCTGTCCTCCCCTGCCCTAAGCAACTATTAATCCAGGTTTTTTCTTTATAGATTTCTCTATTCCGGACTTTTATATAAATGGAATCCTATGGTATGTAGTCTTTTGTGACTGGTTCCTTTCCCTTACTGTAATGTTTTCAAGGTTCATCTATGTTATGGCAGTATATCAGTACTTTGTTCTGTTTTATGGCCCAGTAACATTTAATTACATAGATGTACCACATTTCATTTATCTGTTCATTAGTTGATGGACATTGGGTTGTTTCCACCTTTTGGCTCTTATAATAATGCTGCTACAAACATTTGAATACAAGTGTCTGTGTGGACAGATGTTTTTATTTCTCTTGGGCATATACCTAATAGTGAAATCACTGGGTCTTATGGTAATCTTATGTTTAATAGTTTGAGGAGCACCCAGACTGTCTTCCAAAGTGGTTGTGCCATTTTACATTCCCACTAGTAGTGTGTGAGAGTTCTAATTTTTCCACGTCTTCGCTAACACTTAATTGCTATTTGACTTTTTTATTCTAGCCATCCTACTGTGTGAAATGGTATCTCACTGTGGCTTCAGTTTGCGTCTCCTTGATGACTAATGATGTCAACCATTTTTTCATGTGCTTATTGGCCATTTATTTGTATCTCTTTCTTGGTAAACATCTATTCAGACATTTGCTCATTTTAAAATTGTGTTATTTGGCTTTTTATTATTAAGTTGAAAGAACTCTTTTTTTTTTTTTTTGAGATGGAGTCTCACTCACTCTGTCACCCAGGCTGGAGTGCAATGACATGATCTCAGCTCACAGCAACCTCCACCTCCCAGGTTGAGACCTCAGCCTCCTGAGTAGCTGTGGGATTACAGGCACCTGCCATTACTGCATGGCCTTTTTTTTTTTTTTTTTTTTTTGAGATGGAGTCTCTCTCTTTTCGCCCAAGTTGGAGTGCAGTGGTGTGATCTCGGCCCACTGCAACCTCCGCCTCCTGGGTTCAAACTTCTCCTCCCTCAGCCTCTTGAGTAGCTGGGATTAGAGGCACCTGCCACAATGCCCAGCTAATTTTTGTACTTTTAGTAGAGACGGAGTTTTGCCACGTTGGCCAGGCTGGTCTCGAACTCCTGACCTCAGGTGATCCACCCACCTCGGCCTCCCAAAGTGCTGGGATTACAGGCGTGAACCACCATGCCCGGCCTAATTTTTGTATTTTCAATAGAGATGGGGTTTCATCATTTTGGCCAAGCTTGTCTCAGACTCCTGATCTCAAATAATCCTCCCACCTCAACCTCCCAAAGTGGTGAGATTACAGATGTGAGAGATGTGAGTCACTGTGCCCAGCCTGAAAGCCTCCTTTATATAGTCTAGATACAAGCCCCTCAACACAAAAGTTCTTAATGTTGACAATGTCTAATATATCTATTTTTTCTTGTGTTGCTCTTGCTTTTGTTATCATATCTAAGAAGCTATGGCTGAATCCAAGGTCATGAAAATATACCCCTATATTTTCCTCTAATAGTTTATAGTTTTTGCTCTTCTATTATGTCACTAACCAATTTTGAGTTAATTTTTAAAAATAGTGGGAGGTAAGGGTCCAGCTTCATTCTTTTGCATGTGGCTATCCAGTGTCTCAGCACCATTTATTGAAAAGACATTCTTTCCCCATTGAATGATCTTGGTTCTTTTGTCAAAAATCAGTTGATTGGCCATAGATATATAAATTTATTTCTAGACTCTCTGATCCATATGTCTGTCCTTGTGCCTGCACCACACTGTCTTGATTACTGTTGCTTTGTAGTAAGTTTTGAAATTGGGAAGTATGAGTCTTCCTACTTTATTCTTCTTTTTCAAAATTGTTTTGGCTACTCTGGATCCCTTGAACTCTATATGAATTTAAGAATCAGCTTGTAGATTTGTTCAAAGCTGTCAGGTGAGATGATATTGGAATTGCATTGAATCTATAGATCAGTTTGGAGAGTATTAACATTTTGTTGTTGTTGTTGTTGTTGTTGTTTTGAGACAGCGTCTCACTCTGTCACCCAGGCTGGAATGCAGTGGCGTAATCTCAGCTCACTGCAATCTCCGCCTACCAGGTCCAAGTGATTCTTGTGCCTCAGCCTCCCCAGCAGCTGGGATTACAGGTGCACACCACCACGCCTGGCTAATTTTTGTATTTTTAGTAGAGACGGGGTTTCGCCATATTTGCCAGGCTAGTCTCAAACTCTTGACCTCAAAGTGATCTGCCCACCTTGGCCTCCTAAATTGCTAGGATTACAGGTGTGAGCCACCGTGCCCAGTTTTGGAGAGTAGTAACATGTTAACAATGTTAAGTCTTTTGATCCATGAACATGGGACATTTTATTCATTTATTTAGATCTTCTTTAATTTCTTTACAGAACGTTTTTAGTTTTCAGAGTATAAGTTTTGTGCTTTTTTTGTTAAATTTATTGTAAATGAGTTTTTTATAATTTTATTTTTAAATGATCATTGCAAGTATATAAAAATACAATTAATTTTTGTATATTAATCTTGTATCCTGCAGCATTGCTGAATTCATTTGTTAACTGTAATTTTTTAGTGGATTTCTAAGGATTTTCTATATACGAGATTACATCATCTTTAAAAATAGTTTTAGGCCCGGCATGGTGGCTCATGCCTGTAATCTCGGCATTTTGGGAGGCAGAGTTGGGCAGATCACTTGAGGTCAGGAGTTCGAGATCAGCCTGGCCAACATGGTGAAACCCCATCTCTATTAAAAATATAAAAATTAGCTGGACATTGTGGTGGGCACCTGTAATCCCAGCTACTTAGGAGGCTGAGGCAGGAGGATCACTTGAACCCGGGAGGCAGAGGTTGCAGTGAGCCGAGATCATGCCATTGCACTCCAGCCTGGGTGACAGAACAAGCCTCCATCTCAAAAATAAATAAATAAATAAATAAATATAGTTTTACTTCTTCCTTTCCAATCTCAATGTCTTTTATTTCTTTTTCTTGCCTAGTTACATTCATATTCATAAGAGATATTGGTCTATAGTTTTCTTGTGGTATGTTGGTGTGATTTTGATATCTAGGTAATATTGATCTCACAGAATGATTTGGGAAGTGTTCCTGCCTCTTCTATTTTTGGAAGAGTTTGTGAAAAATTGGTATTCCTCATGGAATGTTTGGTAGAATTCAGTGGGGATAACATGTGGGCCTGGGTCTTTCTTTATGAGCATTATAAAAAATTACAAACTAATTATTCATTACTAATTCCTAATTCATCTTTCTGACATATAGTTCTATTCAGACTTTCTATTTCTTCTGGAGTCAGTTTCAGTAGTTTGTATCTTTCTTTTGGTTCCTGATTCTGTCTGAGCTTCCCCACTTCATTATCTCTAAGTGTTGACAGATGTGATGAATCAGCACTAGCATTGTGGAGCACAAATGAGTGTGGCTAGATGCAAGACCTGGATGGATTAAAAAGCAGTCAGGGGTCAGCAACCCATGGAGCAATAGAAGCCAGAATGTGCATTAGCAGAGAAGTCAGGACCAGCCATAAAATAGAGCCAGTGGGAAACTAGACCCAGAGGGAAAGTAAGAACGAGGAGGTGTGCAAAGCAGGGGAAGGAAAACAGCAATAGAAGAAAACACAGACCAAGGCTTAGGCAGACAGACCAGAGACCAGCAGTAAGAACAGAGCTCACTCCCTGGTACTGAACCAACTTCTGCCTCAATCCAAGACCTTTTCTGAACTGTGTTGAAGGCAGGAACCACTCCTGAGCTTGGTGCCATGGGACTCAAAGATACAGATATGTGGGACCTATCTGACAATATTAGGTAATGAAATAATTAGGTATTTCAATTAGTGATAATTGAAATAATGTGAGAGCCCTAAAAAGATCTATACAACCTGCTCAAGTCATACCCTATACCAAATTCTTTTAAGCGTGAGAGTGATACCCTAGGAAAAATTAATTTAATATTAATATATATATAATTTCATATTCCTTAGAACTACACATGACTATACCAAACAATGCACAATTAGATTGACATTTTATATGTCCCAGAAAGAAGAAATTTTTTTTCATATTTTGGAATATAAAAGCTGAGCCTTTATTCCAAGTTAATTATCTTCCAAAAAGAATGGGTAACATAAATCCATTAAATGAATAAAAGAAGTAAAATGGAAAATATTTTTGATTACACATTTGATTAAAGTATTTAGTATGATGTGTATCTGGAAAAAATGGTCCCTTGAGGAATACAAATTCCAAGTAACATGGGGTTTATTTTAAAGGGAGAAAGCCACAGCTATGCTAATAATCCCTTTTAAGATTCTGTGGATAACATGAGACCCACAGTAGTATCTTACATAAACATGTAAGGAGATTTGAGAGAAACACAAAAATAAACTGTGAGAATTGCCCCTGCAAAGTTTTTTCCACCCTCTGGCTTTTTTTTAAATCTCAAGGAAAAGATGAGAGTAGAAAAGATAAAGGAAATTAAATCAGAAGAGTGAATTGTCAACTATGTCCTTGAAGAACATATTAGTAGATAGGTATAGGGATAGATTGATTATTTGATTTATTATTAACTGGGTCAGGGTGTTTTTACTTGAAAGTCCCCAAAGCCAGTGTAAATTAGCTTAGCTCCAGGCTGGGCACAGTGGCTCACCCCTGTAATCCCAGCACTTTGGTAGGCCAGGGTGAGTGGATCACCTGAGGTCAGGAGTTTGAGACCAGCCTGGACAACATGGTGAAACCCCACCTCTACTAAAAATGCAAAAATTAGCCAGGCATGGTGTGGGCACCTGTAATCCCAGCTGCTCGGGAGGCTGAGACAGAATTGCTTGAACCTGGGAGGCGGAGGTTGCAGTGAGCCAAGATCACGCCATTGCACTCCAACCTGGGCAACAAGAGCAAAACTCTGTTACAAAAAAAAAAAAAGAAAATTAGCTTAGCTCCAAAGGCAACTTGTTAGTTCATAGAATTGCAAAGTCTAAGAGATGTAGCTGAATGCTATACATCATTCTCTTGTCTTTCTGTCTCTTGGCTCTGCCTTCTTCTTTCTTTTTCTTTTTCATTTATTTATTTATTATTTAAGAGCAGATTTCACTCTGTTTCCAAGGCTGGAGTACAGTGATACAATCATAGCTCACTACAGCCTCGAACCTCTGGGCTCAAGAGATCCTCACACCTTAGCCTCTAGCTAAGTAGCTAGAACTACAGGTTTGCACCACCATGCCTGACTGTTTAAAAAAATGTTTTTGTAAAGACAAGGTATCTTCAAAAAAAATTTAAAAGCCTGATATGTGGACTAGGCTGGTCTCAAACTCCTGGCCTCAAGCGATTCTCCTGCCTCTACCTTCCACAGTGTTGGGATTATAGGCATAAGCCACCATGCCCTACCCCTCCTTTTTCTATTCCTCCTCACCCTCCTTTCCTCATCCTTCTCTGTCTTCTCCTTCTCTTCTTCTTTTTTTAACCTCATGTTTCTTCACTCTAAAAATGGATTTTTCCGTGTAGTTGAGGAAGATAGTTTTTGACAAAAATGCAGTTTCATACTCCTTAGAGCTAATTGTTGATTACATTAAGGAACACACTTCAGGCCAGTAGAGCTGTAGTAACACAGAAGGCAAGATAAGATGCTCAGAGAATGGTCATATCTGAAGGCCCCTCTGACTCTGCAACCTCTGTCTTTTCAACCATGACCTTGCCACAAGAGCCTTTCTCTATACTAGCGTGGGCTCGAGGAACTTCCGCACATTGCCTGAAGATGAGAATGGCTTCAGTTCATTCGACATTCACCCACTAAACACATGCTCTTAAGCTCCTACTCTGTTTGGGCTCTGGAGTACAGAGAACAGTAAGATAGATGACTCCCTGTCCTCATGGAAATTATACTTAAGTCAGTGCTGATGGTTGGGGGTGTTGCTTCCCTAGAATGGTGAAGGCCTCTTTGAGATGTGACATCTCAATGTGAGCATTGAGCTCAGATGCTTAAAGGTGAGGAGGTTTTAGCTATATGAAGATCACTTTCTAGGAGAGCAGAGAAAATCTCCTAGGAGATGCCAGGTGAGCTTCTGACTTAATCACAAGAAGGAGCTGGGCATGTGAAGGTTACACACCTGCCACACTTTCATAATTGAGTTCCTCACCCTCTCTCACCATTGTGGCTGCAGTAATCTCTTGGACAATCTTCTTGATTCTGAAGGGCCCTGGAGCTGCCTTTCTAAAATGCGGCTCTGATCATGACACTCTCCTGTTTAAACCCTTCCACTGCCCCAGGTTAAACTCTGAACCCCCAGGCACACAGGTGTGGTTGATGACCCGGCCCCTGTGCTCCTCACCAGCCTCATTCTTGCTGCCCACCACGCACTGCACGTCGCAGTCACACTGAAATCACTGGTGTTCCTCTTTCATGACAGGCCCTTTTACATCTTCATGCCTTCGTACATACTGCTCCAACACCCGAAATTCCCTTCCTTCTTTGGCCCTCATTCCCTGTGTAATCAATACTCATTCTTGAAAGATGTCACCTCCTTTAGGAAACCTCTGACTACCCCCAAGCTGGGTTGGATGTCTGTGCTGTGCGCTTGTAAGCCCCATGAGCTTACCTTAATCATATCATCTTATTGTAATTTTCTGCTTCTTGGCTTCCTCCTCCATTAGACAGTAATCTCTCTGAAGACAGGGTCCTTGTCCCAGCCCAATACCCAGAGCAGAGGAGACTCACAGTAAACATTTAAATACAAGTGTAGTGGCATGTTGACTGTAGTCCCAGCTACTTAGGAAGCTGAGGAGGGAGGATTGCTTGAGTCCAGGAGTTCAAAGCTGTAGTGTGCTATGATTGTCCCTGTGAATAGCCATTGCACTACAGCCTGAGCAACATAGACTCCATCTCTAAAAAAATTAATTAAATAAATAATAAATACGTAAATCATTTTTTTAAATCTACACAGAAACCAAAGTGCGGAAGGTGAATTATAGACTTCACCTTGCAGAAAACCGAATAAATGATGTATAGGGCAAATTTGAGAAACATTTCATAGGAAACCCATAAAAGTGATAAAGAGATAAAAATGAAAATTATGAGATTGAATAATAGATACAGAAAGTGTTGAACAGTTGTTTCTTTTCTGTTTTGCAGGCATATTTTCCTTTCAGTAACCTCTCATGCCATACCTAGTGTGTATAGCAATCATTTGACCCCCTGATTCCTGCCACAGGAATGGGCCTGTAACCCAGGCTGACCACCCTATTCCTTTGGACCTGGAAATTGAACAAGGAGTAAAAATAATCCCCACCCCCACCTCCAAGGAGGGCCAGTTAGCAATTTATGAAGAGATTGATACGGATCTCTTTTGGTATCTGAAATTATGAGCTTCTAAGAGCACTTTTGTTGTCAAGCAGAGCAAGCTCACCTGAGAATTAAGCCAAAGCAGAAAAAGGATTGCTGAAAAGTAGAAAGCTGGCATCTGTCTCTATTCAGTTTGAACCCTTGCATCCATCTATATCTGAAGTCAGGTCTCCCAAACTTCTCAGTTATGTGAGACCTAACTGTTTGGTTTACTTGCAATCATAAGATAAATATTGGTAACTAGAAGTGGAGTGCAGCAAGTCTTAGGCCCTAACATGAAGAACTGGGTGAGTTGAGGTATGTAAGTGGGAATAAGGATTCTTCTGTCCCCATCTAAGAACTGAACACTTGGATTATAGGGTAACCACACATGTTATATTTGAGAAATCTGATCATGTGCCTTCTATAGCTAGTGCTTTAGTGACTTGTAGAAAATATACAGATATTGGAATAAGTTGATGATTTTTTATGCTTTTAAGAATTTCTTTTTTTTTTTTTTTTTTGAGATGGAGTCTCACTCTGTCACCCAGGCTGTAGTGCAGTGGCGTGATCTCGGCTCACTGCAAGCTCCGCCTCTTGGGTTCACGCCATTCTCCTGCCTCAGCCTCCTGAGTAGCTGGGACTACAGGTGCCAGCCACCACGCCCAGCTAATTTTTTGTATTTTTAGTAGAGACGGGGTTTCACCGTGTTAGCCAGGATGGTCTCGAACTCCTGACCTCGTGATCTGCCTGTCTCGGCCTCCCAAAGTGCTAGGATTACAGGCTTGAACCACTGTGCCTGGCTGCTTTTAATAATTTCAAGAAAATTACAGCCTTCATCAAGCAGTTAAACATGCTATTGGCATATGGCTCAGCAATTCCACTCCTAGGTATTCCACAAGAAATGCAAACACATGTCCACATCAAAGCTTGTACATGAATGTTTACAGCAATATTATCATAATAGCCAAGAGTAAGAAACAACCAAATGTCCACCAACTAATGAATGGTTGAGGAAAATGTAGTACATCCACACAAAGGAATATTATCCAGCAATAAAAGGAGAAGTTCTGATATATGCTACCACAAGGATGAACCTTGACAATGTTATGCTAAATGAAAGAAGCCAGTCACAAAGCACCACATTTTATATGATTCCATTCATATGAAATGTCCAGAATAGGTAAATCTGTAGAGACGGAAAGTAGATGTGTGGCTCACACCTGTAATCCCAGCACTTTGAAAGGCCGAGGCAGGCGGATCACCTGAGGTCAGGAGTTCGAGACCAGCCTTACCAACACGGAGAAGCCCCATCTCTACTAAAAATACAAAATTAGCCAGGCATGGTGGCGCATACCTGTAATCCCAGCAACTTGAGAGGCTCAGGTGGGAGAATCACTTGAACCCAGAAAGCGGAGGTTGCAGGGAGCACTGAGAAGTCACCATTGTACTCCAGCCTGGGCAACAAGAGCGAAACTCTGTCTCAAAAAAAAAAAAGAAAAAAAAAGTAGATTAGTAGTTGCCAGGGACTGGGAGGGATGAGGGAATTGAGAGGTGAGTGCTAGGTTTCTTTGGAGTGATAAAAATGTTCTAAAATGGATTATGGTGAGGGATGCACAACTATGTGAAGATATTAAAAAGTCATTGAACTTTACACTTTAAATGAGTGAATTGTGCGGCATGGAAATTATATCTCTATACAACTGTTTTTTTAAACAAGAAGGCTTTAACCTAAACAGCATGCTGAATAAACAGCATGCTGAAGGGGAATGACATATAGCTCTGTGGAGAGGCCCTTTCTGTCTGTAACCAGCAAGATATCTGAGATACCTGTAGGATAACTAAGAAGCAGCTGATCATGTGCATTTGGAGAAGTCTAAGGACTCTATTCCCTACTTGAACCTGGAGCTAAAGTTAGTGAGAGGTAAGGTAGGCAGGTGGGAATTGCAGAAGATAAAACTGGCTGGGGTTAAGTAAGCACATAATTAGGAAGAAATATTTTTAAAAGTAAAAACAAACAAACAAAAAAAAACCTTTTTTTTAAAAAAAGAGGGAAAAAGATCCTGGCTGTGGTAGAAGCTTGACCCCCAGGCCTCCTCCAGACACCTCCTGCTGTTACTTCTCAGCACTACAAAGGTGACAGTAATTCTGCTACTAAAGACAACCACTGGGATGTGGTCTGAGAAAGACTACTGGATCTTGGGGTGTTGGGACACAGCCAGGAACAATACAGTTAAACCAAGAGCGAGGCGTATGGGCACAGCATCAAGGTCTGTGGCAAAGAGAAAAAGCCATTGGGCTGTGGGTTCGGGTTCAAAATTCAGGACCTGGCAGATCTTTGGCTTTGGTTACTAGCTCATGGAGTTGACAGTGCAAGATTCACCCTACTGCTAGGGCAGACTCCTTACTTTTTCTTTTAGCAGCACAGGTATATGCTATAGAATGGTGGCCACTGGAAATTGGCTCTCAGTTTTCAAATAAGAGGTTTTGTTGTGGTCTTCTGATTCACCTCATATATTGCAAAACTGAGTATTCAGGCCAGAGCACAGTGGCTATTCACAGATGCAATCATAGCGTGCTGCAACCTCAAACTCTTGGCTTCAAGCAGTTTTCCCACCTCAGCCTCCTGAGTAGCTGGGACTACAGGTACTCGCCACTGTGCCCAGCCTATATTTTTAATTTATCCATTGGTTATTAAATGAAGAGTCATATCTAGACCTAAAATTCTGGGACTTTAGAGCACAATATGGTGACTAGATGAGTTTTGAGGTTTCTTCTTTTGGGGAGAAAGAGAGTGTGTTTTCATTTGTGGAAGAAAAATTTGCATTGTCATGGGGGGGCACTTTTTAAAGTATATGAAAATGTGTGTGTGTGTGTGTGTGTGTGTGTGTGTAGGATCCTGAATAGTTTAGGAATGAAACGGACATCAACTCTATCTTTGTGGTTTCAGCACCTTTTGTGTTTGGGAACAGTCTCTCCACATCCAGTGGACATATGGTACATGCCCCTCAATACCTGATTGGTCTTGGATACATCATATAATAAAACCAATTAGAATCTTTTTATTGTGTGGAATTTATAGGGCTTTGGGGGAGGAAAAACCTTTCTTCTTGTGATATTTCAAGCACTAAGTAACCTATACGCTTGGAGCTACTGGGAACTAGTTTTGCTGCCATTTTCAAATAATCTGCCAGAAAACAAAGCTCTCCCAGAAAACAGGACCAAGGGGGCAAAGACTTATGTATGTTTTGTTCACTGCGGCATCCCAGCACTTAGAACAGTGTCTGGAACATAGTAGTTGCTTAATAAATGTTAGTTAAATGAATAAAATCAGAACTGAAAAATAGGAAGAGAGAAAGAATGCCTGTGTCATGGTTTGAACTTTTGCTTCCATTTGTTTCTAGAGTCAGCTCTATTCCTTGGCCTTCCCAGGGACATGGGTGAACAAATTTGTTTTATTCTAGTGAGTGTGGCAGACACTATCAATTGGTTCACTCAATACTGCTCCAACCCCATACTAATGAGACTTCGTGTACATCAGAGGCTGGAAGATGGAAGTCTACATTACCCATAGACCTTTGCAGTGAGGATTTCTGCATGGGATGTAGCATCCATCACATAGATGCATCTGAATGAGATTTGGAAGAGGGTTATGGGTCCTATGAGGTGGCTATTCCAGCAGCACAGTGGCAGAGGCATTTTGGTGCTTTTGCAGCAGCTGTCAGAAGCTCTGATGTCTTGTCAGTTCCTAGCTCTGTGCAACCAGCAGTGACAACAGCAACTTCCTACTCTGGCAACTTTCTTGACCATGGCTTAAAGGCAGCCTGGTCTTTAAGTCAGTAGTGGTGCAGCGGCAGTGGTAGCAGCAACTTTGCTGAGGTAGATTTCAATGTAGCTCCAGGAGTTCCTGAAAGTCCAGCCTCCTGCTACAAGTCTTCCAATCATTCTGCAGCAAGTTAATACACTTTAGTAAGTATCTCTCTGCTTAAACTGGCTTCAATGAATTCTTTTGCCCACAATTGAATGCTGATCAATTTGAAGTTGATTTTCTGTCATTAGCAACTGCAAGAGTCCAGACTAACTGTGTAGAACTTATAAAGGTAAAAATAACAAAGGAAGCAGAAATAATAAGAAAACATATGAGAAAACTTCCAAGTATATGAACGTGGAAAAATGGTTACTTTCAGCGGAAAAATATCAGATTGGCCTCAGGCTTCTGAGTAACACCAAATACCATAAAACAATAAAGCAATACCCATAGAAACTGAGGGTGGGAGTGCTGTCATGTGTGATGTCAAAAGAATGGCATTCTCAGTTATAAAAGATCTCAGAATTAGACCATCTATGTGTTCTGTCTGAAAAGTTTCTTAAAGATGAGCTCTATTACATTGAGAGACTCGTCAAAACTTAAGAATTTAAGAATGAGGAAGTTGTGGTAGAAAAGAACTGCTGACATGTAACAAAATCAAGTAAGCACATAAGACATAAAATTGATAAATATATTATAAAACTGAATGCAAAACAAAAACTCAGTGAAATAAATACGTGGTTTAAAAAAATAAGTCGGTATAGCTAGTAGGGTTCTTGCAAGTAACAGAAATGAACTCTAAGTAAAAAAAGAAAGTTATTAGAGGGCCATGATGTAGCCATAGAATCGAGGCAAAAACTATAGAATAGGGTCTCAGAGAGGATAAGAACCAGAGCAAGTCCAGGGATCCAGAAGGAACTAAGTGACAATCTCAAGTCATTGCCACTGGGATGCTCTGCTCCAACCATTGTCAGTTTTTGTCACGTGAAAGCAAAGTGCTTCTGGTGTACTTTGCTTATTGGAAAGTAGAAAAAACACTTCCTAGCTCCAAAGCTGTATACCAGTGACTGAAGCTGTAGCATTTTGCCCCAGTGCATATTTAGAAGAACAGCTGCAGTTGGAATAACCATCTGATCATGCTAGCAATAATCATTGACATTCTTTAAGACTGTGTTTGGGCCGGGCACAGTGGCTCACACCTGTAATCCCAGCACTCTGGAGGCTGAGGCAGGAGGATACCTTGAGCTCAGGAGTTGGAGACCAGCCTGGCCAACATGGTGAAACCCCATCTCTACAAAAAGTACAAAAATTAGCTGAGCATGATGGTGCGGGCCTGTAATCCCAGCTACTGGGGAGGCTGAGGTGGGAGGATGGCTTGAGCCCAAGAGGTAGAGGTTACAGTGAACCGAGATTGCACCAAGGCACTTCTGCTTGGGCAACAGAGCCAATCCCTGTCTCAAAAAAAACAAAAACACACACACACAAAACCAAGCTGTGTTGGGATACTGTCAGCCCCCTTGCAGGCTGTGTTCTCTTCTATTTCCTTTCTTCTCATCTTATTGGCTAGAATGACATCATATTCCCATAGCTGAACCAATTATTGCAAAGATAATGAAATTATTTAGATTTGGACATAGTCTAATTAAGATTTCTTCTCATGTAATGGGAAGGAGTTTGGTCTCCTTGAAGCCCATGGCTGTTTTATAATTTTAAAATAAAAAAGGTAGGACTGGGCATAGTGGCTCACAATTTTTTACTTGCTAAACAAAATGCCTTTTTAAATTTTATTTTATTTTAGAGACAGGGTCTGTTCTGTCGCCCAGGCTGGAGTGCAGTGGCACAACCATAGCCTTGAACTCCTGGGTTTAAGTGATTCTCCCACCACAGCCTCCTGAGTAGCTAGGACGAATGTGCCACTGCACCTGGCTTAATTAATTCATTTTTCTAAGAGACGCAGTCCCATTTTGTTGGCTATGCTGGACTTGAACTCCTGGGCTCAAGCGATACTCCCACTCGGCCTCCCAAAGCGCTGGAGTAGCTGGGATTACAGGCATGCACCATCACGCCCGGCAAATTTTTGTCTTTGTAGTAGAGACGGGGTTTTGCCATGTTGGCCAGGCTGTTCTTGAACTTCTAACCTCAAGTGATCCACCCGCCTCAGCCTCCCAAAGTGCTGGGATTACAGGCGTGAGCCACCAGGCACGGCTTCCATCCCTCTTTCCACAAAGATTTATTCAGATAAGCCAGTTGTTGTTTCAGGCGTAAACTAAATCATTGCCTGCTAGGGAATGGTCAAGCCGACAGTTTGAGCCAATGACAAGAAGAGGTTGTGGAAGCATTCTGGAAGAGGAGGTTTCTCCTTCTTATATAAAGGAGCTACCAAAAGATAGTATTTTTCTCCTTTGGGGCAGTTTTGTGTAAGATTTGGAGCTTGGCAAATTCGGCAGCCATTGAAGTCTTAGGAAGCAGCTGACACTGCCTATGTCAGAATGAAGAGGCAGAAAAAGAAAACATAAAACAAGTGAATAAACAAAAACTCCAATGTCTTTCATGTCAGTACTGAGCCACCAACTCAAAGCAAATCCTAAATTTGGAATTGCTCTATTTCAGGGTCTTTCAGTTAAATGGGCCCTTTGTTGAGTAAGGCAGTTTGGGCTGGATCATCAATTGCTTGCAATATAAAGAAGCCTAACTGATGCAGAGTTATAGAAACAGAGATCTAACTTTATTTTATGTATTCCAAAAAGTCACCTGTTTCATCCTAATTTATTGAGTGATCTGTTCTCTGTGATGTAAAATGTCACTTTATCATAAACAACATTTCCAGATAAAAATGGTTATGTTCTGGGCTTATTATTTATTATATATTATATATATTAATTTATCTATATCTAAGTTAATACCACTTTATTTATTTATTTATTTTTAGGGAGTCTTACTCCATTACCCAGGCTGGAGTACATGGTAGCATGATCTTGGCTACTGCAGCCTCCACGTCCCAGGCGCAAGCAATCTTCCCACCTTAGCCTCCTGAGTAGCTGGGACCACAGACGTGCTAATTAGCTAAGGACCATGCCTAGCTAATTTTTTTTGTATTTTTGACAGAGACAGGGAGGTTTCACCATGTTGCCCAGGCTGGTCTCAAACTCCTGAGCTCAAACAATCCACCTGCCTCGGCCTACCAAGTGCTGAGATTACAGGCATGAGCCACTGTGCCCAGCCAATACCACACTGTTTTAATTTCCATTGTTTTGTTTTGTTTTTGAGACAGGATCTCACTCTGTTACCCAGACTGGAGTGCAATGGTGTGATCAAGGCTCACTGCAGCCTCAACCTCCCAGGCTCAAGTGATCCTCCCACCTCAGTTTCCTGAGTATCTGGGACTACAGGCGCATGCCACCACGCCCAGCTAATTTTTTGCATTTTTTTGTAGAGACTTGATTTCCCCATGTTGCCCAGGCTGTTTTCAGACTCCTGAGTTCTAACGGTCTGCCTGCCTCAGCCTCCCAAAGTGTTGGGATTATAGGTGTAAGGCTGGCCAATTTCCATGGTTTTATTCCATGTTTTGCCACCTGCTAGGACAAGTCTCTCTTAATTGCTCATTTTTTCAAAACCTCATTGGCTCTTTTTATGTATTTCCTTTTCCATTTTAACTTGAGAATTAACTTGTTAAATTCTGTAAAAGGTCCTTTTGAGACTTTAAAAAATTGCAGTTAACTAAATTTATATATTAATTCAAGGAGAATTTAAAAATTTTAAATATTGCATCGTCTCATTTAGGAACATGGTATATCTTTTATTCAGAGCTTCTTGCATGCCCTTCACTATTTTTTTTAAAATTCATATAGGTTTTATATAGTTTTCTTTTGGATTATTTCTATGTATTTTATGGAGCTTGTTATATTTGTGAATGCTATCTTTTTCTTTCCCAATTTCTAGTTGATTATTGCTGATGAACTAGAACACTGATTCTGAAAGTATGGTCTCTGGACCAGCAGCATCAACATTTCCTGAAAACTTAGAAATGCAGATTCTCCAAGTGATTTTAATGCATACTAAAGTTAGAGCCACTGGATTAGAAAGATACTTTGTCTTTCCTGATTGTTGAAGTCCTATTTTTCTTATAGTCTGCAGTAGACAACCTTGTATTTTTTATTACTATTATTATTTTCATCTTTTTCCATTTTCCATAGAACTGTCAAGTCCAAACTTTTTATTTTTATTTTTTACATTTTTAAATTTTTTTTTTTTTTTTTTTTTGAGACCAGGTCTCTCTTTTTTGCCCAGACTGGGGTGCAGTGGAGGTCACTGTAATCTCCAACCCCTGGGCTCAAACAATCCTCTCACTTCAGCCTCCCAAAGCCATGGGGTTACAGGCATGAGCCACCATGCTAGACCCTGTACTTTTTTTTTCTTTTTTTAGAGTTCTTAAGGTGAAATGGTAGAATTATTGAAATAGTTCCTGCTTTAAAGAACCTCAGTTTTGCACACAGATAAAATAATGCTTTATTTTTGAAACAGCTTTGTGGAGATATAATTGACATACAATAAACTGTACATAATTCAAGTGCAGTTTATTGTACATCAATTGTTTGATAAGTTTTGATTTATATACACATTTGTGAAGCCATCACCACAATCAAGACAATGAACATATCCCTCCCTCCCAAAAGTTATCTCTTGGTACTCAAGCTCTGTGTAATCCTCTCTCTTTGAGTGTGGGCTGGACATAGTGATTTGTTTCTACCTGATAGAACAGAGAAAAAAATAATAGGATGCCACTTCTCTGATTAGGTTGCAAAAGACTGTGACTTCCATTTTGCTTGCTCTCTTGTCTTCTCTCCACTTGTTCACTTGGATGAAGCCAGCCTCTATGCTGAGTGCTGCCCTCTAGAGACGGCCACATGGCTGGGACCTGAGGGGCCTCTCAAAGGCCAACTGGTAGTAAGGAACAGAAGTCTTGAGTTCAGCACCCATGAGGAACTGAATCTTGCCAAAAACACCTGAATGAGCTTGGAAGTGGATCCTGTCCCAGTTAAATCTTGAGGTGACTATGGCCCTGGCCATCACCTTGACTAAAGCCTTGGGAGAGACACAGGGCTGGTGCCTCAACTGCAGCCTTTTGAGAGGCCCTGAACTGAAGGGTCCTGATAAGTTGCACCTGGATTTCTGACTTACAGAGACTAGGAGGTAATAAATGTTAAATGGTTACATTTGGGGATAATTTGATATTCGGCAATAGGCAATTAATACAGATAGGAATTAATAAGTTATGTGTGTGTATATAAATATATATAAAACGTATGTGTGTGTATATATATATATATATATATATATATATATATATATATATATATACATTTTTTTCTTGAGACAGGTTGTCACTCTGTTGCCCCAGGCTGGAGTGCAGTGGTGTGATCATGCTCACTGCAGCCTCCACCTCCAGGGCTCAAGAGATCCTCCTGCCTTAGTCTCCTGAGTAGCTGAGACTACAGACAGGTGCCACCACACCCAGGTAATTTTTGTATTTTTTGTAGAGAAAGGGTTTCACCATGTTGCCGAGGCTGGTCTTTTTTTTTTTTTTTTTTTTTAACCAGAGTCTCACTCTGTTGCCCAGGCTGGAGTGCAGTGGAGTGGTGCGTTCTTGGCTCACTGCAAACTCCACCTACTGGGTTCAAGTGATTCTCGTGCCTCAGCCTCCTGAGTGGCTGGATTACTGATATGCACCACTATGCCCAGCTAATTTTTTGTATTTTCAGTAGAGACGGGGTTTCACCATGTTGGCCAGGCTGGTCTTGAACTCCTGGCCTCAAGTGAACCACCTGCCTCAGCTTCTCAAAGTGCTGGGATTACAGGTGTTAGCCACGGCACCCAGCCTATATTTTTAATGCCCTTACTCTTTATTTTTTTCAAAATAATTTCCATTTACTAAGCATAAATCTGTGGTGTTCAGACCCTTCTCTATTACTTTCTCCCCTTATTTGTGGCTAAATATAAAGAGATAATTCAACAGTTCTTTGTCGACGGTATTTTATAACAACTGATTATATGGCAGAAAAATCTATTTTTTTTACTTTTGAGTTACTCAAAACCCTTGGATGATGATTTATTCGCAAGGTGCCCCTGAGATAACTTTCCTAATATCTTTGACTTTGTTTCAAAGGAAATTTTAGAAGCCACAGTCATCTTACCCTCTTTCTCCTAAAGACTGAGATTGAAATCGTAGTTTAAATACCTGAGGGAAATTAACCACGTAAAAGTATTCCATGGATAATTTTTTGTAAAATAATCACTTTATTAAGCAAAAAATTACCTTTTGTAAGGGAATCACTCCCTTTGGAAAGGAATTCCAAAGAAAGAGCAAAAAGAAGATTGTAATGGGGATGGATATTCCATAGTGTCAGGTTAGGGACCACACTTCATTATCTGTGTCTGGCAACTTAATGAATAAATGTTGGTAAAAAGAATGTTTGAAAGGAACAAAAATATTAAAGTTTGAATATTCAGTCTTTCTCCCTTTACTTCTCCCACCCACTGAAGGAAGGATCCTTCATTTCTTATCTCTCCATCTATGTTGAGTTAAGGAAGAGGTTAGTCTGGGCATGGTGGTTCATGCTGTAGTCCTACCACTTGGGAGGCCGAGGCAGGAGGATTGCTTGAGCCCAGGAGTTCAAGACCAGCCTGGGCAACATAGTGGGAATCCCTGGTGCTACAAAAAA